>NC_000015.10:45151874-45776874 GCF_000001405.40 Homo sapiens | reverse complement strand
TGTTTGATGTGTTTTCCAACTGGATGTTTCTAAAATTTATGGCAGTTTCAGACAAGATTTCCAAAGAAATCCTTTCTCTTCCTCATTTCAAGCTTCTAAATCTATAATACCCTTATCACCACTGCAGAGAGTCACCAGAGAAAAAGTTTCTCCCCAACAGGTTTTACAAATTACCTTTCACTCTTCAGATGTGTCGCTTCTCGGAAAACCCATGTGTCGCTCATCTTCCCAGGCAGGACAGCCCCTCTTTGCGGATATATTACTTGCCTCCTCAAGGCCTCAGTTTCTTCATCTGTGCAATGAAGAAGTTCAGCTAAATAATCTTTAATGCCACCTCAACATGTAACATTCAGGGGCTCAGATTTTCACAGCAAGCTTGAAAGCATTTTGAAGGTTATAGTGCATCCTTAATAAGTAGGGAGGGACATTCTAGAAATATGAAAAAAAGACATGCTTTAAAAACAAGGACTGAGCTTCCAGTAATGGCCAAATAAAGATTCTACCAGAATAAACACCCTTACAGACAGCTACTGTAAAATATGGACACATTATAAGAAGCAGCTACATGGAGGCACAAGAGGGTGATGGAAGGCAGGTAGAGTCTAGGGAGGAGTCCATGCACCAGGGAAGACATTACATGGAGTAGGTACTCCATGCTGCTGCTTCTAGCCTGGGGGTAGGTTCAGTTAGCTTGCATGGAACAGCAGGTACAGTGAAAAATAAACACATTTTTTCTGGCCTTAGAAATCTGAGTACTGGCCGGGCGCGGTGGCTCACGCCTGTAATCCCAGCACTTTGGGAGGCCGAGGCGGGTGGATCATGAGGTCAGGAGATCGAGACCATCCTGGCTAACAAGGTGAAACCCCGTCTCTACTAAAAATACAAAAAAAATTAGCCGGGCGCGGTGGCGGGCGCCTGTAGTCCCAGCTACTCGGGAGGCTGAGGCAGGAGAATGGCGTGAACCCGGGAAGCGGAGCTTGCAGTGAGCCGAGATTGCGCCACTGCAGTCCGCAGTCCCACCTGGGCGACAGAGCGAGACTCCGTCTCAAAAAAAAAAAAAAAAAAAAAAAAAAAAAAAAAAAAAAAAAAAAAAGAAATCTGAGTACTGAGTCCAGGGCAACCGCAGTCACTGAAGAAAAGGGAAATTTGGGAGGAAAAACAGCCAGGAGGGGGATACCCAAATTCTGCCTGCCCACATCTCTGGCTGGCTCCTGAATCACACATGCATGGAGCAGACTCAAAGCACCTCAGCTAGAGGTAAAGAACCTAAAGAGAGTTTGGAACTGGTTAAAAACCAAAAATAGTTTGGAGCTCATATTTAACCAGGTTAATTGTGTGCTAAAAGGAAAGAAACATGACTCATCAAAAGAAATTAACAAAATCCAGTATCTACAACATGAAATTTATTGTGTACATTACACAATCAGAAAGTACTCAAAATATAACAAATCAGGAAAAGTGGGAGCCCTAACATGACAGTCCCAGAGGAGCTGGAGCAGAAGGCTGTGATATTTATCCTACTGTCTCCCTTCCCGTGAGGTCTGGCTATGTCAGACCATTCCACAATATTTTAAATGTTCACCCTTTTCATACTCCTCCATCCCAAAGCCATTCGACTTCTCAAAACTTTGCATTTAATGAGCTCTTAATTCCAGGTGATCACAAGAGATTGTTTCACCACTGCGTGCCCTGTGCTACCAGAAGACCATTCCCTAATACAAAGGGATTTACCATCTTTTTCCCCAGTTACCAAGCCTAGATTCCCCAATTTTCCCTGATGATCTGTTACTTACCATCTTCTCCCAGTACCAATATTGTACCAGTCAAGTTTCTTGACTGCAAACCATAGAAATGAATTCTAGCTGATGAAACAGATAAGAAACTTACAAGGAGGAGCAAAGCAGTTCATAAAAGTGACAGGAAGACAACCTCCTGCTTCCAGCCATGGGAGAATAACAAGAAATCCATTTTTCCAGCATTATTGAGATATAATTGGAAATAAAAATTCTATATATTTAAGGTGCACAACTTAATGTTTTGATATATGTATACATCGTAAAATCATCACAATCAGGCTAATTAACATATATATCACATAAAACCATTCTTGTGTTTGTGTGTGTGTGCAGGTAGTGAAAACATTTAAGATCCACAAAGTTTCAGCTATGCAAGATGAATAATATACAGCAATATGACTATAGTTCACAACATTGTTTGTATACTTGAAATTTGCCAACAGAGTAGATCTTAAGAAATCTACTTTAAATATAAAAATACAGATCATTTAAAAGAAGATGGAAAAACATGCCATGAAAACATTAAGCATAGAAGGCTAGAGAGGCTATATTAATATCCGACAAAGTCAACTTCAGAACAAAGAGTATTTTGAAAAATAAAGAGGGGCATTTCATAATGACCAAAGGGTCAGTTCATAAAGAAGTGATGAGGAACTGAAGAACCAGTCTTAGAGCATAGATAGGAACCATGAGAGCTTTGGTCGCAAAGCAAGGGCATATTCAGCCAGGACAACAGCCGGGCCGCCTGCATGGAACGCTCAACAATGCGGTGGTTTCTGCTCCCATGGTAGCCGTTGCCACTGCACTTGCAACATCCCACCTCTCTGTGTGTAATCTCTAAGTATCCCCCATGTCTTCAGAGCTATATCCCTCTCAGATTCAAGTCCAGAGCAAGAACATCTGATATAGTTTGGATGTGTGTCCCTGTCCAAATCTTATGGTGAATTGTCATCCCCAATGTTGGAGGTGAGGCATGGTGAGAAGTGATTGGATCATGGGGATGGATTTCTCATGAATGGTTTAGTACCATCCTCTTGATACTGTCCTCACGATAGTGAGTTCTCGTGAGATCTGGTTGTTTAAAAATGTGTAGCACCTCCCCACTCTTTCTCTTGCTCCTGCTTTGGCTCCTCCTTTGCCTTCCACCAAGATCAGAAGCTTCCTGAGGCCTCCCCAGAAGCAGATGCCACTATGCTTCCTGTACAGCCTGCAGAACTGTGAGCCAACTAAACCTCTTTTCTTATAAATTACCCAGTCTCAGGTATTTCTTTATAGCAATGCAAAAAAGTGGCCCAATAGAGCATCCAATGGCAAAACCTGCTTGATGTACCCTAGATTTTGTTGCCAAGGAGCAGAAGGAGGAAATATCTGCGTCCTTCATTTCTAACATGAGACAGGGCCTGGCTTATCAACAATATTAAAACTTTAAGGGACACCCACAACAAGAATGAGATTTAGATGCTGGACTTTCCAAAACAAATAGCAAGTAACTACCTACAGTAAGTATTTCACATTGACAGGCAATTTGGATCCGTAATTTTCTTTTAATTTTTGACCAAGTAATTCTATTTGTAGAAGTTATCCTTTGAAAAAAATCAGAAATAAGCACCAGGATCTAGGTACAAGTAGGTTCAACTGAAATAATATTTATAATGATGCAATCCCAGAAAATTAAACTCTGGTATAGATGAGTCAAGTTCTCAACAGGAAGAGATAACATTACAGGGTATTCAAGAGAGTGTTTACAAAGATGCGTGTGGAAAAACGACAACAGACAGTGTAGTAATCCTGGCTGAAACTCCTTAGCCTAAAAGGATGAGGGGAGGAATAGTTACTGGACCTCAGAAGGAGACAACCCAGTAGAGTGCCTGGTGGAAAGACCTAGCCAACTTGAGGTGACCTGCCAGGGAGAGAGTCAAAGAAATAAAATACCTGCCCTTTATCTCCTTTCTCCCTCCCTCTCCTCCCATCTCCTGTCAGGGCTTCCCATTTCCCAAATCCAAGATGAAGCTGAAAGGCACAGGAACTCCTTGATGTTGTCCATGAGTTCAGCCTCCAGAGGCAAAGAGCCAGGTACAGAGGCTGGAGTTACATGGACAGCGGATCTGGAAGGACGAAGGGAAGCAATTACATTCTACATGATTAAATCTGCAGGCAACGATTAAAAATTATGCTAGAAGACTATTTAATGGTAAAAGGGAATGTTCCCAACATGATACCAAGTGAAAAACAGTATTCGAACCATCTAGAAATTATGATACCAAATCAAAAATAGTGTTAATGTGTGAGGTTATGTGTATTCACTCTTATTAAATGTTTTGTTTTCCAAAATGTCTATAAGTAATGCATGTTATTTTTAGAAGAAAATATATAGTTAACTAAAAAGATATTCCAAGTAATAAACCTATGACAATGATAATAACCAAGACCCCTATGAAAATGAAAAAAGAAGTAAATAGCATGTTTCTGTGGATGTGCCACGTTTGGTTCAACAATCACTGACCCTTTGCCACATACCAGGCACTGTTCTGGTTCCTGGGCACACAGTGATAGAATAACTTTGTCTTTGGGGAGCTAACCTTCTCAAAGATGGTATGAAACTTTGGATTGGAGAGTGGAACTAGATGGGGAAGAACAGTGGCTGGAGTGTAGCTGTCCACAATGGCATTCAATGCAAATTATCAGTGTTTATCATGTCCATAAGCCTCATGGAGACACACACAGAGGTGGGTAAGAGCTGAAAGCAGCTGGCTAGAGCATGTGCTAAGATTCTGCCTCATGTTGAAAAAACACAAGGATTGGAAATGTTTTCAGCATTATTGCTGCTCTGGGATCTACATCAAAAGTGCTACATCTGACCACAGTATGATAAACAGGGAGACCAATCTTCTAAAAGAGACTCTTACAGAACGAGTACTTGATACAAGGGGAAGGCAGACAGAATTACATTTATGTTTTTCTTACATCATAGGTATTCCATATATTTTATATTGATAAAAACACCAAACAAAGAAACTAAGCCTGTCACATCTGTTTTTAAAAATGGGTAATAACTATAAATGCAGTCCTAGGATTGAGATGTCCAATAAATGTGATTACTTACCCCAAACCTTTTATAACACCAAGAATTAGATACATTTTTTACAAAAATTATAGGCTACAGAAACTTTATGGTAAAAGCATCGGGAAGAAATTAAGCAATGAGTCATAGGACCATGTAAAGACAATCAACCAGAACCAATTTTCAGGCTTCTGTCGGGCTGTATTTATGGTATGTTACAGCTGGGTCAGTCCCGTTAGAATAAGGGCCATGCACTAAGTCCTAATTATCATCCCAAAATGCCTGTTAGTGGGACACAGATCAGCTTGGTGACCAAGTGATATGTGTGATTACATGAAAGAGCCGGTGCAGAGGCCAGAGGCACTGAGGGCAGGTTTGGACATTAATAAAAGGAAGGGATATGGTTCATCATCCCTCCCGGGTGCTGCACATCACTTTCAGTCTTTAAGTCAAGACATCAATGAGACAAAGGATGTGCCTTTGGCTGAAAGGATACTTCAATAGGTCTATCACCACACTGAGACAAGAATTTTTCTGTGTTGTATGAGGTTTGGGGTTTTTTCTGTTTTTTGTTTTTGTTGTTGTTTTGAGAAAAGGTCTCGCTCTGTCATCCAGGCTGGTGTGCAATGGTGCGACCTTGGCTCACTGCAATCTCCACTTCCCACATTCAAGTGATTCTCCTGCCTCAGCCTCCCTAGTAGCTGAGACTACAGGCATGCGCCACCCTGCCTGGCTAATTTTTGTATTTTTAGTAGAGATTGAGTTTCACCATGTTGCCCAAGCTGGTCTTGAATTCCTGGCCTCAAGTGATCCACCTGCCTTGGCCTCCCAAAATGCTGAGGTTACAGGCATAAGCCACTGTGCCCAACCGAGGTTTGTTTTAAATCTGGATTTTACAATGTTAAAAAAAAAAAAATCCACAAACCATGTAGACTTTCTGAAAATTATATGAGTTGATAAATTTTTCTTAATAGGCTCTAGATTTTTTTAATGAGAACTATTTTGCATGTGTTGGATAATTTTGTTTAAAATATAGCATAGACATAGTACAGCTCTGGAACAAACCACCTGAGTTCAAAATCTATTGAGTTACACTGTGAACTTGGGGAAACTATGAATTTTCTGTGCCTCAATTTCCTCATTAAAAAATGGAAATAGTGACAGTAATCTCTTCATGGGATTGTTATGAGGATTAAATGAGTTAATACACTTCCAAAGTGCCTGGCACATACTAGATACTTTTTTCATATTAGCAATCGCTATTATTTAAAAGTCATACTACAGAGAAACCACATGGCATTAACATCTCAAAATCTATTTTAGTCTTTATATTAAAAAGCATTATCTTTTGAGTGACTTAGAACATTCTAGAAGACTTCAACTTTCATCCAGGTTGAGACTGACTTTTATTATCTTGAAGAGTCCAGTAAATGATAATATTGTGGGTCCAAATCTAATTTGATTTGAGAACAAAAAAGGCAGAATTCTTTTTATTAATGCTTTTATAGAACTTTTATAATAGATGTTAAGCTACTCCTACTTATAGGTAGTAGAGATAGTAATCCATGATAAAATTTAAGAGACCTCCAAAAACCACCTGCCCACAAAATATCTCATGCACTTATTTAAAAGACATTTATACAAAACTGAATGTGATCTGACCTTGCCCTTGAGAACTCACAAAGCAGGGAAGACCAATCCACAAAAGTAATTATAAAATTAACTTGATGTTTAATAAAAAGAAAGACAATGTACAAATTGCCTCCTACCATCCATTGGTGCAATATATCATGAAAGACAGAAATAACTACAAGAAAAATGAGATTAGGTGGTTATTACCAAGGTGCATTGATGCTCCTCAGAAATAAACTAGATGCTAAAGGAAATTAACAAGCAATTGGAAACCAAGTATAAAAGCCAGAGGAGGCTGGGCATCGTGGCTCACACCTGTAATCCCAGCACTTTGGGAGGCCGAGGCGGGCGGATCATGAGGTCGAGAGATCGAGACCATCCTGGCTAACACGGCAAAACCCTGTCTCTACTAAAAATACAAAACATTAGCCAGGCGTGGTGGCGGGTACCTGTAGTCCTAGCTACTTGGGAGGCTGAGGCAGGAGAATGGTGTGAACCCGGGAGGCGGACTTGCAGTGAGCCGAGATCGCACTGCACTCCAGCCTGGGTGACACAGCAAAACTCCGTCTCAAAAAAAAAAAAAGAAGGAAAAGCAAAAGCCAGAGGACCTCTTTGGTAACATAAAAAGTCCTTATCTCCTGCAGTGCAAGGACAGAGAACAAGGATTAAGGCCAGGGTTTAATGGTCCAAGTAACTAAACTTGCCCAAGAAATGCAGATTTGTTATGTCAAGCTCAGGGTCCTACTTGAGAAAACCTAGGACCTGACATGCCATAGAGACATCTGGAAGGATGTCCAGAACATATTGACTCCATAGACTCCTCTAAATTTTCTGAGCCTGCAAAAATAACCCACCTTCCCTACTAAATGCTAGCACTTCCCTTTCCACCTCATTCTGGAAGACAACCCAAAGACTTCTTCCCAGCAATGCTATAAGATTTGCCCCACCACCCCTCCTGGCCTTTAGGCCTATAACTATAGTTAAATCACAGCATTACCCAGCTGAGAATATGCTGGGCCTAATAATGAAGGAAAGGGGTTATACCCCCAAAGAGCTGCAAATTTAGCCAGCATGTTCTATCACATACCAGCATGTACCAGGGTAGTACATTTGGGACTGGATTCTGATGGTGCTTAATCAAGATGACTGAAACATAAACTTAAAATAGGGAAGTGTTCATTCACTTGAAGTTGGGTCTCCCAAGAAACAGAATTTAACACCTTGGCAAGGACCCCAAGAGATGGTACAAGCTTGCTATGAAAATGGCTCCTGGGAACATGAGGAAAATGATTGTGCTCCCTGATCAAAGTTGTAATGCTGGGAATGCCATGGCAAATGGTAGAGGAAGAGATTTAAAGACTCATGGAAGTGGTTAGCTGAAATGGAGATACTATGTATGGCCAGAAGCCATGCTTAGTGATTACATTGCATTGAAAGACCCACAGGACACACCATTTACCAAGACTATGTGCCGGTAAATGTGCTGGTGAGAGGGGTACCAGTACTAACATGCCGTTGTGATGCTCCTCTGTAGGCCAGAGGTGATGGTAGGAGAGGCTATTATGGAGGAGAGGCTATTATGGAACTTGGCTCCCTACTACCAATGGAGATGATGGGACCCCAAAATAATAGAGGACAAATGGTAGTGGTTAACAGCTTAAAAATAGAGGATTATAGTAATGGTAACCAGTTAATGGCAAAGTTGGCATGGCAGCCAAGAAGCCTGAACTGTAGAGAGTTATATGGATGGTTAGTAGAACACTGAATCCTTAGAGGCAAAATAGATGAGTACCACTGAGTTTGTAGCAGCAGAAAAAAATAAAAGATGAATAACTAGAAGACTAGGGTCACCTCGTCACCCCAAAAAAGGCATGGTATCTTATGCAGTTCCCATACCTGAACAAGTCTTCAGATCTAGAACCCATTGACTAAAGAGGCTGCCCAGATAGCACAGCACGTATACACTAACTATAATGATTGCTCTGATCCTTCCTCCAAAGGGACCTGTTGCCACTTATTGGGGTTAAACCACACTGGGGGAAGGAGAATAGGCAGGACTATGAGACATAAGGTTTGAAGACCTGAGCTGATACCTGGAGATCTGGAGTGTTACCACGAACCCCTGTTAGAGTGGGGACATATGGATGACAGGTATATATGGAAACAAAGCCAAAGTCTGGCCTATAGTGGATCCACTAGGCCCACAGATTAACCTGATGGTCATTTCCCCAGTGCCAAATGTACAGATGTATAGTTAGCAGTTGCATACATCAGAATACAGAAGAGGAGAGGTGTTGTGCAGGGAAGGTGAAAATTAAAGCTACTTTTTTTTTTTTAAACATAGAATCTCACTCACTCTGTCACCCAGGCTGAAGTGCAATAGCATGGTCATAGTTCACTGCAACCTCGAACCCCTGGGCTCAAACGATCCTCCCACCTCTGCCTCCCAAGTAGCTAAAACTACAGGCGTGTGCCACCACACCTGGCTAATTTTTTTGTTTTGTGTTTTGTAGAAACAAGGTCTCCCTATGTTGCCCAGGTTGGTCTCAAACTCCTGGGCTCAAGTGATCCTCCACCTCAAGTGATCAGCCTCCCAAAGTGCTGGGATTATAAGTGTGAGCCACTGCACCCAGTCTAGACTAACTCTTAAAGATCTAAAGTATCAAAGAGTAGTTGCCCTCATAATATCTCTTCTTTTTTTTTTAAATTATTATTATACTTTAAGTTTTAGGATACATGTGCATAATGTGCAGGTTAGTTACATATGTATACATGTGCCATGCTGGTGTGCTGCATCCATTAACTCGTCATTTAGCATTAGGTATATCTCCTAATGCTATCCCTCCCCCCTCCCCCCACCCCACAACAGTCCCCAGAGTGTGATGTTCCCCTTCCTGTGTCCATGTGTTCCATTGTTCAATTCCCATCTACAAGTGAGAACATGTGGTGTTTGGTTTTTTGTCCTTGCAATAGTTTACTGAGAATGACTCTTCTTAATTCACCACTCTGGCCCCTAAAAAAACTACATGGATCGTGAACAATTGATGTAAACCAGGAGTTGGCAAATTTTTTCTATAAAGAGACAGTAAATATTTCAGGTTTTATGGCCTATACAGGCTCTGTCACAAAAATTTAACTCTCCCACTACAGTGTGAAAGTAGCCACAGACAGTATACAAGCAAATTAACATGGCTGTGTGTTCCAATAAAACTTTATTTACAAAAAAAGGCAGCAAAAGCTATAATTTGCTAATCTGTGATGTAAACTATCACAAGCTTGACCCAATAGTAGCCCAACTGGAGCCACTATGTCAGATATGGTATCTACTAGAGCAAATTAACACAGCATCATATACGTGGTCTGGGGCTATTGATTTGGTGATTGAATTAATAGAAAGAATCATTAACAATTGCATTTGTGTAAGATGGACATTATTTATTTACTATATTCCCCCAGGACTATATTAACTCTTTGTACTTTATCATACTACAAATCAAAAAATCCGAACCATCTGGACATCTCATATTACACTGATCCATCACATGGATAATATGCTGATTGTATTACATACACAAGAAGTAGCTATCACTTAGACTTTGTAAGACATATGCACTCCATAAGTTGGGAGATAAAGCCAGAGGCCACTACTTTAGTAAAAGTTTAAGAGAATAGAGATCAAGGACATGTTGGGGCATCCCTTCCCTAAAGTTAAAAATAAGTTATTGCCTCTTGTACTTTCTACCACAAAGAAGGAAGCACAACACCTGATGAGCTTTTTTGGGTTCTGAAGTCAGCATATTCTACATCTACAATGTCCAGTTCAGTAGCCATTGGCCACATGCAGCTATGCAAGTTTAAATTTAAATTTAAATTTTAGTTCCTCACTTGTACTAACCACATTGCTTAATAGCCACAAGTCGCTAATGGCTACCACATTAACAACGTGGGTATAGGATATTTCCGCCATTGTAAAAAGTTCAATTGGAAAATTCCATACACCCACGAATAAGGAATATTGTTCCAACCCCTATATCTGGTGACCAAAGAGCAGCCAGCTTGGGTGGAGCCCACGGCAGGAAGGAGTTCTGCAGCAGATGCAAGCTACAGTGAAAGCAGTCCTGCCACATAGGCCATAGGATCCCACAGACCTTGTGGTCATGGAGGTATCAAGGGTGGGCAAGACATCTTGTGGAGTTAGTGGCAAGCTCCACTGGAAGAATCACAGTACAGTCCCCTGGGATTGAAGAGCAAAGTTATGCCATCTGCCCCTGAGGTTAGGGGTAAGATTAGAGTTGTGATACAAACTGAGGACGGACTCTTGTTACAGCTGTGGTAGATGCCACAAGCTTGGGTTCTAGAACTAGGCCATGTCATCTACCCCAGAAAATTAGATACCATTTGAAAACCATCTCCTGGCATGCTACAGGGCTCTGGAAGAGCTGGAATGCCTATTGGTCTTGCTCATGCTCATTCCAGGATATACCACTTCCATGTTACAACAAATGGCTGGGCCTACTCGGTCTTAGGTTTTGGCAGCTCTGATAGAACCTAACTAATGGTGGAAAGATCCAGACACATGGTCACTTAGTGTTTCATGGTGAGGCATTCTTTCTGCACCAGGTATAGAGGTGGGTCTATGGTCACAAATTCCACTTGTCATATCCTATTCTACAACTACCCAGAGCTGCAGGCCTGACACAGTATTTGATAAGCCTACTGAAGGCACAGGGGAAGTGTCATCTCAGAAGCAAATCTCTGAAAGAATGAGATCCATCATCCAGGATGCCATATTGACATTAAATCAAAGAACTTTACATGGCACTGTCTCCCGAGTAGAAGGAATACATGGGTCTGGGAACCAGGGTGTTGAAATAGGAATGACTCCCCTTACCATTACTCCCAATGACCTACTTAGGAAATTTGGGTTTCCTGTCCCCTCTCTAGAGACCAGATCCCTATCCCTATAGAGCATGTAGGGCATGTGCTCTACAGGGATAGAGAAATCTGGTCTCCAGACAGAGGACACTTACCATGGGAGCAGCAAAAGCCCCATTGAACTATAAGGTACTTCCTGGACACTCTGGGCTCCTTATATTCAAAGGCAAGTAGGCAAAAAGAAGAGTCACCATCCTGGTAGGGTAACTGTCCCTGCTCATGAGACTAAGGTAAGACTATTGCTACACAACGGGAGCAAGGAAGAATATGAATGAATCACACCCAGTAATTCATCTGGGCATCTTTTGGTCTTCCCTTGCCCAATTATGAGTTAAATGAGCAGACATAACAATCCTTCCTGAGAAGGGCATGGCTACCAAGGTCTCAGACCCCTCAGGATCTGGTTCAAGCCACTGAGCCTAGAAGATCTGGTCATGAGATTGAGAGGAATCTAGAATGAACAGTGGAGGAGGGAGACAATGAATATCAATTCCAGCCCCAAGAACAACTGCAGCGACAGAGACTGTAGTTCATCCTACTAAACTCCCTCTTCTAAGTTTTCCATCAGAGAGAGATCCAGGTATCCAGGAAGAGCTGCTCCCCCAAAATATATGAAGTAGAGCTAAGGAGGCTGTGGATTGTGGTGGACCAGAGATGCATCACCCAGATCTCCCTTCAAGGAGGGACTTGCTGCCCAGCTCTGGAGGAAATGAGAACTCCTTTAGGGTGTGCCTCAGCTTCAGAGAGCTACCTTGCCCAAGATCATGTCCTTCCCTGGGACAGCTCACATCCAGTGACTGAGAGAGTCAGGCACATAAAGCTTCAGCCATTTCATCCCTACATAGGACAGTTCTGAGAGGTTGATGTTGGCTTTTTCAGGTCTGAATTGCCATTCAACTTCTCCCTCTGTCCAATCTTGCTTCTTTCCTCTTCCTTTCCAGGTGTTGATCCCCAATAAACATCTTACACCTTGAACTCCATCTTACTATCTTCTTCTAAATAACCCAACCTGCAACTCTGTGTGTGTGTGTGTGTGTGTGTGTAGGAGCCTGCACATATGGTACAACCCAGCTGAATGTGATGATATAGGTAAAACATCTTCCTCTTTCCCCTCCAACAGCATCCGGAGAAATTATTCTTGAGCTGACAGGTGCATTAGTCCAAAAAACACTTACCTCAGTGGACCATAACTATGCCAGGCTGCAGGACCACCAGCGTCCATGACAAGTGTGTCCGCATTACTGCAAGTCTTTTGGTAGTGGTCAGAAAACAACACTGGAGCAATAACATGTGGCAACAAGAGCAACAATGGCCAAGATAATGGAGCTGTTCCACTGGCTGCACAGGTTTTCTGGTCCTTTCTCCATGGCAGGACAGTGACAAAGACTGACTCCTAAAGTTAAAAAAATACCCTTGGGATGATAGATAGATAGGTAGATAGATGATAGATAGATAGATAGATAGATAGATAGATAGATAGATAGATAGATAGATAGATAAAGAGAAATGAAAGAGAGATATTCTTATGTATTAGAGCCACAAATTAATTTAACTTCAATTTTAAAAGTATTGTTAATTCATTTGTACCTCCAAACTGATTAAACAAAACATGCTGACTACAACTATTAAACGAAAAAAGATTACAGAATAGTATGCTTAGTATAAACATACTATTATAAAATATGTCTCAATATGTTCATAGAAAAAAATTGGAAAGCCAAAATGTTGCTAACAGTTATGTCAGGATGGTGTAATCACAGGTGATTTTTATTGTACTTTCCTTATCTGTACTGCCCGAATTTTCTGTGTTGACTTTGTGATTCGGTAACAAGGAAAAAAAATTATCGTTTTAAATTTACCTAAGCAATGAATCTGTTTTCCCTTGATGTCTTTGCTTTTTTTAAGAAGCAGTGTGCATTCTTTTCCTAAGAAATACAAACATTTCTCCTTTCTTTCATTTTAGATAATTAGAAGACAGCTGCCAGGTTGGAGACCATTTCAGATGTCAATCTGCAAAGTTGTATGGAAAGGCAGGAAATAAGCCATGGAACATTTTAATTGCCTTCATAACCTGGGTTACAGGAAACAGGCATCTCCTTCATGATTTCTGCTTCTGAGAGGAGGGTGCTGTGGCCAAGGGCTTGGATGCTCACAGAATCTCCCATCCCCTTCCATGAGCATTATTGAAGAGAAGATACTACGGAAGAATTGTGGGAATAAACACGGTGTCATTCATATGCTCTGTGAGCTCATCTAAGGGTCCAAGGTGCCATCCCTTCTGCAGGATCACTAGCAGCTGTCCATGTGGCGCCAGCTCAACCATCTCTAATGGGGAAATCAACAACTACTGAGCAGTCCTACTGGGATATACAAGTACCAAGTATCAGACACATGAATCCAAAATGAAATTTGCCACCCTCCCTCCCAGGAACAATGCATTTTGATGTGTCCTACCATTACTCCTACCCTGACACTTACCCACTAGACTAGAGCATGTGAGTGACCCTGTCTCATTTTGCTGTATTACCAGCAACTAGAATAGTGCAAATAATACAGTAGTTGCTCAATACACACCCGTGGAACTACTATTTAATGAATAACAGGTGCCCCAATGATTTTCTTTAAAAATCCAGGTCACTTGGTAAGTTTTTGTCTTTGATCAGCTTGTCTATTCAATTTCTGCTGCCCTTCTTTTGATTGTGACCCTGTGCTATCTTGGAAGCAGTTGGTTTCTGTCAATTCTCTTTTTGCTAATTATCTCAAAGCCCATATCCAAGGTCATCTATTTCAAGGATCCTGTTTGGGTGTCAACAGTCTATGTATAGTCATATTCTTCTGTTAACCTGCCTAAATAAGATTTGACAGAAAAGGGCATTTTTGAAACTTAAGGGTGAAAGAGTAGCTCAACACAATAGAAGCTCAGTAATTTGAACTAAATGAAGGGAAGATCAGTCTGACAGTGAAAAGTACAAATTATGAAATCATTTTTTAATAGAGGGTTACTGTTCTCAAGTAGAGGAAGATTAGAGACCAAACTAAAAAATGTACCTTTAAAAAACATGATGATATATTACAGTTGGGAAGAGTGTGGGAAAGACAAAGGCAACCTGAGGCAGAAAGAGACAACTAGGCTGGAGCTAGGACACAGGACACCAGGAAAGACTCACACATTAAGAACATGGCTTCTCTGTAGAGGTTGCTGAGCTATCCAGAAAGATGAGCAGCCGCTTGGGAAAAATGAGACAGGAAATGACTGCCATGTTTTGACCTGACTGACCTCCTGAAGTCATGACCGAAATAAATGCGGGGTTCAAAGCTAAGCAGGCATCACTCTCTGCTGTACTGAGGACAGAGAACTGTCAACGGTACATTTTTTAGTTTGATCTATAATCCTCCTCTACTTGAGAACAGTCAGCAGTGAGCACTTAACAGACGTCCAATGCAAGCATCTGTGCAATGCCAAGCTCTTGAGGGACGACGCTGGCCATTCGAGAGTCTGCCATAGGGCCTAGGCTGTTCACGTAGGCCCAAACTCCATGAGAACTGAGAACAAACACTATTTCTCATGAAATCCTGAAAGAACCAAACAAAACCGAACAAGTTATAGTGAGATACAGTCAGACTACAAACTCCTAGGCTTTGTGGATGAGCGTCATCTCAGAAGCCATCATGGAGGACACGGAACTCAAGTGCAGTCATATGGGTGGAATTTGGTTAGACAGAGAAGAGGAGGGAATCAGGTTTGGTGGGGAAAACAGTGTGAGCCCAGCCTGGAAGTAGGGATGGATGCGGGTTGTGCTGGGCATGAGAGCTGAGGAGACAGAGTGGAGGGGCTGACAGGTAAGAAGGCCCACCCACTGAGTCGGGGAGGGACTGTTAAGCAGTCACTGTGGACTAGGCACCGCTCACAGCACTGCAGATACAGTAGCAAACAGGCAAAAAAGGAGCTTACCAGGAGCCAGGCCAGCCACTATTTACAGTGATCTTACGGGAAAATTGGTAGTGAAATGAAAAGCACACATAACAAAATCCAAGGGGGAGAAGTATGAATAAATCACCCCACTCCTCCCAAAAAACAAGTTTTGTCCAGCTGGTATTAGCCAAGGAGAGGCAAATGGTTATATAAACTGGAGGAAACAACTATCTCTGCCATTGCATTTCTTTACAATCATGAGTAACCTGGCAAGGTTGGTGAATCAAAGTGAAAGAAAGGAGGAAGTGAGGGTGGAAAAGAGCCTCCAGAATAATTACACCACTGTTAAAGAGATCACCAAAAAAGAATAAATATACTACTGATTCTTTTTTTTTTGAGAAATGCTGAATCATGCCTTAAATTATAACTCTATTTACTTATGAAATTATTAATGTGTCAAACATTTGCAAATCAATCTAGTTTCTAGGAAGAATTTCAAATTGAATGTTTTCTCATTTGCATGGAAAAGCTCCTTGTAGGATAATCTAAGTAAGAATAATAATACATCTTCAAACATTTTGATTCCTATCTATTTCCTTCTCTTCTTACCAAAATAGTTAATGACAGATTCATTTCAATTTTCAACTGCAAATATTATTTTAGAAAGCTGCCACCAATGTAAACATCTTCATTCACTTTCCTTTAAATTGCACCATTTTATTGAATAAATTATTCAATGTCAGGGACCTAGACAAGGGACCACATTACTCTGAAAGAAGTAGAAATATTGTATTAGAGACTGGCAAGCTGTCATGTCTCTATTGGCCAATTGGGCATGACCCACCACCCCTGCTCCCAACCTCAGCACCTACCATGTTCCTTAAGCTTCTGTGACTGAATCATAAGTCTGGAAAACTCAATTTGGTAAGTGTGGGAAGACAGATCTTAATTGAAAAATTCATTTCTAATGAAATGTGAGGTGGTAAAAGATTGGGCTGGGAGGGTAGATCATTTGAGTCTTCATTAGTAACACCAATTCATTTTAATTCAGTGAAGCACATAATTGGCATCAAGCTTCTCAAGTTCACCACACATTCCTGTGCTTGGAATCCCTAATATTTTAAAAACTTTTCTTATTTGGTAATAGGTGTTTTAATAATTTGCATTTAAACACAAGAATACTTGTAACTGGCTTATGCTAATTCTAAGTGTGTTCAGTTTTATTAAGCCAGTGGTATCCACCGGCCAGTGACAAGTCTTTCTAAGCCTTAACTTGAATTCCCTGTAATTATTCTGCAGTCAGCTAAGACTCCAGCAAAGAGATGAATGAGGCCCCTTGAGATTACTGCACCTTGAATAATCAGAGGCAGTCCACGAGGTCAATTACTGTTTCAGTTTGTTCCATGGCTGCTGCATGTAAATCCGTTTACCAGGAGCTTAGAGAAAGACTTGATGGCATTTGTTTCATTGGCTTTATCTCTGCAACTGCAGCCATTCTGCCATGCAAGACCCTGAGGGCTCAAATGGACCATCTCCATGGGAAGTGAGGGAGCTGCAAAAGGGCTGTGTTTTTGAAAAGGAGAAAAAGGAAAACTTTCTCTTATTCACAGGATGGAAGAGAGGCAGAATTGTCAGTTAGTGAAAAGGGCTTAGGACTGAGAGTCCAGAGATGTGAGTTTTCTAATCCTCCTTAGCTGAGATAACCACCCAGCCAATCACACCAAGACAAGTTTCTTTTGGGATCGTGTAGCAACATGCAAGTCTATACAGCAAGAGATACAATGTAGGGTAGCAAACAAGAAGTGCTAAAGAGAAGGGCAAAAAGCAAGAGAAGGAAATCCTATCATGAAACTAAAAACAAACAGATAAACAGGTAACCCTTGAAACTCTAGTCAGTGTAGAAACTAACACACCAATATCTTCATATAAGCTGACAAAATGTGCACAATATTTACGGTTTAAATTTATGATAGCCTTTTAATACTTACTGGATGTCATTGAGGATATAAAGATAAATAAGAACAGTAACACTTCCCAATCTTACAGGATCAAAGAAGAAAAAGATATACACAAACAAAAATTGTTAGTTAGCAAATGATGTGGATAAATATTATTCATTCAAATAGGTTTCAATAATCTTGCAGAATTCAGGGAGTAAACTTGAGAACTCAAAGATTTCCAGCCTAGCTGTGCAATAGAATTATTGTGTTTATATAGCATTTTTGAAAATACAGGTGCTTAGGTCTCAATACAAACTTCAGAGGGTTGACCCCTGGAATCTATATTTTTAACCAGTCTTCTAGGTCACTTTTACTTAGTCACCTGGTATCATAGCTTTCCCATTTCTAGAAAAAGAATTAGTGACACCTGCATTAATCTTCCAGACAGGGAAATGGGAAAACTTCCTTAGTCAATGCAGAATCTAGACTAACTTAATCCCAATTCACTTTATCCCATTACTCTGCTTTTTGTAGTTTTTCCTTAAACTGAAGCACCTTTTCTTTGATATAGCCAGGGAAATAAAGGAAGGAGAGGAGGTGTCATATTCTCAATTTTAATGCATATTTCTGTGAGTGTGAGGAATGCTCAGCCTTCAGCACTGTAGAAACGGCCATAAACATAAAACACACATCTCAGGAAAGTCACAGCAAACAGTGAAAGTTCATCTCACAACACCTCCCAAATAAAACTGCATATGGCCTGCTGGGACAATTGAATATCCACCTGCAAATGAATGAAACTGGGCCCCTACCTCACACCATACACAAAAACTAACTCAAAATAGATCAACAATCTAAATATAAGAGCTAAAACTATAAAATTCTTAGAAAAAAATAGGAGTAAATATTCATGGCCTTGGATTTGGCAGTAAGTTATTAGATATAGCACCAAAAGCACAATAAATGAAAGTAAAAACATAGACCAATGGGACTTAATCAAAATTTAAAAATGTGTGCATCCAAGAAGACTATTTTAAAAGTGAAAAGCCAACCTATAGAGAGAAAATATTTGTAAATAATATATCCAGAATATATAAAGAACTCTTACCACTCAACAAGAAAAATGCAAATAATCCAATTTTAACAAAGGGCAAAAGACAATAGACATTTCTCCAAAAAGATATACAAATGGCCAAGAAGTATATGATAAGATGTTCAACATCATTAGTTATTACATAAATGCAAATGAAAACCACAATGAGATACCACTTTATACCCATTAGAATTGCTATGATTTTTTTCAGTTTAATAAAAACGATGTGCCCCTTCTGCTACATGAAGATGCAGCGAGAAGACACCGTCAATGAAGCAGAGAGTGGGCCCTTGCTAGACACTGAATGCTCATTGATCTTGATGTCCCAGCCTGCAAAACTGGGCAGAGGTCAGCCCAGTGTATCTGTCCTTGGAATCTACAATTACTTTTGAAAGAAAACTATTTCTGGGACCTCCAGCAAACTCCAACAGACCTGCAGCTGAGAGGCCTGGCTGTTAGAAGGAAAACTAACAAACAGAAAGGAATAGCATCAACATCAACAAAAAGGACATCCACACCAAAACCCCATCTGTAGGTCACCAACATCAAAGACCAAAGATAGATAAAACCACAAAGATGGGGAGAAACCAGAGCAGAAAAGCTGAAAATTCTAAAAACCAGAGTGCCTCTTCTCCTCCACAGGATCACAGCTCCTCGCCAGCAAGGGAACAAAGCTGGATGTAGAATGAGTTTGAAAAGTTGACAGAAGTAGGCTTCAGAAGGTCAGTAATAAGAAACTTATCTGAGCTAAAGAAGCATGTTCTAACCCATCGCAAGGAAGCTAAAAACCTTGAAAAAAGGTTAGACGAAGGCTAATTAGAATAGAGTGTAGAGAAGACCTTAAATGACCTGATGGGGCTGAAAACCCAGTATGAGAACTTTGTGACGCATGCACAAGCTTCAGTAGCCGATTTGATCAAGTGGAAGAAAGGATATCAGTGATTGAAGATCAATTAATGAAATAAAGTGAGAAGACAAGGTTAGAGAAAAAAGAGTGAAAAGAAACGAACAAATATGGGACTATGGGAAAAGATCAAATCTACATTTGATTGGTGTACCTGAAAGTGACAGGGAGAATGGAACCAAGTTAGAAAACACTCTTCAGGATATTATCCAGGAGAACTTCCCCAACCTAGCAAGGCAGGCCAACATTCAAATTCAGGAAACATAGAGAACACCACAAAGATACTCCTCGAGAAGAGCAACCCCAAGACACATAATTGTCAGATTCACCAAGGTTGAAATGAAGGAAAAAATGTTAAGGGCAGCCAGAGAGAAAGGTCGGGTTACCCACAAAGGGAAGCCCAGCAGACTAACAGCAGATCTCTCGGGAGAAACCCTACAAGCCAGAAGAGAGTGGGGGCCAATATTCAACATTCTTAAAGAAAAGAATCTTCAACCCAGAATTTCATATCCAGCCAAACTAAGCTTCATAAGTGAAGGAGAAATAAAATCCTTTAAAGACAAACAAATACCGGCCAGGCGTGGTGGCTCACGCCTGTAATCCCAGCACTTTGGGAGGCCGAGGAGGGTGGATCACAAGGTCAGGAGATCGAGACCATCATGGCTAACACAGTGAAACCCCATCTCTACTAAAAATATAAAAAATTAGCCAGGCGTGGTGGCGGGCGCCTGTAGTCCCAGCTACTTGGGAGGCTGAGGTAGGAGAATGGCGTGAACCCGGGAGGCGTAGCTTGCAGTGAGCCAAGATCCCACCACTGCACTCTAGCCGGGGTGACAGAACAAGACTCTGTCTCAAAAAAAAAAAAAAAAGACAAGCAAATGCTGAGAGATGTTGTCACCACCAGGCCTGCCTTACAAGAGCTCTCAAAGAAAGCACTAAACATGGAAAGGAACAACCGGTACCAGCCATTGCAAAAACATGCCAAATTGTAAAGACCATTGATGCTATGAAGAAACCACATCAATTAATAGGCAAAATAACCAGCTAACATCATAATGACAGGATCAAATTCAAACGTAACAATATTAACCTTAAATGTAAATGAGCTAAATGCCCCAATTAAGACACGGACTGGCAAACTGGATAAAGAGTTAAGATCCATCAGTGCGCTGTATTCAGGAGACCCACCTCACATGCAGAGACACACATAGGTTCAAAACAAAGGGAGGGAGGAAGATCTACCAAGCAAATGGAAAGCAAAAAAAAGCAGGGGTTGCAATCCAAGTCTCTGATCAAACAGACTTTAAACCAACAAAGATCAAAAGAGACAAAGAAGGCCATTATACAATGGTAAAGGGATCAATTCAACAAGAAGAACTAACTATCCTAAATATACATGCACCCAATACAGGAACACCCAGATTCATAAAGCAAGTTCTTAGAGACCTACAAAGAGACTTAGACTCCCACACAATAATAGTGGGAGATTTAAACACCCCACTGTCAATATTAGACAGATCAACAAGACAGAAGGTTAACAAGGATATCCAGGACTTGAACTCAGCTCTGGACCAAGCAGACCTAATAGACATCTACAGAACCCTCCACCCCAAATCAACAGAATATACATTCTTCTCAACACCACATCACACTTATTCTAAAATTGACCACATAATTGGAAGTAAAACACTCTTCAGTAAATGTAAAAGAACAGAAATCACAACAAACTGTCTCTCAGACAACAGTGCAAACAAATTAGAACTCAGGATTAAGAAACTCACTCAAAGCCACACAACTGCATGGAAACTGAACAACCTGCTCTTGAATGACTACTGGGTAAATAACGAAATGAAGGCAGAAATAAAGATGTTCTTTGAAAACAATGAGAACAAAGACACAGCATACCAGAATCTCTGGGACACATTGAAAGCAGTGTGTAGAGGGAAATTTATAGCACTAAATGTCCACAAGAGAAAGCAGGAAAGATCTAAAATCGACACCCTAACATCACAATTGAAAGAACTAGAGAAGGAAGAGCAAAAATTCAAAAGCTAGCAGAAGGCAAGAAATAACTAAGATCAGAGCAGAACTGAAGGAGATAGAGACACAAAAAATCCTTCAAAAAATCAATGAATCCGGAAACTTGTTTTTGAAAAGATCAACAAAATAGACCATTAGCAAGACTAATAAAGAAGAAAAGAGAGAAGAATCAAATAGATGCAATAAAAAATGATAAAGGGGATATCACTACCGATCCCAAAGAAATACAAACTACCATCAGAGAATACTACAAACACCTCTATGCAAATAAACTAGAAAATCTAGAAGAAATGGATAAATTCCTGGACACATACACCCTCCCAAGACTAAACCAGGAAGAAGTTGAATCTCTGCATAGACAAATAGTAGGTTCTGAAATTGAGGCAATAATTAATAGTCTACCAACCAAAAAAAGTCCAGGACCAGATGGATTCACAGCCGAATTCTACCATAGGTACAAAGAGGAGCTGGTACCATTCCTTCTGAAACTATTCCAATCAATAGAAAAAGAGGGAATCCTCCCTAACTCATTTTATGAAGCCAGCATCATCCTGATACCAAAGCCGGGCAGAGACACAACAAAAAAAAAGAGAATTTTAGACCAATATCCCTGATGAACATCGATGTGAAAATCCTCAATAAAATACTGGCAAACCGAATCCAGCAGCACATCAAAAAGCTTATGCACCACGAACAAGTTGGCTTCATCCCTGGGATGCAAGGCTGGTTCAACATATGCAAATCAATAAATGTAATCCATCACATAAACAGAACCAATGACAAAAACCACATGATTATCTCAATAGATGCAGAAAAGGCCTTTGACAAAATTCAACAACGCTTCATGCTAAAAACTTTCAATGAACTAGGTATTGATGGAATGTATCTCAAAATAATAAGAGCTATTTATGACAATCCCACAGCCAATATCATACTGAATAGGCAAAAACTGGAAGCATTCCCTTTGAAAACCGGCACAAGATAGGGATTCCCTCTCTCACCACTCCTATTCAACATAGTGTTGGAAGTTCTGGCCAGGGCAATCAGGCAAGAGAAAGAAATAAAGGGTATTCAATTAGGAAAAGAGGAAGTCAAATTGCTTCTGTTTGCAAATGACATGAGTGTATATTTAGAAAACCCCATTGTCTCAGCTCAAAACCGCCTTAAGCTGATAAGCAACTTCAGCGAACTCTCAGGATACAAAATCAATGTGCAAAAATCACAGACTTTCCTATATACCAGTAACGACAAACGGAGAGCCAAATCATGAGTGAACTCCCATTCACAATTACTACAAAGGGAATAAAATACCTAGGAATCCAACTTAACAAGGGATGTGAAGGACCTCTTCAAGGAGAACTACAAACCACTGCTCACCGAAATAAAAGAGGACACAAACAAATGGAAGAACATTCCATGCTCATGGATAGGAAGAATCAATATCGTGAAAATGGCCATACTGCCCAAGGTAATTTATAGATTCAATGCCATCCCAATCAAGCTACCACTGACTTTCTTCACAGAATTGGAAAAAACTGCTTTAAAGTTCATAAGGAACCAAAAAAGAGCCCACATTGCCAAGACAATCCTAAGCCAAAAGAACAAAGCTGGAGGCATCACGCTACCTGACTTCAAACTATACTACAAGGCTACAGTAACCAAAGCAGCATGGTACTGGTACCAAAACAGATATATAAACCAAGGGAACGAACAGAGGCCTCAGAAATAACACCACACATCCACAACCATCTGATCTTTGACAAACCTGACAAAAATGAGCAATAGGGAAAGCATTCCCTATTTAATAAATGGTGCTGGGAAAACTGGCTAGCCATATGTAGAAAGCCGAAACTGGATCCCTTCCTTACACCTTATACAAAAATTAACTCTAGATGGATTAAAGACTCAAATGTAAGACCTAAAACCATAAAAATCCTAGAAGAAAACCTAGGCAACACCATTCAGGACATGGGCATGGGCAAAGACTTCATGTTTAAAACACCAAAAGCAATGGCAACAAAAGCCAAAATAGACAAATGGGATCTAATTAAACTAAAGAGCTTCTGCATAGCAAAAGAAACTATCATGAGAGTGAACAGGCAACCTATAGAATGGGAGCAAATTTTTGTAATCTACCCATCTGACAAAGGGCTAATATCCAGAATCTACAAAGAACTTAAATTTACAAGAAAAAAACAAACAACCCCATCAAAAAGTGGGCAAAGGATATGAACAGACACTTCTCAAAAGAAGACATTTATGCAGCCAGCAGACATATGAAAAAATGCTCATCATCACTGGTCATCAGAGAAATACAAATCAAAACCACAATGAGATACCATCTCACACCTGTTAGAATGGTGATCATTAAAAAGTCAGGAAACAACAAATGCTGGAGAGGATGTGGAGAAATAGGAACACTTTTACACTGTTGGTAGAAGTGTAAATTAGTTCAACCATTGTGAAAGACACTGTGACGATTCCTCAAGGATCTAGAACTAGAAATACCATTTGACCCAGTGATCCCATTACTGGGTATATACCCAAAGGATTATAAGTCATGCTACTATAAAGACACATGCACACATATGTTTACTGCAGCACTCTTCACAATAGCAAAGTCTTGGAACCAACCCAAATGTCCAACAATGAAATGATACACTGGATTAAGAAATTGTGGCACATATACACCATGGAATACTATGCAGCCATAAAAAGGATGAATTCATGTCCTTTGCAGGGACATGGATGAAGCTGGAAACCATCATTCTGAGCAAACTATCACAAGGACAGAAAACCAAACACTGCATGTTCTCACTCACAGGTGGGAATTGAACAGTGAGAACACATGGACACAGGGCAGGGAACATCACACACCGGGGCCTGTTGGGGGGTGTGGGGCTGGGGAAGGGATAGCATTAGGAGAAACACCTAAATGACGAGTTGATGGGTGCAGCAAACCAACATGGCACATGTATACCTATGTAACAAACCTGCATGTTCTGCACATGAACTCTAGAACTTAAAGTATAATAATTTTTTAAAAAATGTGTTGGTGAGGATGTGGAAAAAATAGTACACTCTTACATTGCAGGTGGGAATGGGGCTGCCACTATAAAGAGAAAGTTGGCAACTCCTCAAAAAGTTAAACACAGACTTACCATACAGTCCAGCAACTTTTCTCCTAAGCATATACCCAAAAGAATTGAAAAGGTACCTAATACATTTTTTTTAAGTAGCAAATAAATAGCCCCCTCCAGTATGTGACAAAAGCCTTTTTAAAAACTTAATATCTTTCAGAGACTAAAGCTTAGGCAAATAGATCAATGGAATTGAACGCAGAGCTCAAAAACAGATAGACTGATTTGTGGACATTGATTTAAAATAAAGGTGGAACCGCAAAGCAATGGGCAAAAACCAAAATTGTTACTAAAGGGTGCCCAGACAATGGGATGTACATATTAGGAAACAATGAAATTTGACTCCTACCTCATTCTATGCAAAACTCAATTCTAGGCCGACTGTAAACCCAAACGTGAAAGGCAAAACAAAGAACAAGTTTCCAGAAGATGATATAAGAGATTGTTGTCCTCTTTTATGGACTAAATGTCTATACCGTCCCCATCCCCCACCCCAAGGTTTCACATGTTGACATCCTAACCCTCAGTGTGCTGGTATTAGGAGGTGAAGCCTTTGGGAGGTAACTAGATAATTTGATGGGATTCGTGTGCTTATAAAGTGCTTTCTAGCCCTATTTCCTCCATGTGAAGATACAAGAAGCACCAGAGCCCAGCCAATCTGGCACCCTGACTTTGGACTTTCAGCCTCCAAAACTGTAAGAAATAAATTCTGCTATTTATAAGCCACAAGTCTATGGCACTTTGTTATAGCAGGCAAAACTGACTAAGACATCCAAGTCAGGCAAAGTTGTCTTAAAACAGGACGAAAAAACAAAAAAAGTAATGGAGAGAGTAGGAAGAAAAGATACGTTTGACTCCTTAGGCATTTAAGAAGTAATGTTTATCTAAAGACGCTATGAAGAGAGTGTAAAAGCAAACTAAAGTGTAAGAAAATATATTTGCAACACATTTTTCAACAAAAGCCTTTATCCATAATATAGAAGAACTCTTACAAATAAATTGCTTAAAAAGTCAAATAACCAGTAGAAAAATGGGCAAGGGATTTGAGCAAGCACATCTCAAGAATATCAAAGTGGCTCAAATACATGAAATGGTGTTTAACGTCGTTGTTATTGGAGAAATACAAGGTAAAACCACAATGCAACCACTGGAATAGCTTCCTGTTTTTTTTTGTTTGTTTGTTTTTTGGTTTTTTTTTTAATATATATATCAAGTGTTAAAGAGAATGTGAAACAAACAGGAATTTAAATATACTGCAGGTGGAAGTGTTAATTAGAACAATCACCTTGGAAGACTTTGGCACTATTTACTAAAAACGAACATACTCAGAATTTATGATCCTGCAATTGCACTCCTAGGAATATGCCTGACAGAAATGCACACACCTACACACCAAAAAAGCACATATGCTCTTAAGAAAATAGCAACATTATACTTGAGTCCAAATGGTAATAACCCAAAATGTTCAGCAACAGTAAAATATATATTTATAGAATGAAATAATATACAACAATGAAATGAGTGAACAATGTCCATGTGAAGCAATATGGTTGAATCTCACAAACACAAATGGAATGTTGATTGAAAGAAACCAGAAACAAAAGAATACACATAGCATGAGCCCATTCATGTGAAATTCAAAAACAAGCAAACCTAAACTATGGTATTAAAAGCCTGGATCATGGTTACCTTTGGGAAGTAAGTAAAGTTGGTCATTGACAGGGGACACAGAGGGAGTGTTTCTAGGGGCTGGCACTGTTTTCTTTCTTGAGCTGGATGGTGATTACATGAGTGTTTGTTTACAATGATTGGCTGAGCTTTACACTTCCATTTTGTGTACTTTGTGTACTTCTACTTATTTTTTTAATGGTACAAACAGCTTTTATTGGTTACAACAGGAAGTAGAAGAGAGCAGAAGATACAACAGCTCCCACTCCTGGGGCAGCATCCATAGATTCAGTAGCCACCCTTTAAAAGCTAATTTTTGTACTTTTCTAAATGTACAAAACATACATATTTGACGATAAAAAGTTATTTTACAAAGTAACTGATCTTTAACCCAGCAATTTTACTTCCAGAAATTTAACCTAAAGAAACAAGTTGACAGATGGATAAAGATATAAAAGATACTTATTGTAGTGCCATTAATGGTAAAAAAAAAAATTAGAAATAACCTAAAGATTCAACAATAGGATGTTGGTTTCATAAATGAGAATATATCCACACAATACATAGGATACATTTATTAAAATTATTGCTGTAGATCTATATTTGTTCATGTGGAAGAATGTCATTTCTTAAAATTTTTTTTCTAGCTTTATTGAGGTATACTGACAAACAAAATTGTGTAAATTTATGGTGTACAACACGCTGATGTTATATACGTATATATATTTTGAGACAGAGTTTTGCTCTTGTTGCTCAGGCTGGAGCGCAATGGCACCATCTCCAGCTCACCTGAACCTCCGCCTCCTGGGTTCAAGTGATTCTCCTGCCTCAGCCTCCCGAGTAGCTGGGATTACAGGCATGTACCACCACACCCGGCTAATTTTGTATTTTTAGTAGAGACGGGGTTTCTCCATGTTGGTCAGGCTGGTCTCGAACTCCCAACCTCAGGTGATCCGCCTGCCTCGGCCTCCCAAAGTGCTGGGATTATAGGCGTGAGCTACCACACCCAGCCACTATATATGTATATATTGTGAAATGATTATCATAATCAAGTTAGTTAACAATTTTATCACCTCACCTACTTACCATTTTTGTTTTGTGGTGAGAATATTTAAGATCAACTCTCTTTGCAAATTTCAAGTATACAGTACAGTATTTATTATTCCCTATTGTCACCATGCTGCTCATTTGATTTCTGGAATTTATTCATCTTATAATTGAAAGTTTGTGGCCTTTAACCAACATCTCCCCATTTTCCTCACTCTCCAACCCCTGGCAACCATCTCTTTTTCTGTGAGTTCAACTTATTTCGATTACACATATGTGGGCATTATTTGTCTTTCTTTGTCTGACTTATTTCACTTAGCATAATGCCCTGAAGATTCATCCATGTTATCACAAATGGCCGAATTTATTTCTTTTTATGGATGCATAATATTCCATTGTATATGTATACACCACAGTCTAGGAAATCTAAGGGAAAGCACCTTGACATTAGTCTTGGCAATGTTTTTTTGGATATGATACCAAAAGCACAAGTTACAAAAGCAAAAACAGACAAGTGGGACTACATCAAACTTAAAAGCTTCTGCACGATAAAGGGAACAACAAAATGAAAAGGCAAGCTACAGATTGGAAGAAAATATTTTTAAACCATACACCAGATAAGGGGTTAATATTCAAAATATATGAGGAACTCACACAACTCAATCGGGGGAAAAAAAAGTTGATTAAAAAATGAGCAAAGGACTCAAATACACATATTCTAAAGAAGACATTAAAATGGCCAACAGACAGGTACATAAGAAGGTGCTCAATATCATTAATCATAAAGGACATGCAAATTAAAACCACAATGAGATAGGATGATGGGATGGCTATTATCAAAAAGACAACAAGTTTGGTAAGCATATGAAGAAAAGGATACCTCTGTATACTGTTGGTGGGAATATAAACTGATTCTGCCATTATAAACGTTCTTCAAAAAGCTAAAATCAGAACTACCACGTGATCCAGCGATCCCACTTCTGGCTATATACCAGTGGCTAGAGGAGGTATCTGCACTCCCATGTTCATTGCAGCATTATTCACAACAGGGACGACACGGAAACAACTTCAGTGTCCATCAACAGATGAATGGATAAAAAAATTGTCATTATATTAAGTGAAGAAAACAATTTTTAGAATAGGATAAGTAATCAAATCCTAATTTTGGAAACATATGCATATAAAATTATAATCAATAATTAGTAATAATTGTCACTGTTTCTATATAGTATAATTCTGATGTGTTTTTCTCATTTTTCTACAAATATAGATTACTAAAGTTATAAACACTGTGTAACAAACATTAAGAAAGATATAAAACATATTTTTCTTATTTAATCTTCCCAAAAACCTAGCATGATAAAGCAAATTATCAGCATTTTGCAGCTAAACAGACTGAGAAGTAGATATACAATGTCAAAGAAAAAGTTTTCAAAGTCAGTACTTAACCAGTGTCTGCCCGGATCCCTAGCAAACACTCCTTTTTACCATATAACATAGTGAGGGTATATTAAGAGGAGGTTTGATAACAAGGCTTTGAGCCCAAATCTCTTCATTCTGTTTTAAAGCAAGAATTTCTATAAGCTTATAAAGTAACACACAAAGAACAGTTGAAAAAATTAAAACCATGATAGATGCTAGTTGTGATGTAAATAGGGAGTAACAATAATGACAACCACTACCATTTATTAAATGATTGCCATGTGCTGAGTACTGACTATTGTCTCATTTAAGTCTCATTATCCTACAGTAGGTCGATTGCATAATGTGCCCAATTCTTCATCTCTCCTTTTATCCGCATTCTTTGCATGTAACTGTATTGCATCCCATTCTGAGTTAAGGCTCAGCCATGTGATAAACCTGGTCAATAGCATATTAGCAACCACAAAGCAATCAGAGGCTTAAAAAGTGCTTCTGTGCTTCTGCTTGTTGCTCTTGCCCCCTTCCACCACCACAAGACTACGCCTAAGCTAGCCTGCTGGAAGATGAAAGACGCATGGAGCACAGCCAGTCACGTGAATCATCCCAGATGAAGCTATCCTTGATTAACCAATAGCCAGTCAACACCCAGAAAAGTGATCAAGCTGTGTCAAGATCAGCAGAGCTGCCTAGCCAAACCCAGGTGACTCCAGACACATGAGTAATAAATGCTTGTTCTATGCCACTGAGGTTTTGTGGTTGTATGTTATGCAGCTTTATTACAGCAAAAGCTAACTAATAGAAACCCTATGAGGTAAATAGTACTATTATACTCCTATTTTACATAGGAGGGAAACTGAGGCTCAGAAAAGTCACACAGGAAGTAAGTGGTGGAGTCAGGATTTGAGCCCAAGCTTGTCTTAATCCAGGGGAATCGCTTTTAATTACCATACCATCTGTCTACCTACCTACCCACCTATCTATATTGCCTCTACAAATGCACTCCCAGCTATAATTTTTAGTGGAGCTCCAGCAATGCATATATCCATATGTGCGTGTACATACATGTATGTGCATCTTTCTCCACAGCTACTCACTGACTGAAGATTTTAAATTTGGAAGCAGTATTTTTGACTAACCCAAATATCTTAGCTGTGTTTGGCACTTTTAAAAAGCTGACTGGTCATAGTCCTTGTAGTTTAAACCAACAATTCTGTGCATACGGACTCTGGTATTTTTTCTCTCTCTCCCACATGCTGTCTTACGTAGTCCACAGGCATTTAATTTCTCACACATGCCTTCAGTGCTGACATGGTATCCCAATATTAATTTGTGTGCTTCAAAGATTTATCCTAAAAATGCTGATGACACCAACAGAAAATGTAAAATTTGACCTTCACTTACACAATGATTGGCGTTGACTATAATTCCTTATGAGGTTTCACATAACCTTATGAGGTTTCACATCAGCAAGCTGATGTGTGCAGCTAGAGTACATAATCAGTTGTTTTGTATCAAAACTCACCTTGCAGTTGGATCAAGGAAACAAATTCTCATATTTAATGGTCAGGAGAATCAGTTATTAGATACACAGTAGTCAACTTTCAACAGCCCATGTTGAAGATGTGCAGGGATGGTAAGTAGTTAAAAGATATATCTACTCAAAGTTTTGCTCTCTAACCATCTCCTTCTTGGAGTCCACTTTTGCTTTGTTGAAAATTAAGGTATGTTAAACTTGCTGACATAAAAGACAAATGTATTTGATGCTAAAAAATCTGGATGGAGAATGAAAACTTCACTCAGCTCACAGACGCTTTGCCCCACTTTTCCTCCAGGCAAACTTGCCTGACCTAGGGACCAGTCCATTTCCCTATATTTGTGTTCAACTTGCTTGCTTCACAGTGATGTTAACTGACAGGTAAGTTGTTAATTTTTAATAACATTTACTTATTCATTCAGCCTCATTTATTAGACACTCACTATGTGCCTGGAACTCTCCTGAGCAATAGTGAACAAGGACAAGTTTTCTTTTTCTTAGAGCTTATTTTCTAGTGCCATATCTCATGAGATATACATAATTTTAAAAGAAAATCTTACGGGGGGAGGCACTCATGTTGAATTACAATACCCTTTACATACATGGATACACATGAAAGATGATTTAGTGTTCAAAAATAGGATTTCAGATCACTAAACCAACCCCAAACCCCTCATGCCCCATGCTATCCCACACACACGGAAATTACGAATGAGGTAACAGATTATGTGACCTTGAACAAATCTCACAACCTCTCTCTTCCTTAACACATGGCAAAACCAATACTAGAACCCAGGCCTCATGAATCCCACCATATTTCATCCCCGAAAGCCAATTTCTTTGGGAGTTTCCTGCTGTTGTTACCCTTGTGGCAGCTGAGAGGTCATCTTGGAAAAGCATCTCTCCTCAGGCCCTCACACCTGCTGTTTCCTCTGCCGGGACGACTCCCACTCCTCCTTCAAGCCTACCAGGGAGCTTCTTTCTGAACTTCCAGACCAGGCTGGGACCCTGCCCTGTGGGCCAGCAGCAACCTACCTTCCCTGCGGGCATTGCACCTCACTCGTAACTACTAGTTTCCGATTTGTCTTTCCCCAATAGACTGTAAGGTGTGCAAGGCCCAGAACCTGTCTCTCCCCTGTGCCCAGCATGTGGCAGGCATTCTGGAAAGATCCGTGAATAAATGAAACTCTGATTTAATTTACAAAGGCAGTTAGTGAGAAAACTGGGATGTGTTCACAGAATTTGACATGATAGAACACTCTAAGAATACAATAATCCTACATCTTCATTTTAAAAAGTAATAACAGTAAATTTGATTATGTTTTTTGAATAAAAGAAAATAGAAGGCTACCCTCTTTGGTCTAAGTGAGGAAATATGTTCTCCTTCCAACCCTTTTCTTCTCATTTTCATATAGTGGCCCCACCCAACATCACTACCTTCTTTTTTACTAATGGTAATAGACACAAAACAGTCCTTTTCCTTCCCCTCACCCAGAACAATGCAGAAAAAGGATGTCTTTATCTGTTTTTATGTTGCTGTAACAGAATAACACAGACTGGGTCATTTATGATGAAAAGAAATGTATACCTTACAGTTCTGGAGGCTAGTCAGTCCAAGGTGGAGAGGTCCACGTCTGGCAAGGGCTTTCTTGCTGCGTCATTCCATGGTGGAAAGCAGAAAGGCAGGAGAGACAGCAAGAGAGGGGCCAACTTGCTGTTATAACAAATCTACTGCTGGGTGCGGTGGCTCACGCCTGTAATCCCAGCACTTCGGGAGGCCGAGGTGGGCAGATCACGAGGTCAGGAGATCGAGACCATCCTGGCTAACACGGTGAAACCCCATCTCTACTAAAAATACAAAAAATTAGCCAGGCGTGATGGCAGGCACATGTAGTCCCAGCTACTCGGGAGGCTGAGGCAGGAGAATGGCATGAACCTGAGAGGTGGAGCTCGCAGTGAGCCGAGATCGTGTCACTGCACTCCAGCCTGGGTGACAGAGCGAGACTCTGTCTCAAAAAAAACTAAAAGAAAAAAAAAAATCTACTCTTGCAACAACTAACCCACTCCCCAGATAATGACATTAGTCCATTCATGAAGACAGATCCCTCACACCCCAGTCACCTCTTATTAGGCCTCACCCCAAAACACCATTACATTGGGGATTAATTTTCTAACACATAAACTTTGGGGGACACATTCAAACCATAGCAAAGTGTCTCCTAGCCTAGGAAAAAGCAATTTCCTCTTAGGTTCTAAATGAGAGGAGAATAGACGATACAAAATGGGGAAGCGTTTTCCCTCCAAGCCCGAGGATTGCACAGTCCTTGGGGTGGAAGAAAGACGACAGAGAAACACAGATGGCATGCTGGCAGTTGGATGAATTAATGTGATTGCATCCCCAGTAATGTTTCAAGTGAGATATTCATGTAATTCATGCAAATTCAGAAATAATTGAGGTTCATGTTTCCAGGATAAAGTCATGGCATTTTGCTTTTACCTGAACTACCCCAAAAAAGGGTCATTTTTATTATTCCATATTCAATTATTCATAACCACACACTCATGGATTTTAGAACCATAAAAGGTCAAGCCTCTTTGATTCTGCAATTGTTTTCTTCTGAAGTCAGGGAGCAGTCCATGAATATGCACGCGCACACAATACTGACACTTCCCTCACTGTTCATTAACAGTGTGTTCACTGTGTATTTCAAAGTCAAATAAATAATACCTGTCATGAACACGAATTTTTAATATCTCCTATATTTCATTTTAAATGAAATGTCAAAATGATGGAAAATATTTCCATGGAAGTTTGGAAAGGGCAGCATCTCACCAACGCGGCATTGTGAAACCCCGCACTGGTACAAAACATTGCTAAAGCAGTACCACCGCCGCTGAGATCAGATTGTTTTTTGGTATTTTACTGCCTTTGTCATCCTGTGGTAGCTGGGAAATGTCAATGTGAAATTTGTTTGCCAAGTCAACATGCTTTTTCGGGGCTGATGGGAGCCACTGTCCTCTTTTCATCTGCAAATGGATGCCGTTTATTTACAGCCTGTTTCAATTCCCTGCTTTTTGGCTCGAACTGCATTTTATTTGTGTGCAATGATCCTCTTAGCATATGTGCCCTTTGTTCCTCTTCATTCTTTAAACGCTGCTTCCCAATTTTAATGGCAAGGAAATCAAACAGCTCTGACCTCCCTTTTCTCTCCGACGCGCAATCAGAATTCCTTAATTTCAAGCTCCCATCTACTCTCCCAGAAATAGCCTATTTCCTTCCTCAGAAGTTGATCCCCGGAGACTGGGTTAGATTTAGGTCAGAACAATGCAGAAATTGGGAAAGGAGGCAGGGAATGAGAGCTTGTGGTGGCCAGAGACGACCAAGAGGGTCCACAGCAGGATTTCTCATCCTCACCACTGTTGGTACTGGGGACCAGACCATTCTTTGTTGTGGGGCTGTTCTGGGCACTGCGGGATGTTTAACAGCACCCTCACCTCTACCCACTAGATGCCAGTAGCACCCCCCACCAACTAAGTTGTGACAACCAAAAATATCCCTGGGAATGGGATTAGGGGTAGGGAGGCAACCTCCCCGCACTCCTTGTAAATCACTGATCAACCAGTACAACTGGAAAGGATTGTTTGCCTGATGTGTTTTCTTCTCTCAGCACTAAAGAAGGCAGGAGCCCCAGGAGCTCCTGCAAACTGCACCAGAACTGCAATGTGGAGCCTCCCTAGCACCCTAAGAAGCATTCTTCACTACCTGGAGAGTCTATGATTCAGCTGTGTAGACGTGGCCTGAGACTATGGCCATGACCATCTACCATTCCCATCCTTTGAGCCAAAAGCAGTCTTCTGGTCTCCAACCTAATAACATCTACCTCATCACATTTAATGTCTTCGTGTGTCCCTATCCTTCTATTGCCCCACCCCTCTAAAGAAGATTCTAACTTGTCCATCATCAGGCTCCTCTGCCTGAGTGCTGGGAAATGACAGGGGCAAGGGGGGCAAGAGCTAGGAAATTGGAGATGATGATTTATGTCTTCTCCATGATGCTCAAGACATAACAATGAAAAGTCCTGAGCTATTCTCTTAGATGTGTGGCCACGTTTTTTCACCCTGATGCTGTTCTAGGACTGAACAACGTGGATGATGGATTTTATAATTATTATATTTTATTCCGATGGAATTTAATTTATATTAAAAAATTGTAAATGTTATCTCAAGTGGGGTAGAAGAAAGAGATACTGTAATCCTCATTTTACTAATGAGGAAATTGAGGCCTAAAGAAGTCAAGAAATACCCTAAAAGCAAGCATTGGCACTTGCTGTATTAGTTTGTTACGGCTGTCAAAACAAAATACCACAGACTGGATGACTTAACGAACACAAATTTATTTTCTCACAGTGCTGGAGGCTGGAAGTCCAAGATCGGGGTGTCAGCAGCGTTGGTTTCTCCTGAGACCTCTCTCTTTGACCTCCCTCTCGCTGCCTCTTCACGTGGTCTCTGTGCACAGGCATCTCTGGTGTCTCATGTGTGTCCAAATTTCCTCTTCTTATAAGGACATGAGTCAGATTGGATTAGAACCCAGCTAATGACATCATTTTAATTTCATTACCCTTTAAAAGTCCTTTTTTCTTTTTCTTTTTTCTTCAACTTTTATTTTAAGTTCAGGGGTACATGTGCAGGATGTGCAGGTTTGTTACATAGGTAAACATGTGCCATGGTGGTTTGCTACACAGATCATCCCATCACCTAGGTATTAAGCCCAGCATCCATTAGCTATTCTTCCTGATGCTCTCCCTCCCCACACCTGATGACAGGCCCCAGTGTGTATTGTTTCCCTACCCATGTGTCTATGTGTTCTCATCATTCATCTCCCACTTGTAAGTAACAAAATGTAGTATTTCGTTTTCTGTTCCTGTGTTAGTTTGCTGGGGATAATGGCTTCCAACTCCATCTATGTTCCTGCAAAGGACATGATCTCATTCCTTTTTATGGCTGCATAGTATTCCATGGCATATATGTACCACATTTTCTTTATCCAGTCTATCATTGATGGGCATTTAGGTTGATTCCATGTCTTTGCTCTTGTAAATAGTGCTGCAATGAACATACACGTGCATGTATCTTTATAATAGCATGATTTATATGTCTTTGGTTATATACCCAGTAATGGAATTGCTGGGTCAAATGGTATTTCTCCCTTTAGGTATTTGAGGAATCACCACACCATCTTCCACAGGGGTTGAACTATTTCATGCTCCCACCAACAGTGTAGAAGCATTCTAAAGGTCCTTTGTTCAAATACAGTCACACTTTGAGGCACTGGGGGTCAGGGTTTCAACATTTGAATTTGGTCATAAGGACACAACTGAGCCCATAATACCTGCATTTCCCATTTCCAAGTCTACTCTTCCTACTTCACAACATTACTTTGGAGCCTAAAGTTTCTCAGGCACACAGTTGAGCATGTGATGTGTGTGTGCGTGTGTGTGTGCGTGCGTGTGTTTTAAATTCTCTGTTTATATGTTAGATTAGTATGTCTAATGTGTTGCAAAGTTTTCATTTTCATAAGAAGGCTCAATCTTGACAAACTTCATGATAAACTTTACCCATTGATAAACTTCTCCACAAGGGACAGTATGTTAGGAAGCTTGCAGCCATTCCAATGGATATTCTGCAGAGCCTAGACTCTCGAGTTGAGGAGAGGGTTTGAAGGGTGTGGTGGTGATGGTGCTAGAACTGTGTGTTAGGTCTTCTGTGCAGTAGCACAGCTCCTGCAAAGGAGTAGGCCTGGGGGACAAGGGGATGGTGGGAATGAATGTAGCCTCTTTGCAGTGAAGTGAGAGTCAGAGAAAGAAGAGAAGTTTCTACAATTGCTTTTTTTGTCAAAGCTTCAGTGAGTTCACCCCACAATAACTGAATGTGATTGTTGGACACAAAATTAAAAGAAATGCGAAGCCTCCCTTCCCCCAACACACATCCCAAAAGGGAAGAGAGACAAGCAAGAATATCATTTCTACATTTTCCATTTATTCCACCGCAGTGCACTGCTTTCTGAGAAGCAGAAATCCAGGCTCTGCAACTTACCTTGATCAGATCACTTACACAGATTCTATGGATGAAACTTAAAAAAGGTAATGCCTGCCCACTTGTCTCACAGGGAAGGGCCCAAATTAGATACCAGATGCAAAAGCACTTGCAGATGGTAAGGTATTTTATAAGGCATGATGATATTGCCAAGTGGATGAGAGATTGACTTTCAGAGAAAAGGAGAGTCATACTAGATTGACCACTGCAGTGGGTTGAATAGTGTCTCCCAAAAATTCATGTCCATCCAGAGCCTCAAAATGTGATCTTACTTGAAAATAGGTCCTTTGCAGATGTAACTAAGGATCAAGATGAGACTATACTGGAGAGAGCAAGCCCTACATCCAATGAGTGTCCTAATAAGAAACAAGAAAGGACACACAAAAACACAGAGATGAAGGGGATGCAAAGACAAAGGCAGAGGCTGGAGTTGGGGCAACTGAAGCATCTTGAGCCAGACTGTCCATAGCCTCATAGTGCAGGTTGTGGATTGCCACTAGCAAACCCCAAGTCCTCTACAAAGAATCAGGCACAAATTGAAGAAAGCTTGATCTTTCATGCAAGGGAGAATCACAATTAAACAACCACCACAGTAGTCTGAGTATGCTAAAGGTTTCAGTGCATGCCCAGGTTTGGAGGATGGTGTTCTCCCTTTCCACTTTCTAATTTCTGGACCTCCAGGCTAGAGTAGCAGTCCTTCCCTGAATGCTTCAGACCAAGGTGTCCAGAGGAAAACTGCAAAGCCCCAATGTGACATTTAAACTGCTAGCAGAATCCCATTTGTCCTTTGTACCCTGCCACTCCCCTGTGAGCAGACACCTTTAGAGATGCTTAAGGCAAGGCTGCAAGGGCTTATGTGCATAGTCTCCCTTGCCCAACTCCTACCACAGGGGAAGACTGGGAAGTTATGAGATTTTCTGTGTCCTAATAACACGATCTCACATGGAAAGGGTAAAATCAGATTTATTCTGCATAACTAGCCAGTGTGTAAGGTAGAAAAAGAAACATGTATTTGGCAACTAGTCTTTGCAAGAACTTTGCACATGAGCCAGCCCAGCATCTGGCACAGACAGTAGAAGCTCCATAGTAATAGAACCATTGTAAAGGAGACATACTATGGACCAGGGATGGAGGAGAAAATTGGGAAGCAGTGTGTCAGAAGCAGGAGCCATGAAAATGTGTGTGGAGCTGGAGAAGCAGAGCACCCACAATTAGATGGCAGAGGGAAGAAGCAGGTGGTAAATGAAAATAACAGAGAAAAAAGGTAAGAGACCCAAAGAGTCCTGTGTCAACAAAGCTACAGGAGGACTGGTCCAAGTTCATTTAATGAGAACTTGAAGGATTAAATGTTCATCAACAAGGAAAACTTAAATCTTTCCCTCTTCTGAAATCAAAGGTCTCCTTCTTTTAATGATTTAAAGAACAGCTCCATAGGGAGGCCAGTGGCTGCCACCCATCTGCACAGCCCACAAGGACAGATATCATTTAGCCAAGAGAGGAGACACAAAAAAATGACCAGCTATCTGGTTTCAGGCAATGTGGAAGGCAGAGTTGTGTACACAGGGGTTCCCAGCCTTTTCCTGAAAACTTCTTTTATAAATCTCCTCTACCCAAATGAGCACCATAATTTGCCGTATTTTTCACCACCAGACAATCTACATTTGTTGGGCCACTGATTATTTGTTTACTCCATTTTTTTATTAATCGTTGATACACCTTGGAACCACACACAGCATCTGATCAGTGCTGATAATCACAGTTCCCACACTCAAGCAATAGAATCCCTGGCAAAAACCAAAGAAATGTGTGTGTTTTCTAGCCCACACAGCCATTGCAGAGAGAAATGTATGATTTCCATCTGACTTTTAGAGATTCATAAAATTGCTCATGGAGTCTCAGCACGATATGCACTGACCTCTAGGGTCAAAGAATCCAAGGCTGGAAACCACAGATCCACTGTGATTTTCTCTGGAAGGTAGATGACCGGGAGGTAAACCTGTAAAGTAGTTTTCCCTCCATTGCCAGTCTCTATGGCTTTTTCTCTTCCCGTCATCTGCCCCCTTCAACCCTCCTTTAGATGTCTAATACCTCCCCACCATGTCAGAACATTGATCAATTTTGTTCTTTTCCCTTTTTGATAACATTGTTACATAGATCAGATAATACTACAGAATAATACAAAAGACACTCAAATTCTTAAAAGTTAGATTTTATTGTTTTCCACATCATAATTTTTTTTCAGTTGTAATAATTATAGTAGTGCCTCAGTCTTAAGATACAAAGAAAGTCACATTTGTTTTTCTCAAGATTGATCCAACTACAGCATTACCTCCTAAGAGCTCCCAATTTTCCTGTGGTTGGTTCAAAGTCTCCAGGAACACAGTCCAGAAAGAAAGGCCCTTAGACTTCTCTCTGAGCAGGATGAAGCCTGGTGTCTTTTTCAGCTGCCTTCCCAGCCAGCCCTTGCTTTCCCTGCCTCAGAGTAGTGCTGTCAAGCCTTCTTCAGACACTGATGGTCTGCGAAGCTTTGATTAAGCAGATCCCAGCTCCACTCCCTCCATAGTAAGTTCTCTGGGCTCTAAATGCCACCACAATTAATTACCAACCAGCTCAGAGCCCCATGTGGTCAGTCTCTAAGATCCTGCTGCCTCAGAGGCATTTTGCCAGTGTACATCCAAGCATCTACCCACCCATCTATCCATCCATCCACTCACCTCTCTGCCCACCCATCCAACTATCCACCCACCCATCCAACTATCCACCAATCTATCCACCCACCCATCCTTGTGGAACTTGCAACTGCACCTCCACTCCCAGCAGTGTCTTTTTATGTCCCTGAAATCAAAATGTTCCACCATGCCCTTAATAAGGCTGTAGACACACAGAGGCCTGTTTACTCCTGTGAGGGTCAAGGGGTGAAGAGAAAAAGAGGAGGTTGGTGGGCAAGAAGGGAATTCCTCCACCTCTTCCTAAGGAGGTACCCACAGACAGGAGAACTTATTGCTACAGCAGGAAAAAGCAAAATCAAAGTTAAGTTTTCAGCAGGTCACCCACACGCACACCAGATATGGACATCCTACTGTCCTGACTTTATAAAACTTCATGTGAAATTATTCATACATTTTCCAATATATGTTAAAATATATATTCACTGTAGAAATTTAAAAAATAAAGACAATTAAAATTATCTTATGTAATTCTACATAATAATAAGGTAAGGAGGCATGGATTAGTATAAAGAAGCTCAAAATGGGATTTGCTACTGAAGCCACGCTGAAGAGATCACCACTGGACAGCAGCTGAACTGTGATTCATGTGTAAGATTATAACCTCTCATCCATAATTCTGATATCCAAACATCTCTGAAAACCAGAATATTTCCTGTAATTTTCTGTAATTCATTTGACATCAAAACCTGACCCGAACTGACATGTGACTATTCATAAATATCTTTATTTAACCTACTTAGTGTGAATATTCATATTTTGCTACAGAAATAGCGGTGTATTTGATCATAAGGTGCTTCCCTAAGCTCTACTGCATGGAAACATATATGTTACATTTCCAAAATTCAAATGCTTTGGAATTCTGAAACCTACCTGCCCCAACTTTTAGAATAAGAGATTATGAACCTTTAATATCCCTGTCTTTAAGGGACAACCTCTGCCAGGAGAAAGGGGAGCTAAAAACACTCATTACTTCAAGATCTTAAGCAGGTTATTTTGTTTTAACACTGGGACATTTCACAAGGCCTAAAACTTAAACCACTAAAATGCAAGGATTTTCATCACTGAGATTTGTGCTTTTACCTCATCTTTGAACTCTTCTTACCTTGGAGCCTTGGGGAGGGGGTGAGATTCAATGATAGGAGGACGATGAGGGTTGAAAGTCAGGGATAGAGTGAGGGTTAAGGCATCACTTGACTTTTTTTTTAAGTTCAATAATTATTTTTTATGGTCACCAAATAGATATGAATATCACTACAGCAGCTAAATGGCCATATCAAAATGTCATAAGCCCCATGAGAGATGGAAGAAAATCTTCATAGCTACTAAAGGAAAAATTATAACTGCTCCCAGGAGGTCTAAGACCCCTGAGAGATAAATGGCACCCATGAGTTCGGGCCAATGAAACACCTTCAACCCATAAGTCAGAACTGAAAACCCACAGGCCTGCTTTGTTTGGATAGCACAGCATTGATAATCACAGGTTTGGTTTTGTTTCGTGTGAATGAAGAGCTTGCCACTTAAAACTTAGAAGTTTTCACATAAGTACCTTGGTATCTGGGCCAGGCATGGTGGCTCATGCCTGTAATCCTAGCACTTCAGGAGGCCGAGGCAGGTGGATCACCTAAGATCAGGAGTTCAAGACCATCCTGGCAAACATGGTGAAACCCCGCCTCTACTAAAAATACAAAAATTAGCCAGGTTTGGTGGCACATGCCTGTAATTCCAGCTACTTGGGAGGCTGAGGCAGGACAATCGCTTGAAACTGGGAGACAGAGGTTGCAGTAAGCCAAGATTGTGCCATTGCACTCCAGCCTGGGTGACAGAGAGAGACTCCATTAAAAAAAAAAATGTATCTTGGTTTCTGGATTCTCTTGAGAAAGCTGAAGACCTGGTGACACTGGGCCTGTGCTCATGCATGGCAACAATCTAGAGCTGGGAACGAGTGGCTGCATCGTCGTCAACAGCCATCATCTCTTCTCTTCACTGCAATCTCCACAAGCCCCTAGATTCTCCTGGGACATTCACATAGTCCCTGCTGGCATCTGACCACCCTGGGGCCTCTGGGGCATATGCTGTTGGTTCTGGGATGTGCCAGTGACCCACTGGAGTTACATATGACTGTGTAACTCCATGACACATGACAACCTGGGAACAGTGGCTTTCTCAACAGAGGATACTGACAGCCTTGTGTCAAAGCACATGTCTGAGCAGTCATGACTAGTGAAATGGCCCAGAGAAATCACAAAGGGAAGAACTGAGCAGTACTGGGAAGTCAATGAAGATTTTTTGCAGGAGCCAAATAACAAGGTTGGCGAGCAGTGGAGGCAAGGACTCACTTGAAAAGAACCTTAGGGAACAATTAATATAATTATTTCCATTAATGAACAATGTGTTGCTTTTTTCCCAGCCAGATATGGGAACCCTTAATATTCATAGTATACCTACTAACTACAGGTATTTTACCTATGTTGCCTGATTTACTCTTTATAACATCCTTCGGAGGCAGGTATGATTATGCCCATTTTAGAAATAAAGAAACTGAGCCCTAGAGATTTTAAGTAACTTACTCAAGGACACTAGCTTATAACTGTTACAACCAGGATTCTAACCTAGGTGTTTATGACCCTCAAAATTAATTCGCTTTTCATTACACCACTAGACCCAATAGCAAATGTTTATCTTTGCCCACTGAGAAAGTAATTACCCAACTAATCAAAGCATCTTAACTGTATCCTCTCTCCTCTTAAAAATAACTACTCTCAGAATCCGACACTGGCCAATTATACCTTAGTGTAAATTTAAGTCATTTTGGAGCCTTAACAGAGACCTGAAAGAGGTAACTATTCTGGGGAAGAAGAGCATTTTCTGGTATCACTAAAATCACAATGGCATTTTTAACCATACTTAGCCAAACTTGCCAATATGATGTGGGAGCCATGCTCAGGGGCCATGTGTCTGTTTTCTCTATTAAACCCTGATCAGTGTAGTCACAGCCTCCTGGCCCGGGGATGATTTGGAGAAGGACAAGGCATGGACTTTTCAGGCAATGCAAAAATCTCTGGCATCCAAGGACCTACCTCATGATCTGCAAAAACTCAATTATTAATGTGAGTATATGAACATCATTTTGTTGTGATTAGATTTCAGTTTAATTTAAATTTTGTTAAAGCCACAAGGGAGCAAAGAAGCAGTCTCGTGAAATAAACGAGTCAGTCTCGGTTTTATTTTTCATGTTTGCAAGCAGGATTATTGGCAAATCTTATCAGTCAGGTGGCAAATTACCAAGAACTACATTAAAAATGTGTGTAGTCATTTTCATTTTTGAAAGATTCAAGACTATAAATAATTAAATGCATTAGACATCTGTTATTTATGAGCTGAAGTGACAGTTTTAATTTAGTTCTTCATTTAGCTGAGCCTGACGTATTGTGACTCTAAAAGAAAACACAGGAAATATCTAAAAATGACATCTTTTGGAGCCTGCAGTGACCATAGGTGCAAATCAAAGCCTGGTTATTTTCACTTCCCTTCAAAGCCTGTCAAGACACAATCTTCATTCCAATCTTCATTTGTGACCTTGCGTTGTCTGTCCTCGAGAATTCTCATTGGCTGAGAGACCAGCCCCGCATCTGCATCTGCTAGCTTCACTATGTAAATCAGGCAGCTTAGTAGGAGCTGTGAACATGCTGCCAATTAATTATACATGCAGAACTAAGTCACTAGATCAGATCTATGGACCACTTTCAGGAAATGCCAAAGAATTCAAACTGCCTGCCCTTTCCTTTTGCCGTATCAGAGAAGGGCCGTTGTTTGGCTTTCCCAAAGATGTATAAAACCTCATGGATTACAGAAAAGAAGAGGCAAGACATGGATACAGAAGGTGTGATTGGGAGGCCAAGGGATGATATGCTAATAATTAAGCTGCACAGTACTCACTAACTGAAGTCATCCTTGGAAATGTAGGCTCCCCAGTCACACAGTCCCACAAACCCACACACATCAGCCGTGTGCCTGGTAATGAGATGCCTTTGGATTCCTGGCTCTGAGGAAGTGCAACTTTCTTCAGGTTGGAGCATTCTGGAACTGCGGTGAATCCTGAAGTGACCCCAGCCTCAAGTGATGGGAAATCACATCACCTTGGCCTCCATCAGAGTGGCTGGAAGTGTGACAGGTCCCATTACCTGTGCTCAGCCTGCGGAGAGTCATGCCATTTGATTGAGCAAGGGCTATAGTTTGGAAACAACTGCAATATTTAATGTTTGCCAACTGATTTTAATATGTAGGTTTGTTTATTTGTAGTTGATTGATTTTAAACAATTTGCCTTGTGAATTTTTGTTTGCACAAGCACTCCTAGGAAAAAGGACCAGTGCAGAATTAGGTGAATTCTGAGCCCCTGGAATTGGTTAGCAGGCTAACACAGATTTATATTTGGGCATCATTTGCAACCATATTCTACTTGGGGAAAGGAAGGCCAATATTTTGGGTTTTTTCCACATACAAAACATAAATCAGGGAGCAAATCAAAGCATTTCAGCAGAAATGGTGTGCACAAAGTAAAAACTCCTCTGGCTCCCAGCTCCTATGTCTTTCTAAATCGCCAGCTGGGGCCCCTTTGCCCACCCTCAGGCCCTTGGGCTGATCCTGTGGTCAGAGAAATAAAAGGACCACTGGTGCTCAGGAACTCACATCCGTTGAATCAGGGGGCACTCTTGCCCAGTCCTTGGATCCCAGATCCAGTGCTGGGACTCCTACTTGCCTTACTTCTTACAGCAAACAAAAACTTGCCTGGTCTACCAGCGTCCATGTTGTCTGCAGAGCTCTTGAATTCTTTCCTTCAACTCCTTCAGTTCCTCTGGAAGCTGGAATCAGGCTTGCCTGACCTTCTATGCTTAGTTCCCCAGAAACTGGCGTCCTATCCTTTAAACCTACTGCCAATAATAAAGTCACACTCTGTGATTCTGCCAGCCTGGATGTCTGCCAAGATCGTCCTGAGGCTCCCCAGGCAACACCCTCAGTCCACCAGCCAGGACAGCTACCAGGTGCCTTTGCTGAAGCTCCCAGGGTCTTTCCTCTGTTCTACCCCTGTCTGTTTATCCCCTTTCCTCCCAGCCTCTGGGGCTGGCCCATTCTCAAAATGGCATCCCAGATCTGATTTCTAAGCATTTGGCTCTCCCCTCAGCTCCATCCAGCCTGATTGGCAGCTCTTCAGGAATTTCTGACTTCCCCAGCTGCTAATCCTGCTCCTCACCCAGCTCTGTATTCCCCTGCTCAAATTAATCTAGGCAGGAGCTGATTCGGCTTGTAATGCGAGGTTAATTACAGAAGTGATAACATTTCTAAATAAAATAAGCTCCTCAATTTTAAAAATCTAAATTAAAATAAAACCAGAAGGAAATCATTCTTGGATATAAAGCACAACCCTAGCTCCTGACTCCTCTTTTCATCAGGACTAGCTTCATGGATGTACAGCCTGCACAGTCACCTAGGGCCCTGCACTTGGTTTAATGCTCTGCTCTTCCTACCTGGAAATTCTTAATTTTATCTTTGAACTTGCATTTTGAGAGTGAAGTCCGAGGGGACAATGGAGCCTGCACTGGGGCAGAGACAATATGCTCCATATGCATGCTCCATATGCACGCTCCCCAAAGTTCCTTGCTGCCCCATTAGCACAGAGCTGTCTCAATGCCCCATGAGTACAGATTTGCAGTGGACACACAAAGCATCAGCAAGACTCAAAGTTAGAAGCAGATGAGCATGCTAGGTCTACCACTCATTATGCAGGGTGCTGACAGCTCCAAGAGGCCACACTTCCCTTCAAACCAGAGTTTGCTTTGAACACAGAAAAGAGGCAATGATGTTCTAGGAAACATAAATGACCAAGGAACCCTCTCATATCCTCGTGTCACTTACTTGTGTTACTGTCTGAGACCAGCTTGGCCAAAATGGTGAAACCCTGTCTCTACTAAAAATACAAAAATTAGCCAGGCATGATGGCGCACAGCTGTAATCCCAGCTACTCGGAGGCTGAGGCAGAATTCCTTGAACCCGGGAGGCGGAGGTTGCAGTGAGCTAAGATTGCGCCACTGCACTCCAGCCTGGGTGACAGAGCAAGACTCCATCTCAAGAAAAAAAAATGATGACTTAAAAGAAAAGGAAAAGAGCAGAGAATCCATATTTCCTTTCCTTTCCATCCTTTCTTACTCCTCAGGAAAGCAAAGGTAGAGAAGGTCAGTGGAATGTGCACATATCACAAAGTGAAATAAAAAGTTGAGTTAGTTGTGTGCAGTATGTCTACTGTTCTGGTAAGAACAAAACATACATGTATTCATGAGCTACGAAATACAAATTGTGTAATTTCAGTGATTCTGCATATGAGTTGCATGCTTCTTATATTTGCATTTAAAACTAGCATTGCACAATACTAAGTTGCACAGTATAATTCATGCTAATAATTTAAAATCTCAATTGTTCTTTACTTAGAAACACATTAAATAGCAAATAAAAATTACCATGACAAGTTGTGGGAGAGACAAGTTGTGAGAGAGACCATGGAAGAACAGAAAAAGCTTTACATTTTAGTACTTTGCACATCACTTTTTTGGTTTTTTTGAGCAAAAGGCAGAATTTTCATTTCACACTAAGCCCCACAAATTACATACTTGGGAGCTGGCTAGTTGGGCAAGTTGAGAATAACCTCCTCCGGCAGCTCAGACTTCAGGAAGGCCGTCTGGGGCAGCCTGCTTCTCCAAGCCTGTGTTCATCTCCACATCTGCATCTTCCTTCTGGGCCCCCAGTGCTGTGGTTCCTCTGCCCCTGGGTTCCCAGCTCTGGTCTGATAGGCTGACCTTGAGTCCTTACATGGCTGACTCTGGTTTGGCGCAATTTTAACCTCAGTCCTAACCCCCAGGCCACTGATGCCTGAGACCAAGCCCACACCCCTTCTCCACCACTGCTCACCCACTCATCACCCTGTTCTTCTACATCCTCCACCCTGCCAACCTCACTCTGTAGCTTTACCTCCCCAAACAACCCTGCCCTCTCAGAGGGCCCTCATCCAAGCATCAGAGCCAGTTCCTGGCCACAAGACACTCTCTATTGGTTCAATTCCTCTCTTGGATCTCCTGTCACCAGGGATATGCCACTTGGCACTGCCTAGCCCTCTGTCAAACTGCTGACCTCTGCGGATGATCAGAGCGTTGGAGGACAGGGGGCTAATGCCAGCTGGGGCCAGCCACCATAGCAAAGGGATGGCGGCTCGGCCCCATGGGAGCAGCATTATTGTCCCACAGACATTACCAGGTTGTCTTCTATAGGAACAAAGTCCAATTGCTCAGGGCAGGTTACATCAGCAGCTCTCCTCATTAGAACCACCTGAGGAGCTTTTACAATAATAAAAAACCAATGCTGGGGTCCCATCCCCAGAGTTCTGGTTGAATTGATCTGGGGTGGGACCTGACACTGGTATTTTTGTCCATCCCCCTCAAAGAACTCCAGTGCACACCCAAGGCTGAGAACCAATCATAACACAAAGAGCTGAGCTGGAGCTGAGAAGCAGAGCTCAGAATGGAAGATGGGACCGATGCGGCCACCCCAGATCACTGCCTGCTTCTACCTCTTGTGTGGCAATGAACCTGTTAAACAGAAATAATATTTAATCTTGCCATCCACACCGTAAAATAGGATTACAGCAATACATGCCTCACATTTGCCTAGTGACCGGACGGTGCCCCAGGATTCCCCACTTTTTTTCTGTCCTGACCAAGAAATACAGTGTACCGTCAATGCTCTGTTGCCTGGGCAGCTGCATGTTCTTCCCTGCAGGCTTGAACCCAGGCTGGAGCCCTGAACATTCCCAGGCTCCAAACACCAGGCTCTAAACACCAAAAAGGTGTTTAGGTTGTTGTCCAAAACATAAAAGAAACTAGCCCCAGCCCTGAGCCAAATTCCTTAAACCCTCATGTAAACTCCATACCCCACTCCCTAGCTGGAACATACCTCGGTAGAACAGCCCTTTCTCACTGTCTGTGGCAAGGATTGCTGCAGCACTCCGTAAGTTCCCCTAATAAATGCTTTCGACTGATCACCCTGGCACTGAGTGCCTCTTTCTTTGGAATCCTAAACGACTCCATTTAGGGATAGTTTGGGGCACTCCCTTGTGGGAACTCCCCTGATGCCACTTTTGGGGTGACTGCAGCCGTGGGTTCAGTGGAATGAAACAGTGACAAATATTTTTATAAATGAATATCTTACTAAGACATAAACCCAAATTTGTCTATAATTATTTGTTTCCTATTTTATATATATATTCACTTATTTGTTCAAAGAGAATTGCTTCTATCAAAGTATTATCATCTCTTGACTGAGCAAACTGCCCGACCCTGTTCTTTAATTTGAAACATTCTTGTCCAAAACTTTAAGGAGACTGATTGTGAAAGTGTACATCTTCTATCTTGTCATTAGCTTCTCGTTTTTTCTTCTTTTTCTTTCCTCCTCCCTCCCTTCCCTTTCTCTTGCTTCGGCTTCCTTTCATTTTCTCTGAGTGACTCACATTACAGGAGGCTTGTCTCAAGGTATCTATCCAATTCCTGGGCTGATTCCGCTATTAAGTGACTCTGCTGAAAGTGATGAGTTGGCCATCTCCCGGGGCAATCCTATCGCTCAGCCTTCTCACGAGTCCTGGGGAGCCTCAGACTATCCAACGCAACATTTTCCCTGCAGCATCTATTATTTTGGCTTCTCTTTCTTCCTTGAAAATAATTAGGTTCCAGCCTACTTATAATATCCCATTTGATATCTAGAGAAAGTTTTCTGATTTCCTCTCATCCCATTCTTACTGACTAAACCTTACTTCTTTGCAAAGCAGGCAGTTTTCTTCAAGACCCTCACATGCCGTTTGTGTGCAGCCGGCTGTCCTATCCCACAAGGCCACCCCACACTCCCAGCTAAGGGTCTTGGCTCTCCTGGCCCTTACCCAGCAGTCCCTGTCTACAGTGGCCTGATCCCTGGCTACCTCTTGAGGCTGCTGGCAGGTGGAGGCAGGTGGTCAACCTGAGGATTGAAGACAAGGGCAGAGAGCCTCAGGGCAGGCTTGGGCCTCCACAGGCAGTTAATGGGGTCAGAAGAACCCTTTTCTCTCAGAGGCGGTGCATCCCCAGTCAGCCCAGACTGCCCTTAGGGTAAGGAGCAAAGTGTGACTCCTTCCCTTTCAAGCCTGCAGTTGAAAATGCAAAAGGTTGTTAGCAGAAAAGGCCACAAGAAGGGTATTTGTTTTTCTTGCTATAGCTTTTTCCTAATTCACAAGCTGACAGGCACATGCATATGTTCCAGATTCACACACTCCATATTTATCTCTTTAAAATTGTACTCTCTCAATTTGCTCTATTTTTTTTCCTTCCCATCTCCCACCTTCCTTTAGAAACAATCACTGATTTTAGCAGAACTGGAGTATATACACTCTTTATTTTGAAAGCAATAGTTGAAACATTTTAAGATAATTTGTGATCACTGAGGAAAATAAAAACTCCTCTATCAGGATCCACCCTCTTTTTGTTGTTGTTGTTGTTGTTTAGACGGAGTCTTGTTCTGTCGCATAGCCTGGAGTGCAGTGGCGCGATCTCGGCTCACAGCAACCTCCACCTCCCGGGGTCAAACGATTCTTGTGCCTCAGCCTCCTGAGTAGCTGGGATTACAGGCATACACCACCACGCCCAGCTAATTTTTGTATTCTTAGTAGAGATGGGGTTCAAGTGATCCGCCTGCCTCGGCCTCCCAAAGTGCTGGGATTATGGCGTGAGCCACCGCACCCAGCCCCACTCTGTTTTCTTAAATAGACTTTATTTGTTAGGAGCAGTTTTAGGTTCACAGCAAAATTGAGCAGCAGGTCCAGAGATTTTTCCAGCACGCCCTGCCCCCACACATGCACAGCAACATCTCTCCACTAAAGCGGTACATTAGCACTTATAGGAACTAGCTGGGTATGTGGATGGGGCACATACCCTTTAGCAACATCTCTCTGCCAAAGCAGTGCATTTCTTATGACTGATGAGCCTTCATGGACACATCACAACCACCCAGAGTACACAGTTGACATTAGGGTTCACTCTTGGTGCTATACACTCCAGGGGTGTGGACAAACATACAATGACACGTATCCACCATTATAGTACCACACAGTAGCTTCACTGCTCTCCATTCTCCATGCTCCATCTATTCAATCCTCCCTCTCCCCTATCCCTGGAAAGCATTGACCTTTTTCACTGTCTCCTTAGTTTTGCCTTTTCCAGAATATCATATATTTGGAATCATACAACGTGCAGCCTTTTCAGATTGGCTTCTTTCGCTTACTAATAGGCATTTGAGGGTCCTCTGTGTCTTTCATGGCCACAGGTTTACCTGTGATGGGAGGCCCCTGTCTGGGCACTGAGAGCTCTAGATATTTGACTGGTCCTGGGAGACACTGTATGAGTAAAGAACACAGACTTTGGATCACAGACAACCATGTTGTGTGACCTTAGACAAGCCTCAGTTTTCTCATCTGTGAAACAGGGGAGGAAGAGTAGAGGGTAACACAAAAATAAACTTCTTCAATTCATGGAAAGCATCCTGGCACTGGAAAAGTTTGGTGTTTGTTGTATGCTTGAAAATAAAATACATACTGTTTTTAATGTGAAAAAACAAAATAAACTTCCTCATAGTTGTTAAATGAAATAAAGTATATAAAGTATCAAATATCTCCTGGGACTTAATAAATTCTCAGCAAATGGCTGGGAAGCAGCTCCCTAAAATAACTCTTTAATTACAAAGGAGAAAATAGTAACTTGTGGAAAAACCTGATAGATGCCACCTTAACCAAGTTACTATCACAACCAATAATGAGACAATCTGACATTAAGTAGCTCCTGGTGTGATGTACTTCTATTATATTCCTGCCAAAAATGCATGAAAATCTAATTATGAAGAAACATCAAAAAAACCCAGATTGAGGGACACTCTACAAAATAACTGGCTTGTACTCTTCAAAAATGTCAGTGTCAAAAAAGACAAAGAAAGGCTGAGGGACTGTCCCAAGCTAAATGATTAAGAAGACATGATAACTAAATGTGATGCATGATCCTGGATTAAATCCTGGACCAGAGAAAACAATAGCTATAAAGGACATTATTGGGATAATTGGTGAAATTAGAATATGGAAAGTGTATTAGATAATAGCATTATTGCAATGTCAAATTTTCTGAATTTGGTCATTGTACTGTGGTTATGTAAAGAACATCCTTGTTCTTAGGAAATGCATGCTGAAGTATTTGTAGGCAAAGGAGCAGCAGGTCTGCAGCTTACTATCAAATGGTTTAGCAAAAATAATAGCTTTATATAAACAGGTAGATTGAAAGAGAGCAAAAGCCAAGGTGGCAAAATACTAACTGGTGAGTCTGGATGTATTCAGAAGTTCTTCGTGTGATGATTGCAACTTTTGCTTGAAAATATTTAATTATTTTAATAGTTGTATATTATCTTTAAATTTCAATTTATCCTTCATATCTCCAACCTGGAACCTTGTGAAGTCATCCTAACTGGTCTCCTATCTGCAGTCTTTTCCCTCCTCCAATTTATCCTTTATGCCATCTCCAGAGTATCAGCAACATATAAATGTGATCACATCATTCACTTGCTTAAAAACCTTTAACGTTCCCCAAATGCTGAGGAAGTCCCTTTTCTTTACTTTCCTCAAACCATCTCCAACACAAGGCAGCTGTGTGTGGAATATTTCTCCTGCAACCTTATTAAACAAACCATAACAATACTTCAAATTAGATATTATCTCCATTTTATAGATGATAAAACTGAGGCTCAGAAAAATAAGTGATATGCCCCAGGTGATGTGCTAGTAAGTAATGATGCTCAGATTCATCTAACTCTCAAGTTTTTGCTACTTCTACTATCCCCTCCCATGACACCTCATGCTTGTTTAGCATATAGAATCAAAGGAGGTAAAAATCTTTGAGGTTTCTTTTGTTACATAATTCTCAGATCCTGCAAGCAATTAACAAGTTCTGCTTGCAGCTTGTATATTCCTTAGAACTAAAATCAGAAACAGTCCTTGGATGCAGACACCATTATTGATAAACCTAACCACCAAGACCAAGTGTCCCAGTGCATCATTCCTGCTAAACCTGCTCTTCACACGACTAGGCAGAGGGAAGAGTCTGAGATAGATTGCTTCTGAATGTTTGAGTGGATAGATCTCAAATAGAGGGGATGATGAGTGTTCTAAAATGTGCAGAACCATGAGGAAATTCATGAGATATCATGTAAAACTTACAAGTACTCCAAGTCTAAACTGTGAGTTGCAAAATTAGTAGGCTACTGTTGACTGTGAAGGTAACCTGTTAATGTTGGCAGCTCTGGATAAAATTCATTATTCTCAATGCGCTTCAGATGCTTGTCTGTAAACATTGTATCACCTCAGCATGCAAGGGACACAAGGCCATGACTGATGCTGTGAAGGTTGTTGGCTATCATAGTCTCATGAGCACTAAACGTAAAATAGTAAAGCTATCCAAAGATTAATTCACACCTGTGGCAAAGAGTATCCTTGCACTTGACAGTAGCTTATATCACTAACGAGGGGAGGCAGGACTAAACATGCCACCTTACTAAGGCCTTGCAATAACTACTCTTCAATGAAGGTAAACAAGTGTATCTGCATTAGTTATCTATCATCTATTGCTGCATAACTAACTGCTCCAAAATTTGACAGCTTAAAAAAGCACATATTTGGCTGGGCATGGTGGCTCACGCCTGTAATCCTAGCGCTTTGGGAGGCCGGGGGTGCAGATCACAAGGTCAAGAGATCGAGACCATCCTGGCCAACATGGTGAAACCCCATCTCTACCAAAAATACAAAAGTTAGCCAGGCGTGGTGGTGTGCGCCTGTAATCCCAGCTACTCAGGAGGCTGAGGCAGGAGAATCGCTTGAACCCAGGATGCAGAGGTTGCAGTGAGCCAAGATTGCGCCACTGCACTCCAGCCTGATGACAGAGTGAGACTCTGTCTCAAAAAAAAAAAAAAAAAAAAAAAAAGCACATATTTCTCACAGTTTCTGTGGATCAGAAATCCAGGAGCAGCTTAAATGAAGACCCTAGCTCAGGGTTTCTCACAAGGGTATAGTCATCTCAGAGCTCAACTGGGGGAAGATCCACTTCCAAGTTCAGTCACATGGCTGTTATCAGGATTCAGTTCCTTGAGGGCTGTTGGACTAAGGGCCTCAGCTCCTCTCTGGCTGCTGACCCAAAGCCTCCCTCGGTTATATGCTGTGTGGGCCTCTCCACACAGAAGCTCACAACATGGCAGCTGGCTTCCCTCAAAGGAAAAAAGCAAGAGAACAAGAAAGGGCAAGCAAGACAGGAAGCCAGTCTTTTTGTAACCTAACCTCAGAAGTGACATCTCATCAGTTTTCCCACATTCTATTCAGTAGAAGCAAGTCACTAGGTCCAGCCACACTCAAGGGGAAGGGATTGCACAAAGACATGAATATGGGCATTAGGGCTGACTGGAAACCAACTTAGAAGCTGCTACCACTGTGTCACTGGACGTGCAACAGAAGGATTCAGGTCAGCACCTCAGGCCTCAGTGCTGACCCCTGCCCACTCTCTCCATCAACAGCAGCTGCTCAGTCCTGGATGACGCATTGGTACACTAGCAGGACCTGCTCCAGAGGAGGTGGGCTTTTGTTTCTGTGGGGTTGATTCCACTTTGCAATATTCCCTGAGATCTCAGTTCATCCTAACAGAGCAACACTACAGAAAAACAAACACACACATTTGAGGTGAGCAGATAAAACAAAATGACAACATTTTTTCATCCTTTTGAATGCAGACTAGGTATGTAACATCTCAAAGAATGAACTCCACAAAAGTGGTGAAAACAAAAAGATCCTTTAAATATCAGATGAGAGTCTTGAGTGCAAGCATTGCCTAAAACAGAAACTAATTGTACAACCTTTGGCACATTATTTAACCTTTCCTCACTTACTAAAAGAAAAAGAAAAAGAAAAAGACTTATCTAGTCCAACTTTCTCAAAGACTCCCTCCAGCTCCTTCTCAAGGAGAAAAGTTTCTCTCAACCCCTCCCTTAGGGGACCAATGTCAAAAGAGGTCATTTGCCCCCTTCCCACATACTCCCAGGGCATCCTGGAGCCCTGGTTAACAAATGCATTTAAATTCCCACCGTAGCCAAAGGCTTTTTTGGTGGAGCCAGGTTATTCTGGATCAATACATGTGCCAGGACATTTTTAAGCCATTTAATTGGTATTCAAATTGATGGCCCAGATTCCTTATCCTTCACGGAAATGGATGCTGGATGGTGCACAGGATGCTGAGATATCCTGTGGAGGGTATGCTTTGAAAAAGCTCTTGCAATCTCATCACTCCCAGCAGTCTCACATATAAAATGTTTGATAGCTGACAATTTAACACATCCAACCAGAAACAAATCATCATTGTTATGCATCACTGATGGGCCATCCACTAAGCAGATGTGTGAGAATTTGTGTTGTAATTACCTACAGAAGAGTTGCCAGCAGCTATTGCCCCTGAAAATTTTTTCAGGCACACAGGCATATTTTATATCTATTGTCTAATATGCTGGGAATCAAAGGTACTTTGGCAGCAGTATTAGCAAACCAACTATCTGTAATAACCTATTTGGTGTCCTGAGTCTCAAACCAGTACTCTTCCTAATTACTCTTAACTCCTTAATTTTCACTGTTTGTCTTAGTCTGTTTTCTGTTGCTATAACAGAATATCTGAGACTGGGTAATTCATAAGGAAAAAAGGTTTAATTGGCTCATGATTCTGGAGCCTGGAAAGTCCAATATCTGGTGGCCACATCTGGTGAGGACCTCATGCTGTTTCAACTCATGGTGGAAAACAGAAGGGAAAGAGGTAGTGTGTAAAGAGACCAAACATGAGAAGCAGCCTCCCTTTATAATGACCCACTCTCGAAGTAACAAATCTAGTCCCACAAGAGCAAAACTCACTCACTCCTATGAGATAGCATTAATCCTTTCATGAGGGTAGATTCCTCATGACCTAAACAGCTCTTAAAGGTCTCACCAACTCTCATCACCCTTACCCTGGGGACCAAGACAACATGACTTCTGCTAGGGTCAAACGATATTCAAACCAAAGAACTGTTTATCTTAGGTTGCAACTATATTTGTGTGTGTGGTTTTTTTGTTGTTGTTGTTTGTTTGTTTTCGTTTTTGAGATAGTTTGGCTCTTGTTGCCCAGGCTGGAGTGCAAATGGCATGATCTCGGCTCACCGCAACCTCTGCCCCCCGGGTTCAAGCGATCCTCCTGCCTCAGCCTCCTGAGTAGCTGGGATTACAGGCAAGCATCACCACACCTGGCTAATTTTGTATTTTTAGTAAAGATAGGGTTTCTCCACATTGGTCAGGCTGGTCTCGAACTCCCAACCTCAGGTGATCCACCTGCCTTGGCCTCCCAAAGTGCTAGGATTACAGGCGTTAGCCACTGCACCCAGCCACAACTATATTTGTAAACCACCATAACTTGGAAGGGGTTATTAAATGGCCCACCTCCTGGCCTCTACCAGTAGCACCCACGCCTTCCCCCTGACAAAAAGCAATAAAAACCCCTGCCTTTAAATTATTAGTATATGCAATGTATGTAGAATCCTTAGTGTTTATATCAAAACTTGGAATGTGATAAGCTACACTAAACTGTCCAATGGTAAATAAACTCTTCTCAACACTCCCCACACTTCTATCCCTCCCCACCACACTATCAAGGCCTGTCTGTTTGTCCCAGTGACCCACAATTGCTATCGTAGATTCAAATAACTCTGCACATTCTCTTTTTAGATTTCTTTTATCTCTATTCCACTCTACTCTCTCCCTCCCCAGGCTAAATCAAGCGTTCTCTTCTCTTCAGCCATGCTCTTATCAGAAGAAAGATTCTTTGAGTCCATCTGCCTCTCAGATCCTGCCTCCTCTCCCCTTCTACTTCGTCTCCTAAACTGAAACCTACATTGCCCCCTTCCCATGCCATCCAAAGAAGACCACTGCTTCTCCTACTCACTCCAGTTTGAGAAACCAGAAGGAAAAATCCACATATTTCTCCCTTCTTTGTCTACTTCACCACCTCCTCTTGTATCCTCTTGAATCAATTATTCCATGTGACCTCTCCCCTATGTTCTTCAGGACTTTCCAAACTTTGCTCCCATCATTGTAGCCAATATACCCTTCCTTCATCCTCAGAGATGTGAATATCTTCATGGTCTTGAAACACCCCCAATGGTCTCCCTTGCCTTCAAACACCCTCATGTATTGTGTGAGCATGAGCCTGTTTTATCTCCAAAACATCAAAGCGTAAGCCCTAGCTCTGAAACTCCCATCCAACTGCTACCTCTGCCTAGGGCCACAGTCCCCTCTCTTACTGAGACTGTTTTGAAGCAAGTATTCAGCCCCATTCTCCACTCAACCAGTCCCCTCTGGCCTGGCTAGTTCCCAAGATCAACCACTTCTGATCAACCGCCACTTAATTCTGCTTTTACTAATAACCCAGGATCCAAATTGCTCTTGGCTTTCCACCCACTGAGACCCTACTTTGTAAGAGAACCAGCACTGAAGTGTGATTTTGCCTGGTAACATTAGACAAAGTCAGGCTGTCTAATCACAGCTGGGTCCCAACTAGGGGTGAAGGGTTGGGTTGCAAGGCACTTCACCACCCCTCAGTTGCACCCAGTCATTTTCATTCTGCTCATCCTCGGTCTCACCCTCTCACTCTCAGAAAATGACCTCAACTCCTATTTCACTGAGAAGAGCTACCTCTTATTCCTCCCTCGATCTACTCTGATCTCTCTCCATCCCCACCTTCACCAACCCTCAACCCCAAACCTATCCCCCATCTCCCTGCCAACTTTTCCCTCCTTCTCTGAAGAACAAATTACTTTCCCATGTGGTTTTTGCCCAAGATGTTTGCATAGTTTGGGCTGGCAACTGCTTGTGCCAGAACCCCCAACCCCAGCTGGTTGAGTTACAGAGCAACCATCCTTTCACTACTGCAAAAGAAAGTGGTGAAAGCAGAGATTGCAAGCTTCTATGAAAAAGTAAGGGCATCCCACAGCATGCCTGGCCTCTTTCATCTTGCCATAAATGCCACTAGTATACAACAGGGGACTCTCCAGTGCGGGGACCAAAGCCCAGGCTGGGAATTTGTAATAAATAGATGCTGGTTTTGAAGTTGTTGGGTATTTGTTTACCACGGAAACATTCTGGGTTTCCTACTCGGGTTTTTTTTAGCTTTTTTTCTGTGTGATTATTGCTGAAAATTTTGTTGTCTTGGTTTGTGCTAATTTAAATTCTCCTTTCCTTTATCTGGATTGATTTATTATCTATTTTTCTAAATTCAAGCTTCTTTTATTTTCTTTTTAAAATATTTTTCTCTTAATCCTCTTTGTTAAAGTATTAACACCCAAAAGAACATTCTTAATTCCTTAATCTTGTACTTAAGCTTCAAAACCATCTACTTTTATGTTTTTATTGTTTCTCCCCATGGGGTTTAGTCTGTTATCCTCTTAATCTTTTATCTCTTTCACTTTGATGTATTTAATCTTTTACCTTGTTGGTTTATATTATTTCATCTTTTATCTTAAATCTAATTTACTTATTATCTTGTCATTACTTTTTAATTCTTAATTTCTATTTTGCTTTTTAACTTTTATTCACAGTGTCTTAATTTTTTAACTTGGATTTAATTTTAGCTTTATTTTTTCACTCCTCTCATTTTCTTTTAATAATTTCACTCTTCTGTATTCTTATCTTAAAACTTATTTATCGTATCTCTCACGGTGGCTTTATGTCTTAACCTTTTATCTGCACTGGGCTTTTATTCTCTGATTGTAATATTTATCCTGCTCCTTTCCCTTTACCTTTCTCTTACCAAGTATCAATGCTTTATTTTTAATATTCTCTTAAACTTCTACCCTTTCCTCGTTATTTTGCTTTTCTCTCCTTTCTTTTTTCTCTTACATTTGTATTTATTTTATGACTTGGTTTAAAAATCACTAGCAGGAGTAAGGTTAGAAAAATCTCATTTCCCTCACGGAGAAATTGTAAAGCTTCTCTTTCAGGGTGTTCTCCCTTACTGCTGCCCCCGTGGTCCCACACGTCATGTACTGCTAGATTCCTCAGCCCTTTTAAGGAGATTGGAGACACCCTCATCTCCAAGGTCAACATTCTCAGTGATGGGGGTGGGGCAGTGGACACAACATGTTTACTAAAGGGCATTGCTTCCTGACATCTTACACTATCCCGTATGTGTTTTAAATTCATGTTTGTGGACATATTTTTGGATTGGGGGGCTGCCCCAAGCCTCAGCCTACACTAAAGCATATTAAAAGAAATAGTCCTAGAAAACCAAACAGTGAGGGTTGTTGAGGACGAGGCTTGTTACGTTTTTGAGGGCCCATGATAGCAACATTATCCTGAACTTGGCACCAAGAATAGGAATAGTGACATGGGTTCTTCTCTCTTGCATTAACTGCTCATGTTTCTCTTGTTGTGTTGGCTACTAAACATCTTAAAGGCTGGGCACGGTGGCTCACGCTGGTAATCCCAGCACTTTGGAAGGCTGAGGTGGGCGGATCACTAGATGTCAGGAGTTCGAGACTAGCCTTGCCAACATGGTGAAACCTCGTCTCTACTAAAAATACAAAAAATCAGCCAGGTGTGGTGGTACACACCTGTAGTCCCAGCTACTCAGGAGGCTGAGGCAGGAGAATTGCTTAAGCCCAGGAGGTGGAGATTGTAGTGAGCTGAGATCACGCCACTGCATTCCAGCCTGGGTGAGAGAGCAAGACTCTACCTCAAAAAATAAAATAATATAATATAATATCAACATCTTAAAGCCAAATGTATGCCCAAGCCCCAGGCAAGTTCCCTTGGACAAGGCAGGCAGTGTGTGCCTAACCTCCCATCCCACTTCATCCTACCTTTCTCTCAACTGCAATTTTCTTGTTTGTTTGTTTGCTTTTTGAGACAGGGTCTCACTCTGTTGCCCAGGCTGGAGTGCAGTGGCACAACCACGGCTTACTGCAACCTCAACCTCCCCAGGCTTAGGTGACTCTCCCACCTCAGCCTCCAAAGTAGCTGGGACTACAGATGTGCACCACTGCACCTGGCTAATTTTTGCATTTTTTGTAGAGATGAGGTTTTGTCATGTTGCCCAGGCTGGTCTCAAACTCCTGGGCTCAAGCAATCCTCCCACCTTGGCCTCCCAAAGTGCTGGATTACAGGCATGAGCCACCACACCCAGCCTTCAGCTACAATTTTCTAACCTACTTGTATTTTACTCTACTTCATAGTGTTATGTGTATATATATTTTTTATTTTTTATTTATTATATATATATATATATATATATATATATATATTTTTTTTTTTTTTTTTTTTTTTTTTGAGATGGATCTCACCACTGAACTCCAGCCTGGGCAACAGAGCAAGACCCTGTCTCAAAACAAACAAACAAAAATTGTAGCTAAAATCAAGAGAGAGGTCTTGAGAAAGAACTGGAGCCACCTAAAAAGCTAAATAAAGCCAGGGTCCTGATTGATACATTCTCATTTCAAACATTAATCTCATTAGGATCTTAAGATAGAATACATCCCTAATTTAAGTTTTAAACATATGGTCATCATGTGCATTATGGGCTTCAAGAAGTACTGATCACTCAGTGACCAACTCAACCACAGCTCTATAACCCAGCATTCAAAGACATAGATGAACAAACCCCAAATCATTATTAATTATGCATAAAGATGATAAATGGGGTCTCATTTCATGTGTTAACATGAATTAGTGGGAAGGGGCTGCATAGAACAGAGTACTGAGAAGAATTGTAGGGCTATATCTGGGCTCTGCAGGAATAAATTCTGTGATCATCTAGACATGTCTGCACAGAATGGGGAGTAGCAGCATTTGAAACACATAGGTGTCTTTTCAGGATATGGTTTTACTATTACTGCTGTATCACCGTATGCCATTGGTGTCTTTCATAAATACCTTTTTAAAACATTAACACATGAAGACCTACAATGACTCTTGCACTTTGTGCAAATCTATTTCCTTGAGTCAGAGAGTTTTTCAGATCAACTAGATCAAGGAACTGAGCTGAACTGAGGCTTATGATCTTGAAGCCATCAATACAGAGCTCTGGCTGAATCAAACTAAACTTCAAGCTCCAAGAACTTCATATACTCATAAAATCTGTATTTCTTTTAATATGGAAACACCAGAGTGATTTTTAAATTTTCTTTAGCAACAGAACTCTTCGTTTAAATTAAATCTCACACAAAACCATACACAGACAAAAGTAGATTTGTTCTTATTAAAGAGAGAAATGCCAGAGGCCCACCTTGCCTTTGACCTTCACCTCAAGCATCTCATCAGGTCTCTGAGATCTGGAGGGCTGTTTGAACACTAAGAGGAAACCGCTTAGATTGCTTGGGGCCCTATGTAATTGTAGCACTATAATATTGCGATCAATTAACCAACTCTTTTACCCTGATATTCTCAATTATGTTGTGAGTCAACCCCATTCATGCATCCAAACAGGAGGCATCCATTGCCTGAAGGAGGATTCATCCCATGGAATTGCAGAGCCAAATGGTCACATGCTTAGCTTTTGTTTTCAAAGGCGAGGTACAGGTTGAGTTGGTCTGCCTGATGAATGCTGGGCTATACTACGGCAAAACTGAACCAGAAATATCAGTGGATTGGCACAAGAAAAGTTATTTGGGTTGGGCCTCCCCATTCTAGCTTTTAGCAACATCATCTGGAATACAGATCCCCTGAAGGTCAATAAAGAGAGGAAGAGAGAATGGAGAACTCACACTCACTGTTAAATTCCTCAGCCTGTATATCAGTCAGCTAGGGCTGCCATAATAAAATGCTGTAGACTGGGTGGCTCAAACAACAGAAATTTATTTCTCACAGCTCTGGAGGCTGGAAGTCCGAGATCAAGGTGTGAGAGATTTGGTTTCTCCGGAGGCTTCTCTCCGTGGCTTGCCGATGGCCACCTACTCTCTGCATGCTCACATGAAGTGTGCAGATCCCTACTGTTTCTTTCTTTTCTTATAAGGACACCAGTCAATTGGATTAGGGCCTCACCATTATAACCTTAATTACTTGTTTAAAGACTGTCTCCAAATACAATCCCATTGAAGTTAGGGCTTCAATGGGGTTGAGGGGATGGGGTGAGACAATTCAGTCCCTAACAGCCTGGAAATATGAAATACTATTCCCATTCAAATTGTATTGGCTAGAACAGGTCACATGGCTCCACCTAACTACAAGATGGGCTGGTAAGTTTCAACTTCACTTGTGCCAGGGAGGAAAGGAGAACCAGGTATGAGTGAGCACTAGCAATTTTTACCTCACAAGAATATGGTGAAAAGATTTAAGAATATATGTGATTGGGCACAGTTGTTCCCACTCCTAGAATGACAGCAATGAAAGAAAAGTGATGAGGGCAATTCACAAAGGGCCTTTATTTGGAGAGACCATGTGGACAGAAACACAGACAGCATCCAGAGATACACCCCCACGCCCCACCTCCTCTAAGCAGTCACCCCCAGCACCAGGGAGACAAACAGAACTGAGTCAGTGCTACAGATAGTCAGATACTCCAGACTCCATTAGTGTTCTACATGGCCAGAGCTGAGGAGTCACAATAGTCATCCTTCCCTCTGGCATCTGGGCAGGACCTTTGATCAACAGTAGCCAGCACACTGCCCAGTGACCATCCACAGGACTGATGCCCACGTGAGCCCCCAGACTTAGTCATTATCTGACGACTCCAGTGGACAATCCCCCTCCACACACATTCACTCATAACGTAAGGTTCTCAGAGATCCAGAGGCAGAGAGTAGGGATGGTGTAGGAGGGTGGTGGTACCTGGTTCATGGTACTCTGTTACAGCAACAGAAAACAGACGAAGACAGGTCAGTACTCTTTAAATCTTTCTAGGTGGAGGGAAAGAACCTTCATCAGCCATCCTCCTCTCCTGTGGGATTGGAAAAAACAGCTCAAGATTTCCCCTCAGGCCAGGGCAAAACTGAACTAACCTTCTACTTTGAGAGGCACCAAACTAACTCCTGTTAACTCAAGGAAAGCCATAGAGCCATCTACTGGTCACAAGTAAAAGGAGGAAGTCATCTAAAAACAACACAAAAAAGTAAAAATATTCAAATTCATCTTTAATAACTTCACAGAGAAATGTGATAGGAAGCATCCTCTCATTCCCTTCAATATAAATACATGAGAATATTTTCTTAAATATAAGAATATATAAGAGACACCTGAAGTCAGATATGCCTTTAGTAAATGTGTTTAGGGAATTAGCATTGTAATATACTAGGAGGTCATCTAGTCCATAGTTCTTAGGTGCTCTTCAATTCTCTCAATTCTACATGTTCAAAATCTGTAAAAATAAGACACGAAGACACGAATTCATTTTTTAAAACCTGAAACCTGCAAGTTTAATTAAGGAATTCGAGATCCTGCAGTTTGGCTGACAAATGATATAGTCAGCACCCAATTTTCTCCTATTAGGTGATCTGCAGTACACAATCAGAGCCGCTAGGCCAATTTTCCTGAATGGTCATAAAGGTTTTTAACAAAGAAAGAGCTCCAAAAACTTGGGAATGGGATGAGGGCAATAAAGACTTCATTCAACCAGGGGCCCACTTTAAAGGGCAATATTGGATTGAAAAATTGAGCTACATCAGTTAAAGCACCAAACGGCCTTGCTGCTTAAAGATAGCTGATGAGTCATGTTCAACTCAACCTCCCCCTAACCTCCAGAGGCCTAGAATGTGACTCTAATGTAGTTTCTGCTTCCAAGTACAAAACCCAGACAAGACGCCCCGGCAAAGTCTCGGAAGAAACACCTTAGGGTCATTTTCACAGCCTATGAGCATCATTCCAATGCCCAGCCCGAGATATCATGCAGGGTACGGCGAATGCTACATTTGAGCACAGAACGTCTGACCTTCCATTTAGGGTCAGAAATTGGCTAATCTGTTTCTCAGACTTGCTCCACAGAAACTAAACCGACAGATCACGTTTAACTAAAACGATGCCAGACGCCATCCGTTCTCCAAAGAAATCTTCGAGACACGCTGGCCACATGCATCAAGTACACAGCGCCACCTACAGCATTATTGGTGCAATTCACCATCGCCCTCTTCACCGGCCGCACTGGTATCGCAGATACAGCCTGAGAGAATTGCTACATCAGGCAGACAGTATCTGACCTAGACTTTAAACGTCACAGGTATTATGTTTATTTGGGGATGAAAAAAAAAAAAAGAAAAGAACGTGCGATAGCAGGGAGGAGGCTGCGTTGATTGGTTATATGCCTGTCTGCTTTCTTGCTTGTTTCAGGCTAACATCATTGAATTCTAACATGGCAATTCTTTTTTTCCAAGATCTGCTGCAGGGAAAATCATCATGGCACATGTTTACCTATGTAACAAACCTGTACAGCCTGTATATGTACCCTAGGAACTTAAAATATAAAATAAAAAATAAACTTCAAAAAAGATCTGCTGCAGGAATTCACCAGGGTGTCAAATCAATCAGAAATAACCATCAAGAGCAGTTGACATGAAAATATGATGTGAAACTGTCATTCAGTCATCTGCCATCTATGAAATTAGAAAATAAAACCCTAGCTCTAGAATCCTCAAACTTGCAGATGCTGCAGTGGCGTGAGATCATAGCCAAAGGTTCTAGAAAAAGTCACAATCTTTTCACTAACTTCTAAAAGTCCGCCATATTTCCCATCTCTCTCATCTTCACGGGTCCTTTTATTTATGTTTTAATTCAAACTGATCAAGCATCTACTATGTGCTACAGAGATAAGATAGAAAGAGGAATAGATATATATATTATATATAATTATAATATATATAATTTATTATATATATAAATTATAATGCTTCGCAGTATAACTTTATCACTTCAATATAACATGCTGTATATACAGACCCATGTTTTCTACTTGCTTTTTGTTGTTGTTCAGAGAAGGATCACTGGGTCTGGGGCAATCAGAGAAGACGTCATGAGGACTGGAAAACCTTATTTCTTGAAGTTCAAGCTCAAGTATCAACAAGGAAGAAAATGCCAAATAGAAGGAATGATATGAGCGAAGGAGGTGTGAAGGTAGGGAAGTTCTAGATGTGCCCTGTGTAAAATATCGCTTGTGCATCCACACACACAGGTAGAAAGAGAGATAGACACACCCTCAATCACGCACCATTCACTCTATCCCCTTACTCTGCTTTATTCTTTCTCACAACATTTACTATTACCTGATGCATATGTATTTGTGTGATTACTGTCTCTTTCCAGGACAAGCTCCATGACAGCAAGAACTTCATTTCATTCACTGCTCTGTCCTCAGTGCCTAGTTCAGTGCCTGACACATTGCAGCTTCTAGATAAGTATGGAAAGGAGGAAAGGAGGAAGGGAGGAAGGGAGGGATGGAGGGATGGAGGGAGGGAGGGAGGAAAGAAGGAAGGAAGGAAGGAAAAGGAAGGAAAGAAGGAAGGAGGGAAGGAAGGAAGGGAGGGAGGAAGGGAGGGAGGGAGGAAGGAAAAGGAAGGAAGGGAGGGAGGAAGGAAAAGGAAGGAAGGAAGGAAAAGGAAGGAAGGAGGGAAGGAAGGAAGGAAGGAAAAGGAAGGAAGGAGGGAAGGAAAAGGAAGGGAGGGAGGAAGAAAGGAAAAGGAAGGAAGGAAGGGAGGGAGGGAGGGAGGGGAGGGAGGGAGGGAGGGAGGAGAGAAAAAAGAAGGGAGGGAGGGAGGGAGGATGAGAGGATGAGGAGGTGCTCATAACATCCACGGAGAAACACATCAGAGAGTCTTGGGAAACTTGATGGCCAGGGCAAATGGGGACAGAGTGGGGAGCGTCTTGAATGCTGGATGAGAAGCTTGGGTTTTTTCCTGCTTCTTCAAAGATGCCAGCATGGTCAAAAAATAAGGACAGTAGCTATGCTTTTAGAAGATTAATCTGGTGCAAATATTGGATGAATTTTAGGGAAATGAGACTAGAGGTAAAATAGCAGTTACTTTAAAATAGATAATGATAGTGATGGGTTACAGCCATTCAATAAAATGGGAATCAATGAGACCTTAGCGTATAAATAATTAAATAAATAAGTACGAAGTATAAGGTGGGTTTGGAATATCTTGTTTCAGAAAGTAAAGAAGTATTCAAAGATTGATACAGACGTGTCAAAAGGACTTGGGAGCCAGCCTGAAGGGAGTTTCACTGGCCAAATTTGGAAAATTTGACCTTTGAAATAAATAATGATAGTGATGATTTACAATCCATTGGATAAAATGAGAATCTATGAGGCCTTAAAGATATAAATAAACAAGTGGGTGAGAAGGGAAAGCCCTTCCTTACAGTGAATGCCAACTAATAAAAGTAGATAGGATGACAGAAATGGGAGATTATAGATCTTATTCTATGATGTGGCAACCATGATAGAGGAAGATGTCAATAATTGCTAAGGATGGTGGGTAAAGGTTCAGTGAGGAACAGGATATTGGTACAATGCCAGAATATCTCCCTACAAAATACTCATTAATCACAATGGAAAAAACAGTGGCTTTTTGGAGGAGAAATATGACAGAAACCAACTTGACAAAGTGGTCAAGGTAACACCAAGGGAAGAATCTACATTCTGCATCAGGAAGAGCACAGCATAATTTTCTGGAAGTCTTCCAGGAGTGCACGGCTTGAGTCTGGCCATGAGGACACATCGGACAGACCCAGGTCAGCCTTCAAAATCAAAAGTCATGCTATGGTTTGAATGTGTCCCCAGAAGTTTATGTGTTGAAAATATAATTCCCAGTGGGATTATATCTAGACATAGGTTTTTAGGCGGTAACTAAACTTAAATGAGATCATAAGGATGAGGCCCTAATTCAGTAGGACTAGTGGCTCTGTAAGAAGAGCAAGAGAGACCTGAGATGGTATCCACTGGCCCTCTCACCATGTAAATGCCTTCCACCTCCATCAAAAGGGGGCCCTAGACCTCAGACTTCCCAAGACAATGAACCCAAGACATTTCACTATGATTTGTCAAGAGCGAAGATTAAAGAAAAAAGCAGGGGCCAGGCATGGTGGCTCACGCCTGTAATCTCAGCACTTTGGGAAGCCGAGGCAGGTGGATCACTTGAGGTCAGGAGTTCAAGACCAGCCTGACCAACATGGAGAAACCCCGTCTCTACTAAAAATACAAAATTAGCCGGGCGTAGTGGCGCATGCCTGTAATCCCAGCTACTCAGGAGGCTAAGGCAGGAGAATCGCTTGAACCCGGGAGGCAGAGGTTGCGGTGAGCTGAGATCACACCATTGCACTCCAGCCTGGGCAACAAGAGCAAAACTCTTTCTCAAAAAAAAAAGAAAAAAAGAAAAAGAAAAGCAAAGAAAAGAAAAAAGGCCAGGAAGTTAGTAACATTTGTAGATAATCAGTGTTTATCAATGGCTTCACATTGATTTACAGCCCACCTCCCTCAAACTAAAACTTGAGGACTTCTCATGCAAAGCACTGCTTTCATGGAGATAGCATAGGGCATTTAGACCAAAACTTGGATTCTAGCTTTAGCGCCAATGCTTGCCATGTGGCATTACTGTAGTTGCCCCCCAAGCCTCAGTTTCCTTACTTGTAAAATGGATATGACAGTAGCAACTTCAGAGATAAAATATGCATAAACCAATCCCATCTATTTTATAACTAGTGAGTGTCATTGTTCAGAAATCAAACATTTTAGCACTGAAATATGCAGCTGGCTGTAATCGTGGAATGACATTGCTCTGCCTGGTTTTACTGGCTTGAATTTCTGACAGTGCTTCCAGCTGCCTAGTTTTCCATTCGTCCAGTCCTATTGTTTACATGGAATGACACCCAAGATTTCCTGAAGCTTATGGCTTTATTTGCACTTCTGGCTTTGCTGACTCCCCGTCGAGTGCTGTCAGCAAAGTGAGCAAGAGCAGCCCTGGGCTCATCAGCCACCAGCACTCTTGCCTTATTAGGAATGGTGGCCCTGCACAACAGGACCCATGGCGGCCAAGAACACACAACCTTGCTTGCAAGGGAACACCAGACAGATGTAACATGAGGAACGTCCTATTAAAACAACAGGGGGAAGGGAAGTGTCCCTCAATAATGTCAAGGTTATAAAAGACAAAGAAAGGCTGTGGAAATGTTCCAGATGAAGGAAAGCTGAAGAAACAGGACAACTAAATGCAGCCTGACCCTACAGGGGATTCTGTGCTGGAGGGAAAAATGCTGGAAAAAAACATCATTAGACCAACTGATAAAATTGGCATATGAACAGTAGATTAGATAACATATTGTATCAGTGTAAATGTGTGAGGCTGACAACTGTGCTGTGGTTATATAAGAGATCATCCTTTGTGTAGTATTTAGTACTCCTGGTATTATAATTTAGTATTTGGTATAATGTAGTATTGAGGATTAAAGGCCATGATGTCACTCACCTTTAATTCCAAAAAAAAATGGGAATGCATATATAATATACGATAGTATAAATAAATAAATATTTATATATGGATATACATCTGTATCTATATATAAATATGTATGTATATATATTCCACAAATTTAGAGAGATAGGAAGAAAGATAAAGAACATGAACAATAGGGCCGGGTGCAGTAGCTCACGCCTGTAATCCCAGCACTTCGGGAGGCTGAGGTGGGCAGATCACGAGGTCAACAGATCGAGACCATCCAGACCGACATGGTGAAACCTCATCTCTACTAAAAATACAAAAAATTAGCCGGGCGTGGTGGCAGGCGCCTGTAATCCCAGCTACTAGGGAGGCTGAGGCAGGAGAATCGCTTGAACCTGGGAGGCGGAGGTTGCAGTGAGCCGAGATCGCGCCATTGCACTCCAGCCTGGGCAAAAACAGCGAAACTCCATCTCAAAGAAAAAAATAGAACGTGAACAATAAAGCAAATGGGAGTAAAACATTCCAATGCGTGAATCTGAGTAAAAGGTATATAAATGCTCCTTGCACTATTTTATGTTTGCAATTTTTGTAAGTTTGAAGTTATTTCCAAATAAAAAGTGGAGAGAAAAAAGAAAGCAAGAAATGGTCATCCTGCTGCCTGCTGCCTGCTGCTGGGTTCTCAAGGAGCCAATGGACAGGAAGAATTAGGCATTTTTGGGCCTCATCAGTGACTTCCTCTGTGCCTCAACCTCTGTTAACAGTAACAATCACTTGCATAAAAATAGCTAATCCTTTTATAGTGCTCTTGTGCAATTGAGGCACTGTTTTATATACCTTATGTATATTAACTCATTTAATAGTGGTTCACACACGGTGATCCTAGCTGATATGTTGATCCCAGTTCTAATGAGAAAAGAGTATAAATGAGTAAGCCAGTAACTGTGATCCTCACCTCAGCCTGTGACGAAGGGAGGTCACCTTGGGCAAGTGATGGCACCAGGACTCACAACCAGCTCTTCCTCCTCCATGTTTCATCCTCTTTCCCCCCCCCGGTGGTTCTCGACCCTAGGAGAGTACCTGTCATCCCTTAAGAGGCTTTAAAAATACAGATTCCTGCTCTGAGACATCTAGTGTCCCACTGCACACATGCTACCAGGCCTGAACTCCTGCTTCCTCTGGCCTCCTGTTCTCTATGGAAATACCTGCATTCAGAGTCCCTGGATGTCTCTGGGGGCTCTATCTAAGGGACATCTACCACAAGCTGATTCCAGCTGAGGGGACAAAGGCCCACTGGCCATTGCATCCTCCTTTAGGCTGCCAGGCCATGTGGTGCGTGGTGGGTCCAGAGAACCCTGTGCTGGGTGCTAGTATCACACTTTCTCCACTGTGAAATGGGCTCTCATCTGAAAAGCTGTTACATGGAACCCCATGTCAGTAATCAGGTACTCTGTGAACCCTTGGATGATACCAGCAAAGACATAGGAAGGGCAAACTGATGGTATCTGATGGAATCAACTCCAAAAAAGAATCAATCACTGTCCCCTGCAGGGTGAGAAAGGCCTGATGGAATCAACTTGCCAGCAAATGTCTAGCTAGACTCTCCAAGAAGTAGGACCATACCAAGGGGTCATCTTCGTTCTCTGCCATCAACAGGTCGGGTATTCAGCAGTGGCAGTAACTGGATCAGCTTTGGTCAGAGGGGGCCCTTGCTGTTGGCCCTCTACAGAGCCTCTATCCCTACTACCGTAACTCTTCCAGCCATGGGCCCGTGGAGTGAGCATCAGAGGTGTTTGAGCCAGAGCAACTCCATCTTGAATAGGGGCTGGGTAAAATAAGGCTGAGACCTACTGGGCTGCATTCCCAGGAGGTTAGGCATTCTAAGTCACAGGATGAGATAGGAGGTCCACACAAGGTACAGGTCATTAAGACCTTGCTGATACAACAGGTTGCAGTAGAGAAGCTGGTCAAAACCCACTAAAAACAAGATGGCAACAAAAGTGACCTCACTGCTCATTATTCACTAATTATAATGCATTAGCATGCTAAAAGACACTCCCACCAGTGCCATGACAGTTTACAGATGCCATGGCAACGTCAGGAAGTTAACCCATATGGTCTAAAAAGAGGAGGAACCCTCAGTTCTGGGAATTGCCCACCTCTTTCTTGGAAAACTCATGAATAACCTGCCCCTAGTTTAGCATATAATCAAGAAATAACCATAAAAATAGCCAACCAGCAGCCCTCAGGCTGCTCCACCTATGGAGTAGCCATTCTTTATTCCTTTACTTTCCTAATAAACTTGCTTTCACTTTATGGATTAGCCTCGAATTATTTCTTGTGTGAGATCCAAGAACCCTGTCTTGGGATCTAGATCAGGACCCCTTTCTGGTAACATGAGCACTGGAGTGACCAAGGGCAGAGGCTGGCAGGCGTCTACCAGACGAGTCGTCTTGTCCACCCGGTTGTTGAGCGACTCCTCTGCTGTGCTCACCCTCAGCCGGGTATTGATGGCCAGCAGGGAGATCTGAGTGCTCTCTGCCCACTCCTGTAGGTTCATCCACACCTCACCCTGACTCTTGCTCTCAGATCTTCCACTCCTGCTCTTTCCAGACTTGCAACCAAATCAGTCACCACTCCCCAGGAGTCCATGTAAGCGACCTCGGGCCCCTTCTCCCTCCATACAAGATGGACAAACAAGGGTACTGCTCACAGCTCTGCTCATTAGGAAGACTCCCTCTCCACTGTCCTTTAAAGCCACTCTGGAGTGGGCAGCAGTCCATTTTCCACTCCTACCAGCAGACCCAAGCTTTTCTGCAAGCATCACAGGGAACCCCCTCTGGCCCCATGCAGCCATGATGTGAGCTGGGGAAGGCATCAGTGCAGCAGAGGCAGATGCCCCAGGGATGGGGGCCAACTGTTCATGTAACACAGTTGCCAGGCTTCAGCCCAAACACCTCTAGACAGAATCTCCAGGTGAAAGTCTAGAAAGCCCTATTTTGAAAAAGCTGATTGGGATGTGCCACCAGGTTTGGTTACCAGAATCGTGCAGTTACCCAGCATCAAGGCCCAGTAAGGATACACAGAAAGGCTTCAGTGCATAACGTAGACAGAGTGTGTGCCCTGGCAGAAAGAATCAATGGATACAAAATGCCTCAATGAAGATTTGAAAACTATCACTTTTAAATCAATTGACAATTCAAAACTAGATTGTTTACTTACAGATGGGGCAGTCAGAAACAGCCTGTACTACTCCTCTATAAAAAAATAAGTAGAATTTTGGCCAGGCACAGTGGCTCACACCTGCAATCTCAGCACTTTGGAAAGCCAAGGCAGGGCGGATAACTTGAGGCCAGGAGTTCAAGATCAGCCTGGTCAACAAAGTGAAACCCCGTCTCTACTAAAAATAAAAATAAAAAAATTAGGCCCGGCGCGGTGGCTCACGCCTGTAATCTCAACGCTTTGGGAGGCCAAGGTGGCGGGGGGGGGGTGCGAATCACAAGGTCAGGAGATCGAGACCAGCCTGGCCAATATGGTGAAACCCCATCTCTACTAAAAATACAAAAAAAAGTTACCCGGGCATGGTGGCACGCACCTGTAGTCCCAGGCAGAAGAATCGCTTGAACCTGGGAGGCAGAGGTTGTAGTGAGCCCGGATCACACCACTGTACTCCAGCCTGCGCAACAGAGCGAGATTCTGTCTAAAAAAAACAAAAAGAAAGGAAAAGAAAAAATTAGCCCTGCGTGGTGGTGTGCACCTGTATGTAATCCCAGCTACTCAGGAGGCTGAGGCAGGAGAATCGCTTGAACCTGGGAGACTCAAGTTGCAGTGAGCTGAGATCACACCCCTGCACTCCAGCCTGGGCAACAGGCAAGACTCTGTCTCAAAAAAAAAAAAAAAAAAGAGGTAGAATTTAGTTAAACATGCAGAGAGACTACAGAAATTAACACCAGTGACAGGAAAAGCATGAGCAAATACACAGAGGTGAATGAGGCTTCAATCCTAAGTGTAACCAGGGAAAGGCAGAACCCAGGAGTAACCTGGAGGAAGCTCCAGGGAAGCTTGCAAATGCATGTGCTCATACACACCCCATGTGGCTTCCCAGTCACAACTCACCACAGCTGCTCATAGTTTTACAGTTTCATGCCATGTGTATTGATGACCAACGTCTAGATTTTACAAGATTCCCACATTCAAAAATTTTGCTTCCCGTTAGACAAGATGCAGCATAATTTTCAGTTCCAGAAATGTTCTCTTCCTACCTACAGCCCATATTCCCAAGGCTGCCCATCCCCTGAAATAGATAAATAAACAGAAAACAAGGAGGAAGAGAGAGACAAAAAACAAGTAAGGAAAGGGAGAGAGAAACTGAGAGGAGACAAACAGACTGAGAGGAGAGAGAGACACTGGGGAGGAGGAAGACAGAGAAACAAGATGTTTATGTGGGGTTTTTACATTTGTGGAAGGTGCCCCTGAGGAAAAGCGGGAACCACAGGACAACATAGAATAGAAAGGGGAAGAGCGCCCTCTTGTGGCTCTGACCTGACCTTGTCTCTTCCTAGCCACGTGACCTGGGCAAGTTACTGCTCCTTAAGCTTCAGTCCCCCGTAAAACACGGGTAAAATGCGCTCCCTCAAGATGGTCGTGAGGATTAAATGAGAAATTGGATCCAAAATGCCTAACCCGATGTCCGCCTCAAAGAGCTCGATCAATTGTAGTTATTAATGTTATTTTTATTACGATTGTGATTATGGCAATGGGTGAGCAAACTCACCTCAGCAGGAAATGGTATTGCCCTCCTCCCAGAACCCGTAGAATTTAACCAAAAAGACCATATTTAACTTCGAATTACTTTTGTTTCCTACTCTTACCCTTGTGTACATTAAATCTCACCTACCGAAAACATAAGCCCCACGTCTCATTTACAGCTTGTCTCCCAAGCGTCATGTCTCACGCTAGAAATTAGAAATCAGTGTTAATCAGCTTTGCTCACAAATGCTTTATAATTAAATATGGGGCTGAAGTAAAATAATAACATCTTCCTTTCTGTACATTCGTATAGTGGCAAGCACTTACCTTATATTATCTCACTTGCGCACTCCTTTGTTTAAGAGATGTTTATTGAACACCTCAGCCGGAAAAGCAAAGCCCCTGCTCTCCGAGGCTCGGCGTGGAGGAGACCGAGAGCCGTCGGGGGACTGGGTGCCGTAGCGGGGGGCGGGGGGGGGGGGGACCGGTTGCCTTGGCGGAGGCGGGGAACCGGGTGCCTTGGCGGAGGCGGGGAACCGGGTGCCCTGAGGGGACTGGGTGCCGTGGCGGAGCGGGGGGACTGGGTGCTGTTGGTGGGACGGGGGCGGTGCTGGGTGCGAGGGACGGGGGCGGTGCTGGGTGCGAGGGACTGGGTGCCGTTGGGGCGGAGGTGGGGGCGGGGAACTGGGTGCCGAGGAGAGAGAACTGGGTGCCATAGAGGGCCGGGGTACCGGGTGCGGTGGAGTGGCCGGGTGCAGTGAAGAGGGGGCCCAGTGCAGTGGGGAGACCCAGTGCAGTGGAGGGGACCGAGAGCGACGCTGCAGCACAGCAGCGTGAGCTGGACTTTAAGGACTGTTGTTCCCTGAGAGCGCAGAAGAAGAAATCTTTCAGGTCTGTAGTTAGCTCTGGGAAGGAGTCCAGAAGGATGAATAGGAGTTCGCCGAGCGGAAGGGGTGGAGCATTCCAGCAGGGGGAAAGCGCCTGGAAAGAGAGCGCACGGCGCCTCTGGAAGCTGTGGTCCTTGTGCGTTGTGGGCTGGTGGGAAGGTGGCTGGAGAGGCGAGCAGGGGCTCCTGGAACCGGGGGTTCGGGCCCCTTTACTCAGCGCTGACAGTGCGCAGGTGGTAAACATTCACAGCGTGGCGTTACTTCTAACTGGTCAAGCCAAGCGTTTCTAGGCACGGCCTATAAAAGGCCAGGAAGGACCGAGACCCCTCAGGTTTCGCAGCACGCAGGGGGCGTCCGCAGCCCGGGCTCCAGGAACGAGCCAGGCGCTTTCGCGCGCCCTCTCCGCGTACCATTACTTGCACGGTTCTGTCACAGAACCCACTGACAAGCCCTGCGACGTTGAAAGGGCTGTCGTAAGCAGGTGCTGGCAGGAACCATGGTGTTCTCTGGCAAAAAAAAAAAAAACAACAAACCCACCTATCCTCTCTGGAGGAGCAGCAGTTCCCTTTCCTGGCCAGCAGGATGCCGTGCCAGTGTCCTAGGGGACCCTCTCTGTGAACTCGGGCTCCCTTAGACTGGAAGCTCCTCCAAGGCTGGAGCCCGTCTTACTCACCTGAGGAACCTCAGCAGTCGGCCAGGCCCCATGCGATTGCTAATTGTAGAATGAATGAATAAATTAACACTGTTAATGGAGAAGACAGGATGTGTCCACCTTCCTATCCTTGTAGTAAATGTGGGTTTTTAAACCCCACACCTACACCCATTCTCGGTCCATGTGGCTCACACATGGCTGACCTAATCCTCTCCTTCAAGGATGAGCACATGACTGGTTCCGGGAAGCTCACAAACCCAGCTTGAATCCTCAAAGTTCTCACCAGATTTTTACTGTTAACAGAAAAGAGGCATTGTCTCTGGGTCTGTGGGCTCTAGACCAGGAAAGTCTAACCCTGCCCAGGCCCACTTGGTCAACATATGAAGTGAGTCTACCTGAGAAAGAAACCAACACAAAGAAAGTCAGAGCTGAAAGGTCAAGAAATTAAGAAATTAAGCTTCTTGATCCACCCATGCTTGATCTCCTTCCCAGACTTCCTAGATACTTAAACCAATGAAAGTTTTATTTTTATTTATTTATTTCTACTTGGCAAGTGAAATAATTTAGACAAATACATTTCTCCCCTTTCCTTTACTACCTAAGCAGAAATAGGACAGTGCTGAACAGGAAAAGAACTCCGAAGTAATACTGACATCGACAAGTTCTCCCAAGACACTGGGAGAGATTTCAAATCTCAGTTCTACTTCTCCTTTGCCATGTTATCTTGCAAATGTGTCAGGACTTTTGACAATGAACATGTTGTTTCTAATCATAAATAGCAGCCATTTTCTAAATTTGTAAGTTGAATTCTAGAAAAGTTTCATCTTAACCACAACCATTCAAATACTTTTTTAATCAGCTTGAGCTACTATAACAAAACACAACAGACTGGGGTGGCTTAAAGAACAGAAATTTATTTTCTTGCAATTCTGGAGGTTGAAAGTCCAAGATAAGGTGCCAGCATGATTGAATTCTGGTGAGGGCCCTCTTCTTAGTTTGTAGACAGCAACCTTCTTACTGTATTCTTACATGGCAGAGAGAGAGAGCTCTCTGGTTCCTCCCGTTATAAGGACACTATTTCTTTTGGATCAGAGCCCTACCCTTGTGGACTCATTTAACCTTAATTACTCCTGTAAATGCTCTATCTCAAAATACAGCCACATTGGGGTTGAGGGCTTCAACATATGAATTTGAGAGAAATACAAACATTCAGTCTAGAGCAATTACCATGTTGTTTTTACCATTATTGATGTTTAAGCACCTGCAGTATTGTATTTGCACATAAAAATAATTGGAAGGCATTCCTCATTTAGAAGACAATCGTTAACTAGTAGGATGTAACATGGATTAGTAGGCTGTAAGGATGGATTTGTGAGCTGGATTACTACCAAACTGGGGGAAGTAGAGCTAATAAAACCAACTTTGCTGAAGTGAAAAGTCACACAACTGAGGTCCTTGAGTCTCTGCCCAAAGAAAGATATAGGATGGGGAAGAGTTTTCTGCCAGATCTTGCTAAATTTCACAGCACAGTCCCCAGTCAACAGTAGGGAGCATGCTCTGGAGGAAGGTGAAGCTCTGACTGACAATAAGCCAGGTGGAGGCGGAGGCCTGGGCTGGTCAGCACCTGCAGTCCTAGCACCCTTTCCCCCTATCCTCCATTGCTCCCTGCTCCATGGGCATTAGGTGACCTCTCACCTCTGTAATGAGGCTCCTCCCCAGGGTTTCCTTGGTCTCCTCTCCACCCCTTTGCGTCTCACCTCCTCTCCCTCCAATCTACTCTCCTCACTTGGTTACTTTGCTTCAGGCCTCTCTGGCATTCACAAGACCATGCATGCCAACAGGGCGCCAGGCCAAAGAAATTGCCAATGCTTTCCAGTTCCTGGAAGGTCTCCTTGAAACCTACCAAAGGAAGATGTATAGCTGTGTTAGCTTGTGAGCTAGATATCCATCAGCCATGGCAAAATCTGTTCATCCCGGGCTCAGAATACCAATGTTTTATGTCAAAAGTACTTAATGGTTTTACTCCATGAATCAATGTAAGTACAGCCCCACTGGGGCAGGTGGCTGTGACTCAACTCCACAGTTGGCAGGGGGTTGGGAATCTAACCTCCCAATAGGGCCTCCCCTCCTGTCCAGAATCTTCTTCTTTTCTTCTTCTCATCCTCTCTGTGGGTATCACCACAATTCATCACTGTCACCAAAGCCTGGGAGTCCTCCCAGACTCCAAATCCCTACCCTCTCTAGTCACCCCAAAGCCCCGGGCTTCCCTATCCCTGCCCCTTCTATGATCACCAGTGTATCAAGAGGAAAAGCTGGAAATGTACATCAGTTTCACTTAGTGCCAGCCAATGAGGGGCACTCGTGACAGATGGGAAGGCAGATGAGGAGAAGCCCTTCCTCCTCTGGTGTTGGTGGACATCTGCATCTGCAGACATGAGGCCAGCATAGGTTTCTAAGCGGTCTCCTGCAATCACATATTTTGATGTGGCTGATCCACAGCCAAGATCACTGGGGCCAGTATTCCTGCAGTTTATTCAGCCCCCGATATGAAAACCAACAGTAGTTTTCCACGATTCTTGCTTGTTCCCCTAGAGTTCTGTAAACGTTGCCATCCCAATATTCCAGGAGTCAGCAAGCTCTTTCTGTAAAGGGCCAGAGAGTAAATATTTTAGGCTTTGCAGATCATATATGGTCTCTGTTACAACTGCTCAACTCTGCCTTTGTAGCAGAAAAGCACCCCAAACATCACATAAACAAGCATGACCATGTTCCAATAAAACTTTATTTATAAAAACAGGCCACTGGTTGCACTTGGCTCAAAGGTCATGGTTTGCCACCCTCTACAATATTTAATTCTTCTCCTTAAGCTATTTATAGCTTAACGGGACCCAAATCTAAACAGATTTCTGTTTTCCTAACTGACAGGATATCTTAAATATCTATGGATTTTTTCCTGCCCTTAGTACCACTGCCTTAGTTCAAGCCTTCAGCATTTTAAAGTGAGTTGGCCCTGGCATTTGTCACTCTGTCTGGGGTCTCCTCCCTTGTCTATACCTCACTCATGTGGCTACAATCTCCTGTCATTCCTCCATAAACTCTCGCAATAGCTTGGCATCATTTTTAGGTTACCTTGGGTCCGCCGGGGTCCCAACAGGAAGCAGATGACACAGTCAAATTAAGATAATTCAAAATGGGCTGGTTTACAAATGAGGGGCCTAGGTTTAGGGGAACCACAGGCAAAGAGTAGTCGCTCGGGTTGATAGCAGTGGAGCTCTTTCCCCTCCAGGCCCAGCAGGACAAAGGCAGGGAGCAATTTCCAGAACCCAAAAGAGTGATGGAGAGTCAAGCTTCTCTAATGATCTGTGCTGAAGGACCAGGTTTGGGTTTCTACCCTCTTTGTGTTTGATTTTTTTTTTAATCCTATTCTCCTCAGACTAGTGCTTTGGTAACTTACAATAAAAAAACTATTAGGAAACAATGAGATGAGAAAACCCACAGAGAGTACAAGCCCTAATGTTTTTAATTACAAATTAAGTATCCCTTAATCTGAAATGCTTGGGACCAGAAGTGTTTTGGATTTCAGATTTTTTCAGATTTTGGAATATTTGCATCTACTGTGCATAATAAGATATGCTGGGGATGGGACCTAAATCTAACATGAAATTCATTGTATTAGGTGTACCATTACCCATAGCCTGAAGATAATTTTGTACAACATTTTTAATAATTTTGCTTATGAAATAAAGTTTTGATGGCAACCTATCACATGAGGTCAGATATGGAGTTTTCCATTTGTGGCATCATGTTGGCCCTCAAAAAGTTTCAGATTTTGGAGCATTTAAGATTTCAGATTTTCAGATTAGTGATCCTCAACCCATATTAGATTCAAAAGATAAAATTCTCTATCAAATTGCTATAAGGATTTATAAATGTATATTCTTTTTTTCTTTTTCTCTTTTTTTTTTTTTGAAACGCAGTCTTGCTTTGTCTCTCAGGCTGGAGTGTAGTGGTGCGATCTTGGCTCATGGCAACCTCTACCTCCTGGGTTCAAGTGATTCTCCTGCTTCAGCCTCCCGAGTAGCTGGGATTACAGGCACCCACCACCACACCCAGCTAATTTTTTGTATTTTTAGTAGAGACGGGATTTTGTTCTGTTGGCCAGACTGTTCTTGAACTCCTGACCTCAAGTGATCCACCTGCCTCAGCTTCCCAAAGTGCTGGGATTACAGGCATGAGCTGCTGTGCCCGGCCATAAACGTATATTCTTAACTTCCGTTCTTCCCTCATCATGGGGCCAAGACAGCACTGCAGGGAGGGAGCCAGAGTAATAAATAAAAAGGCCAATCTTACTCTCCTCCCTCTCTCCCATCTCCTACCAACACCCTCCATTGGCCAAACCCAACCAGAAACCAGATAATCAGGAGAGGACATTGATGCCATACCTGTTAGCCTCCCGGGGCACAGGGCAATGTGCAGAAGGTGAAGGGCAGGGCTGAAGGAACAAAAGCAACAGAAAAAAATGCAGCCCAAGGGCCTTCAAAAGACCGCTTCCCAGCCTGTCTTCATGTGGTCCAGTAGTCCACCCCTACCAAACTAACTCTAGGTCCTGCATCCCCTCACCTCTACCCCTTTACATATACTATTCCCTGTGCCTGGGAAGTTTCCACTCCTCTTTGGCCAAGTCTTGCTCTTGGTTCGGGACCATAGAGATAATAATGGTCTGGCATTGCTCAGAACATCTTTCTTCCAATGTCCTTCTTTGGGTAGCAAACCACTCCCTTAGATATGAAGTGGGCAATGACAAAAATTTAGCTAATTCGTTCAGTTATTCAACAAATATTTACTGAGTACCTTACTGTGTGCCATATATACTATTCTAGGTCCTACTAATACAGCACTGAACAAAAGATGACAAATCCCTGTACTCATTCTGATAAGGAAAACACATTTATTTATCAGGTGATAATTATAATCCTCACCTAAAATTGATCTATGAACACTTAGAAAGCAAAGTTTGTTGCTTTCCTCCAAAGAGACCAATCAGAGAGGTCGTGAACATAGCCCTCTTCCCTGGCCACATTGCGAAAATGTGTCTATAGTAGAAGAGTGACTCAGAGATGGCCAGGGGTGGTGGCTCACACCTGTAATCCCAACACTTTGGGAGGCCAGAGGTGGGTGGATCACTTGAAGTCAGGAGTTCAAGACCAGCCTGACCAACATGGCGAAACCCCATCTCTACTAAAAATACAAAAATTAGCCACGCATGGTGGTGCAGGCCTGTAACGCCAGCTACTCCAGAGGCTGAGGCACGAGAATCACTTGAACCTGGGAGGCGGTTGCAATGAGTCGAGATGGCACCACCACCTTCAGCCTGGGTGACAGAGTGAGACTCTGTCTCAAAAAAAAAAAAAAAATGACTCAGAGGGAAAAAGAATTGGGAGATGAAAAGAGAGAGCGCTGTAACTATATTATTTGACTCCTGGATCCAGCCACGCTTGAAGTCTACCCTTAGCTTTCCCAGTTACATGAGCCAACAAATTCCCTTTTTTGCATAGGCTTATTTGGGTTGGATTTCTGTCACTTACAACCAAATGAGCTCTGACTAGTTTGGGAATTCAGCTCAAACTTCCTCTTTTTTTCCCTGAATGTCTGATATAAGCCAGTGGGATATTCTAAAATATGCTATCAGAACATACAGATGGGACATCTATCTTGGCAATTCACATGATGGACACATAAGTAACCAAACAGATCTCATTGAGGGCAAAGGCTTTCCTCTATAAATCCCCATAGCCCTACCTATATTAGATGCACAAGAAGTTAAATGTTCATGGGAGTGACTAATATGACATTTTTTTATTCATTGATCCTCTATAACAAATAGCATTTCTAATAGTATGTCTCTATGGTATGTATGTTTTCTGAGGGTTTTTTTTTGAGACAGTCTCACTCTGTCGCCCAGGCTGGCGTGCAGTAGCACAATCTCAGCTCAGTGCAACCTCCGCCTCCCAGGTTCAAGTGATTCCGCCTCCCGGGTTCAAGTGATTCTCCTGCCTCAGCCTTCCAAGCAGCTGGGACTACAGGCGTGCACCAGGACACCCAGCTATTTTTTTGTATTTTTAGTAAAGACGGGGTTTTGCCATGTTGGCCAGGTTGGTCTCAAACTCCTGACCTCAAGTGATCCGCCCTCCTCAGTGTCCCAAAGTGCTGGGATTACAGGCATGAAGCCACTGCACCCGGCCTCTATGGTATATATTTATATACCCTGGAAAGAGGAATTGATTTGCGATAAAGAGAGGTTGAATACAAAGGGCCTTCCATAAGCTAAACCTGTCAGAGTCCACGCACCTTGGGTCAGATGGATTTCACTCCAGGAAAGGAGCCCATCTGTTTCTATGGGATATCTCATTACAAGTCACGAGGAAGCAGCCAGTCAATTTTGATTGACCTGAGGCAATTAATAATAGCTTAGAACTAGAACAGTACTTGGTATTTGATTAGCATTATGTAAGAAGTATTTGACATATTTAATCTCCATAATAACTCAGCAAGGTAGATGCTATTTTTGTCCCCAATTTATAGATAAGAAAACTATCATGCCTGTAATCCCAGCACTTTGGGAGGCCAAGGTGGGGGAATTGCTTGAGCCTAGGAGTTTGAGACCAGCCTGGGCAATATAGATCTTGTCTCTACAAAAAGTAAAATTATCCAGGCCTGGTGGTGTGCACTTGTGTTCCCAGCTACATGGGAGGCTGAGCCTGGAGGATCACTTGAGCCCCAGGAGACGGAGGTTGCAGTGAGTCAAAATCACACTACTGCACTTCAGTCTACACAACAGTGAGACCCTGTCTTGAAAAAGGAAGAAAGAAGAAAAACAAAGAAAGGAAGAAGGAGAAGAAAGGGAAGAAGGGAAGGAAGAGAAGAAAGGAAGAAGTGAAGGAGGAAAGGAAATGAAAAAGAAAGAGAAAGAAATAAGAAAGAAAGAAAGAGGAAAGAAAGAAAAGAAAGAAAGAAGAAACAAAGAGGAAGGAAGGAAGGGAGGGAGGGAGGGAAGGAGAAGGAGAAGAAGAAGAGAAGGAGGAGGAGGAAAGGAAGGAGGGAAGGGAGGGAGGGAGGGAGGAAGGGAGGGACGAAAGGAAGGAAAAAGAGAGAGAAAGAAGGGAAGGAGAGAAAGAGAGAGAGCAAGAAAGAAAGAAAAAGAGTGAGAAAGAAAGGAAGCGAATCACTTGAGGTGAGGAGTTCAAGACCAGCCTGGCCAACATGGTGAAACCTCATCTCTACTAAAAATACAAAAATTAGCCAGGCATGGCTATGGGGGCCTGTAGTCCCAGCTACTCCAGAGGCTGAGGCAGAAAGATCGCTTGAATCTGAGAGGCAGAGATTGCAGGGAGCCGAGGTCTCACCATTGCACTCCAACCTGGGCTACAGAGCAAAAAAAAAAAAAAAAAGGAAAGAAGGAAGGAAGGCAGGCAGGCAAGAAGGCAGGCAGGCAGGCAGGCAGGCAGGCAGGAAGGCAAGAAGGCAGGCAGGAAGGCAGGCAGGAAAAAAAAATTAGCCAGGTGTAGTGGTCCATGCCTGTAGTCCCTGCTACTGGCAAGGCTGAGGCAGGAGGATCAATTGAACCTGGAGGGCAGAGGTTACAGTGACCCGAGATGGCGCCCCTGCACACCAGCCTGGGCAACAGAGTGAGACCCCATTTCCAAAAAAAAAAGAAAGAAAACTAGGACCTAGAGAGTTGAAATGGCTTGCCCTAGACCATACACTCAATGAGAAGCAGATCTAGGATTCAAACCCAGAGGCCGGGTCCACACCTGCACTTTTACCCACTACCCGACATTGGCGAATCTGTAACACTGGGAATTTCCCAGTGCTGAAAGTCTGAAATGAGGCAGAGAGATGTAAGGGTGGCAAGTAACAGAATCTGCATGCCCTTTGACTAGTGCAAGGATGCTGGAAACCCCTGTCATGATCCCATTTCTGCAGGACTGATAGAAATTTCTAGTTTCAGGGGGAATTATATTTGTGAATGCTTTGTTGGATTCCTAGAGTTAACAACAGTAGCTACCGTCTAGCTGTCAAACTGCTCAGAGCTTTCCCTTGATTTACTTAATCCTCATATGAACTCAGTGGAAACGGTATTATTACCCATCCTACAGGTGAGGAAATGCTGACTAATATGCTTGAGCTGGACACTCTCAGGCAGTAGTCGGTGGGAGAGCCAGGATCCAAATCCAGGTCTGGGGCTCCTAGTCCTCTGTTCTATCGGCTGGTCTTCAAGAAAACCCGACACAGCTGGTACCTAGTATACACCAGAGGACCTGCCCTTCTGCAGCCTCTATTCTACTGTAGGCCTGGGAGTGGCCCCCAATTGTACCTGAGGGATGCAGTCACAGGAGTTTTACTTCATGCAAATATGGAAAGTTATGACCTAATTTAGGATTGTTTATAGCATGCTACACTCCAGGGAAATTACTTTTAAAAAATCCATATTGAGGGAGAAAACTGCCTGGTATTTCACCATCCGTCTTCTTCTCAATTGCTTCTTGTGACCTTTCTACCTATTGCCGAATGTTAACCTTGACTTCTTCCAGCATATAGACATGCAATTTTCTTAGCTACTTGACAGTTAACCTAACCGGAGAAATATAGTTTTCCTTAATCCACTCAAAAGCCTTCATCTTATCCAAAGCATTTCTTCCCTCCCTGAGATGATCACAGGGGGCCCATCCTGAACAAAAGCTTTGTGGTCTTAGGATGTGAAGGGGGAACTTTGTTTTAATGTCGGAACAGTTAACCACTGCATTTAAAACCAAAACATCCAGAGGAGCTACTTTTATACATTGCATTACAAAAGCCACCTTTCTCAAAAGGAATAATATTCCATGTCTTTTGAGAAAGGTGTCTTTGATAATTTCTCCTGCAAGGTTGTTGTAAGAATGACATGAGAAAAAGACCAGGCGCAGTAGCTCACGCCTGTAATCCCAGCACTTTGGGAGGCCGAGGAGGGTGGATCATTTGAGGTCAGGAGTTTGAGACCATTTGGGCCAGCATGGTGAAACTCCATCTGTACTAAAAATACAAAAAAAAAAAAAAAAATTACCTGGGTGTGGCAGCACAGACCTGTAATCCCAGCTACTCGGGAGGCTGAGCCTGGGAGGTGGAGGTTGCAGTGAGCAGAGATTACGCCACTGCACTCCAGTCTGGGCAACAGAGTGAGACTGTCTCAAAAAAAAGAAGAGTTGCATGAGGAAAATATCTAATGCTGATTATGTACCAATACCCTACTTAGCACATGACATATATATGTTACATTAATTGGTTAATGAGCAGTTTTCTCAGCAGGCACAAACGCCCTGTGCTCCTTGAGAGATTGCCCCGATTACCTCCTCTCCACAACCAACCACTGGGTCTTCAGTGTCTATCTATTAAGCATAAGACGCTAGGCCACAGAACACTACTTACAATGCCATCCTGTTTCAGTTTTCAGAAACTTGATATGTAATCATATTAGGTCAATTGAGAGACATCAACATGTTACTAGTTATTATAACTGGGTGGCAAATGTGGAAGTGATTTTTAGTCCTCTTGTTTACACCTGTTCTCTAAATTCTTTACAAAATTTAGACAAGGAAAAAAAGCATTTAAAATGTTAATATCAGCTAGGCACGGTGGCTCACGCCTGTAGTCCCAGCACTTTGGGAGGCCAAGGCAGGCCAATCACCTGAGGTCAAGAGTTCAAGACCAGCCTGGCCAACATGGAGAAACCCCATCTTTACCACAAATACAAAAATTAGCCCAGTATGGTGGCATGCACCTGTAGTCTCAGATACTTAGGAGGCTGATGTAGTAGAATCACTTGAACCTGGGAGGCAGAGGTTGCAGTGAGCCGAAATCGGGCCACTGCACTCCAGCTTGGGTGACAGAGCAAGATTCCCTCTCAAAAAAAAAAAAAAAAATACCCAAAAAAAATCATATTAAATCTCAAACTCTGTGATCCCCAAGTCAACTTAAGCCTAGCCTACTTCCCTGTACCCCAGTGGCCCCTAAACTACAACCTCAGCTCTGTTATTACACCCACAGCTCATCCAGGGCTAACACCAAAGCAGGAATTGAGAAGGAAGAAGCTCTGGAGAAAAGGGGTGGAGGGTTTAAAGAGATTCCCCAAGTCGGCAGTCTCAGCACCACGTCACTTATGGACCCTGAAGGCCTGAGTTTGGAGCCCTCTGTAGGATGGGACCTACAACATCCTCCCCACCCCAAGGTAACACCCTTGGAAAAATCACTATCCTTATCCCTACCCTGGTCTTACCTCCTCTTCCTACTGCCCACTCCTAATTATGGCAGCAGTGCTAAGGGAAGCCCTCTCCCTTGGCACCCCACATTTGTGGATAAGGTTTCAAAGGCTAAGCTTTTCTGGAATTCAGCACATTTTGTCTTTCCCAGCTCAGGGGAAAGAAAACTGTCCAGTCATGGTCACTGCTGTCTCCAGCTTTGGCAATACAACCTACCCAGCATAATGTGAACCTGGAATCAATTCCCTGATGCTTGAAGGTTTCCTTCAGAATGCATCATCGTAAACAGACCCAGGAGGCTCGAGGTAACTCCACAAGGGATTTCAAAGTTACTCCACCTGGAGCCTCAGCCATTCTCTGAATCACAGCCCCATTCTCTGAAAATGCAGAAACTTACCTTGCCAGCACTTTTGTCTACATCCAGGGAGAGAGTCCCAACTGGATTATCCCCAAGCCTTCCTAGACCCTGCAGGGAAGAACCATTAGAGGTGAACAGCCCCCGGCTCTCCCTGACCTCCATGCCTGAGAGAGTGAGCAGCCCACCAGGAGCCAGGCGGCAGCAGTCTCGGGCAGGAACTCCATAAAGGGATGGAGTTTCTTTGCCAGGACTCAGAGAACAAGGCAGACTAATCCTACTCCTGCTTGTCTCATGAGCACCATGGAAAAGCCAATGAGGTGACAAGTCCTGTATTAGCACCATTCGTAGCACTACTCTCCCATTCTGGGACTGGGGGGTGGAGGGTGATCCCCAGAGTGCTTGTAAATCTATTGTCTAAACTGCGACATCTTGGAGAGCTAAAGGGGACACTATTTAGTTAAGCCAGGACAATAGGTATTAAACAGGACTATCCCAGGCAAACCAGGATGTGTGGACACCCTAGAGAACATCTTCTACCCCTGTCGCCAGGTTAGCGGCCTGCGGCTAGAGCAGTTAGTGCCCTGCCCTCCCCCAGATTGTATGCCACTGAAGACAGTCTACTTCTCTAATCAAGCCAGGACCTCACTCAACAAGCTCCCTTGGCATCCCAGGAAAAGAAGAGGAAACTATCACAGGCACCACAAAAATGTGGACAGGGCCCTTATTTGTCTGGTTCAACACAGTATATACCCTGGGCCAAGAATAGTACTTAGCAGGTAGTATATGCTCAATAAATATTTGTTGAATGAGTGAGTGAACGCCCAAAGTTTCTAACATCATCGAGAGAACGCTAGGAAAACAGACTTGGCAATCTAGTAACACATAAAAGGGTTTGAACTCTAACCTTATAAAAATCTAAGGCATTGTGGTGGGGCATGGTGGCTCACGCCTGTAATCCCAGCACTTTGGGAGGCTGAGGTGGGTGGATCATGAGGTCAGGAGATTGAGACCATCCTGGCTAACACAGTGAAACCCTGTCTCTACTAAAAATACAAAAAATTAGCTGGGTATGGTGGTGGGCGCCTGTAGTCCCAGCTACTCGGGAGGCTGAGGCAGGAGAATGGTGTGAACCCGGGAGGCGGAGCTTGCAGTGAGCTGAGATCGCGCCACTGCACTCCAGCCTGGGCGACAGAGCGAGACTCCGTCTAAAAAAAAAAAAAAAATCTAAGGCATTGTATAAACTGCTATGCCTTTCCCTTTGGGGGAGTTTATAAATATGAAATGTTCACAGCTTTAAAATGCCAGATTGAACTGAACCTGTGAACTTCTACAATAAACTAATGGAAAACAAATTATTTTTAAGCCACTGCTGAACTTCAAATAAACTGGAACTATTTCCTGCAATATCTCTAGTACAAACTCATTCAAAACCTTGTTAGCAAAATTGGGACTGAATCTAGCAAATGCTTGGTATACACATCAGGATTCCTCTAACCCCAGTCTCACTGTGTGTAGGTTCCCTGAGAAACAGGTGCCTGGAGAGAACTAGGTTTGCAGGAGATTTAGTGGGGGAAATGGCTAGGAAGCATAAAGGAGACGGAACAGGAGAAGGCAAGGCGGGCCTTCACACCACCGTGAAAGATGGACACGTATGAAAACAGAGGGGGAAGGAAGGAGGACTGGATAGAACCTCAGACGCAGCACAGTTCTAAGGAAGTTTCAGCCAGGTTGATGGGGGGTCCTGGAGCTAAAGTTGTCCAGTAGAGAAGTCCCACATTCCAAGGAATGGGCCAGCACTGGCACCCCACCATGTTCAGTCTCTGGCTGGAAGAAAGTATGGCCTTAGCATAAACAGGGTGGTGGAACAAGAGGGGTGGCAGCTGGGCTCTTACTCCACAGTGCTCCCGCGGCAGGAGTTCTAAGCAGCACATGTTCAGGGCTACTGCCCACTATGTTTGAAACAATATTGTCCCTGGAATGACCCTTTTCAGTGAATCCAAATAGGCTCTGTGAAATTATGCCAGCTGTCAGCTGAATACTCACAGTAGATAACATATAAGCTAGCCCACCACCACCATATTTTTCTCCCAAGTGCTGGAACTTTTCATCCCTATCAGCCAAGATAAAATTTTCTCATAGAACACAATCAGTGACAAACTTTTATTCAGAAAATAAAAGTATTATTTCATTTTATTATTCCCAAAGAATCAAGCCCATCATGAGTAGCCCACATGGTTGCTGTTCAAAGGTACTGAAAAGGGAGGCATTTGGTCACCATTACCCATCAAGGAACTCTTTACAAGGATAGGTTCCAAGTCCTTCGTGCTGCTCTTGGTCATTCAGTGACTGCAGTTTTGGCCCAGAAGCCATCCAAGATGAGCAAGTGCTGAGCCATCCTTAACTCATACCTAGATGAAACAACTTGCGCAGAAACGCTGGTCCTCCCCAGTAACCCCTGTAAGAAATAACACAAAAAAATGTACCTGCAGCAAGAGAGATGGGGCGACTTCAGTCAGGAGGATGCTGAAAGGGAAGCCAGGCTGCTCACAGAGCATGTTCATCAGCACGTAAAGCAAGATTGTCTAGTGAGTTGGAGAGATCCCATGACTAGGAGGGGACAACCTACTTCCATTCCTAAGCTTTGACAAAGACTTGCTGTGTGAGCCTGGATGTGCTAACTCAATTTGGCAAATGTGTCTAAAGCCTCTACTACATGCAAACTGCTACTCTTTCTGCTTTCATTACCTCATAATTAACTGTAGGATTTTGCAATCTTGGCCCTATTGATATGTTGGACCAGATAATTCTTTGCTGTTGGGGGCTGACCTGGCATTATAGGACGTTTAGCAGTATCCCTGGCCTCTGCTCACTAAATGCAAGTAGCACCCCTCCAGTTGTAACAACCAAAAAGTGTCTCCAGAAATTATCAAATGTCCCTGGGGCAGCAAGGGGTAGGAAGATCACTCTTGGTTCAGGACCACTGATGTAGACACCCAGATTTCTCTCTCATATGGGTTTAGAAAAGTCAAAGGAGGTCATCAGCTTTTAGAATGCAGAAGAGTGGCTGGGTGCAGTGGCTCACACCGGTAATCCCAGCACTTTGGGAGGCTGAGGCAGGTGGATCATTTGAGGCCAGGAGTTTGAGACCAGCCTGGCCAACATGGCAAAACCCTGTCTCTACTAAAAATACAAAAATTAGCTGGGCATGGTGGTGCATTCCTGTAATCCCAGCTACTTGGGAGGCTGAGGCAGGAAAATTGCTTGAACCCGGGAGGTGGAGGTTGCAGCGAGCTGAGATCACACCACGGGCAGGGCAAGACTTTGCCTCCAAAAAAAAAAAAAAAAGGAGGAAGAGGAATTACTCGTTTTTATTACTCTATTTACTTATTGAATCCCTACTATGTACCTGCCTCTTTATGTGTTATCTCATTAACCTCCATCTTGTGAGGTAGGCAATGTTACTTTCATTTTGCAGATGAGAAATTTAAACACAAAGAGTGTTTAATTAAATTAAACAGAACTTTCCCTGGGACACACAGCTATGTATGTCATGCTAATAGCATGACACTGCTAATGGCCATAATGACACTGCTAATGACTTCTGCCATGCTAATAGCAGAAGTATGACTCAAATGCAGGTCTGACTCCAAAGTCTGTGCTCTTACTCACTGTTTGGTTTCTCCCATAACAATAAAAACAAAGGTAAGGGGCCAGGAGCGGTGGCTCATGCCTGTAATCCCAACACATTGGGAGGCCGAGGCGGGCGGATCACTTGAGGTTGGGAGTTTGAGACCAGCCTGGCCAACATTTAGTAGAGACCCGTCTCTACTAAAAATATAAAAATTAGCCAGGCGTGGTGGCAGGCACCTGTAATCCCAGCTACTCAGGAGGCTGGGGCAGGAAAATTGCATGAACCCAGGAAGTGGAGGTTGCAGTGAGCCAAGATTGTGCCACTGCACTCCAACCTGGGCAACAGAGCAAGACTCTGTCTCAAAAAAAAAAAAAAAAAAGTAAGGTAGCAGATGATAGAGTACTTGGTATGTGAAAGTGATTTACTATTATTATTTATCCAGCAGCAAAAGAGGGCCTAGAGCATGGAAGACAGAACACTTGGTCACTGCTAATAATGAAGAAAAGAGGCTGCATCCCCTTTGGGTGGAGATGTGCTACAAATCCCTTTCCTCATCCAGGAACCAGGCAGTGCACTTACCTTAGCATCATATTCCAATACAGGAAAGGCATCAGGTCAGCTTTCATGAGATACATGGAAAGGCGCTCTTTGCTTTGATCAAAGGGGAAGGTTTCTAGCGGCTCTGCTTTGTAGTCAAACTCAGCAAGAATCACACGGTTGTAGCCGGTCACCAGTGGACATGATGTGTAGCCATCATACTAAAATTGTAAATCAGACTGAGTTGGAAAGTAGATTTTTTTCATGGTACTATATTAACACTATAGAATTTATTATTTGCTGTGAGTGCTTATATATTTTTTCTTTTCTGTATATTCTAGCTTTTTGTACTGTGAAAAATGTAAATTATATTACAAAAAAAATAGTACTAATGGCAAAAACAGAAATGCCCATATTGGAGACACTAATTAAAAAAGTGCAAAACTGGGCCAGGCGCGGTGGCTCACACCTGTAATCCCAGCAGTTTGGGAGGCCAAGGCGGGTGGATCATCTGAGGTCAGGAGTTTGAGATCAGCCTGACCAACATGGAGAAACCCTGTCTCTACTAAAAATACAAAAAATTAGCCAGGTGTGGTGGCACATGCCTGTAATTCCATCTATTCGGGAGGCTGAGGCAGGAGAATCGCTTGAACCCAGGAGGTGGAGGTTGCGGTGAGCTGAGATCGTGCCATTGCACTCCAGCCTGGGCAACAAGAGCAAACTGCATCTCAAAAAAAAAAAAAAGAAAAACAGAAAAAAAGAAAAGACAGAAAGTGCAAAATTGTGGGAAAACACTACTTTTACACAGAATGGAAGATGATCATTGAGACAGTGATTCTTACAAGGCATACAAACCTTCTTTGTTGGTGTTTGATTCTTCATAATTACAGAAATTGTCCTATCAAGTATTCCTGACTGGGCAGCTATAAGAGAAATGGGAAAGTCAGAAAAATGTAAGCATCAAGGTTTTCCATGAAAACTAATTTGCAAATAACTTTAATGTAAACAAGAAGATTCCATTTCCCATCCCTCAAGACTGTGACTAGAACATGACCTTCTTACTAATTGAAATTCTGACTACCGGAGGGGGTTCTTTAATTCATGGAAGGCCTGCGCATGTGTTTCCATGGGTTTGATACTAAAGAGCCGACTCCCTCCAGTGTGGCTGTAAGGAGGGACCTACCCCAAATCCACTGCCTCTCCTCTTGGGGTTGAGGCTGTCAACTTAGTCTGTGTGTCCACTTAGTCAGTGTTCTTGACCATGTGGGTTATCCCTGTGTCCCTGTTCACAGGCAGTCTGGATTGGTAGCCCCAGGCATTTCCAATAAGACAAAGCAGGCCTTCCTCTCTACCGGACTGTCCTGGCTGAGGCAGGACCAGGTGGATATAGATACAGATATAGATATAGATCTGTGGATATAGATATAGATCTATAGATATAGAGATACAGATATATAGATCTACCTGTATTTCCATCTCTCTGTCTCTTTCCTAGATAGACAGACAGACAGACAGAACGACAGACAGATACAGATAGATACATACATACATCGGGATTTGTTTCTGTTTTTCTTTGGCAAGAATGGGGAGACTGCCTTTTTTATTAGGAAAATGTTCAAATTCCATCGTTTTGTTTCATGCATCTCATCACACATGCTATTTTTTTCCCGCTGTATTTTTAGAGCAGATATCACATCAGTTCACTCATAAATCTCCTGTCTGTATCTCTGATGGGGAATTTTCTTAACACAAACCCGCAGTATTTTCGCACCCCCAAAATATTAGTAATAGTTTCTTCATATAATCTAAACCCAGTTTGTGTTCAATGTTGAATAATTAAGACTGCCCAGATGGGCATGGTGGCTCATGCCTGTAATCCCAACACTTTGGGAGGCCGAGGAAAGTGGATCATTTGAGGTCAGGAGTTCAAGACCAGCCTGGCCAATATGATGAAACCCCATCTCTACTAAAAATACAAAAATTAGTCAGGCATGATGGTACACGCCTGTAATCCCAGCTACTCAGGAGGCTGAGGCAGGAGAATCGCGGAGGTTGCAGCAAGCCGAGATGGCACCACTGCACTCCACCCTTGGGGATAAAGTGAGACGCCACCTCAGAAAAACAAAAAAAGACTACCCTTTTAAGGAGACAGCAGTTTGTGGCCGAGCATGGTGGCTTACGCCTGTAATCTCAGCACTTTGGGGGACCAAGGTGAGCAGATCACAGGAGTTTGAGACCAGCCTGGCCAACATGGTGAAACCTGTCTCTACTAAAAATACAAAAAATTAGCCAGGCGTGGTGTCGCTCCTGTAATTCCAGCTACTCAGGAGGCTGAGGCACAAGAATAGATTGAATCCGGAGGCAGAGGTTGCAATGAGCTGAGATTGCACCACTGCCCTCCAGCCTGCATGACGGAATGAGACTCTGTCTCAAAAATAAAATAAAATGAAGATACAGCAGTTTGTGTCTCTAGAGGTAGAACATGGGATTCACGTTTGAGGAAAGATGGGTTACCTTTGTATTATAAAATGCTTATTAAAGTGGTTATTTTGCAATCTCCCAAATCAGGGGTTAGCAAACTTTTTCTGTAAGAAAAATTGCAGGCCTTGTGGGCCCACGGCAAATCAAAGATATTATATAATGAGAAAAAACAAAATTTCCACCATACAAAAACAGGCAGTGGACTGCATTGCCCCATAAGCTATAGTTTGCTGATGTCCAAATCAAAGAAGCAATGATTTTTTTTCTAGAATGGGTGAGGGTCACAAAAATGAAGAGTAAACAACTCTACTTAAAAATATTAAATGAGGCCGGGCGCGGTGGCTCACGCCTGTAATCCCAGCACTTTGGGAGGCTGAGGTGGGTGGATCACTTGAGTTCAGGAGTTCAAGAACAGCCTGGCCAACATGGTAAAACCCCGTCTCTACTAAAAATAGGAAAATTAGCCAGGCGTGGTGGCAGGTGCCTATAATCCTAGCTACTCAGGAGGCTAAGACAAGAGAATTGCTTGAACCCAGGAGGCAGAGGTTGCAGTGAGCCAAGATCGTGCCACTGCACTCCAGCCCGGGCAACAGAGCAAGACTCCATCTAAATATATATATATATATTAAATGAGGCCAAGCACAGTGGCTAATGCCTATAATCCCAACATTTTGGGAGGCCAAAGCAGGAGGATCGCTTGAGCCCAGGAGTTTGAGACTTGGGCAACATAGGGAGACCCTATCTCTACAGATAACTTAAAAATTAGCTGGGTATGGTGACACATGCCTACAGTTCCAGCTACTTGGGTGGGGGGGTGGGGGTTGAAGTGGAAGGATCACTTGAGCCCAAGAGGTCAAGTCTGCAGCGAGCCGTGATCACTCTACTACACTCCACCCTGGGCGACAGAGCGAGACCTTGTCTCTAAAAAACAAAAAAAAATTAAATGGCTATATTCACTGTGGGCAAAGCAACATCTCTAAAGATCATATTTCCCTTTTGGAAAACTGTGTTCCTTTTTGAGGGCCATAAAGAGTTTGGAATCTGGACTGAGAACACTTGAGGAGGCCACAGCAGCAGGACATCAAGGCCAATGGAAAAGGAGTGGAGACATCCAGTGGGTGCCACCACAGAGAGGTGAGGCCTGTGGAGCCAGGAAGCAGTCACTCAACGTCCAGGCTTAAAGTGTGCATGGGTGCAGGCGTGCGGGACTTGGGTTTTTGCCCTGTATTACAATCCCCTTCTATCATGCCCATGCCTTCAGTTAACTTTTGTTAAATGCCACATCCTGATCTTAGCTGTGCTGGGAGTAATTAAAGGAGCATCCTGGGGCAGAGAGAAGCAGAGAAGGGGACATGAGCTCCGGAAAGCCAGACTCAACATGGCAAGATGGGTCTCGCTCACAATCGCATAAGGGTCTGAACAGAGGATTGGTGGCAAGTAAACCCAAGGACAGATTTGTGGAAAAAGTGTAGCATTGCCTTGGGATACTCAGAGGATTTGGGGAAGGGAATCTAAGAAGAAATGAAGATCTGCTTGGGAACAGCTAGTACTATTGTAATTTGGACATTGAAGAGAAGAGTAAATAGACTTTCACACAGGTGAAATATTAGCTTGGTGCAAGTAACTGCGGTTTTTGCCACTCCTCTTAATGGCAAAAATTTAGAGACATTACTCTTAATGGCAAAAACCGCAATTACTTTTGCACCAACCTAAATAGCAGGTAAAGAGCACTCATTATGGTACTGTTTGAATAAAAATGGTTGGAAACAACCCAGATATAATTAAGAGTGGACTCTTTAAATAAGCTCTAGAGCAACCATAGAATAGGTTGCAGATTGTAAGACACAAATGTAAAAACAATGGGGATGCTCCCTCCATGGTTGGGGGACTGTGAAAGCCACGCAGATGCACTGCAGGACTGGGAACAAGACTTTCCACTTAGAATATTTTTGTTCAGTCATATTCAGTCTTATCTATCTGGAACATCGAATTAAATATTTGTTTGAAGAAGGCTAAAAGCTGGGTAATCTGGGCCTCACATCACAGGTAGTTTCACCACATAAATGCTGCAGGCTTACATTAAATGAGTGTCATTTCAAAGTATCACCCCACAGACTACCTACAAATTACAAAGAGAGAGAGAGTACTTTTACAATGAAAAAAAAAGAGAGAGAGAGAGAGAGAGAACACCCCTTAACCCAGTGAGGAAGTCTAGCTTCACTAAAGACAAGACAAACTAACATGACAGGCTCCTGAGGTGCCACAGAGGGAGGTACACAGACTCAGGTATGGAGATTTTTGCCAAAACATATAACCTGAATCTAACCGTAAGAAAGCAACTAGACAATTCTAAATTTTGGGGTATTCTACAAGGTAACTGGCCTGGAATCTTCAAAAATGTCAATGTCATGAAAGTAAAGAAAAAAATGTCAGAAGGCCTGCTCTATATTAAAGGGAACCAAAGAGGCATGACGCCCAATGCAGTGTGTGATCCTTGACTGGCTGGTGGATTTAAGGAGGGGCTGGGACAAAAAAGGACATTTTTAGGAAAATATACATAAATACAGGCTGGGCGTGGTGGCTCACGCCTGTAATCCTAGCACTTTGGGAGGCCAAGGTGGGCAGATCACCTGCAGCCAGGAGTTCGAGACCAGCCTGGCCAACATGGTGAAACCCCATCTCTACTAAAAATAAAAAAAATTAGCCAGGTGTGGTGGTGGGTGCCTGTAATACCAGCTACTTGGGAGGCTGAGGAAGGAGAATCGCTTGAACCTGGGAGACAGAGGTTGCAGTGAGCTGAGAGTGCGCCACTGCACTCCAGTCCAGGCAACAAGAGTGAAATTCTGTCCCCCCACCAAAAAACAAACAAACAAACAAACAAACAAAAATATATATATATATATGTACACACACACACACACACATAATATATACATACATAATATACATATATACATAAATACGATGAAGCAAATGTCACAAAATATTAATAATTGGTTAATACCTGAAGGGTATATGAGTATTATAATTTATTTCAAATTTGTATAGGTTTGAGATTTTTTTTTAAATAAAAAGTTGGAAGGAAATTAATATTAATAATGAAAAAGACACTCAGTGAGTTTCCTAGATGGTCTACCTTGAGGTTGAAATAGTCAGCAAAAGTAACACAATCTGTTCCACAGGTGTCTAATTCACACAAAACATGACCATACTGAAGGTCTTGTGTTTTATAGCATCCAGAGAAGACAGTTCCTGTCAGTAGAGGACAGAATCTAAAAGGCAATTCTCCCCATCACTGCTGGTGCAGAACATCGAGGTGAAGAATTTAGTTTTCCAGGCTGAGGCCTTAATCGTGTACCACTCAGGGCATGCTCCACTGTATTTGTCTTAACAGGACAATTTTCTGGTCTGCAAGCTTTCATTGACTTCCATGTGTTTTCTGGGAAAACAAATGCTCCTCGAGCTTTATGGTGTTTCAGGCAGAAGAAAAATAGCCAACCTGCCTGGTGTCAGAGGCAAAGATACCAGGGATGCCAGTATGGCAGTATGAGAAGTAACAGAATTCAAGAGAGCTAGAAAAGTGATGCACTCTAAGGCCCCCTCTTCTGACAACAACCCCTCTGACCTAGAAAAGGTAGATAAGATCATGCTACTCTGGGGCAAAGCACTCAAAAGGTATTTTTTGCTGTATATGACACTGGGTTCATTGACAACTTGCTTCTGTCTTAGGAAGGCCTTTTTTTTTTTTTTTTGAGATGAAGCCTTGCTCTGTCACCCAGGCTGGAAAGGAGTGGTGCGATCTTGGCTCACTGCAACCTCCACCTCCCGTGTTCAAGCAATTCTTCTGCCTCAGCCTCCTGAGTAGCTGGGATTGCAGGCGCCCACCACACGCCTGACTAATTTTTGTATTTTTAGTAGAGACGGGGTTTCACCATGTTGGCCAGGCTGGTCTCAAACTCCTGGCCTCAAATGACCTGCCTGCCTGAGTCTCCCAAAGTGCTGGGATTACAGGCAGGAACCACCGTCTCTGGCCGATGCCAAGCTTGTGTTTTTGTTACAATCATGCCTTGAGGTGACATATTTTTGAGAAAGGGAGAAATGGAGCTGGTTGACTTACCTACTGCAGCAGCGGTCTTTGACGTAGGAAGGTTGGTGCAGTCCCCAATCCCAAACACATTTGGGTACCTCCTGTGTTGCAGAGTTTCTTTATCCACATCCACCCAACCAGCAGCATCAGCCACAGGACTGGTCTTGAGGACATCTGGTGGGCTCATTGGAGGTGTGACATGAAGCATTTCATACTACACACAAAGAGAGAATCCACATTTTCATTTATTCAATATTTCTACAGCTCCACAAGCTCTCCCCCTACCTTCCTTACTCTATACACTGTGCTATGGCTGCATGGAGCATTATACAATCAGCACTTGTACCAGTCCACGCCCTCTCCAAGATCTTATGTGTTCTCCTGGGGAATGGTGATAAGCTAAATAACCATTCTCTCAGTTGACGTGATCTCCCCATACAGAGACCAAGAGAGCCCTGTGGACACACGTACGGGTACATGAGATATTGGAGTAAAGCTCACTAATATTCTGAAAAAATCCATTGATGTTTTTATTAGTACTAAAATAAGGGGGTGGTATATTTCAGTTGCAGTCTCCCTGACCCTCAGCTGTCAACTTGCAAAGTTTAGCACCTCAGCGTTATTCTGTAAGGTGATGCTCAGCATCCCTTAAACTTGTAAAGGATATGTTAGGAGCTGGTAAGAAAGCATCATTCCCAAATATGTGTCAACTTCAAAACACATAAAGGAAACTGTCAGAACACCAATTTAAGATGAAAAGGGGTGGTAAAAATATTAGCTAGCACTTTGGAAAAGGAGCAAGGGGTCTGATTCAGTACTGGATTTACTTTTCAGTGCAGAAGGCAGGGGTGAATTTTTTTCCAAAACACCGTATCAAGGTTACCTTTGGTAGTGGTGCACTGACCCATCCTAATCACTTTTGAGGGCTCATTTAATTTTTTTGTTTATGTAATATTCTTTCACGTTTTGTAGTTGGTTCTTATTATTCTTTTTATTTATTTTTAACAAACTCCTTCCAGCAAATTCATCAATTTGCTAGTGGGTCCAGTTAAGGACACATTGATTGAAATGTTCACGACATGTCATTAGGGTAAAAACTTAAGCAGTTGAAGACAATTCCAACCTTTTGAGATAGTCAATAGCCCTTCATTTCCACAAGAAGTCCAATGTTCCCATGCCCTCCGAGAGGCTCAGCAGTCACTGATGGCAATGGGAATTAGGAAGATGACTTGTACTTATTACAACTCTCAGACAAATATAAGCTTAATTAACCTCAGGGAAGGAGCACTGCAAATGGCTGCTGCTCATCTGCAGGATAACCTTGGGTGGAGGGTGGCTCTTGGGCACATGGGTCCCTGAGGTCAGGTCTGTTCATGAACGTTGAAACTGAATGCATGTTTGCAGGATAATGGATGAAATGGTCAACAGCTATCATCTACTAAATTATTAATCTCCTGTCTGCATTTCTGCAGTCAACTAGAACTACTTTTGAGACAGTGTTTCACTCTGTTGCCAGACTGGAGGACAGTGGCTTGATCATAGCTCACTACAGCCTCGAACCCCTGGGCTCAAGCAATCCTCCTGCCTCAGCCAGGAGGCACGCACCACCACACCCAGCTAGTTTGTTGTTGTTGTTTTTTCTTTTATTAGAGACTCGGTCTTGCTCTGTTGCCCAGGCTGGTCTCGAACTCCTGGGCTCAAGCAATCCACCTGTCTCAGCCTCCCAAAGTGCTGGGATTACAGGTGCAAGCTACCATACCTGACCTAGAACTACGTTTTTGAACTGAGGTCTAAACCTTACTAGAGTCATCTCGGTGGAGTTAATGTGTTTGAATTTCACAAGTACACACAAATTCCACAACTCTTTTCTAAAAGAAAAGCTAAATACTTTCATATAATCATCATAAAGGTATGGAGTTTTACCTGAGCTAACATCCTACAAAAGGGTCTACTTTATGGATTTATTAGAAATTAATGGCCAGGTGCAGTGGCTCATGCCTGTAATCCCAACACTTTGGGGGGCCAAGGTGGGCAGATCGCTTGAGCTCAGGAGTTCGAGACCAGCCTGGGTAACGTAGTCAAACCCCTCTCTACCAAAAACACAAAAAATTATCTAGGCATAGTAGCACATGCCTGTTGTCCCAGCTCCTCAGGAGATTGAGGTAGGAGGATGGCTTGCTTGAGGCTGGGAGGTGGGGGTTGCAGTGAGCCAAGATGGCACCACTGCACTCCAGCCTGGGTGACAGAGCAAGATCCTGCCTCCAAAAGAAAAAAAGAAATAAAAAGAAATTAACATTGGGCCAGGTGTGGTGGCTCACACCTGTAATCCCAACACTTTGGGAGGCCAAGGTGGGCAGATCACTTGAGCCCAGGAGTTTGAGGCCAGCCTGAGCAACACAGCAAAACCCAGTCTTTAAAAAAATACAAAAATTACCCGGGCATGGTAGTGCATGCCTATAGACCCAGCTACTCAGGAGGCTGAGGTAGGAGGATTGCCTGAGCCTGGGAAGTAGAGGCTGCAGTGAGCCATGAGCCACGGTTGTACCACTGCACTCCAACCTAGGTAACAGAGTGAGACCCTGTCTACAAAAAAAAAGAAAGAAAGAAAAAAACAAACAAACAAACACTGGCACTTAGTTGTAGCTTGTTCATTATCTATCATTTATTTCTGTAACTGTATAGGATAAATAACTTGGTCCTCCTTCATTAACATACATAGTCCAATCAGTGTGGTGGTTTTCAAACTTTAATGTTTATTAGCAGCATTGGGGAGACTTGTGGAAAATACAGGTTCCCAGGCTACACCATGCCAAGATCCCAATCTAGTAGATCTGGGTAAAGCACGGGAATCTGTACTTTAAAATCTGCTAGTGATTCTGATATGTAAAATCTGTGGATCACATGCTTACAATCTCTGGCTTGAAGGAACAGGTTCATTTACAAAGAAAAATAGAATGCTATTATTTGGACAAGTCACTTCATCTCTTTGGTCTTTAGTTTGCTTATCCATAAAGAAATGCACTAGACTAGACAATCTCCAAAGTGTCTTCTAGTTCCTCCGCCTCCCAGGTTCAAGCAATTCTCTGCCTCAGCCTCCCAAGTAGCTGGGATTACAGGCTCCTGCCACCATGCCCGGCTAATTTTTGTATTTTCAGTAGATACAGGTTTCACCATCTTGGCCAGGCAGGTCTCAAACTCCTGACTTCGTGATCCACCCGCCTCGGCCTCCCAAAGTGCTGGGATTATAGACTTGAGCCACCACGTCCGGCCCAATTCTTCACACCAGTTGTTTTCAATCCTGGTTGAACATTAGTCATTAGGGGAATTTTTGAAACTCCCCATCCTCAATCTGCACCCCAAACCAATTAATTAAAACCTCTTATAAAGAGGCCAGGCATCAGCACATTTTAAAAGCTCCCTAATATGTAGCCAGGGTTAAGAGCCACAGCTTTACATCCTTCTGGTGGATTTTTTGAAATTCAGATTTTAAGAGTGGAACTAAATATCTGACCTGAAATCCTATAATTCAAAGGGGACACAAATATCTTCTTTAATTACAAACCCCTTAGAAGAATAATAACCATTCATTTATCCACACCCCTACCTACAACCTCAGCTATCCAGAGGACAGCTGGGAAACGAAGTACTAACAAAGTTAAGTTCATGCACTCAAGTTCATACACTTTGCTCATAAAAGGATGCTTCGGGCTCTTACTCATAGCTCATTTTAGTGAAAGCCCAACTTGGGCTCACTCAAACGGACTCTCTCAAATGGGCTCTTTTGTAAAGTAAAAATGAGTTCACTCATATGAGCTCTCACTCATAGCCCATTTGAGTGAGGCCATTTGAGGAGCAGCAATTTAAAAAAGCTAAAGCTGGAGGGACCTCCCAAAGTCACTAACAACGGCCTGACAGCCAGGAAAAAGGAAAACTACAAAAAGGACACACAAAAAACAAACAGCAGTAATTTGAGACCCTTTTATAAAGTGATAACTAGCTCCAAACATTCCAGTAGCCTCTGTGTGCATAACTACACAGGAGCTATTCAAAATGATGACCCTGAGCTGCTGCAGATAGATACTAGATGAGCCTGGGACAACCTGTGACACCAGAAAGTAAAGGAAGTGCTCAAACACATGATGGGGCATGTCACAGGGACACAAGAGCCAGCTGGAAGGGAAATCTACTGACCAAATCCAAAACAATTTGAGCACCATAATAATTAAAAACAATAATGAATGATAACACTGTAAGAAAAAATATAGGAACTCATGAGTTCATACCAATAGTTAATTAACTAAGAAGCAAAGACTCTCGCTGAAAGAATGCCAAGAGCTTACTGGTAAATGTGCAGGAAATGTCACAGTTAGCAAATCACCATTTTGCAACCACCATAGTAAAGATTTGATTAGGCAAGGATCATCAATGGATGCTAACTCTAGTGGGGAGACTTGAATGAGTAGACTATTTACATGGTTTTAAAGTGTCTTCCCACAGACTTCTTATTAGTAGCAAGGGAGAAAACAAATTGTAATTATCCCCTGGAAAAACTGGACCACATCTTGACTGCTGATCAAAATTAACATCACCAATGAAGGGCAGATGAACACTGTATGCTTGCAAATGTGATACCTTAGAATGGCACAATGCTTATGCAATGTTCCAGTCTAACAAACAGAGCCTGAGGCCAGGTGCGATGGCTCATGCCTGTAATCCCAGCACTTCAGGAGGCCGAGCAGGTGGATGGCTTGAGGTCAGCAGTTCGAGACCAGCCTGGCCAACATGGTGAAACCTCGCCGCTACTAAAAATAAAAAATAAAAAAATTAGCCGGGCATGGTGGTGCACACCTGTAGTCCCAGCTACTCATGAAGCTGAGGCAAGAGAATCGCTTGAACCTGGGAAGCAGAGGCTGCAGTGAGCTGAGATTGCACCACTGCACTCCAGCCTGGGTAACACAGCGAGACTTCGTCTCAAAAATAAATAAATAAATAAATACATATCAAAGCCTGAAACTAATCACAAGAAAACACTGACAAACTCAAAATGAGGAACATTCTACTGAAAGAAAAGTGGTGGGGGAGAGGGCTGTATTATTTCAAAATATCAACGTCATAGAAGACAAAGAAAAGCTATAGAAACATCACAGATTAAAGGAGGCTAAATAGACCTCACAATTGAATGTAATACCTGACTGTAGCCTGAGTCCTGCACTGGAGGAAAAAATGCTACAAACACAGTTGGGCCAATCAACTAAATTGGAATACAAATAGTAAGTTAAAAAATTGTATCTGTGCTAAATTTCCTGAGTTGATAATGGTACTGTGGTTATGTAAGAGAACACTTCTATTTTAGAAAATTAACACTAAAGTATTTGGGGCTAAAGAGAGCTGATGCATGATATATGTAAATTTCCTTGGAAAAACTAGATATGGATGGATAGATAGATAGACAAAGGCAGATAGAAGAAAGAGAGAAAGAAAGAAAGGAAAGAAGGAAGGAAGGAAGGAAGGAAGAAATCAAATGATAAAGCTAAAGCAAATGGTAAAATTCTACAAGTGAATCTAGGTAAAAGCTACATACAATTTTCTTTGTACTATTTTTATTTTGTAACTTCTCTAAGTTTGAGATTATTTCTTTTTTTTTTTTTTTTTAGACGGAGTCTCACTCTGTCACCCAGGCTGGAGTGCAGTGGTACAATCTCGGCTCACTGCAGCCTCCGCCTTCTGGGTTCCAGCGATTCTCCTGCCTCAGCCTCCCGGGTAGCTGGGATTACAGGGATGTGCCACCACGCCCAGCTAATTTTTGTATTTTTAGTAGAGATGGGGCTTCACCATGTTGGCCAGCCTGGTCTCGAACTCCTGACCTCAAGTGATCCACCTGCCTTGGCCTTCCAAAGTGCTGGGATTACAGGCGTGAGCCACCATGCCCAGCCAATCCCTGTTTTCTTCAACTACCCACAGGGTTACTTCCTGCTCACAAGCAGGACTGTTTCTCACATGCCACCAATTGAGACAATCACCAGATCTTGCATTCGAGGAAGCCCTCCCTTACCTCTACACAGTAACCAAAGTTGTGGAATATTTTTGGCTACCTCAAGTGACTCGATGCCAGGAAAAGTTGAGTCAAAGGAATAGGACAAAAATTCACTTGGCACCAGCTAACGACACCTTCTCACCTCCCACTGACACAGCCTCTTACATCTTTCTCTTCCCCAACCATTTTGGCCTACCTTCTTGCCCTAACACTTCCCTAAGATGCTCATTTCACCCAGTCTTCCCCAGCACACAATGATGGCAGATAGGGTGGTGTGAGCCCCCATGTATCTATGGCACGTTTCAGCAGACAACGCTTCATGCTGACAGCTTAGCCTCACCACTCACTGAAATCACTTGGGTCTCTCCTGGTTTGTCCAGGTTCTCAAATACAGCCTCTTGTTTATCGGCTCGGACTTCAATGAGGTTTTTCTTGTAGTTAACAGTGAGGTTCCGCTCCTGGATGATCTCCTGCAGGGCATCTGCATACTTCTTAACCCCGAAAATGGCTCCAAGAGAAGTGTTGAAAATGATATTGGCCTTGGATCGCTTCCCTGTCTGAGAAAAATAAGAAAACCATTCACACCAAAGCATGACTGCAGCTGCCTTTTTTTTTTTTAATCCAGACAAGAATTAAAACCCTCAGCAGGGACCTTGCTAGCTTTTGCCACCATTATGTCCTGGCAGAGCAATGGGTAGACCAATCCACTGCCTCCTCCTTATGTTCTGCCCATGACATACAACTAAGTACACACTTGAGTTGGGGGCTGAGGTGGGCACTGTCCAGCTGAAGGCCAGAGGTGAAGGTTAGGTCCAGGTCAAGACAGAGTAGAGTAGAACGGAATGTTTATTCATATATTCATGTATTCATTTACTCAATAAATATTTAACAAAGTTCTAGAGTTGGCCAGATACTGTCCTAGGTGCTGAGGGAACAGCAGTGAGCAAAACTGAGTTCCAGCCAGGCGCAGTACCTCACACCTGTAATCCTAGCACTTTGGGAGGCCGAGGCAGGCAGATCACCTGACGTCAGGAGTTCCAGACCAGCCTGGCCAACATGGTTTGAGACAAGCCTGTCTCTACCAAAAATATAAAAATTAGCTGGGCATGGTGACAGGCGCCTGTAATCCCAGCTACTCAGGAGGCTGAGGCAGGAGAATGGCTTGAACCCAGGAAGCGGAGTTTGCAGGGAGCTGAGATTGCACCATTGCACTCCAGCCTGGGTGACAGAGCAAAATTCTGTCTCCAAAAAAAAAAAATAAACAAACTAAAAAACAGTAACAACAAAACCCTGAGTTCCTACCTTCTTGATATTGTTCAGAGAGGCCAATATTCTCCCAAATGCCTAAGATCAGAGAGGCCAATATTCTCCCAAATGCCTAAGATCTTATGGTACTCGAACCTTCCTCGTAGGCCATCTAAGACTTGGGAGAAAAGAGTTACACAAAGAAGTTTCCAGGACGGAAGAAACAGCTGGTTTCTTCTTCTTTCCTTTGCTCGGCTCCTTTCATGATTTGCTCACCCGGATCTCACCATTTGAAGAATTCAGGTGGGTAAGTGTCTCAAAAGGCTGTGCCAGCCCTTTATGACCCAGAATGAACTTTCTTGGGGTCAGAAATGATTACTGGAACTGCCTTTAATTCCCTACCTCACAGGGTTGTTGCAGTTTACAGAGCTCAGGGGAAGGTCTTGATCAGTCCCAGCCTCCATGAGCACATTCAACCACTCCCCAGCCCGTTCTTCCCCACCCTTCTTCCCATCTGTCCCCATACACGACTAGCTGCTAGAAATCCTGCCACTGTCTCAAGCCAAACCGCACTTTGGTAAACTAAATGTCAAACCCCAGGCAAGAGCAGGGAGGGCAAGAACAGCTTCCCTTACAAGCTTAAGCCAGGTGTACTTGAGCTGCAGACAACTGCTCTTACACAGAGAGCATTTGGAGAATGCTGAGAAAGTCTCCTCCTGCCCAAATATCTCTTTTCATGAAGGTTTAAAGTTCTATGAGAACATTTTTTTGCTTTTTAAATTGGCATTTTCCGTATCATATTTTTTTAATGTATACCCAAGGGACAGAAAATATTCATGACCTTAAACTTGAGTGGAAGTAGTGGATAGCATTATGGATAAAAATGAACAATCTGCAACTAATTGTCTAACTATATGGAAATATTTAAACAGTCTCTAACATATCTCTCCAGTAGACTTTTTTTTTTTTTTTAAGACGGAGCTTCGCTCTTGTTGCCCAGGCTGGAGTGCAATGGCACAATCTTGGCTCACCACAACCTCCGCCTCCCAGGTTCGAGCAATTCTCCTGTCTCAGCCTCCCCAGTAGCTGGAATTACAGGCATGCACCACCACGCCCAGCTAATTTTTTTTGTATTTTTAGTAGAGACGGGATTTCTCCATGTTGGTCAGGCTGGTCTTGAACTCCTAACCTCAGGTGATCCACCCACCTTGGCCTCCCAAAGTGCTGGGATTAGAGGCGAGAGCCACCACACCCAGCATCCAGTAGACTTTTACACACACATTTAAAAAGTATGTAACAAAGACTATTTAATATTACATAATACAGCTAAATTTTTCATGTACACTATGACTGTAACCATATTTAAGTATACAGAAAAAAAGCTGGAAAGCCATGTCAAATTGAAAACTGCAGCTTTATTAAAGCAATTGGATCATGAGTGATTTTCTCCTCTTTTATATTTTATAAACTTCCAGTTAACTAATTTTGTACACATGTAATAAAAATTCCGAGATAAAAAAGGGATTACAATAGAGATAAAATGGAATTCTTGCAATCAGTGAATTAGCACTGTCCGCCCTGCTCATCTCTGTCCCCAGAAAGGAAGCATACCTTCCTGAAGTAGGCTTCTGATAAGTACATGATCTTCTGAGGGGCTCCAGCACACTTCACTGGAGTATTTGGGAAGGTGAAGATGGCATTGCCCTCTTTGAAGTCCTGCAGAGCTTTCCATGTCTTCTCTACAGTCTTAACTGAATAATTCGACCCTATTTTGGGATGAGCGAAACCTTCAGGTAGGCCTTTAATCTGCAACAAAGTACACAAAAATTATTTTAAACAAAAGTGCAAATGTCTTTAGAGTCCTTGTTCTTTGCCATTTCTACAACCTTTCAAATATTTCAGTACTATCATTACCCTCCAATACCCACATGCCTAGAGCAGGCAGGTGGGTGAGGGTTCTAAGACCAGAGCTGTGGCACCTGTAGTCACCTGTCAAACTGCAGAATGGGCTCAGCTCAGAGGAACCCTTCAACTCCCTGGCCTTGAGAATACAATTTGAATACAACTTTTCCCACCATCGGAGTGAGGACAAGACGCCAGCCAGCCTTCCTTTTAGGAGACCCAGTTGCCTCACTGGAAAGAACAACTGGCAGGACCAAGAGCCATTTATATCATCAAGAATAGCAAACTTAAATCACTCTTTATCAGGTTGTACCAGACCAAACTCTAGATAAAGGCACTAAAGCCAGGTGCCTAAAAACATGGACTTTAGGATCCCACATACCAGTTTGAGTCCTGGCTCTTCCACTTACTAGCATTGTGACCCTGTGTAAATTACCTAATACTTCTAAGCCAGTAGGTCTCCAAGTGTGGTGCTCAGACCAGCAGCACAAGCACCACCTGGGAACTTGCTAGAAATGCAGATTATCAGGCCCCACCCTAGACCTACTGAATCAGAAACTGGGAGCAGGCCCAGCAATCTGTGTTTTAACAAGCCCTCCAGCTGATTCAGATGCACACTCAGGTTTGAGAATCCTAACGTTCACCATCTGTGAAATGGGGATAAGGTATCTGCTTCACAGGGTTGTAGGCAGAAGCAAATGAGGCCATGCATGTACAGGACACATGCACATGGCAAATGTCCTGTAAATGTTAGCTGATTATTGCCAATAAGATCAACTAGACACCTATTATAAATGTTAGAAGGCTCGTAGAGTGCAATGAAGATGTCACAGACTGAGTTAAAGAGACTTAAGCCTCAGTTCTCAGCAAGAGCAGGTTCAACTTCAATCATCAAGAAACAGTCATCAAGATGGCCTGGTCCTTCAGAGCCTCCCCAGCCCATTCTCTGGGCCACCTCCAAAGTCACTCCAGACACTTATCCCTGAGGTCTCAAGGAAACAGAGTCCTCTCATCTCCTCAGTGGCCTGAGTTCATTACTTATCACACTCAATGTTAAAAGCAACTATTTGTTACTGTTCACCCCTGTTACAGTTAGATAGTAGTAACATTGGCAGTCTCAATAATAATATCATTATTATTATAAAATCACCTTGCATTTAAATGTTTTCAAAGTTTCACATCAATGCTAACAATGGATATTCACTATGTACTTCTGAGGGAGGCAGGGGAATATTAACCCCTAGAATGGATGGAGCCCTGCCCAGAATCTTAAAGAACCAGACACCAAGGCCTCTGCCCACCTGCCTGGGGGTCTTCGCACAGGACCGCCATACCTTCTAGTTCCCAAAGCAAATCTCACTATCCAAGAGATAAACAAGCAGAAACAAGCAGTTGATGTCTTATCACCTTCATTAGTTTTCTCTAGTTTTAAGAAGCTGTCGTTGATGGAAAAGTTGCCGTAAAGTGGTAACCAAGCTCCTTTCAGGAAAACCTGCGTCAAAAAGGGTGGTTTTGACCCCTCATCTAGTCAGAGTTGCTTCCCTGGGAATTCTGAAGCAGAGAGAGCTAGAGAGGAGGGGAGAGAGGGAAAGGGAGAGTCAGGGAAAGAGATGAGATGTGACTCCTCCTTTGGCTTCCAGCAACAGGCTGTGCACTGGGGAGCCGTGGACTATCCTATCACACAGAGTAGACCGGCAGGCAGGACGGCCTGCTGCAGAGACCCTGTGAAGCTGGCCTGAGAAAGAGGCTAAGAGAGATGGACAAAGAGAGGCTGCCTGAGTCCAACAGAACCCAAAGTGGAGATCCAGCCCTGCCAGAGGCCCAGCTACATCCTTGCCCTAGTGTTCTAGAAACATCTCAGTATTTTCATCAATGATCTCTACTTTTTATTTACACCAACCTGAGTAGTTTCCTTGAAATTGCAATCAAAGAGTCCCAAGTAGCACAGTGACCATGGTTATTACATTCCCTTAGCCTCAGTTTCCTCATCTATTAAGTGAAGATAAAAATGCCTCCCTCACAAGTAGTTGTAAAGAATCAATTTTTGATTCCTGGCTGGGTGCAGTGGTTCACGCCTGTAATCCCAGCACTTTGAGAGGCTGAGGCGGGTGGATCACTTGAGGCCAGGAGTTTGAGACCAGCCTGACCAACACAGTGAAACTCCGTCTCTACTAAAAAAAATACAAAAATTAGCCGGGCATGGTGGTGGGCACCTGTAATCCCAGCTACTCTGGAGGATGAGGCAGGAGATTGCTTTAACCTGGGAAATGGAAATTGCAAGTGAGCTGAGATCACACCACTTCACTCCAGCCTCGGTGACAAGACTCCATCTCAAAAGAAAAAAGAAACAATATTTGATTCCTACCATGGTTCCTGGTATGTAATAGAGATTCCATAATAATGGCTACTTTTAAATATCTCTGTGACTTGGTTTGCTACAAGAGGCTGCTATGAACTCTGAGCACTGGCCTCTGCAGTGCTTCTCACATGACACTGGGGCTTTGGGAAGACAGTACCATGGAGACGCATTGCCTTTGCTAGGTCAACACTGTGGGGGCCTTTTTGGAAGGTATGGCCCCCTTGAAAGTAGTTGTAATAAACACCTTTCTCCATATCGTCTACTTCATAGCTTGTCTGTCATTCTAACAGACTCACGACCCATGGCACCATGACTCAAAACCATCTTACAACATTCACAACAACTTGTAGCTTCTCTGAACTTTCCCACAACACAACCCAAGACATTTTCACTACCCTTCCCCTGGACATGACACAATTCAACACACTTCAAAGATTCTTACTGGGCCAACTCTGTTGAGGCCCTTGCCCAGGTCACATTCCTGAAGCTTGTTACCCGGTTAGCACAGATGTTTCCTGTACTCCAACTATTTATCTGTAGTCCCCAACAACCTTCTGGAAATGATAATATTTACCGATTTACTCTGCTATGTTTTAGAAAAATGAAGTTGAATCTCAAAACTTTCAAATTGCATCTGGCTCCCTAGCTCACTGAAAACGGGGATCTGAGGAACTTCTGAGTGGCATTTCCATTGCATCGGTTACTTCACACTAAAAACCCAGTATCGACACAACAAAACCCAGATGTCCCTCCAGCAACAGACGAGCTAACTGCTGGTGTTCCACCCCTTAAAGTCTGCTTTAAAATTTATAATCTAAACCCTACTTCCAAAGCGGAATGTAATCTTCAATACAGCCAACTCTGTCCCACATAGAAAGACATGTTTCTTACAAATGTGGAAAGAAAACTGCTGTTTTGCAAGAATTAATCATTAAGGCATGAGCATGCTGAACTCTAATTAAAGCTTAAAGCTAGAACATATGGTTATTATCGACAGAATCTTAGAGAAGACTTCCTTAAAACTGTAAAAGGACTGCCAAGAAATAAAACCAGAAGAGATTTTCTTAGAACCCCTTTCTTGTCAAAATGAATATAATAAAGCAACTAAATGCAGCATTTGCTCTTGGCATAGATAAGCCAGCGTAACACAGAAACAGTTTCACACGGTACCTTCTCATAGTCCAGCTGGATTCCGAGAGCAATAATAAGATATCGGTAGGAGATCTGCAACACAAAAAGACATTATTTTAGACCAGGACTCAAGAAGCATCAACTCAAGGACTGACTCAGGCCCCAGATGTGGTTCCATGTGGTCTAAGGGAGGCAGGGAAATATTATTAGCCCATAGAACAGATGAGAAAATCGAAGCAGAACAAGGTTGGGAGTCCTGCCCAGGTTCCCATTTTTTAATCTGAATGTCTTGGGGCTGGGGGAGGTGGGCAGACTGGCAGGGAGGGATGCGTGTCCACTCCCATCATGCCCTCTGCCGTCTATGCCTCACACCTCACTGCTTCACAAATATTTTGTAAGCTGCCTAGCCCCAGAAAGCTTGAGACAGCTATGTGTTTACACAGTGAGAGGCCACAATTATTTGTACAGTGCTTGTATTAACACTTTTTCATATTGAGAGGTAAGAGAAGGGCTTCCTAATCTTAAAAGACAATCCACTGTCTAAAATCTATGGGGTAGGCCAGGCACAGTGGCTCACACCTGTCATCCCAGCACCTTGGGAGGCCGAGGCAGGTGGATCACTTGAGCTCAGGAGTTGGAGACCAGCCTGGGCAACATGGCAAAACCCTGTCTCTGCAAAAAATACAAAAATTACCTAGGTGCGGTGGCATGCACCTGTAGTCCCCAGGGGGGCTGAAGTGGGAGAATCGCTTGAGCCTGGGAGGTGGAGGTTGCAGTGAGCAGAGATCACACCACTGCACTCCAGCCTTGTTGATAGAGTGAGACCCTGTCTCAAAAAAAAATTAAAAAAAAATAAAAAATATATATATAAAAAATATATATTAGTATATTGTATATTAAAAATAAAAAACTAAAATCTATTGGGTAATATGTGAGTCCCAAGCAAGTCTGACCTGTCATGTGGATTGGACCAATATCGTAATTGGGAGATTGCTCTTTTGAGCAATCTCAAGGTCATTGAAAGGCTATGACATAGTGTACCTGATCTTATTTAATGACCTGTATGGGATGAAAAAAGTCCCTTCTTCAAATACGGGTATTGTATGCATAAGTAGCATGATGGAAATGTGGGTTTAGGACAAAGAGGAAGACAAGTTTAGGCCAAAAAGTGTAAACAAAGTGGCCGTAAAGTACAAGAACTTGCCTAGAAAACTGGAGTTAGGAAATGATTGCAGTGAGACTCAGGAGCCCAGAAAGAAGAAACAGGTGGTGATTACCATGATCCTGTACTAAATGGCAGAGCAGAGCAAGCAACCCGAGCGAATCGCAGTTGGAGAGAGAGGACTCCAAGACCTGAGAGTGCTTGGCTCTGGCTGAGGAGCCAAGGGAAGTAACGTGCAGTCAAGAGGCCCTGCCCTGGCATCCGGGAGCTTCAGCCCCAAAGCCACCTCCACAGCAGGCTTTCCCACTATGACACGATCACCCTCACCACTGGCCCCTCCCAGGAGCTCCCCAGCATAGTGTGCATGAGGCTTCCTAGCACTTGTTCTCCCCAGCACACTGACCACTCCTAGAGGATAAAAGTTATGTCTTATTCCTTACATTCCTAGAATCTAGCACAGTCACTAAATTAAAGTGAGGAACTCTGTAATGTTTGGTGGGTGAATGGATAGATGAATGATTTCAGTTGCTTGTGAAAAGTACAATTTCTCTAAGTGGAAGATAATATAAGCATTTTCATCTGTATGTTTTGCCTATCCATAGAAAGATGATGTCTTGGCCAGTGCAGTGGCTCATGCCTGTAATCCCAGCACTTTGGGAGGCTGAGGCGGGTGGATCAAAAGGTCAGGAGTTCGAGACCAGCCTGGCCCACATAGCGAAACCCTGTCTCTACTAAAAATACAAAAAATTAGCTGGGTATGGTGGCGGGCGCCTGTAGTCCCAGCTACTCAGGAGGCTGAGGCAGAAGAATTGCTTGAATCCAGGAGGTAGAGGTTGCAGTGAGCCAAGATCACGCCACTGCACTCCAGCATGGGTGACAGTGAGAGACTCTATCTCAAAAAAAAAAAAAAAAAAAAAGAAAGAAAGAAAGAAATAAAGAAAGATGATGTATTGAAATTCCATCTTCTGTAGGAAAGGGCACCAGGCCCGTTAAATGGCCGGCCAAACCATGTTGAGCAATCCGGGCATATTAGGTAAGAGCTAGCATGGGGTCTGGTAGTGATGATCTACAGGTGAAACATATGACCACTGGAAACAAGAGGAGCTTTTGGTTTGTGCAGGCCACCACCAAACATGATGCAAATAATATTGATTATGCTCTATTTTATTAGAGCATAATATTCATTATGTCTAAGGACTAAAAACATGCCAGCTTAAGATTATGGGGAAAAAATCATTAAGAGAGAATAAACCCTCCATAGCAAGAAAGCAAGAAGAAAACCTCAAGCCTTTTGAATGAGTTCAAGTTTTCAGGTCAGATGACCTAAACCCCCAGGAACAGCAAAAGCTTATAGACAAGACTTTTGAGCAGTTACGCACAACAGTGTAGACCTTGCCAGAAGGCTGAATATCTGCAAGTATTCTCATATTACACAGGGGTCAGAAGACGTAAACTCTGACACGAACATCTTAGTAAATAGGCTATTAATCCTTTGCAAAACTCTAGACTCAACTACTAAATAGACATTTCATAGTAATTTTTTAAAAGATTAGCTGGGCATGGTAGTGTGTGCCTGTAGTCCCAGCTACTCAGGAGGCTAAGGTAGATCGGCTCAGAACTCTTGAGCCCAAGAGTTCAAGGAGCAGTGAGCTGTGATCTCACCACTGCACTCCAGCCTGGGCAACAGAGCAAGGCTGAAGGGAGAGGAGGGGAGGGGAGGGGAGAGGAGGGAAGGGGAGGGGAGGGAGGAAGGAGACAAAGAGAGGAAGGGAGGAAGGAAGGAAGGGAGGGAGAGAGGAAGGAAGGAAGAAAGGAAGGAAGGAAGGAAGGGAGGGAGGGAGGGAGGGGGAAGGAGAAGGAAGAAAGAGAGGGGAGGAGAGGGGAGAAAGGAGAGGAGAGGGGAGGGGATGGGAGAAAGGAGAGGAGAGGGGAGGGGATGGGAGAAAGGAAAGGAGAGGGGAGGGGAGAGGAGGAGAAAGGAGGGGAGGGGAGGGGAGGGGAGAGGAGAGGAGGGGAGGGGAGGGGAGAGGAGAGGAGGGGAGGGGAGAGGAGAGGAGGGGAGGGGAGAGAAGGGGAGGGGAGGGAAGAGAAGGGGAGGGGAGGAGAGAGGAGAGGAGGGAAGGGGAGGGGAGAGGAAAAGGAGCACCAACATAGGTTCACAGATGATAAGCCTGCTGCTTTCAATCAGCAATCAAGAACTGCTGGCATATAGTAGATACTCAATAAATATATCCTTTTCCTTTTTATGTATTCTTTTAAAAATAACAGCAACATTTATTGAGCATTTACTCTGTGCAAGGTGCTGTTCTAAGTGCTTCATATGGTTTCATTCATTTAACACTCACAACAACTTCATAAGGTATCTAGGTACTATTATTATTATTATTTTACAAATGAAGAAACAGACACAATTTGCTCACAAATATTTACTGAGCACCTTCTATGTGCCAGATATTGTGCTAGGTCCTGGGCATAAAACAATGGACAAGAAAGATACACTTCCTGCCCTTCAGGAACTCCATCTAGTGAGTGAGATAGGCATTACCAGATAATGACACAAATAATTACTAAATCACAGAATGCTGTGATAGCACATCAAGGGATAACCTGACCTAGTCTGGGAAGTCAAGGAAGGCTTGCCTGAAGGAGTCATATCGAAGCTAAAGATGAGTAGCAGTTAGCTAGGGATAGAGGTGGAAGCAGCATGTGCAAATGTCCTGGGGTAAGAAAAAGGCTGAGGCATTTGAGGAAATAGGAGGCCAGTATGGCAGGAGCAGGAACAAGGAGAGAATAGAACCAGGTTAAGCCTGGAGAAGGAGCAAGGACCAGTCTACACAGGGCCTTGAGATGTGTTTCAGACAAACACACCCCCGGATCAGGGAAGAATCAGAGACACACTGAGTCTGGGTTTCAACAGTGCCTTCAGCTCAGTCTTTCACCAATAAGGTGGGAAAGTGTAAACTAAGAATGGAATGGGCTGGGCACGGTGGCTCACACCTGTAATCCCAACACTTTGGGAGGCCGAGGTGGGCAGATCATCTGACGTCAGGAGTTTGAGACCAGCCTGGCCAACATGGCAAAACCCTGTCTCTACTAAAAACACAAAAATTAGCTGGGCGTGGTGGCACATGCCTGTAATCCCAGCTACTCGGGAGGCTGAGGCAGGAGAATCACTTGAACCTGGGAGGCAGAGGTTGCAGTGAGCCAAGATCACACCACTGCACTCCAGCCTGGACAAAAGAGTGAGACTCTGTCTCCAAAAAAAAAAAAAAAAGACAGAATGGAATGATTTGGTCACTTGAATAATATTTGCTAAAGAAATGTTGACTAATTTTGTGCAATCTAAAAAAGCTCTCTAGTGACATGTTACAGAGTTAAAACTTTGAACTTATATGAAACCACCTGTGAATAACAGATAGAAAAATTGCTAATGGATTGACAGAGTCATAAATCCAAAAGACCCAGATGTGTTGGGAGGATGAATTAAAACCAGCAGGATGATTTCTCACATGAGATGTCATGTGTATTTCTGATATCTGGCTATGAAGTCGTTTTGCTTCATAAAATCTTGGAAGAAAGTCCCACTACATTGCACCAACTTCTCTGCCCTAAAACAAGACACTACAGCTTTCCTAAGTGTCTAACCTTAGGAGTAATAGGTAGGACTCAGCAGTGAGAACACCTAGTAGTGCCTGTCATTCCCAAGAGATGAGTAAAGTATATGGTCCTTGAGATGAGCATGAACCCAACCACCGAAGGCTCTAAAGCTCTTCCTGTAGCTTGAAGGGGTCCAAACAATGAGGCAGGCCCTGCTGTACCAAAGAGATGCTGTGTGTGATATGAGAGAGGTCTCCTGGCCCTGTGTTCAGGAGACTGGCAAGGTAAGAGAGCCACCAAGCTCAACCTTGTGATTGAGAACAATCTTGAGTGTAATTCAGTCTGGTCTCCCGGAGACATTGAGAAAAATAAGAAAGTTCTGAACTAGTAACAGGACAAAAGCCATATATAAAAATTTTAATTAAAATAAATATATATGCATATAGGTATTTGCTTATATATATTCATTTCTGCCTTTAGGTAAAATCAATAACAACTATACTTTTTCAGGATGGGGGAAGCCTGACTTGATCGTGGGTCATGTGAAAAGGGCCCAGCAATTTGCACCGACCTCAAGCCCAGCATGAATCAGCACCGTGGTAACTGTCACGAAAAAGGCAAATGCTAACTTATGCAGCATGAGATCATGGGAGAGAATGGCTCCACGCTATTCTGGGCTGTTCTGTAAAGTTGCCTTCTTTCCAGGCACCTCTTTCATGGGGCACTAACAAGCCAGATGGTGTTTAAAGCAGAATAAAGAGGGGGCTGGGGGGACTGGAAACCATGAAATGTGAGGAAGAATTGAGGGACATGAGGATGGGGGGGACACATATACCTAGAGAAAATTTACATAAAACATAAGAGCCATCTTCAAATAGCTGAAGGGTTTCTCCACAGAAAAGAGAGAAGACATTCTTCTCTCATACACAACAGGACAAAACAAGGAATAAAAGTATTAAGAAAGGTATTAAGTGTATTAAAAACAATAACATCCTGGGTGTCCAAGAAAGAATACAAAAAAAGTTACAGGAAGGTGGATTCTGGCTCAGTGAAGACAGAACTTTCATATAACCCACGTGTCTAAAAAGATGAAGAGTTAACTTATCAGAGAACTCCTTGGCCATGGACTATGTAAATACCAACCTATTTTAAATTCAATCCCCCACCTCCATGTGCCCCAATACCAATTAGCTCCAAATCAGCTCTATTTTTTTTCATGAATAACCATCACATTCTAACATACTATATAATTTACTTATCATGTCTATGTTGATTGTATGTTCTCCCTGACTAGAATATAATATCCAGTTCAATAAGAATTTGTGTCTGTTTTTGTTCACTACACATATCCTTAATGCCTAAAACTGCACCTGGCTTATAGTAGATGCTTAATAAATATTTGTAGAATGAATGAATGGAGGCCAGAAAGCCAAGGATCATAAATGCTATACAGCAGGTACTCTTTTTTTCTTTTTGTGTTTTTTTTATTTTTTTATTTTTTGGAGACAGCTCTGTCACCTAAGACGGAGTGCAGTGGCGCAATCACAGCTCACCACAGCCTTGAACTCCTGGGCTCAAGTGATCCTCCCACCTTAGCCTCCCAAGTAGCTGGAACCACAGCACACACCACCACACCTAGCTAATGTCTTAATTTTTTTTGTAGAGACAGGGTCTTACTATGTTGCCCAGGCTGGCCTTGACCTCATGGGCTCAAGTGATCTTCCTACCTCAGCCTCCCAAGGTGTTGGGATTACAGGTGTGAACCACCATGCTCAGCCAAAGCAGGTACTCTTGATCAGGGTCCAGGGAAAAGCTACAGAAAATCTCTGAACTCCCTAAAAGCAAATGCAAAATCTGATACATAGGTGCATTTTTCTAGAGAGGGCTTTCATCTGGTACCCAGAAAGATCCATGACCCAAAAAAAGCTTAACAATGCCTCAGCAGGCCGGGCACAATGGCTCACCCCTATAATCCCAACACTTTGGGAGGCTGAGGCAGGTGGATCACTTGAGGTCAAGAGTTCGAGCCAGCCTGGCCAACATGGTAAAACCCCGTCACTACCAAAAAATACAAAAATTATCCAGGCATGGTGATGCGCACCTGTAGTCCCAGCTACTGGGGAGGCTGAGGTGGGAGAATCGCTTGAACCCAGGAGGTAGAGGTTGCAGTGAGCCAAGATTGTGCCACTGCACTCCAGCCTGGGTGACAAAGTGAGACTCTGTCTCAAAAAAAATAATGCCTCAGCAGATGAATCTCTGTTGGAGGAAGGGTTGGACTTGAAAACGTTTTAGGATCCTCACCCAACTCTGATTCTACAATTCCGTGAAAATGCCAGAGTCCCAGTTGAAGGGGGAAGGGGCAGAGGATTAAGACCAATAACACCTTGTGAGTCCAAAAACCACAGGAGCCTGGAACAGGTCAGAGCACGGTGGCTGCACTGCCTGCCCCTGCCCTGGGCTCAGCAGCAGGTGGGGGAAAAGAAAGCTGCAGATGGCTTCTGAGCAGGCCTTCCACCATCCTGCTCTTATCACCTCAGTCAAACATGGGGCGGCCACTGCTGAAAAGCTTTGACCCCTGAGTGGTGAGGGTGGGAGACTTCTAAAAGGTGCTGAGCAGTTGTGAGCCTCAAGCTCCAGCAACAATTCTCCTTAGCGCTGGCATGAACCTCAGAGTCACAGGATTCCCCTACAGTTCTGGTAGAGCGCCCCCCAGGGTGGCTGGATGGATATTTTCCAGCATCCTATTGTTCTGGGAGGCTAGGCGACCGGTAGAAAATCTGATTGCTTCAGAAAAAGAGAAGGAGGAAGGTGCTTGCTATTTTAACATGTAGCAACGTATAAACAAATGGTCTGATAAACATTCAGGTGCAAGATAGTATACTAAGCAATAGGGTGCACAGTGGGTGTTCAACAAATACTTATCTTAGTTGTTTATTAACTCAATATCACTCAGTCCTTCCATCTATCCTCCACTTACCACATACCCTGCCATCTTGTGTAGTATTCAACACACATACGTTCATGCACACACATGCATATATACCGCTCTTTCAACACAAGGCTATCCAGTTTAAGATGGCTGCATATTAATACAAGCTGTCAGATTAACAAAAAATCTAAAGGCCTCAGTGGTTACCTTCTCGTCGTCATCTGTGTGAATGCAGTTCTTGTCTGGGTTCAACTCAGTCACTCTAGCTTTGATCCATTCTACACCAGATGGAATCACACTTGCCGTGGGACGACCAGATGAGGACAATTGTTTGGCACCAGCACCCACCAGTGTCCAGATTGGCTGGTAGAAATGTCTCTGAGAAACAAAGTATTTGAAGATTTATTGCAATTTGACACTGATCAAAAGGGGTCATAGCTAACAGTATGGGCTAGATTCTTTCAATCACTCCCTCCTGACCTTTAGAGCATCGTATGGAAAAGTCTCCACAAAGTTAGCTCCGTCTATTAGGCGTCTCCTATTATGGTAAGCTCTGAAGGACAGTCACTCCACACAAGAATTCTTCCAAGATCATCAGAAAAGCTATAAACTATCTTTAGTGACCACTGCATTATGTATTGCTGAAAGTTGATTTGGTGTTTAATATGTACATGTTATATGCACGTGCATATCTACACACATATTATGGATACTTCATGTGAACAAATATTTTAAAAATTAAGCCCAGCAGCCTAGATATGGTTCCTCAGGAGCATGTGGAGACAGTGGTAAGTCTGGAAAGTTTACAGCCCCTTCCAGAGGTCCTCTAAACTTCATTAACTTCCAACTGTGTTTCCCAAGCCCAGTGAGGGCTGTGTTTCCTGAACAGCCCTTCTTCTACTTTCTCAGAGACTCAGAGATTTTACACCAAAGACAATAAGTACCAGATCCTACTCCACAATGCAATGCATACCCAAACTTTCACTATCTTCTGGAGTTTTCTTGCTTCAGATGGTCCTTTTTTTTTTTTTTTTTTTTTTTTAAGACAGAGTCTCGCCCAATCACCCCAATCACCCAGGCTGGAGTGCAGTGGCACGATCTCGGCTCACTGCAACCTCCACCTCCCAGGTTCAGGCGATTCTTCTGCCTCAGCCTCCTGAGTAGCTGGGACTACAGGCATGTGCCACCATGCCTGGCTAATTTTTGCATTTTTAGTAGAGATGGCATTTCACCATGTTGCCTAGGTTGGTCTTGAACTCCTGACCTCAGGTGATCTGCCTTCCTCAGCCTCTCAAAGTGCTGGGATTACAGCCCTGAGCCACTGTGCCCAGCAACAGTCCATTCTTGATCTAAGTTAGTTGTAAAAGTTCTGGACATAGGGGCAAAGGGCAGATTTGTTTAATGGCCTCTAAGAATTCCAATCCACTTAGAGTAGACTGGGGACCAAGAGCTCTCAATATTGCCAAAATGCCTCAAAGTAGCTGGCCAGCACTGCCAAAACCCACAGAGAGGTGAAGAGGACACCAGGAATGACTTTGCAATCTCCCTACAAGCAATAATGTGATCCAAGAGGGAGGAAGACAGAGGTCTCCATTTATGAGAGCTCATCAATGGCCAGTCTATCTTGAACAGTAAGAGGAGCAAAAATACAAGCTCAGATTTTATTTTTAGACTATGAACATCAGCTCCAGCTATCACTAAATCAGACTCAGCAGGGAAAGTACCAAGCCTGGGGCTCTGGCAGCTCCTTCCAGAAATTCCTGTCCTGTACTTCCTCACGGGGCAGGACAAACTTGATTCTGGCCGCCTGAATTGTGCCCAGGTCCCAGAAGAGCCAGTCTCCTTACAAAGAGAAGCCTGACTGGGAGACCCGCCCACGCATTAGCTAAAATACAACATATACCAGAAACAGTAGCCACCTGACACAGCTCTCAGACCACTGTCATTTAAAGTGAGGTTCCTGAATTGAACAGACGTCACTTTAAAAAGGAAAATGATAGAGACTGCCCCCTAGTTTCCTCTCAAATCATGGCCCTGGTTAACATCATTCCCTGCTGGGGACAAATCTTGAAAAGGAGTATGTCTTCCTTGTCCTGTCCTCCCCCTGAAACAGGCACCTGATCCATTTTGCTTTTTCCTCCCAAGGATACAGCTCCCAACCAGTACATGCCTAGTTCCACAGGAAACATTAGGCAAACCACCAAAAATCTTGAATATTTTTCTGAAGCTTTTGGACAATCTTAACATGTTTTTTGTGAGACAGCGCCTTACTCAGTCTTCCCTCCTAGTGTCAGCTACCTTTTCTCCCTTATAATCTGCCCTTGCATTTAAATTTCTAAGCCCACTGACAGCTTTCCAGAGGCCTTCCTGCTCCCCAACTCATCATCCCTTCTCCAGACAGGAACAGATAGGCAAGTGCAGTGGCCATTGATTTTCCTCTGGGCAGGAGGTTGGCACTGGGAGAGTGTCATGGGTTGAATTGTATCTCTCTCAAAGAAGGATGTTGACGTTCTAACCCCAGTACCTGGGAATGTAACCTTATTTGGAAATAGGGTCTTTGCAAATGTAATCAAATTAAGATGAGGTCATTCTTGAATAGAGTGTGCCATAAATCCAATGAATGGTGGCTTTATAAAAGGGTCATGTGAAGACACAGGGACACAGAGACACACAGAGAACATTCTGTGAAGATGGAGGCAGAGAAAGGAGTGGCACAGCTACAAGCCAGAGAGTGGCAAGGATTTCAGGGTAACCACCAGAAGCTGGGAGAGAGGCATGAGACAAAGCCACCTGCCCATCCCTCTCACCCAGGCTGCAGAGGGAGCATGGCCTTGCCCATAGCTTGGTTTCAGGCTTCTAGCCTCCAGAACTGTGAGGGAATAGATGTCTGTTGTTTTAAGCCACCCAATTTGCAGTAATTTGTTATGGCAGCCCTAAGAAACTAATACAGAGGAGAACACTAAAAGCCAAGAGATCTGTTCTCCCTCTCTCTTTCCCTCCACTTCCTCCCAGTCCTTCTGGATAGGCTGCTTTCTGTGCCCAGGAGAAGCCCTAACCTGAACATATGAAGACCCATTGCTTGATAGTCATATCCAACCCCAGAACACACACACACACACACTCACACACACACACACGTACACACACACCCAGGCCCTCAAAAGGGGAGGCTTACCTCACTGGGCTCAACAATGGCCACATTCTCTGCACCCACTTTCCTCTTCATGCGGGCAGCCATGGTGATTCCGCCACTGCCCCCACCCAGCACCAGCACCTCATAATGGTTCCTGGCCGCATGGCTGGCCCCGGTGTGCAGCTGAAGGGGGCCGACCTGCTGAGTGCCCAGCCTGAGCAGGCAGGCAAAGAGCTGGGCACGGGGCCCTGATACCACAGCCACCAGTGGCACCATCTTCAGGCAGGATCAGGCTGGAAGGGAAGAGACAGGGCTGTGAGTGCCAAGGTAGAAACCATCGTGGGACTGAAGCGTTTTCTTTCCAGGAGGAAGGGAGGCCGGCATCTGGCCCGCTCCAGCTGGTCCCCATCATCTCTCAAGACCACTTTCCCCACTGGCTGTGGTCCCAAGGTCTCCTGAGAGCACCCAATTGGTAGCTATCAGTTGACTACACTTACCATTTCTCCCCTTCCGCCTACGTTCAGGCTATCGAGGACTTTGTTTGAATCAGGTTCCCCAACTCTTTAAGTCCTTCCTAATAACCTGTCTGTACCCATCCTTGTCCATCCGTAAGATCTAGGGCACCATCTGGTTGTATCCAGCTGTTGGCCCATTCTCCACGGAGGCACACTCCCCAGTGCTTTCTGTGGATTTTCAGTCCATTAAAACTGATATACGAGTCCACAATTAGAGACCTACAACATTCCTTGCAGTAAAAGGCACCTGAGACCTTGTTGAAACAGAAACCGTCTAGCAAGAAACCCACCTTCTGCAACTCAGAGTACCCACCAGGGCAATCAAGGCCTCAGCCCCCATCCAGAGGCCTCCTGGCTCTGCTTGCCCAGGGAAATATAATGTAATCAAATCACTGGCTACCGACACACAAGTGAAGGCCCTCCACACCTCTAGCAATTTCAACCAAACGATTTTAGAAAGCCATAAAAGGAGCCCTGCCTGGTATCATAAAGTTATATTTTATGGAAGGAATCTGTATATGCTGCTGACTAGTCTTTTATTACATCCAATTCAGTAAACAATTTCTCCTTAATAGTTCCTCCGAGAGACTCACTTTACCTTTAAGAAAACCTGTTTCTACTCTCAGCAGTTAGTGCTTTGGCAGAGAGGAAATTAAGGCTTCTCAAAGACTGACCTTTGCTTTACCCCACACACAAAGCTGGCCTGACATCCAGGACTCCATCTACTTGTAAACCTTGAGTGGCTCCGGCTCATGATATCTCCCTCCCTGGGTATGACAGTGCCCCAAATCCTACCGTCAAGTCCAGTTCTTAGGGTTCACCACTGCTCCAAGAACCCTTTATTAAAATGCAAGTGTCCAGCTGGGGACTAACACTTCTAGCTGCTAAGGTTACTAACTACTTAATAAAATGACTTAATTATATCATTTCCATCCTCCCGACTGGAGAAGAGGAAGCCTGCACAAGGGGATTAGAGAAAGCTGGCAGGGCAGAGGAGCTACAAAAAGAAAGAAAGGCCTTGGAGAGGGGGAAAAATAATAGGGAATGGGAAAGAGGAGCTGAGGGGCTGTTAAGATTAACTTAATTCCAGAGTTTTGGTGCCCCGACAACTTCTTCAATATTTCAGATCTGAGAAGCAACCTAGAGCTGTAGGAAGGGGATTTGGAGGCCCACGGTAAGTAGGACAGGCTCATACAGTGTTTCCAGGAGTCTAGAGTCAATAAAACCCTTCTGGAAACTTACCCTTTGACCCTGCATTTCCATTTCTAGGAATCTAATCTAAGGAAATAACCTCTAATACTGAAGAAGAAAAACCACTACAAAGATGTTTTTCACAAATGTATTCATAATCTGGTCACCCCTCTACTAATTGGTTTGTGGATTAGGGCTAATTATGTCCTGGGGACAGAAAAAAAAAAATGCAGGCTCCACACGGGCCAGGGAAGGCTCAGGTCACCACTTTAATATGGGGGCAGAGAGCAATGCAAATATCAAAACACTGGGGAAAGGTTAACTAAAATATGGAACACAAGATGATTTCTGAAGTCTTTTAAAATTATGTTCATAAACAATATATAGACCAGGCGTGGTGGTTCACACCGGTAATCCCAGCACTTTGGGAGGCCAAGACAGGTGGATCACCTGAGGTCAGCAGTTCAAGACCACCCTGGCCAACATGGTGAAACCCTGTCTCTACTAAAAATACAAAAATTTTTAGCCAGGCGTGGTGGTGTGTGCCTGTAATCCCAGCTACTAGGGAGGCTGAGCCATGAGAATTGCTTGAACCCAGGAGGCAGAGGTTGCAGTAAGCTGAGATCATGCCACTGCACTCCAACCTGGGTGACAGAGTGAGACTCTGTCTGAAAAAAACAATAAAATAAAATAAATAAAAAATGTTTACATCATGATCAGGATACAAATTAGAAATGCAATATTCTCTCAACTATGTAAGAGGAAATATATTAGAAAAAACAAAGCCAAAATTTTAACACTGGCAAGTGGTTTTCTCTGGGTTTTAGAATAATGAGTGATTTTGATTTCTTCTGCTTTTATGTATTTTATAAAAGTCTCTACTATACACATACATTAATATTGGCTGGGCATGGTGGCTCACACCTGTAATCCCAGCACTTTAGGAGGCTGAGAGAGAGGGATCACCTGAGCCCAGGAGTTTGAGACTAGCATGGAAAACATGGGGAAACCCCAACTCTATTTAAAAAAAAAAAAAATTAGCCAGGCATGGTGGTGCACCCAGCTACTACCAAGGCTGAAGTGGAAGGATCACTCAAGCCCGGGAGGTGAAGGCCACAGTGATCTGTGATTTCACCACTGTACTCCAGCCTGGGAAGAGAGGGAGACCCTGTCTCAAAATAAATAAATAAAATTAATATTAATAAAATCTTCCTTTAGATGATAATTAACATTTACAAAGTCCTTTACATAAGCATTTAACTTGTGAGTTGGCTACCACCATCATTCCCATTTAACAGATGGTAAAACTAAGGCAGATAGCAGTTAAGTGACTCTCAAAGTTATATAGCCCATGGGTGGACTGTGATTTGTACCCAGGTATTTTGGTGTGAGAGCCTCTACTTTAAACCACTACACCATACTATCTCTATGATCTTTAGAACAATATGTCTCAACAGCAACAAAACAATGCTTGTGTGATAATGTTAAACGGGGAAAAAAAAAAAAATAGGCCAGGCACGGTGGCTCACGCCTGTAATCCTAGCACTTTGGGAGGCCAAGGCGGGCGGATCACAAGGTCAGGAGATCGAGACCATCCTGGCCAACATGGTGAAATCCCGTCTCTACTAAAATACAAAAAAAAATTAGCTGGGCATGGTGGTGTACACCTGTAGTCCCAGCTACTGGGGAGGCTGAGGCAGGGGAATCACTTGAACCCGTGAGGCGAAGGTTGCAGTAAGCCAAGATTGCGCCACTGCACTCCAGCCTGGGCAACAGAGTGAGACTCTGTCTCAAAAAGAAAAAAAAAAAAAAGATATACTTTCTACAACTTCCCAGAAAAGGGAAACCATTTTTCATGATACTGATACCTAAATATTAGCAATGGTTTTAATGATTATAATTATTTTCCCTCTTCTTTGTATGTACTTTTCACAAATTTTCTTTAATACACTGTACATTTTAAATTTTAAAAATTACTCAAATAGATTTTTTTTAGATTGAAGAGAAGAAGAAATCACCAAGTAAGATATTGATGTTTCATACGGAAGGAAGAAGATATTTTATGGTGTGTACCCAGTCATCACATCCTGCTTTTCTTTCTAAATGTCCACAGAATGATAGAATCACAGCAAAACTTCTCACTTTCCAGAAAAGAAAAATCATGTTTTTCATGGTCCTGACACTATATCTATCTCCATGGGAAAAGCCCCATAGGAAGCGCCCCATGGGGCAGGGGCAGGAGGAGCAATCTAGGAGGAGGCCTGGCTAAGTTTCTGGTTTCCAGCCACCCTGTCTGAGGTTATTTGGCCTCCAAGTGATACAAGAGTTAAGAAAAATTTACTTAGGCAGATAGTGAGGGTATGGAAGTCCTCGGTAAGGTTTTCCTTTTAATGAAAAGCAGCCCCAAATCATTTTCCTGTCTAACAAAAGCAGCCTGTAAAATCGAGCTGCAGACATAGATGCTGGCAATCATGTTCAAGATGGCGGCTCCATTTTCCCTTTGCTTTGTCAGCCATGTGTACAGTAAGGAGCAGACAAGATGGCCCCAACTAAGGGGAAAGTTCATTTGCATAATAAGATGAGGGTGGGGAGGCCAGCCTTCCTGATGCACTATGTAAACATCATACCTGATCAAACCAATCTGTGAGCCCTATGTAAATCAGACACCGCCTCCACCAACCTGACTATAAAATCTGACATATCCACCACCGGCCACGTCTTTCCACTCAGAAGACCCCTCTCTCTCAATAGAGAGAGTTGTTTTTCTTTCTCTTTTCTCCTGTCTATTAAACCTCCACTCCGAAACTCCTTGTGTGTGTCCATGTCCTAAATTTTCCTGGCGCAACACGATAAACCATGGGTATACACGCCAGTCAATGTAGCCACTTCACTAGCTCCCTTCCAGTCTAATACTTCATGGTTCCTCTCTTGAAAATTTACACAAATATTTCCCTCACTCAGCCAAGAAGGCTACTTCTGCTTTATTTCATTAATTATCCATAGCCTATTCCTGGATTCAGTATTTATAAATAAAAAGTCCTCTGAACCAGATTTATTGACATCATTAATAGTCATGAAGCAGAATGTCCTGGCCTTTGCAGTCAAATTTCACTTTCCAACTATAAGAAACAACTTCACAAACACAAAAGAATGTGTTATAAGAAATGTCCAAGTTTCAAAATGCCCAAAAATCTCAATTACTTTCTAATTCTAACAATGTAACATCACCTAAACTTCCAAATCAGAAAACCCAGAACCATAATCCAACCCTGCCTATAGAGAAGGTGGAGCATGATGCAATGTCAAAGACCAGAAACAAACCAGGGCAATAATGCAGAATCATAATTTTTTAATGCCACTTTTTTTTTTTTTTTTTTTGAGTCTCACTCTGTCACCCAGGCTGGAGTACAGTGGGGAGATCTTGGCTCACTGCAACTTCCACTTCCTGAGTTCAAGCGATTTCCCCATTTCAGCCTCCTGAGTAGCTGGGATTACAGGCACAAACCACCATGCCTGGCTAATTTTGGTATTTTTAGTTGACACAGGGTTTCACCATGTTAGCCAGGCTGGCCTCATGTAATCTGCCCGCCTTGCCGTCCAAAGTGCTGGGATTACAGGCATAAACCACCCCACCCAGCCTAAATGCCACTTTTAAACCATGGTGTAATATAAAACATATTCTGTCTTTGTTCCTGGTTCCCAGCTCCAAGTTCCTAAAACTCTTGGGATTACCTGAGTGATGGAAGTGTCATTTGTTTTTCATAATGAGTCCCTGAGTTTATGCTAGTAAGGTGACTCAAGGTGGGATCCCTAGATGGCTTCAGGAGGGGGCTGGTCACCAGAAAAACCAAACACGTGACTACGATTAGAGGGTTGGAACTCTCAGCCCCACCTCTAACCTTGGGAGGGAGAATGGGGCTGGAAATTGAGCTCTATAACAAGACAAGAGCTTCTGGGTTGGTGAACTCACTGATGTGCTGGATGGTGGTGTGACCGGAGAGGGCCTGTAAGCTCTGCACCACCCTGCTACCTTGCCCCATATGTCTCTTCCATATGGCCATTCCTGAGCTGTATCCCTTATACTAAACCAGTAAACTGAGGTAGAGTGTTCCCCTGAGTTCTTTGAGTAGTTCTAGCTGATTATAGAACCTGAGGAGGATGGATCATGGGAGCCTTGGGATTTGTAGTCAGCTAGACACAGGTGTGGGTCCCCTTGGGGCCAGCAGCAGATGCCCTGCCTGGCTGGCGTCTGAAGTGAGGGCAGTCTTGTGGGACTGAGCTTTAAACTACGGGGCCTCCACTAACTCCGGGAGCTAATGCCACAATTGAATTGAATTATTGGGCACCTAGTTGGTATTGATTGGTATTGAAAAAGAGAACATATATTTGATGTTAGAAGTGGCATCAGAAAACATCACTTAGGAACCAACAGTAATTTCTGACATTGACCTAAACCAAGTTTATAGCAACAAGCAGAGAAAGATAAAATTGAAGGAAGCAACAGCCACACAATCTTTCTTTTTTCTTTTTTTTTTGAGGCGGAATCTTGCTCTGTCGCCCAGGCTGGATCTCGACTCACTGCAACCTCCACCTCCCAGGTTCAAGCAATTTTCCTGTCTCCGGCCCCCACGAGTAGCTGGGATTACAGGTGCCTGCCACCACACCTACCTAAGTTTGTATTATTAGTAGAAATGGGGTTTCACCACGTTGGCCAGACTGGTCTTGAACTCCTGACCTCAAGTGATCCACCTGCCTCGGCCTCCCACAATGCTGGGATTACAGGTGTGAGCCACCGTGCCCGGCCAGCCACACAATCTTAACGAGAAGGCAAAAAAAAAAAAAAAAAAAAAAAAAAGGAGGCTCACGCCTGTAATACCAAAACTTTAGGGAGGCTGAGGTGGGCGGGTCACTTACTTAAGATCAGGAGTTTCAGAACAGCCTGGCCAACATGGTGAAACCTGGTCTCTACAAAAACTAGAAAAAAGTAGCCGGACCTGCCGGCGTGGTACCCCGTGCATGTAATCCCAGCTACTGTGAAAGCTGAGGCACAAGAATTGCTTCAACCTGGGAGGTGGTGGTGGCTGTGAGCTGAGATCACACCCCTGCACTCCAGCCTGGGCAACAGAGTGGGACTCTGTCTCAATCAATCAATCAATCAATCACTCAATGGAAGATCAAACTGGACCCTAAAGTCAGCAGAGAAGAAATAGAAAACTGAAAACTTCTGTCAACAAGGAGCATAAATCTGATATGATTTCTTAGTCTCCTCAGAAGATAGCCTGAAACATACAGCTTTTTTAAGAAATAAGAATTAACTACCGGCCGGACGTGGTGGCTCACGCCTGTAATCCCAGCACCTCAGGAGGCCAAGGTGGGCAGATCACTTGAGGTCAGGAATTTGAGACTAGCCTGGCCAACATATCAAAACCCCCTGTCTACTAAAAATACAAAAATTAGCCAGGCGTGGTGGCACACGCTTGGGAGGCTGAGGCACAAGAATTGCTTGAACCCAGGAGGCGGGGGGTTGCAGTGAGCTGAGATCATGCCACTGCACTCCAGCCTGGGCAACAGAGTGAGAGTCTGTTTTTAAAAAAAAGAAAGAAGAAGAAGAAGAAGGAGAAGGAGGAGAAGGAGAAGAAGAAGAAGAATTAACTACCAATGATACAGGAGAATGCAGCCACTTCATCTCTACATTCTTACAAGATGAAATACACTTAAAAATCAAGGCCGGGTACGGTGGCTCATGCCTGTAATCCTAGCACTTTGGGAGGCCCAGGTGGGAGGATTGCTTGAGGCCAGGAGTTTGAGACCAGCCATAGCCAAGATGCCAAAACCCCATCTCTACCAAAAATACAAAAAAAAAGAAATTAGACGGGCATAGTGGCACATGCCTGTAGTCCCAGCTACCTTGGAGGCTGAGGTAGTGAGAGGTGACAGCGTGCTGGCAGCCCTCGCAGCCCTCACTCGCTCTCAGCACCTCCTCGGACTTGGCATCCGCTCTGGCCATGCTCAAGGAGCCCTTCAGGCCGCCACTGCGCTGTGGGGGCCCCTCTATGGGCTGGCAGGGGCCAGAGCCAGCTCCCTCTGCTTGCAGGGAGGTGTGGAGGGAGAGGCGCGGGCGGGAACCGGGGCTGCCAGCGACGCTCGCGGGCCAGCACGAGTTCTGGGTGGGCGTGGGCTCAGCAGGCCCCGCACTTGGAGTGGCAGGCTGGTGCCACAGGCCCGGGCAGTGAGGGGCTTAGCACGGGCCAGCAGCTGCGGAGGGTGCACCAGGTCCCCCAGCAGTGCCGGCCCGCAGGTGCTGCGCTTGAATTCTTCTCCAGGCCTCAGCTGCCTCCCCACAGGGCAGGGCTTGGGACCTGCAGCCCGCCATGCCCCAGCCCCCCAGCGGTGGGCTCCCACACGGGTGAGCCTCCCTGATGGGCGCCGCCCCCTGCTCTGTGATGCCCTGTCCCATTGACCGCCCAAGGGCTGAGGAGTGCAGGTGCGCGGTGCGGGACCCGGGGGCAGCTCCGCCTCGGCTCTGGCACGGGATCCACTAGGTGAAGCCAGCTGGGCTCCTGAGTCAGGTGGGGACTTGGAGAACTTTTACGTCTAGTTCAAGGTTTGTAAAGGCACCAATCAGTACCCAGTGTCTAGCTAATCTGGTGGGGACTTGGAGAACCTTTATGTCTAGCTAAGGGATTGTAGATACACCAATCAGCACTCTGTGTCTAGCTCAAGGTTTGTAAATACACCAATCAGCACTCTGTGTCTAGCTCAAGGTTTGTAAACACACCAATCAGCACCCTGTCAAAACGGACCAATCAGCTCTCTATAAAAACAGACCAATCAGCTCTCTGTAAAATGGACCAATCAGCAGGATGTGGGTGGGGCCAGATAAGGGAATAAAAGCAGGCTGCCCGAGCGAGCGGTGGCAGTCCTTTCTGGTCCTCTTTCGTGTTGTGGATGCTTTCTTCTTTTGCTCTTTGCCATAAATCTTGCTGTTGCTCGCTCTTTGAGTCCACACTGGCATTACCCTTATGTGCTGTAACACTCACTGTGAAGGTCTGCAGCTTCACTCCTGAGCCAGGGAGACCACGAACCCACCAGAAGGAAGAAAGAAACTCCAAACACATTCGAACGTTAGAAGGAACAAACTCCGGACACGCCGCCTTTAAGAACTGTAACACTCCCCACGAGGGTCCACAGGGTGATTCTTGAAGTCAGTCAGACCAAGAACCCACCAATTCCGGACACAGTAGGAGGACGGTTTCAGCCCAGGAAGTGGAGGTGGCAATGAGTCAAGATCATGCCATTGCACTCTAGCCTGGGCGACAGAGCCAGACCACATTGCAAAGGCTTAAAAAAAAGTCAGGCACAGTGGCTCGTGCCTGTAATCCCAGCACTTTGGGAGGCTGAGGCAGATGGATCACTTGAGGTCATGAGTTAAAGACCAGCCTGGCCAACATGGTGAAACCGCATCTCTACTAAAAATACAAAAATTAGCGGGCTGTGGTGGCACATAACTGTAATCCCAGGTACTTGGGAGCCTGAGGCAGGACCCCCACTTGAACCCGGGAGGCAGAGGTTGCAGTGAGCTGAGGTCACGCCAGCCTGGGTGACAGGAAGACTGTCTCAAAAAAACACACACAAAAACAACAACAACAAAAAGCATTGCCCATATCCCACCTTCTCATTTCCCCTTACCCCAGCAATTCTTAAAAAATGAGGCCAGGCACAGTGGCTCACGCCTGTAATTCCAGCACTTTGGTAGGCCAAGTCAGGTAGATCACCTCAGGCCAGGAGTTTGAGACTAGCCTGGCCAACATGGTGAAACCCTGTCTCTACCAAAAATACAAAAAAAATTAGCTGGGCATGGAGGCAGGTGCCTGTAATCCCAGCTACTCAGGAGGCTGAGGCAGGAGAATCAATTGCTTGAGCCAGGGAGGCGGAGGTTGCAGTGAGCCAAGATTGCACCACTGCACTCCAGCCTGGGCAACAGAGCAAGACTCTGTCTCAAAAAAAAGAAAAAGAAAAACATCAATAAATAAGGTAAATTTAACTTTCATTTACCAAATGGCACATGCAATATATTTTATAATCAAATAGTATTATGCTTTTAAGTTAGATTAAAATTCCTCTATTCTAAATTGATTGTGTCCCTCCTTCAAAGGATGGGAATGAATGCTTTGATATGACTGCAGTCTAACTGGAGAAGTAAAGTCCCTGTTGATTGAAAGATAAGACAGCGGACTGGGCATCCCCTACTTCCATCACTGGCCCCTAGTTCCAGACCTGGTCTGGACAAGTCTTTGGGACTTCATACCTTTCCACTACAGCCCTTCCTGGACAAGCAATACAGACTGCCTGTGTCAAAAGCTTCCTAATCTTATGTCACATGACATGGTTTGTGAGCAGCCAGGGCACCTGGCAGAGTTCAAACAGAGCTGCTGGCTAAGCAAGAATTACTCAGAGCATTCTTAATGAAAGATTCACCAAGCCAAGGATTGTCATCAACCCTTCAGCTATTTTTGCTTTTGAGGACACAGTGGGTCTTTGATTTACAATTGTTTCCTCTCAAGCCTAGGCCAGGCTGGGCCCACTCTGCTTTGGGTTTCAATAACCACAGGGCCAACCTTTAACAGATCACCTTTGTAGAACACTTCCAAAATCAAAGAGGAAAACAGTCTAATCATTAAACAGTGTCCAGCTCTTGTTGCCTACTCTGTTCTTCCCGCCAGACCTGGCCCAAGCTTACTGTGAGCTGTTGGTCTGGATCTCTGTAGCTTCCTGTCTCAGGGCACGAATGAGCACTGTGTACACGGCACAGGTCAGGCTTACACCTGGTGCCCAGGTGGAGGGACTGTTGGAAAACTCCTCCTCCTCCTCAACTAAATCCTCCCACTTGGGCTTTCTGGGCGTATTTAATTAATTAAGTCAGCCCTAATGCTATTATCAGTTATTTACACCTCTTAACCAAATATTTTCTTATTTCAAATCCAGAAGACAGGATTTGGTAGGAAAATAATCTATTCTGGCTGGGTGTGGTGGCTCACGCCTGTAATCCCAGCACTTTGCGAGGCCAAGGTGGGCGGATCACGAGGTCAGGAGATGGAGACCATCCTGGCCAATATGGTGAAACCCCGTCTCTCCTAAAAATACAAAAATTAGCTGGGTATGGTGGCACATGCCTGTTATCCCAGCTACTGGGAAGGCTGAAGCATGAGAATCGCTTGAACCCAGAAGGCGGAGGTTGCAGTGAGCCAAGATCGTGCCACTGCACTCCAGCCTGGTGACGGTGGCGCAAGATTCCGTCTCAAAAAAAAAACAAAAAAACAAAAAAACAAAAAACTATCATTGAAATAATAACTAACATTTATTGTTTACCAGTTGTACTTGTGCTGTCTCAAAGACTCCTCATAACCTTATAAATAAAATCCCCATTTTACAGATGATAAAATTGAGGGTTTGAGTAGAGATAGAGAACTTGCCTAAGGTCACATGACTAAGCAACAGAACTTAATTCAAACTATCTAATAATTCAGGAAAAATGCCTGTTGGCTGAAATTATTTTATTTTATTTTGTTTTTGAGACAGTCTTGCTCTGTCACTTGTCGCCCAGGCTGGAGTGCAGCAGCATGATCTCCACTCACTGCAGCCTCCGCCTCCTGGGCTTAAGCGATTCTTGTGCTTCAAGTCTCCCGAGTAGCTGGGATTACAGGCACCCACAACCACGCCCAGCTAATTTTTCTACTTTTAGTAGAGGCGGGATTTTGCCATGTTGGCCAGGTTGGTCTCAAACTCCTGGCCTCAAGAGATCCACCCGCCTTGGCCTCCCAAAGTGCTGCGATTTACCGGCCTGAGCCACCGGGCCTGGCCCAAGCTACTTTAAATTTGAATGAAAATAAAATAATCCCAGCACTTTGGGAGGCCAAGGCGGGCGCACTGCTTGAGCTCAGGAGTTCGAGACCAGCCTGGGCAACAGGGCGAAACCCCATCTCTACTAAAAGTACAAAATTTAGCCAAGCGTGGTGGTGTGCTTCTATAATCCCAGCTACTAGGGAGGCTGAGGCAGGAGAATCACTTGAACCCAGGAAGAGGAGGTTGCAGTGAGTGGAGACTGCCTCACTGCACTCCTGCCTGGGCCACAGACAAAGACCCTGTCTCAAAAAAAAAAAAAAAAGTTAAAGTAGCTTGGTTGAATCCCATGGAGTGAGGTGGGAGGTGAGAGTGAATATATGTTTTGTTTTGTTTTGTTTTTTTCTAACAGAGTTTCACTCTGTTGCCCAGACTGGAGTGCGGTGGCATGATCTCGGCTCACTGCAACCTCCTCCTCCCGGATTCAAGCGATTCTCCTGTCTCAGCCTCCTGAGTAGCTGGGATTACAGGCGCCCACCACAACACCCAGCTAATTTATATATTTTTAATAGAGACTGAGTTTCACCATGTTGGCCAAGCTGGTGTCGAACTCCTGACCTCAGTTGATCCACCAGCCTCGGCCTCCCTGTTACTAAATTTTAGCTTACTAAATAAACTGAAAAGAAAGAAATTAAGTTTTTTTGGCAGAGAAGGGCAAGGTACAATAATAGTACTGATTTAATTTTTTAGGAGTCTTTATCTTTCAGAAATATACACCGAGATTCTTATAGTTGAAATGACTCGGAATTTGCTTGAAAATATTTTAGGAGGTGTAAGTGGGTAGGGGTGTAGATGAAACAAAATGGGCCATGAGTTGGCAATAATTTGAAATCAGTGGATGGATATATATGGGCATTCCTTGTGGCAGTCTATTTTTGTACATGTTTGATGAAAGTTTACACAATAAAAACTTAAAATGAGTGAATGAATGAAAAATTTAAAAAAACTATGTCAGAGTGAACACTGGTTTTGCTCTTTAGTCACTGAAATGTTAAGGTTTGGGCATATTTCAATAATAGCAAGATATTAGCAATACAAGTAATAGCAACACAACTTATAATCATACATCCTCCCATGTGCATAGAGCTTTACAATTCACAGGGCCCAAACCTGAGCCCACACCGGAAGTATTGATATCACTTTACAAATGGGAAAACTGAGTTCCAAGAGGTGAAGTCACTCAAGGGTTTCACACAATGCATCAGCAGCAGGGCCAGAGCTAGCATGAATTCTTTTTCTGACGAGCAACTTTTTCTGAATATCCTTTGCAGCAGCAATGCAGGCATTAGCAGGAGCTAGCAATTCAGAGAAGGAGCAATTCCCAGTCTGCACCTTCCAGCTCCAGGGATGGCCTCTCTGCTGCGATAGGGCAGAACAGAAGAGTCCTGCATCTCTGGGTGGCCCCACATGCTGTCTCCTAGAGGGGCCGGCCTCTAAGCAGGGGCAGATCTGGGTTTTATGGGCATTGAACCCTATACAATTTGGGGCTTCAAATCTGGGGTTTCATAACCCAAAATTACCAATACAAAATTAGATACAATATCCAATATGTATTTTGAATGAGAAAGTAAATCACAACAAATACCTGTATCCTTGGTGAGTCAGGACCCTTTGTTCTGCGATCTCTTTTAGAAAATGTATCAGAAATACAAACATAGCAATGCTTGCTAGTTACAAGCTGGCTGCCTCCTGGAACATGGGAAAACTCCCTGCACCCACAGCCAATAAAGGGTCAAAACAAGATTTAACTGGAGGAGGTGAAAGGAATGAGGGAGGCAACCAAAGCAAACATCATCATTTCCCTATTACATGAAGGACATTCCTGGAAACTGGCTCACAAGATTATAGAAGCTAAGTCCCAATTCTGTAGTCAGCAGGCTGAAGACCCGGGAGAGCCTATGGTACAGTTTCAGTCTCAAGGCCAGCTCAAGACACAGGACAAGCCATGTTTCAGTTGACTCTCAACACAGAAGAACATCCGATATCCCAGCTCCAAGACACTCAGGCAGGCAGGGCTGATTGTCTCTCATTCACGGGAGTGTTCGCCTTTTTGTTCTACTGAGGCTTTCAGCTGATTGCGTAAGGCCAACCCACATTGGGGAAGACAATCTGTTTTGCTCAATCTACCCATTCAAATGTTACTCTCATCCAGAAACCCCCTCACAGGCACACCCAGAATACCGTTTGACCAAATTTCTAGGCACCCCATAGTCCAGTCAAACTGGAACATAAAATTAACCATCACACCCTCTGACTTAAACTCTAAGAAGGCGGGTCTAAATCTGGAAATACCTTAAAAAGGAAATTGTTACTGTCACCTGATTAGCATGACTTTGGTTGCCAAGAAAATGCCAAACATTAGCCCATAAATGAGATCCTTAGCATAATCTCCTCTTAATCCAAAATACATGCAAGTAACGTGTCCAGTAATATTTACAGCACATATCAATGGCACTGCATTAGATACTTCATGAAACCAGGAAGGCAACTGACTGTTTCCCCTTCCTGTCAATATTCTGAATCCTGCTGTATTAATTCTGTTTTTCATTGTCTGTATTTTTTTATGGTTTGACATTTTGGGGTCTTGCTAATCCCAGAGACTGCCCCTCCCAGGACTAGCTAACTCTGAGAGATGGTAAATGGCTTGCCTGGCTTGCCTATGACCACACCTTTGATATGTAAACCAATCAATCCAGAGCCATATTCTGAACCACCTCCTCTATTTGGCTTTAACCCTGCAAGAGGCAATTTTCCCCTGCCCTTATTATTCCAGGGCCAGGCATCAGACAACTACAACTATAGGCAGCTCATGAATCCTGGAGCACTCTAAAATTATTCAAACTAGCCAATCCCAAACCTAGCCAGCCCTTTCCCCTGCCTCACAATACAGTCTTTTGCCTGTTCTTTCCCCTCACTTTTTCTGCCCCTTCACCTACGCAGGTGCTTTCCCATATGGCCCCATGTGAGGTGTTATGCCTCCTGTTTCTAGGGAACTGTGAGTAAGAGCTTCTTCCTTCATGGCAGTCACCTCCTGATCTGTTGGCCTCACCATACTTGATTAAAACAAATCCCAGGTACGTTGTAATACATCTAGATTAAAATGCATGTGCCAACTATTCAGTCAGATGGAAGCTTTTACATGTTTAACACATTTTTGCTCGGCTTCTTCTCCTCACATATCCACTAAACTGTCAGGCGGCATCTTAAAAGCCAGGCGCGGTGGCTCATGCCTGTAATCCCAGCACTTTAGAAGGCCGAGGCAGGTGGATCACTTGAGGTCAGGAGTTTAAGACCAGCCTGGCCAACATGGTGAAACCCTGTCTCTGAAAAATACAAAAATTAGCCAGGCATGATGGCGGGTGCCTGTAATCCCAGCTACTCAGGAGGCTGAGGCAGGAGAAACGCTTGAACCTGGGAGGCAGAGGTTGCAGTGAGCCGAGATCGCGTCACTGCACTCCAGCCTGGGCACAACAGAGCAAGACTCCGTCTCAAAAAGGAGAAAAAAAAAATACGCCGTCTCTATGCCGTCTCTAAAATGCAATTTAATTACATAGTACCGAAGAATGTTACAATTTGTGGGTGATTGAGCTAAATTTTTATAAATTTTTGCAACTAAATAACATAGCTACAGTTTGAGTTTTTAAGGCAGTAACCGCTCTAGAAGAAGCAGCACGTGGCCTTCCTTTCCTTTGTCATATACTATCCTCCATTCTATTGAAACTTAAGATATCTTCTCCACCAAGAAAAATCTTCACATCTATTTTATCCATTTAACCTTGATAAAGGAGGGCATCAGCCAGAAGTGCTCAGAAAAGAAGGTGAGAAACAAGTTTTCTGCAGCATATAAGTCTATGTGCAAATTCAGGTTTATACCTACACTGAATTTGTCTCAATCACACAGGGGCTAAGTTTGCAGAACTGAAAATCAGGAAAGATAATCTAAGCTGAATTTTTATTAGGAGAATTTTTACCTGCGCAAATGATATACGATTAAATTACTTACATTTAGCTATGCTAAATATGTAAGTGTATCTTTGTGAAATAGACTTACATGAAATTCGCATGGTCACAATTCTGCTGCTGTTTAAGAATGTTTCCAGGCCAGGCATGGTGGCTCACGCCTGTAATCCCAACACTTTGGGAGGCTGAGGCAGGCGGATCATGAGGTCAGGAGATTGAGACCATCCTGGCTAACACAGTGAAACCCTATCTGTATTAAAAATACAAAAAATTAGCTGGGCGTGGTGGCACGCACCTGTAGTCCCAGCTACTTGGGAGACTGAAGCAGAAGAATTGCTTGAACCTGGGAGGCGGAGGCTGCAGTGAGCCGAGATCGCACCACTACACTCCAGCCTGGGTGACAGAGCAAGACTCCATCTCAAAAAGAAAAAAGAATGTGTCCACAAGTATTCATTGAGCGCCCACTGTATGTAAGGATGCAAGCTGAGAGACAGCAATTTCTCCAGGCCTGACCCCCTCCCACTCTTTTAGCTAGGGCATTGAGGCTTTACATGGGAAAACAAAGTTCTGGAAAGTGATCGCACAAAGGGGCAGCTTTGAGTAAGAGAATCTTCTGGTGTTGGAACAAATTAACCCTCCTGTTGGAGGAGAAACAAAACCAGTTTCACATGGGCTAATTTTGACAAATCAGTTAGGAGACTATTGGAGTGGTCCAGGTGTGAGCGATAAGCTCCTGAATTAGGTGTTAGCATTAGAAATGCAAACAAAGATTCAGATAAGATAGAGGCTGGGAAGAGAGAATAATTTCGGAAGACGTGGGAAAGGCTTCTGGAAGAAAAAAAAAAGTCAAAGTTGACATCTAGACAGCTGAAGAAAAAGGAATTATGTGAGCAGAAAAAGGGAAGTTATGTCAGGGACCTGTTCGGGCTACTTTTGGACAGTTGGGTTCAAGATTTTGAAAGGAGAATCACTTGCAATGAGAATCTCCTAACGGTGGATATAAAGGAGGGCAGTCTAGCGCTCTGGGAAGAGGGAGAAATGAGATTGGATAGGCATGTGTTACTAAAGTTTAGGTCTGAGAGCTTATTCCCAGACAATGGCAATTTGATCTAGGAGTCACAAAGCAGCAACCTGCAGGCCAAGTGCAGGCCAGAGCTGTGTTTTGCTTGGCTCACAGTGCTTTTCTTGAATTTTGAATTAGTCATCAACATTAAAAAATTTGGAGATCTCGACAAAAAATATTCCAGATTCTTGGCCTCTAACACTAAGCCCACATTCTCACATGGAAACTCTTGGCTGGAGCTGAGCAGTCATTGGTCTTCTCCACCATGCACAAGGTTTCAGTTCACTCCAGCCCCACTCAGCCTATGTTGTTCATTTGTTACCTGCTCAGCCCTGGTGTGCATTTCAGCCTGTGGTTACTGCTAATGGCAGTGAGAGCCCTTGGAAGGTCTTAATAAAACTGGATTTATAAAGAGTCCCCAGGGGAAGCTGAGAGGATGAACTGGAGCAATTCAGTTGAGTTCAGCATTTTTGATTGTTTACTAAATGCCAGGGATTGTGCTAGGCACTGCACAGCCAGTGATGGGTAAGAAGAGTCTGTCTGTTATAACAGGAAAGACCAGGAATATGAAGATCCATTAAGCGGCTGTTTCAGAAATTCAGGCACAGTGAGGGTGGGGTCTGAATGGGAACAGAGATGAGGGGTGTGAATGTGAGACACACATTGACATTTTTGCGACAATCAGCTATAGGGGATAAAGAAGAAGGAAGAATGTGAACGATGACATTATATCCACTTGTTCAGGTGAATATAATGAAGACAGGATGTGAGCAGCAATACTAGAATTACTCAAAGTGGAGTAAAGGTCCAAGGCACTGTGAGGGAGAAGGAAAGCACCCCCCTTGAAAACTGAATGAGTGTTGTTCCGAGAAAGGATAGCAGCTGTGCTCTTCCTCTTGGCACACCTCTGCTTGAGTAATGGCAGTGCTATTCTTGCCTTGTGTGTTCAGGAACTGGATTACTATACTGTTAACAAATAAAGAAAATGGAGCAATCTTCACTTAGCCCTGCAGGGCCATGTTGAAACTCTCCCTCTGGAGCTGTTATAAATCCAAACATTTGTTTAAATATTAAGCTGTGAAGCAAGTACACCAGTAGTGGGCCAGGACTGAGTCACTGGGGAAATAGGAACAATCTATATAGCTCTCTGATGATTCAAGGACTGGGAGCTGCACTGGGGTTCTTTAGTTCCCTCACTCTTCAGGGGCAAAACTGTAGGAATTTTCTTTGCAGAGTTACTGATTAAGAGTTGCTAATGAGGACTTTACAATGAAACAGTGGCTCCCTTTGCTCCTGAGAAATTTCCTACAAATTATCCTGACCTATCCTTATTTTACAATCAGAGAATGCATTGTAACAAGAGAACTGACAATTTCACCAAACCAATACAATTGCTAAGCAGAAAACACAAATTATATTTACATAAGGAAAATGCTTGCATTCAGATTCCAGGAAAGAAAAAATATGTCAGTCAATTGGATTATTTCAAATGAAAGTTAAGAGTTTTGACTGAATTATATAGGGGGAAAAAAAATGAAAGAACACCTTGTTTTTCTGCTTGCTGTAGCCAGTGGGAGCCTGACTTCTCACATTCTAGTACATAAAGAAGCACGACTTAGCTCCCCTTCAACCCCACCACTCATAGTTGGCCTCTGGTCAGGTAATTTTCAGGTTTCCTTTCTAGTCTGTATATGCCTGTGTGTGCCCATCTGCAGACTGTAGGACATGACTCACTGGAAAAAGAAGCCTGAGGTGGAATCAGTGTACTCCCAGTCACACAACAGGGATGAACTTGTTTTCCTGAGTTTGTTAAATGACCACATTAAAATTACTCATCAGCCTCAGGAGCATTGGGATTTCCACTCAGAGTCTCACATGCAAGGAGTTCACTGTAAACGGGACTGGCCATTTCATTCAAGTATATCATTCCTTGGAATCCAGTGTGTGAGGTCTTACCATAATGAGAAAACACTCTTTAATTTCAAGGTATACATTTGCTATTTGGACATAGTTGGAGAGACTCTAAACTCAATCCTTTAATAGTTGAGACAGAATGAGGTGTAGACAGCTCACGTCTCTTCTGTGTCCAGCTAGATGACAATGACCCGTTCCTGGTGAAGCTTTGTCTGAGGGCATATCAAGAGTCAAGAGACCCAGGACCACAGTCCAGGGAGTGCTAGGTACAGCTCTTCCTGACCCATTTTGGGCCATGCTTTCTTCATCAATGGAATAAAGGATCAGATTGGGTGGCATCAAAGGTCCCCTGCTTCTCTAAAACTTTGCTATCCTCTAAATGAGAAAAGGAAAATGGAAGTTCACAAGCAGGCTTTCAAATGGGGACGCTTGTTCTAATAACTCCTTAGATTGATCAGAGATGTGAATTTTTGTGGCAAAGAATAACAAGGCTTTAATAAGCAGGTCTGGAACATAATTAGAATGGAAACCATTCCTCTCAATCTCTCCCCGCAAGTCCCCAAATCATTTGTGGAAGTGTTGATATGTGACAGGCATTGTGCTATGCACTTTACGTAATTACTCACAAAAACCAGAGAGGTGGGAATTATTATTCCCATTTTATAAGTGAGGAAATGGAGATTGTAAGACCATGAGATAGTCATTTACCATTTTGAGTCCATTTCCCTGAGTGTAAAATAAGTGGAGGTGTCTAGTTGCCATTAAAGACCTTTCTTACTCAATGATTCAAAACAAGCTTAGATTTGATCACCTAGACCTTGAAAGGCTCATGATTTTCCTCCAAACTCAGATGGCCCCTCATCCATCTCAAGCATCATTTATGTGCTCACAGAAACACAAAACCACATTTACTAGACCCAGCACTGTCTTGAAGAGCTCTCACAATCTATACTCCAAACATGGTGGTTGTTAAAACACATCATTTTCCTATGGAGACATCATGGGCTACCTTAGAACAAATAGCCAAAGATATAAGAAAGTTATCATAGAGTGAAATCACCACAATCCCCACTTCCAGAAGCAGCCCTCCCTCCCAGAAGTCAGGAATTGGTACCAGGATACAGACATAGCCATTTTCTCTCCATTCATGTAGCTAGGGCCAGAGCTGCTGGTTCCCAGCTAGGTGGCATGAAAGTTCCCTGAGGGCTGGGCTAGGGCCAAAACATGGAGATTCATTATGATCAGAAGGGAGTCACCCCATGGTATTTAAGGATGATCATAACATCATCACCCATCACCCACCATACATTTACAAAGTACTTACTATGTACATGGCACAACAGCTAACCTAGGTCACTTGCTGAAGAGGCCAAGTTTTTCTTTTCCTAACAGTCAAAATCATGAAGCTGAATATGGCTTTAACAACTTCAGGCAAGATCCTAGGGACCACACAGGGTGTCTGTAGAAGGAAAGTACATGGGAGACTCTTCTGCATAGGTTGGGTAAGAGATCCTAAGAGCAAGTGATGGACATGTCGGGATCATGACTTAAAAGAGATGGTGCCTAGTTGTAGCCATTTTTTTTAAACCTATTGTCCATTTGGTAGAACCAGTTGTATTAATTTTCTAGGGCTGCCATAACAAAACACTATAGACTAGATGAAGTCTAGAGAACAGAAATTTATTTTCTCAAAGTTCTGGAGATTGAAAGTCCAAGACCTCAGTGCTGATGAGACTGGTTTCTCCTGGGATCTCTCTCCCTGGTTTGCAGATGGCCACCTTCTCAGTGTGCCTTTGCGTGGCCTTTTCTCTGTGCACATGTGCTCCTGACGAGTCATCTTCTTATAAGGATACTATTCATATTGGATTAGGGCTCCACCTTAATGACCTAACTTAATTTTCCTTTTTTTTTTTTCTTTCTTTCTTTTTTTGAGACAGAGTCTTGCTCTGTTGCGCAGGCTAGAATGCAGTGGCATGATAATCTTGGCTCAATGCAACTTCCTCCTCTCCGGTTCAAGCAAGTCTCATGCCTCAGCCCCCTGAGTAGTTGGAATTACAGGTGCACACTACCCCACCCAGCTAATATTTTGAATTTTTAGTAGAGACGGGGTTCCTCTATGTTGGCCAGGCTGGCCTCAAACTCCCAGCCTCAAGCGATCTGCTTACCTCGGCCTCCCAAAGTGCTGGGATTACAGGCGTGAGCCACCGTGCCTGGCTAATTATTCTTTTATTGAGACAAGGTCTTGCTATGTTGCTCAGGCTAGCCTCGAACTTCTGAGCTCAAGCAGTTCTCCCACCTCAGCCTCCCAAGTAGCTGGGGCTACAGGTGCTCACCACCACTTCTAACTAAGGCACTATCTCCTAATACAGTCACATTCTAAGATCCTGGGGGCTAGGGTTTCAATATATGAATTTGGTGAGTCCATAACACCAGTATTTGCCCTTCCCAAAGTTACAGACATAGATAGTCCCAGTGTGTTCTAAATTTCCGAGGGTTTTTTTGTTCTGTTTTGTTTTTTTCCACAAAGTTCTCTACCTCCTGTCCCAATTTAGCACTTTCTCAATGTAAATCACAGGGATGGTTGGCTAGATCTACTTTTCTTTATTATTATTACCACCTACATCTGGGGATTACAAAGATTTTTAAGGCTGGGATTAAGAAGCAACTAGTTGGCTTCCAGCCAGGTCTGGGCAGCTTTCCATAAGCTATCCAAACTGCTCCTATTTACCAAGTCTTCAGAGTCAAAGAGGAGTTATATAGTAGATAGTGGAGCAGGGAAACGTGAAAGGAGAAGAAAAAAGTACATCTATGCCCAGAAATGCCTTGTCATGGGTCCGTCTCCATTCTTTATAAGACATTTCCTGTGTTACAACACATCGGATTAACAAAGCTAGACACAGGCAACATGGAGGAGAAACTGTTCTGCAAAGGAATCCGGTTTCCTTTCAACATTCAGTTTCATTTTCACTGGCAGAACACCAGCCACACAGACACGCACACACAGACCCTGGGCCCTGACTGACATTTCAAACACCCCCGTTCCAAATGTGTTTATATATTTTTCCAGCCAGAAAAAAAGCCCCAAATTTAAACAAAGTCATTTCCCAAACCACCAGCTGTCTCCTTAATGAATTTTGTTTTTTGGACTTAGTCACAAGCAACCCTTTCTGACCCACTTATTCATTCAATAAATAATGAGTACCTCCCCAGGCTTGGGGATATAAGGCCATAAGCTTGGGAGGGATACAAATAAGTTCTGATAAATGGTATCTACTTCAGCCCTCTACACTAAGTGCAGTGCTGGGTGCCTTAAATACTTGGGAAGGTGTTATTATCTCCACTGTACAATGAAGAAGCTGAGGCGAAAAGAAATTCAAAAGCCAAAGTTAAGCTGGGTGTGGTGGTTGCTTTGGGAAGCAGACAAGGGCAGATCACTTGAGGTCAGCAGTTCAAGACCAGCCTAGCCAATATGGTGAAACCCTGTCTCTACCAAAAAATACAAAAATTAGCCAGGTGTGGTGGTGGGTGGCTGGTGTAATCCCAGCTACTAGGGATGCTGAGGCAGGCGAATCACTCGAACCTGCGAGGAGGTTGCAGTGAGCAGAGATCACCTCACTGTACTCCAGCTTAGGCGACACAGCAAGACCATGTCTCAAAAAAAAAAAAAAGCCAAGGTTACAATGGGCCTTGGAAATGTCAATGGAAGTGTCAAGCCCAGAAGCCAAGTCATTGGGTCAGTGCCCTTTCTACTATCAGAGGATCTTAACCTGGACCCAAAAACTTAGATGGAAAAGTATTTTACATCTTTATTTTTACGGATATTTAATATTTACATCTTTTATTTCTCTAGTATCTAACTGAAATTTAACATTTACTTCAATTATGTATGTAGCCAACAAACCACAGCAGTATTGGCAATACTAAGACTTTGTCACCAATAGAAATCACAGATATTGGCCGTGCGCAGTGGCTCATGCCTGTAATCCCAGAACTTTGGGAGTCCAAGGTGGGCGTATCACAAGGTCAAGAGATCGAGACCATCCTGGACAATATGGTGAAATCCTGTCTCTACTAAAAATACAAAAATTAGCTGGGTGTGGTGGCACACACCTGTAGTCCCATCTACTCGGGAGGCTGAGGCAGGAGAATCACTTGAACCCAGCAGGCGGAGGTTGCATTGAACCGAGATCGCGCCACTGCACTCCAGCCTGGTGACAGAGTGAGACTCCGTCTCAAAAAAAAAAAAAAAAGAAGAAAGAAATTACAGATATTTTCTTATATTACAAGTATTACCTATATCTTGAAATAATTGTTTATGTTCTTTACTACTTCAAAATTATGGTAACTATTTAATCCACTGCTAGATCTTGTTATTTAATAACCTTGTTATTAAATAACGCATTCGTTTTTTAAAGACATATATATTACCATATCATAAATTCTTTTAATGTTTTGACATGTGTTTTGCAATTGGTTTCCTTTATAATACTCTTCCTTTTGTTTTATACCTTTAAAAAAGCATTGTTCTGGTCCAGCGCGGTGGCTCACTCGTGTAATCCCAGCACTTTGGAAGGCCGAAGTGTGCGGATCATTTGAGGCCAGGAGTTCGAGACCAGCTGGGCAACATGGTGAAACCCGCCTCTACTACAAATACTAAAATTAGCCAGGTGTGCTGCGCCTGTAATCCCAGTTACTCGGCAGGCTGAGGCAGGAGAATCGCTTGAACCCGGGAGGTGGAGGTGGCAGTGAGCCGAGATCGCGCCACTGCACTCCAGCTTGGGCGACAGAGCAAGACTCTGTCTCAAAAAAAAGTATTGTTCTGAGAGTCTTTAGCCTTCCCAGAAATGCCAAAGGGGTGCACAGCACAAAAATGGAACAGAGCCCTGCATTATAGCAATGGGCAGCGCAGGCAAAGCCAGGGGCTCTGTTCAGCGTCTTTGAGCAAAAAGCCAGGTTGGAATTTTGATAAATAAAAGAGACAGATGAAGAGGAAAGGAAATGAGCCCAGATTCCACCAGAAGACCCCTTCTCCCTTTCCACCAATTCCTGTTCAGCAGGTGCCCTAAATCCTCTCCCCTTCAGGTTTCAGCTGCAGCCGACCCCTCGAGCGCCCCCTCTGTCCCACGCGCAGTGTCGGTGGATGACTGTGTCAATCCCTGGCCCCCGGACGCCGAGCACCCACTCCCGCTCCAGGACGGTGCCGAGTGACAGTCAACAGGTGGAAGGCGCCAGAAACGTCCACACACCAAGACCACGGATACTTCGGTTTTTAAGCACCCCTCGCGGGTTGGCCTCTCCGCGGCCCTGAGGCTCTGACACTCTGAGAAGGAAGCAAGAGTCCCAAGACCCGGGTTCCAGACAAGGGCAGCAAGAGCTGCAGGTGTCCGGAGTTGAGGAAGCAAAGTTTGGGGCGCGGCGCACCGGGTCTGCGGAGTCCCAGCTGCGGAAACCGAGTTAAGCTAACAAACAGCCTCAGTGGTGGTCGCTGTCCCCGCCCAGTCTCCCTCCGCTGGCCCAGGGCCAAAGATCGGCCGCGGATGCCTCTTACCCGGGCGTGAGCGGAGCCTTCGGTCACTGCGTTGGCGCAGCAAAAACCTTCGCTCCCTTCTGGGTCTCAAGGCCTGGACTGGGGCCCCGCCCGCCTGCCATCCGGGCGGAGGCTGGAGGCGGGGAAAGCGAGGCTCCCCCCAGGAAAGGTCCCGAAAAGTCCCGCCGTGCCCCGCCCGGCGCCGCAGCCCAGGCACCATGGTCAGTGAACACACCAGGGCGTTGAGCGCTCACGGGGCACAGAACCAGGAACAAGCGTCCATCCGGCCTGGGGTGCTGCCGGCTGGACAGACTCGCCCCTTGCGCGCCCTGAAGGGCGGCCCCGCAGGCTGGGGCGCACAGGCGGAGGACACCGAGGCCACCTGACGCTTCCGCCCCTGGGTGCCAACAGCGTTTTGTAATCAGGGCAGGCAAAAGCGGAGGCGGGGCGCTGTGCAGAGAGGCTCTGGCTGTTCCCACTGGGTCCTCCTATGTGCCCTGGGCTTCTCACCGGGTTCACACAGCTGCCCAGAAACACAGGTATTCCCGCGCTCATTTCACAGAGAAGGTGACCGAGGTTCAGCTTTGGTGTGCGCTGGAGCCCTTCCTTCAAAACGCGCAGGCAGGGGTAAGCTGGCTTCCAGCCACTGGCCTCCACAGTGTCCCATCCCATATTCATGACTGGACATTTTCAGTTGGCGGCTCTTTCCAGGTTGATGTAAAGTCTCAGTGAGTGGTTCTCCACCATATCAGATTCAGTAACCCTTTTTACAATAAATACAGGGTGTCCCAAAAGTCTCATAACCTGAGAAGTGCAAGTGCTAGAAGCTTTCAAAAAAACAAACAAAAATAAACCCTTGAAAGTTTGAGTTTCTTTTACACTTATTTGGTTTTATGAATTTTGAATATATATATATATATATATATATATAGTTGTTGTTGTTGTTTTTTGAAACAGAGTCTCACTGTGTTGCCCAGGCTGGAGCGCAGTGAGTAGAGCAATCTCGGCTCACTGCAACATCTGCCTCATGGGTTCAACCAATTCTGGTGTCTCAGCCTCCTGAGTAGCTGGGACTACAGGTGTGTGCCACCATGCCCGGCTAATTTTTGTATGTTTCAGTAGAGATGAGGTTTCACCATGTTGGCCAAGCTGGTCTCAAACTCCTGGCCTCAAGCGATCTGCCCTCCTGGGCCTCCCAAAGTGCTGGGATTACAGGCGTGAGCCACCATGCCCAGCCTTGAATATTATTTTTTTAAATGTTTTCAACTGATACTTTCTATCTTTAATCAAAGAGACTGACTGTATCTATGGCAAAATCATCATGAACAATACAATACAAACGCAGACTGTAGACTTTTATTGGTAACTCAATTCCATCTGCAGCATTGCTTCTGTGACATGATTTTCTTCTTCTTCTTTTTTTTTTTTTTTTTTTTGAGGCGAAGTCTCACTCCGTCTCCCAGGCTGGAGTGCAGTGGTGTGATCTCAGCTCACTACAACGTCCACCTCCCGGATTCAAGTGATTCTCCTGCCTCAGCCTCCCGAGTAGCTGGGACTACAGGCATCCACCACCACCCATGGCTAATTTTTGTATTTTTAGTAGAGACAGGGTTTCACCATGTTGGCCAGGCTGGTCTTGAACTCCTGACCAAGTGATCCACCCACCTTGGCCTCCCAAAGTGCTGGGATTACAGGCGTGAGCCATCGCACCCAGCCAACATGATTTTTTGAAATGGCAAATAACTCTGGTAAAGAAGCTCTGAACAAAACAAAGTATACTCTTTTCTTCCTTTATTCCAATAGAAACATTCCTGGAAATTTTAGTATGAAAACCATGCAAAATGCTTAATGTTTATAATTATCTGAACTAGAACCTAAATAACTTTACCAAAAAAATGGTTTTTTGCATACTTGAATGTTGGTGCAAGGCACAGGACACCAGAAATTGTGCAGGACTCTGGACAGTTAATTGGGTTTTTGGTTTTTTGGGTTTTTTTTTTTTTAATTGAGACAGGGTCTCACTCTGCTACCCAGGTTTGAGTGCAATGGTGCGATAACAGCTTCCTGCAGCCTTGACCTCTGGAGCTTAAACAGTCCTCCTACCTCAGCCTCCCAAATAACTGAGACCACAGGCATGTGCCACCATGCCCAACTAATTTTTTTCTAAATTTATTTATTTTTTTTTTTTGTAGAGATGGAGATCTCACTACATTGCCTAGGCTGGTCTTGAACTCCTGGGCTCAAGCCATCCTCCCGCCTCAGCCTCTCAAGGTACTGGGATTAGAGGAGTGGGCCACCATGACTGGCCAGGACAGTTCATTGTTATATGGCCCTGTTCACATAGCAAGGGAGGTTGGCTTCCTTGGTTCCCACTCTCTAAATGCCAATAGACTCTCTCCCAAATTTATGACAAATAAAAAGTCCCCTCCTATATTTCCAAAATGCTTCACCCCACTTCCCAGTCCCATCACCCTCCACATCCAAGCCAAGAAGCCCTGGTTTAAATGGGAAGGATGCAGGCGGGAAGGAGTCACAGGAGATGTGCTGCCTGCTGGGTGGTTTGAGATTGATGGCTGTGGAACCAGATTCAGAGTTAAGAAACATGTCCTGGGCTGGGTGCGGTGGCTCGTGCCTGTAATCCTAGCACTTTGGGAGGCTGTGGCAGGCAGATCACGAGGTCAGGAGTTCGAGACCAGCCTGGCCAGCATGATGAAACCCCGTCTCTACTAAAAATACAAAAAAATTAGCCGGGCATTGTGGCACGTGCCTGTAGTCCCAGCTACTCGGGAGGCTGAGGCAGGAGAATTGCTTGAACCCAGCAGGCGGAGGTTGCAGTGAGCCAAGATCGTGCCACTGCACTCCAGCCTGGGCAACAGAGCGAGACTCCATCAAAAAAGGAAGGAAGGAAGGAGGGAGGGAGGGAGGGAGGGAGGGGAGGGGAGGGGGAGGGAAATGTCCTGAGCATATCCCACATGCTGAGATCCTCCAGTGTATGTATTCTACTATCTCACTCAAGAGCCCTCCTTCCAATGCAAAAGAGAATACTTCAAAGGAGAACAGAAGTTGTAACTTGCCCATCAGACAAGGAAGGGGACTGAGAGTTGACTCACTTACTCATGCAGTCATTCTTTCATCTGGTGGATATTCTCTGAGTCCTTGCCTTCTGTGTCCAGCAAGCCCTGTGCCCGCTGTCTAGGCATACACTGTTGAAAAAAATCAGACTTGATTCCTACCCATGTGAAGTTTGCGAGGAATGAAAGTGCACTTGGGGATATGGGAAACTGAAAGAAGTATCATTAAAGGATGGGAAGAAGAAGTGATAGGAGGAGCTAGCACTAAGAGGAACACACCCCAATTCAAGAACATCCGGGAGAAGGAAAATAAATCCAAATCAGGGCTCTGGGAAGATTTGCAGACACGTGGGCAGGAAGGGCTGGCAACAGGAATGGGTGGAAATAGAGAATGGAACAGTGAAAGGGATCCTTATCACAAGAAAGGGAAGGCTCAGGAGGAAGATCAGAGCAAAGAGGCTGATCCTCCAGTACTGTCTTTCCTGCCCGATCAGCAAGCCCCACCCTCATCCCTTCCCTGCTGCAAATGCTTCCTGGATGAGTAGCTAGAGAAACAACTCATACCCTAGCCTCCCCAGCAAACCCTCCCTAGCTGGGACAGTAACCCAGCCAAGGCTTCACAGCTAAGCAATGAGACTTGTGGGAGAGCTGGGAATGAGTTCTTGCTATGCATCAGGGAGCAAGCATCACATGGTGTTTCATCCTGCCAAGCCACAGGGCAGTCTCAGAACCAGATAGGCAGATGAACAGGTTGTATTAATTTGTTTTCACACTGCTGATAAAGACATACCCAAGACTGGGAAGAAAAAGAAGTTTAATTGGACTTACAGTACCATGTGGCTGGGGAGGCCTCAGAATCATGGAGGGAGGCGAAAGGCGCTTCTTACATGGTGGCGGCAAGAGAAAATGAGGAAGAAGCAAAAGCAGAAACCCCTAATAAACCCATCAGATCTCGTGAGACTAACTCACTATCATGAGAATAGCACTTGAGAGACCAGCACCCATAATTCAATTACCTCACCCTGAGTCCGTCCCACAACACCTAGGAATTCTGGGAGATACAATTCAAGTTGATATTTGGGTGGGGACACAGCCAAACCATATTACAGGGCAATACTTGGGTTTCATGCCTCGTTTTTAAAAGACAGCCCCAACACCTCCCAAACATGCTGTTTTCCTCACAGCTAATCTGCTTATCAAATAATAACTAAAACTACATCAGTCTACAGGGTAGCTGGAGTAACCTCATCTGTGTCATTGAAGGTCAAGTTGTTGTTGTTTTCAGACAAGAAGCACTAATGTATATGGAGGTTCTATCTCAATCAGCATTATCGGTTGCAAGAAAGAAACCAGCTCTGGATGCCTTAAGTAGAAAAGGGACATTAGGCTGGGCACAGTGGCTCACGCCTGTAATCCCAGCACTTTGGGAGGCCAAGGCAGGTGGATCACGAGGTCAGGAGATCACCACCAGCCTGGCCAAGATGGTGAAACCCCGTCTCTACTAAAAATACAAAAATTAGCCAGGTGCAGTGGCAGGTGCCTGTAATCCCAGCTGCTCGGGAGGCTGAGGCAGAGAACTGCCTGAACCCAGAGGTTGAGGTTGCAGTGAGCTGAAATCGTGCCACTGCACTCCAGCCTGGGCAACAGAGCGAGATTCTGTCTCAAAAAAAAGAAAAAGAAGAAAAGGGACATTAAAAGGCTCTCAGGGATTCACAGAACCATTAAAATGATGGGTAATGATGGGAGGAGAAGTGCACAGGAATGAGGACAGCTGTGGATAATCAAAAAGCAGAATGTCCACCTTCTTTTAGTAGAAACAGCCTGGCTACCCCCAGGATGCTCCCATGTCATCACAAATTACTGTAGAATGAACGACACAAATATAAAGAGAGTGAGAGTGAAAATTCTCAGTGGGAGTTTCCAATTGACCAACTGTATGTCAAAGGCCAGCATTGTAGCTGTCAGAGCAGGGAGAATATACTTGGCCCCCTTACTTCTGCCAGAACTATTATGATGGGTATTCCTTCAAAAAATGGAAAGGGGGATTGAATACTGGCAGCAGCAGATGGGGAAAGAAAGATGTCTACTATAGGCTCCACAAATATAAGATCTTCTTATCATATACTTTTTTCTACATATATAAACAAAGTGGTATAATAGTGAAAATTGGCTGGACACAGTGGTTCATGCCTGTAATCCCAGCATTTTTGGAGGCCAAGGTAGGCACATCACTTGAGGTCAGGAGTTCAAGACCAGCCTGAGCAACATGATGAAACCCTGCCTCTACTAAAAATACAAAAAAAAAAAAAAAATTGCCAGGTATGGTGTCACATGCCTGTAATCCCAGCTACTCAGGAGGCTGAGGCATGAGAATCACTTGAACCTGGGAGGCATAGGTTGCAGTAAACCGAGATCGTGCCACTGCACTCCAGCCGGGGCAACAGAGCCAGACTTTGTCTCAATAATAATAATAATAATAATAATACTCAGTCCTAGAGCCACAAAAGGTTCTGCTAAATAAATGTATACTAGAGTGCGGGAGGGCAGGGAGGGGTGTGGCTCAGGCAGGCTTAGACTCTACCCAGAAAGGTCTCCTAGGACATAAGAAAAGTACTGGATCTAACATCAAGTCTTTCTCAGAAATCTGGTCTCAAATCGCGTTTGGGGCAATTCTTTACACCTGAATTTTGTCATCGTTAAAATGGAGATAAGGCCAAGTGTGGTGGCTCATGCCTGTAATCCCAGTACTTTGTGAGGCCAAGGCTGGTGTATCGCTTGAGCTCAGGAGTTTGAGACCAGCCTGGGCAACAAAATGAGACCCTGTCTCTACAAAAAAATGCAAAAATTAGCCAGGTATAGTGGCATGTGCCTGTGGTTCCAGCTACTCATGAGGCTGAGGTGGGAGCTGGCTTAAGTCCAGGAGGCAGAGGTTGCAGTGAGCCGAGATCACACCACTGCACTCCAGCCTGGGCTATAAACCAGACCCTGTCTCAAAAGAAAAAAAAAAAAGGAAAGAAAAAGGAGTTAAAATATTTTCTCCTACTTCAAGAACTACCTCAAAGATATGCCAAAAGAATAAACATTGTGTCTCTTGGGCCATAGAATACCTCAGAGCAAGTGGGACTGTGGAGACCAAAAGTTATCTTTGTGTTTGCACATCATCACTCTAAAAGAGAATATATTAATTTGTCTCAGTTAGCTGCAGTAATAAAGTACATATTTTGACTGGGCACAGTAGCCCATGCCTGTAATCCTAGCACTTTGGGAGGCCGAGGCAGGAGGATCACTTAAGCCCAGGAGTTCACGATTTTCAAGATTACCCTGGGCAACATGGCAAGACCTCATCTCTACAAAAATTCTAAAAATTATTTTTAAAAATATTAGCCAAGGCCAGATGCAGTAGTTCACACTTGTAATCCCAGCACTTTGGGAGGCCAAGGCAGGCAGATCACCTGAGATCAGGAGTTTGAGACCAGCCTGGCCAACATGGAGAAACCCCATCTCTACTAAAAATACAAAAATTAGTCGAGCATGGTGGTACACGCCTATAGTCCCAGCTATTCAGGAGGCTGAGGCAGGAGCATCACTAGAACCCAGGAGGTAGAGGCTGCAACGAGCCAAGACTGCGCCACTGCACTCCAGCCTGGGCAACAGAGTGAGACTCTGTCTCCAAAAAATAAATAAATAAATAAAAGTAGCCAGGTTTGGTGGCGCATGCGTATGGTCCCAGCTACTTCAGAGGCTGAGGTGGGAGGGGTGCTTGAGCCCAGGAGGTCACAGCTACAGTGAGCCATGATGGCACCATTGCACTCCAACCTAGTTGACTAAGCAAGATCTTGTCTCAAAAATATTGTATGTTCCAGGAACAGCTTACATATAGCTTGTGGGAGCCAGGGTGGGCAAAAAGCATGCCGCTACAATATTGAGGATGTGTGCTCTGCTTGCTGATTGCAGCTTCTGATCATAAAGATGCAGACAAAGAGGCAGGTGGCCATGTTGTTGCACCTGCCCCCCCACCCCGTTGCAACCTCCTTTCCCTCAAGCTGAAGTGACTTTCAAGTGATTTAAAGATCCAGTACCCCTTCCTCACCTCTTCATTTTTCTTTTTTCTCTCTTTTAATAGCCAGACATTAAAGACTAGGACACTCAAAAGCAACTGTATATATGGGGAAAATTAGAAAGTGACTGTGTATTCTCAAAGAAATGCATAGATTTAGGAAAGATCTGAGAAGACCCTAAGCTGACACCTTAGCTGATCTTTGCACAGAGACAGCCCACAACAATTAACAATAAAAAATAATAATAATAAACAGCAAATTCTGGGAAAGGGGAAAAATATGATTTCCAGAGTTAACACATTATTAGATTTAAATGTCCAGTTTTCAACAAAAATCACAAGGCATACAAAAAGAATAGAAAAGTATGGCCCATTCAAAGGAAAAACTAAATCATTATGAACTGTCCCTGAAAAAGACTTGATGGCAGACCTACTAGACAAACACTTTAAAACAATTATTATAAAGATGCTTAAAGAACAAAAGGAAGATGTGGAGAAAATCAAGAAATCAATGTATGAACAAAATGAAAATATCAAAAAATAGATGTAAGATCTAAGCCAGGCACAGTGGTGAATGCCTGCAGTCACAGCCACTCAGAAGGCAGGGGGGTCACTTGAGACCAGCCTGGGAAACATAGCAAGATCCTGTTGAAAAAGAGAGAGAGAAAGAATGAGAGAGAGAAGGAAAAAGAGAGAGAGAAAGAGAGACAGAGAGAAAGAGAGACAGAGAGAAAAAAGCAACCTTAAAAATAATCTAAAAAGAAATTTTGAAGATCAAAAGTACAATAACTGGACCAGGCACAGTGGCTCATGCCTGTAATCCCAGCACTTTGGGAGGCCAAGTCAGGCAGATCACTCAAGGCCAGGAGTTCAAGACCAGCCTGGCCAACATGGTGAAACCCCATCTCCACTAAAAATACAAAAATTAGCCAGCTGTGGTGCCTGTAATCCCAGCTACTCAGGAGCCTGAGGCACGAGAATCACTTAAACCTAGGATGTGGAAGTTGCAATGAGCTGAGATCATGCCACTGCACTCTAGCCTCCCACTAGTGAGAGAGATTCTGTCTCAATTAAAAAAAAAATAGTACAATAACTGAAATGTAAATTCACTAGAGGGATTCAAAGGCAGATTTGAGCAAGCAAAAGAATCAGTGAACTTGAAGATAATAGAACTTGAAGACAATAGAAATTATTAAGTCTGAGGAGCAGAAATAAAAATTACTGAAGGAAAGTGAACAGAGCCTAAGACATCTGTGGGACACCATCAAGCAGATCAACATACACATTGTGGGAGTTCCAGAGGAGAAGAGAAAGAGAAAGGAACAGAAATAATATCTGAATATATAATGGCTGAAAAGTTTCCAAATGTGATAAAATATATAAATACAAACATACAAAAAGCTCAACTCCAAGAAAGATGAACTCAAAGAGACCATACTAAACATATTATAACTAAAATTTTGAAAAACAAAGACCAAAAGAGAATCTTGAAAGCAGCAAGACAGAAGCAATTTGTCTCATACAAGGGATCCTTGATAAGATTATCAGATTTCTCATCAGGAACTTTGGAGGCCAGAGAGCAATGGGCCAATATATTTAAAGTGCTAAAACAGAAAAAAACTGTCAACCAAGAATTGTATAACCAGCAGATCTGTCCTTTAAAAGTGAGACAGGAATTAAGATATTTCCAGATAAACAAAAAAACGAGAGTTTGTAACCACTAGATCTCCCCTGTAAGAAATTCTCAAAGGAGTTCTTCAGAGTGAAATTAAAGAACACTAGACAGTAACTCAAAGTTGTATGAAGAAATAAAGATCTCAATAAAGGTAAATACATGGGCAATAATAAAGGTTAGTATTGTTTTAACAGTCTTAATTCCACTATTTTTTTTCTACATGATTTAAGAGATGAACACATTTTTAAAATTATTAGCCTAAAAGGTAGTGCTATAGTTTGGATGATTTTCCTCTCCAAATCTCATAATGAAAGTTGATCTCCACCAGGTGCAGTGGCTTATGCCTGTAATCCCAGCACTTTGGGAGGCCAAGGCAGGCAGATCAACTGAGGTCGGAAGTTCAAGACCATCCTCGTCAACATGGAGAAACCCCATCTCTACTAAAATACAAAAATTGGCCAGGTGTGGTGGTGCACACATGTGGTCCCAGCTACTTAGGAGGCTGAGGCAGGAGAATTGCTTTAATCCAGGAGACAGAGGTTGCAGTGAGCCAAGATCACGCCACTGCACTCCAGCCAGAGCAATTGAGTAAGACTCCATCTCAAAAAAAATCTCCAATGTTGGAGGCAGAGCCTGGGGCCTAATGGGAGGTGTCTGAGTCATGGGGCAGATCCCTCGTGAATAGATTAATGTCCCTTTTAGCCTTCTTTGTTTCCTCTCAACTACCCTTTACTTTTCTCCCTCTTTTTTTTTTTTTTTTATACTTTAAGTTCTAGGGTACATGTGCACAATGTACAGGTTTGTTACATAGGTACACATGTGCCATGTTGGTTTGCTGCACCCATCAACTTGTCATGTACATTAGGTATTTCTCCTAATGCTATCCCTCCCACAGCCCCCCACCCCCTGACAGGCCCCAGTGTGTGATATTCCCTGCCCTGTGTCCAAGTGTTCTCATTGTTCAATTTCCACCTATGAGTGAGAACATACGGTGTTTGGTTTTCTGTCCTTGTGATAGTTTGCTTAGAATGATGGTTTCCAACTTCATCCATGTGCCTTCAAAGGACATGAACTCATCCTTTTTTATGATCGCATTGTATTCCATGGTGTATATGTGCCATATTTTCTTTCTTTTATTTTTTTTTAAAGATGGAGTCTCACTCTGTCACCCAGACTGGAGTGCAGTGGCACGATCTCGGCTCACTGCAAGCTCTGCCTCCCGGGTTCACACCATTCTCCTGCCTCAGCCTCCCAAGTAGCTGGGACTACAGGTGCCCGCCACCATGCCCGGCTACTTTTTGTATTTTTAGTAGAGACGGAGTTTCACCATGTTAGCCAGGATGGTCTTGATCTCCTGACCTTGTGATCCGCCCGCCTTGGTCTCCCAAAGTGTATGTGCCACATTTTCTTAATCTAGTCTATCATTGATGGACATTTAGGTTGGTTCCAAGTCTTTGCTATTGTGAATAGTGCCACAATAAACATACGTGTGCATGTGTCTTTATAGTAGCATGATTTATAATCCTTCGGGTATATACCCAGTAATGGGATCGCTGGGTCAAATCATATTTCTAGTTCTAGATCCTTGAGGAATTGCCACACTGTCTTCCACAATGGTTGAACTAGTTTACAGTCCCACCAACAATGTAAAAGTGTTCCTATTTCTCCACATCCTCTCCAGCATCTGTTGTTTCCTGACTTTTTAATGATCATCATTCTAACTGGCGTGAGATAGTATCTCATTGTGGTTTTGATTTGCATTTCTCTGATGACCAGTGATGATGAGCATTTTTTCATATGTGTGTTGGCTGCATAAATGTCTTCTTTTGAGAAGAGTCTGTTCATATCCTTTGCCCACTTTTTGATGGGGTTGTTTGTTTTTTTCTTGTACATTTGTTTAAGTTCTTTGTAGATTCTGGATATTAGCCTTTTGTCAGATGGGTAGATTGCAAAAATTTTCTCCCATTCTGTAGGTTGCCTGTTCACTCTGATGGTAGTTTCTTTTGCCATGAAGAAGCTCTTTAGTTTAATTAGATCCATTTGTCTATTTTGGCTTTTGCTGCCATTGCTTTTGGTGCGTGAAGTCCTTGCCCATGTCTGTGTCCTGAATGGTATTGCCTAGATTTTCTTCTAGGATTTTTATGGTTTTAGGTCTAACATTTAAGTCTTTCATCCATCTTGAGTTAATTTTCATATAAGGTGTAAGGAAGGGATCCAGTTTCAGCTTTCTACATGTGGCTATCCAGGTTTCGCAGCACCATTTATTAAATAAGGAATCCTTTCCCCATTTCTTGTTTTTGTCAGGTTTGTCAAAGATCAGATGGTTGTAGATGTGTGGTGTTATTTCTGAGGCCTCTGTCCTGTTCCATTGGTCTATATATCTGTTTTGGTACCAGTACCATGCTGTTTTGGTTACTGTAGCCTTGTAGTATAGTTTGAAGTCAGGTAGAGTGATGCCTCTAGCTTTGTTCTTTTTGCTTAGGATTATCTTGGCAATGCGGGCTCTTTTTTGGTTTCATATGAACTTTAAAGTAGTTTTTTCCAATTCTGTGAAGAAAGTCATTGGTAGCTTGATGGGGATGGCATTGAATCTAAAAATTACCTTGGGCAGTATGGCCATTTTCACAATATTGATTCTTCCTATCCATAAGCACGGAATGTTCTTCCATTTGTTTGTGTCCTCCTTTATTTCATTGGGCAGTGGTTTGTAGTTCTCCTTGAAGAGGTCCTTCATATCCCTTGTAAGTTGGATTCCTAGATATTTCTCTTTGTAGCAATTGTGAATGGGAGTTCACTCATGATTTGGCTCTCTGTCTGTTATTGGTGTAAAGGAACACTTGTGATTTTTGCACATTGATTTTGTATCCTGAGACTTTGCTGAAGTTGCTCATCAGCTTAAGGAGATTTTTGGGCTGAGAAGATGGGGTTTTCTAAATATACAATCATGTCATCTGCAAATGGAAATTTGACTTCCTCTTTTCCCAAATGAATACTCTTTATTTTTTTCTCTTGCCTGATTGCCCTGGCCAGAACTTCCAACACTTTGTTGAATAGGAGTAGTGAGAGAGGGCATCCTTGTCTTGTGCCAGTTTTCAAAGGGAATGCTTCCAGTTTTTGCTCATTCAGTATGATATTGGCTGTGGGTTTGTCATAAATAGCTCTTATTATTTTGAGATGCATTCCATTAATACCTAGTTTATTGAGAGATTTTAGCATGAAGGGCTGTTGAATTTTGTTGAAGGCTTTTCTGCATCTACTTTTCTCCCTCTTTCTTACTCCAATTCTCTTTTCTCTCAATTATTTCTCACCTTTTTCTTTTTTCTTTTTTTTTTTTAAATGGAGTTTTGCTCTTGTTGCCCAGGCTGGGAGTGCAATGGCCTGATCTCGGATCACCACAACCTCCACCTCCCAAGTTCAAGTGATTCTCCTGCCTCAGCCTCCCAAGTAGCTGGGATTACATGCATGTGCCACCACGCCCGGCTAATTTTGTATTTTTAGTAGAGATGGGGATTCTCCATGTTGGTCAGGCTGATCTCGAACTCCCGTCGTGACACGTCTGCCTCAGCCTCCCAAAGTGCTGGGATTACAGGCTTGAGCCACCGCGCCCAGCTGATTTCTCACCTTTTTCTTCCAAATGTCTCTTCCTCTCCCGGGAACCTCTACCGCAATCCCATGTCCAAAATACAATCAGCCTTGTCAATCAGGGGAGAAGCTATGGTAAAAATGGGATACAAATTAAGTTTAATCTCTGTGTGACCTGCACTGTACATTTGAAATCAAGTCATTTTATGGGTAAGTAGTATCCAGCTGGGATCCAGGAAATAAGAAGCCTAAATTGCTTTTATTGGTGGGAAAAAGAGATTTTATGTTGGAGGGTTTGTTACATACAAGTGTGAAAAGATAGCAGAATTAAGGCTCTGTGTTAATCCATGTACTCTGAGAAGCAGGCATCAAGACAGAGCTAAACATACAAGGATTTTTAAGCAAATTCTTAGGGAGAAAATGAGAGGGAGATGGTTGAGATAGCAATCAGCCTACAATGCAAGTCTGACCTCAAAAGAACAAGACAGGGACGAAAAGTTGAGTGGAAGTTTTGTATACAGCTGTGTACTCTAAGGAAGGCTTAGCAAAACTGTCAGAGCCAGTCTTAGAGAAATCCCTTATTTTCCAGGCAGAATCAGCTTAATGAGAATGTCACCTGTATAGTCACACAGGGCCAATACTTGGCTTAATCCTCTGCTGCTGCCATCTTAAATTTTTTCATCATATTTGACAAGGGGCCTGCATTTTCATTTTGCACTAGATCTTGCAAATTATGTAGCCATCTCTGTTCTCAGGAATGGGTCTGCCTAGTATCCTTGCTGAGCTGTCACTGGGCTAGGAGTAGCCCATGGGAAGCATCCTCAGTACAAACATAGCAGTACACTTCAGAGCAAAGTAACTGGGGCCCAGAAAATGAGGTTCCCTGTAGCTGAAGGTCTGTGAGGCATGTTCTAATGGCCACCACAATCTACCCCTTGAGCCGTATAGATGTACTTCTCCACACAGGTGCAAGGAGCAGCTACTCCATAGTCCTCATGGGCCTTCCTTCCTAAGGGGCAACTGAGCAGAGGGGGTTGGTTGGATGAATTACAGTCCCAAGATCACCACAGTTGATCACAGGACCACAATTAGTACTTACCTTCTCCCTCTTCCACTATTCATTCTAAATCCCCTTCACCCTCAGCTATCGCCTTGGCCGGTCTTGGTGGCTTACCTGGTGGTGTAACCCAAACTTTCATTCCTGAGGGGTCTGAACTCACGATAATCATACTCTTCTAAGGCTGAGGTTGCCGCGTCTATCTATTCACAGTTATAATGGGGCTAGGGAGTACAGGAGGTACCCAAATGAATCACCCGAGTTCCACACATCTTCCTCCTTGCCCCATCTTGTAAATGAACTTACCTCCCCCTAACGATCACTTCAGTGCTTTTGCTAGTATACCAGCTCCTCTCTTGCCTGCTGGTGCCTGAACACAAAAAGTACAAAGCACCCTGTCAGCAGCCACAACTTATAGTTCAGTGGCACCTTTATTATATCCCTGGCAAGAGTGTGTTCCCTTTGAGAATCAGGACCTCCAATCATGCAGAGCCTAGAGTTGCAGAGAAAGAAAGCAGAAAATCCCCCAGTGGATCACTGGGGAATGGTAGTAAGTGGGTCACTGGAAACGATGGTAAGTAGGGCCACTTCTCCTTCCACCCCTTAGTTTCCTGACCCTTGTATCCTTCCTACTAGGGAAGTAGAACCATAGAGAGGTCACTGATTTAATAAATGCACCGTGTCCTGAAAGATGGCACTTCATTATTTCACATCCTTTCTCAGAGCTACCATTTCAGTTGTTACTTTAGAAGACCATCTCAACAATCTATAAGGCCAGTTGCTTCTGGGTGGTGCAGTTCATAACACAACCAGAGAATCCCATGGTCAGGACCCACTCCCACACCTCCTTCACTTGAAGTAGATTCCCTAGTTGGATGCTCTGCTACGCAGGATTCCACAACTGTGGATCAAGCATTCCCTAAGCTTCCAGATGGAAGTGCTGGCTGAGGCTCTGTGGGCAGAAAAACCATACAATATTAATTTACAGTTTGCCTTAGAGTTATATTACCCATCCCACCTCCTATTATAAGATAGTCTGAGAGATCTGGACCTCTTAAACATCCAAGAACATATCACATTGATCCATTACACTGAGATGACATAAAGCTCATTAGACAGGACCAGCCAGAGGGGCAAGTATGCTGGAGGCCTTGATGAGATGCGTGCATTTCAGAGCGTAGGAGATAAACCCTGTGAAGAGTCCAGAACAGGCCATTTCAGAAACATATTTGGAGGTCTCGTGGTTGGAAGTATTCTGGAATAGCCTGTTCTAAAGTAAAAGGCAAATTGATGTATCTTCTAGCCCTGTTTTGAGGAAAGAAGGCAGTGCCTTGTAGGCCTTTTTGTGTTCTTGAGACAACATATTCCACCCCTGGGGGATATATTTCTGGCCCATGTACTGGGTGACACAGAAAGCTTCTGGCTTGAGTGGGGCTAGAACGAGAAAGGGTGCTGCAGCAGGTCCAAGCCATAGTGCAGTCAGCTCTGCCAGCAGACCCCCATGGTGTTGGAGGTGTGAGTGGTGGGAAAAGATGTAGTGTGACCACTGAATGGATCTGCAGGCCTCCTGGGCCCATTGTAAACTGGGCTTTATCTAGCACCCCATTTTTTAGTTGGTCCTCCTAAACTCTGCTCTAACAGCAGGGCTATGATGCTTCTTTGGGTCTCTCAGTATCAGTGCAACTCAGACCCTTTGTCCAATAGTTTTTTTTTTTTTTTTTAGCGGGAGGGAGTCTTGCTCTGTCGCCCAGGCTGGAGTGCAGCAGCACGATCTCGGCTCGCTGCAACCTCCGCCTCCTGTGTTCAAGCGATTCTCCTGCCTCAGCCTCCCAAGTAGCCAGGATTACAGGCGCCCACCACCACGCCCAGCTAATTTTTGTATTTTTAGTAGAGACAGGGTTTCACCATATTGGCCAGGCTGGTCTCAAACTCCTGACCTCAAGTGATCCAGCCTCAGCCTCCCAAAGTGCTGGGATTACAGGCATGACCCACTGCGCCTGGCCTGTCCAATTACTTTATAAATGTCTGATTATTCCCCCTTCAGTGTATAGTCACCCAAGAAAATGGCCATAGGTCCCTTTGAGGAGACTAGGGGAATCATCACAGTATATGTTTGCCATCATGTTGCACGGTTCTTCCTTCAACCACCTCTCCAGTCCATGTATCCAGATCTAAAAATTAACTTAAGTCTGGGAACTGGGCAAGGGAGCCGGATTTTTATTGAAATTACTGCCCTCAGCCTCTTGCTCCTCCAATTTGCTTTAAAAAAATAAATAGATCAGGGATCAGTATATGATGGCCCAGGAGCCATTGATGGCCTGATCTAGTCAATCATCTATTTTTCATAAACAAAGGTTTGTTAAAACACGGGACACTCGTTTGCTTACATATCGTCTATGGTTGCTTTTGTGCTACAACAGCTGAGCTGAGCAGTTGCCACAAAGAGTGTATGACTTGCAAAGTCTAAAATATTTAGCCCTTTACCTGAACAGTTTGTTGATCCCGTTATAGATGCTAAAAGCATCCTTGTTGACTGCCTGCCTGTTTTGCTTCTAAGTGCAAAATAGACACTACGCTCCATTAACCATGTCCACAACCCCCTGCTGGTAAAGCCCAGTGATTGTCACTCAAACCCTGCCTTTTGGTGGGTAAGGCAATTAAAGCCTCCTGGCTCCTGGCAGTTAAGTGCCACCTCCTGGCCCCCATCATGCCCACAGATGCTGACAAGCTCAGATTGTAACCGCCACTCCTACCATCAGCACGGCCTGCAGAACTTCTTAGTGATGGTGCCCTTCTCATCAGTGCATTTCGATGGCTGGGAGAATAGTGTATCTTGTGTGCCTTCTCATAGGACATATTCTCTGGTGGGTCTTTTGGCCATATATATATATTTAATATATAGAATATATATTAAATATATAGAATATATATTTAATATATATTCTATATATTTAATATATATTATATATTCTATATATTTAATATATATTATATATTCTATATATTTAATATATATTATATATTCTATATATTAAAATATATTATATATTATATATTATAAATATTAAATATATATTATATATTAATATAATTAATATATATTTAATTATATATTTATTATATATTTATATATTTCAATATATATTAATTATATATAAATAATATACAATTATTATAATATAATTTGTATTAATATATTAATATATATTAAATATATAATATAAAATATATAATATATATTTAATATAATATATTATATAATATATATAAATATATAAATATATATAAATATATAAATATATATTATATAATATATATAAATATATATAAATATATATATTTAATAAAATATATATATTTAATAAAATATATATATTTTTATATATTTAATATATATAATATATATTTAATATATATATTATATATATTAAATATATATATATGGCCAAAAGACCCACCAGAGAATATGTCCTATGAGAAGGCACACAAGATACACCACTCTCCCAGCCATCGAAATGCACTGATGAGAAGGTTACCATCACTAAGAAGTTCTGCACGCCGCGCTGATGGTCAATATTAAATTTTATATATATATTAAATTAAATATATTATATATTTAAACATTAAATTAAATATATTATACATTTAAATATATATTTAATTAAATATATATATATATATATTTTTTTTTGAGATGGAGTCTCGCTCTGTCACCTAGGCTGGAGTGCAGTGGCGTGATCTCAGCTCACTGCAAGCTCCGCCTCCCAGGTTCACACCATTCTCCTGCCTCAGCCTCCCGAGTAGCTGGGACTACAGGCGCCCACCACCCCGCTCGGCTAATTTTTTTTTTTTTTTTTTAGTAGAGACGGGGTTTCACCGTGTTAGCCAGGATGGTCTCGATCTCCTGAGCTCATGATCCACCCGCCTGAGCCTCCCAAAGTGCTGGGATTACAGGCGTGGGCCACCGCTCCCGGCCTATATTTTCGATTTTAAAATAAATATAATACCTTATTACAAAAATAGAGATGGGGATTCACCGTGTTGCCCAGGCTGGTCTCGAACTCCTGAGCTCAAGCAGTCCACCAGCCGCAGACTCTCAAAGTGCTGGGATTATAGGTGTAAGCCGCTGCGCCTGGCCCGGCCTTATATAATATAGTCCTTCAAACACGTCCACTTCCTTCAGCCTCTTTGTTCTTATCTGTACTATCTGCCTGAGTGAAGAAGTAAAGGAGGGTTGGGGAGAAGCATTAAACTACCAAGCAGAGCTTCAGCAAGGCTAACAGGGAGTCCTTGAATCAAAGTCAGAGAAGTCCCATGTCTTCCAGGAATAGACCTGTCTTAGTATCCCTGCCGGCCTTAACTATTTGCTAGGAGCAGCCTGTATAGGAAGCATGCCTGGGTGCAAATGCAGATAGGTCTCAGTACAGCAATGGAGCCCTTAGGCCATTTTGTTCCCTGTGGCTGGAGGTGTGTGAGGCACATTCTCCTGGCCACCATAGGAGCCAGAACAAAGACCAGGATGGGTGTGACACAGCCTGATTTAAATGCCAGTCTGCGTCTTTAATAACAGGTCTGACTTGTAAAGTAATACAAGCTGCTGCTCAGGATGGCACTGCTTTCAGGAGTGTCTTTTGAGTCAGTAGAATAAGACGGCTCCCAGGCAGACTGCATAGGGACAAAGTGATTCGTGTGTGCCTCACCTCCTCTCTCCTTGCTATTATACTTGCAATCCAAACAGGAAAGAAGTACTTGCCCTGACTCAGAAGCAGTCTATTCCCTGTTCCTCCATTCTGAGAGGGTGAATTGACAGATCTTAGGATTCCTCACTTGAGGCCTAGGCTGTGAGGTGGTTAAAGGCCAAAAACAACCCACCTGCAATGAGTGCATTTGCCTGGAAGCTGCAATTGCAGCAAGAGCCATTGATGTCACAGTACGTTAATGCCAGTAAGAGTCTTAGGGATCACCTCCTGTCTGTACATTTATCCCTAAGGGAAACTAACTTTCTCCAGTGATAAAAATTTCGCTTCTAGTACTAGCTATGCTCTTTCTTCAAAGCTATGAAGGTGCAAAATAGATGGAGCTGAGTGGTAGGCTACAGACCCAGAAATGCAGGCCCAGGAAGGCAGAATCAAGGATAGATTTCTCCAGATGGTGGTGGGGATGAAATGTCTCAAAACAGCCCTGCCTTAACGGGAATGTCCTAACCATCCCGCAGTTGTTAATTTCTCCTAGCAGCTTTGTCTTCCTTCTATCAGCATCATTGTTATCTCAAGGAGACGCTCCTGAGCCAAATCTCACCCAGTTCTAGTCTCACTGTTGCTCATTTCTATCCCTAGAGGTGTGGAGTTTTACCGGCTGTCTAGAATTAAAGCAACCTTGCAGGAAAATAACAGTTCTGTGTATCCTCACCACTAGGCTCTCTCCTTACAGAGAAACTCATGCCTTCTTCACTTTTGTTCTTCCAATATCATCAGACTGGATAAAGAAAAATAGCAGATAGATTGGTGTAGCCCCATAATTCCCCATTATGGATATAGTTTTATCAAGATATTTAAAGTAAAACTCCTAAGGTCAATTTCTATCCCTACTCCTAGGGTCTCCAACTTAAGAAAATTCACCTTTTTCCAAAAATCAAATCCCAGCCCCACCACCTACACCTGTGTGATCCTGGGCAGTTATCAGACCCAATGCGTCTCAGCTTCCTCACCTGTAAAATGGTAATAACAATAGTTACCTCCTAAGGTTGCTGTTATGAGATAACATGTATAAAGCAACTGAAATATAATACACGCTCAACAGAGCTGGGGCTCTGAATTTTAGGTTTGAGAAGGAGCTGACATAGATCTGGTATTAAAAATCTAGCCAAATATGAGAATAAGAAAAGAAATTGGACGACATGAAGGAAACACGCAGCAAAAAAATAAGGGAAACACCCAGGTGTGTGGCCGAGAGGAAGATTACATCTCTGTGCTGGTCATTGATATCTTCGTCCTTGAATTCCTGGATTAGCAGACATGGAAAATACATAAACTCCTAAGTAGGATCCTTATTATTAAATTAAATAATGTACATTAAAACATTTTGAAAAATATAACTTACTAGAATAACCTACAAGACAGTGATATGCTTATAGTTGCAATAAACAGAGATCTGTTAGGCACAGGAGGGCGGTATGGTAAAAATGTTTGTGAAAATGTGGAAAACAAGAACCTTAGCCTAGAACCCAAGAAAAGTCTAGCGCCCAAGTCTCACAGAGCCCATACAGGCAAATTGGCTCAGGATCCAAGGCATTTTGAGGGAGCTGATTACTTTGTCCCCTTTCAGAAGCAGAAGTTCATCAACCTCCTACTCATCTCCACTTAATACTCATCTACTCTGTCAGTATCTGTGTGCCCTCTCACTTATTTAATTACTAAAGGGTTGACTCTGACTATTCTAGTGCATATTCCCCAGATGGTAATTGACTAAGCCATTGAGATTCCCTGCAGTCTCCATCTAGGCAGAGTTTCTCCTGCCAGGCCAATTCATCACTGACTAGCCCGTGGGTTGGCTACTCTTGGGCCAGGTGTCCACCCCATATCCAATCAGTTAAGGCCTGACATTGTAGGCTCAGATGAATAAAAGCATGGAAACACATGGGATCCCAAAGATCCCAGCAAGATCTTTGGACTGGAATGTTTTTCTTAAATGACGATTCTGAGCATGGCTGTTAATAGATGACAGATGAATTGATCATTAATTGATCAAAACCTCAAGCCTAACATCAAACTGGGAGACTCAAGAAGTTAGAAAATATCTTAAATCCTATAAAATGTTTCAGATAGATTGCTTTCAAGCATCTCACTGTTTAAACAAAGGTCAGACCATACAGAAAATCCTAATTTGCCTAAAAAGTTATAGTTAAAAAGGCTTAGGCCAGCCAGGAGCAGTGGCTCCCACCTGTAATGCCAGCACTTTGGGAGGCCGAGGCCAGGAGTTCGAGACCAGCCTGGCCAACGTGGCAAAACCCCATCTCTACTGAAAATACAAAAAATTAGCCAGGGGTGGTGGTGGGTGCCTGTAGTCCCAGCTGCTTTGGAGGCTGAGGCACAAGAGTCGCTTGAACCCGGAGAAAGAGGTTGCAGTGAGCCGAGATCGCGCCACTGCACTCTAGTGTGAGCAACAGAGCAAGACTATCTCAAAAAAGAAAAAAGGCCTAGGCCGGCCAAACTTCATCAGACCAATTGAGACAATACTAGAATTTGTAGAACTGGGAGAACAATACCACAAGATGGCAGCATTATCCCTTTTGTGCCTTGTACTGTTAAAAAGTCTGAGAGCCAGATTATCTGTTGAGCCTGCTCTCAATTGGCCCACCTCTTTCCTGAAGCTATTTTTAAGAGAACTGAGCAGCCCCTAGTTGATGGAGAATATATAAATCTAAATAGACATGGCATCTATTTTTTTATCCTCCAGTTCACTCATTATCTCTGAGCTCATTTGATTTCTAAAATCTCAGGACCTGTTATCATTATTTTTTAGTATAATTAAATACATAATTAGGCATGGAAGCAGTGGCTTGTATTATCCAAGGATTACAAGCTCCTTAGCCATGTCTGAATTGCAGAAATTCAATTTTTTAATTGTAACATTCTTTATTTGTCATTTATGTAATCCAGTTTTTCGTTATAACTTTTAAAAATATATGTATATCTCTTTCCTACAAGATTCAATTCAAGCCCAAAATACATACTGAAAACCAACTATGAATGTTAATTTTATGTGGGAATTTGGGTAGGCCATGGTGCCCAGTATCTGGCCAACCACCAGTCTAGACGTTGCTGTGAAAGTATTTTTAAATGAGATTAAATTTAATTCAGTAGACTTAAAGGAGATTGTCCTCCATAATAGTGGGGGCCTCATCCAAGCAGTTGAAGGCTTTAAGAGAAAAAGACTGAGATCCCCAGGGAAGAGGAAATTCTGCCTCCAGACCGCCTTTGGACTCAAACTACAACATCGACTCCTCCCTGGGTTTTCAGCTGTTGGCCTGCCCTACAAATTTCAGACTTGCCAGCCCTCACAATAAGCTATAGACCAGGCACCGCACCATGGAATACAAAGATAATTAAGAAATATCTTGGGCCGCGCACCTGTAATCCCAGCTACTTGGGAGGCTGAGGCAGGAGAATCGCTTGAACCCGGGAGGCAGAGGTTGCAGTGAGCCGAGATCGAGCCACTGCACTCCAGCCTGGCAACAGAGCAAGACTCCGGCAAAAAAAAAAAGAAAAGGAAAGAAATATCTTTGATCTCATGTTAGGAAAACTCCCTACTGGAACCAATAATTGCCTCCATAAGTGGAGGGCAAGCTCAGACCAAAGGAAGAGGTAGACCACTCCAGGTTGGTAGGTAGCCAAAAATTTATTCAGGGGGAACTTACATAGAAGGCAGTCTTGGGCAGCAGCAAGACAAGGTACATCTCAGAACTTGCAATATACACCTAACCTTTCATACCATGAAAATGAAAGTGCACAGAAAGTCTCTGATGACATGTTAAGCCATCTGGTTGCTTTCTTAATCTATTTACTCTAGTTACCTTCTATCTCTTTAATTCCTACTTACAGGGATTGTTTGGGTTCCCTACAATGAATGTTCCTAAGCATGCTGGGCAGAGGGTGGGACTGCAGGGAATGGGGTAGGGGGAGGTTCCAGGCAGCAGCAGTTCACTGCTTCCTATGACTCACTTCAGTCATATACCCAGAACGCATCTGAAAAACACATGAACACATAACTAATACTGTGTTAAGACAATGTATTATGAAAATACTGTGGGAACACAGAAAAATAAATTCTTTGGGTGGCAGTGAGAAAAACTGTAAAGAGGTGCCATTTGACTTGCAAAGAATAAACAGGTCTCCAACAGGCAGACATTAGAGGCAGTGGAAACCCGATGAGCAAAAATAGATGTGCAAAAGGTGGCAAAATAAGTAGTCCCCCATGTAGATATGTGACTTCGAGGTACTAAGATATAATATCCAACATTTGAGCTCTTACTATTTTGTTAATAAGGGCTTTTATATAGATATCATGAAACTTTACATCCTTATCAAGTTACAAGCTCTTAGAATCCTAACTTCACGATTTTAGAAACTTAGGAACACAGAATTTAAGCAATTTGTCTAATGCCCCAAATCAAGCAGGAACATGAACCAAAGCAGTCTGACTTTATTTATTTATTTATTTAGGGACAGGGTCATGTTCTATCACCAGGCTGGAGTGCAGTGGTGGGATCATGGCTCACTGCCTTGACCTCCTGGGTTCAAGTGATCCACCCACCTCAGCCTCCCAAGTAACTGGAACTACAGGCATGTGCCACCACACCTGTCTAATTTTTTCTTTTCTTCTTTTTTTTTTTTTGGCAGAGATGGGGGGGGGGGTCTCACTATGTTGCCCAGGCTGGTCTCGAACTCCTGAGCTCAAGTGATCCTCCTGCTTCAGCTTCCAAAAGTGCTGGGATTATAGGTGTGAGTCATCATGCCCGGTTTCAATCTGACTTGAGTTCATAATCCTAAACACTATATTACTAAGGCCCTATGTGCTTTAAAATTTTAAATGTTATAATCAAAGGGGAGCCTAGGAACCTTCAGGTTTATAGACATATTTTTGTTTCTTAGTATTCCCTCGTCTTTTTTTTTGAGACGGAGTCTCACCCTGTCACCCAGGCTGGAGTGCAATGGGGCGATCTTGGCTCACTGCAACCTCCGCCTCCCAGGTTCAAGCGATTCTCCTGCCTCAGCCTCCCAAGTAGCTGGGATTACAGGCACGCCCTACCACACCTGGCCACTTTTTTGTATCTTTAGTAGAGACGGGGTTTCACCATGTTGGCCAGGCTGGTCTCGAACTCCTGACCTTCTGATCCACCTGCCTCGGCCTCCCAAAGTGCTGGGATTATAGGCATGAGCCACCGCGCCAGGCCTGTATTCCCTTGTACTTTTTAACTCTCTCTTCTAATGGACTAATAAAAGTCAGGCCTAAAAATAAGAGTGAAAATCATTCTCAGAGTGATTTTCAGCCCATCCTTATCAGGATTTGAACATTGCAGGCTTCCTAGAGCTCATTAGGAATATATTTATGGTCTAAACCAGAATGAACAGCTACAAACTTTTCCTCCGTTTACAATAAAGTGACAGTAGGGGGCGACTTTTTGTTACTTTTAACCAAAAACAGGTGGATTCTGTTTATTCTTTACAGAAAAATAGGTGGATTGTTTATTCTTTACAGAATAAGCCTCCCTTATTCAGGGTACGTACATGAAGCATAAATTACCTTGACCTTCCACGTTGGTCTAGGCCTGTTCTTTTCTCTTTCTCAATCACCACCCCCATCCCATCCCAAATTTTACCCACCTTCTCTTTGATTGCCCTTCTTTTACAGTGTGTTTCTTTGGAATTTTTGCTTTAAGTGCTTTTCAAATTGCAGTCATTAGAACTGTCTCTCTTGACTACTCACTTCATTCTCCTACAGGTTTTGAAAATAAACCTAGTCTCACTCAAATGCTAACCTGAAGACTAAATGGAATCTGACCTCATACATACAAACTGAGGTAAAACAGTAGGAATAAACTTGTAACCCCAGCACTTTGGGAGGCCGAGGCAGGCAGATCAAAAGGTCAGGAGATCAAGACCATCCTGGCTAACACGGTGAAACCCGTCTCTACTAAAAATACAAAAAATTAGCGAGGCATGGTGGTGGGTGCCTGTAGTCCCTGCTACTAGGGAGGCTGAGGCAGGAGAATGGCGTGAACCCGGGAGGTGGAGCTTGCAGTGAGCCGAGATCGCGCCACTGGACTCCAGCCTGGGAGACAAAGCGAGACTCCGTCTCAAAAAAAAAAAAAAAAAGCATCTCTCAAGCCATGCTGGATGCTGCGGACCAGGATGCAGTGTCAGACATGGGAGTTATTGTCCACATCATTGAAAAGGACAAAATCACCACCAGGATTGAAGGCCTGAATGGACTAACCCTGTTCGCAGAGCCCACTTTTTTTTTTTTAATAAAATAGCCTTAAAAAAAAAACTTAAAAATCTGACCTAAAATATACTATCAGTTGGAAATTTTCATTTTTTGTAAGTCGTACATGCAGGGATCCTTTTGAAGCACTTTCTACCAAACTACTAACAGTGGGTATTATTTTTGTTCTCAAAGAAAAGTGAAAAACTTTATGAAATTGGTTTGACTAGAATCTTTTCACACTATCATATTTATTTATTTATTTATTTAATTTTTTTTTTTTTTGAGATGGAGTCTCGCTCTCGCTCTGTCGCCCAGGCTGGAGTGCAAGCACACCACCACACCCTGCTCATTTTTGTATGTTTAGTAGAGACAGGGTTTCACCATGTTGGCCAGGCTGCAGGCTGGTCTTGAGCTCCTGACCTCAACTGATCCAACCGCCTCGGCCTCCCAAAGTGTTAGGATTACAGGCATGAGCCACCATGCCTGGCCTCTATCCCTTTTTTTTTTTTTTTTTTTTTTTTTTTGAGACAGGGTCTCACTCTGTCGCCCAGGCTGGAGTGCAGTGGTGTGACCTCGGCTCACTGCAACCTCTGCCTCCCAGTTCAAGTGATTCTCCTGCCTCAGCCTCCTGAGTAGTAGCTGGGATTACAGGCATGCACCACAATACCCGGCTAATTTTTGTATTTTTTGTAGAGACAGCGTTTGCCATGTTGGCCGGGCTGGTCTCGAACTCCTGGCCTCAAGTGATCCACCCACCTTGGCCTTCCAAAGTGCTGGGATTACAGGCATGAGCCACCGTGCCTGGACTTTCTATCACCTTTCTAAAAGAAATTTCAAGAGTGGACCCATAATTTTGTGACACAATAGATGGAGAACATTAAGAGAAAGATAACAGGTGAGAAGAGAAGAGAGTAGAATGTTTGAAATAATGTACATGAAGGGGAGTATATAGCGCTGTGCACAGAAGGATGCTTGATAAATGACATCAGATAATTCAGAGACCTTTTTTTATTAAATGTGTAAAAAGCAGTTCTCATCTTACAAGCTCAAAATCAGACGAATGTATGAGGGTGTATAATTGTTATATTTATAAACTGTATCACCCAAAAACTCAATGAGGACACAATCTATATTACATTCAACATTTGCATATTTACATGATACTTACTGCAAAGTAAATACAAAATGAACTCCCATCATTTTAGTTCAGAACACAGGTGATATAATTTCAAAACAAAGGCAATTTTTTTCAACAAAGAACAGAAGTCTCCCAAGTACCAATTCACTATTTTGCAGAAAAATACAACACTAATTATAAGATTTCCATTCCAGTTTAGTCAGTAAGATACGTTGTTTGTTTGTTTGTTTGTTTTGTTTTTAGAAACAGGGTCTCACTCTGTCATACGGGCTGGAGTTCAGTGGTGCGATCAGAATTCACTGCAGCCTTGAACTCCTGGGCTCAAAGAATCTTCCCACCTCAGCCTCCCAAAGCACTGGGATTACAGGTGTGAGCCATCACAGTCTAGTAAGGTATGTTTTTGTTACTGAAATACAGCTAAAGTTTTGGATTTTAATCACCAAAATAACAGTACTTCTGGTTTACAATTGACTTTAAAATAAAGGATACTAATATATATTTATTTTCACATTTTTTTTAAATCTTCAAAACTGAAATACAATTCTGAAAGTATTTGTGCCTTGTCATTTGTTCAATAAATTTGATTTGTTTTTAAACAGGTCACAAAAGTTCAATTAGCTAACCAGAATTCTATATCTATTGCCTGTCTACTGGGGTTCAGTCTTAAGTCTGACTATATCAAAAGCAGCAGCTCAGAATTTATTTCATAAAATTAATCCCAAGAGTTACTGGGTAGCTTTTAAAGTATTTCATCGCTTATAATACAACTCACTAGATAGATAGTCTATACTAGTGACTCGTGACATCAAAATTATCTGGAGAGTTTTTTAAAAAATACGTAGGATCCACATCATAACTACACTAAGAATCAAGAATGTCTGTATTTTTTTTAACGTTCCCAGGTTATAATGCTATGCAGCCTAGCGTGGGAAACCCCAACGTACCACTAAGCCTGTGGTTCTCAACTTTTCAGGTGCACTGGAATCACTGGGGGAAACTTTAAAAACAAAAAGCAAAGCAAAACAAACAAAGAAAACAGATGTGCTTCAGTAGATAGAGAATTGTGTGCAGGAACCAGCATTTTAAACAACCACTGCAGTTGGTCCCAAATGACTCAGAAACGCTGTACTACCTTTGTCAGATATCATATTATAATGAGTACATTCAGCAATTTAGGTGACATTGTCTGCAAGCCCTAATGAATCCTGCCCTAGGCAGTTTTAGCAAGTGTTTGAGGGCAACACTCAGCCTTTCAAATAAAATATATTTATATTCTTAAATATTAGGTCAAAGTCAACTGAATTGTGAGACCATCATTCATTAAAGAAGGCAAATGCTCTTTTCCAACAATTTAAACCTTTAAACAAACCAGTTCTTAGCCCTCAACTTAAACCTAATGCTTTCTCTATCGTTAGCCTGATATGTGATCAGAGGTAGTGATTCCATCTTACCAGAAATGTATTGTGGATTATAAAAGATACCATTCATACATCTTCACAGGCTCTGTACAGTCCCTATGTAATGGAGATTGGAGACCAGTTGGATATTAAATAATACTGTAAAACAGTAAACAATACACTCTTGATTTTAAACAATGAAACCTCGTATTTCCCTCAAACAATAAATTCTTACATATAATATCCAGAAAAAAATTCTAGAAAACACTAAAGGTATCACGCTGCCTCTTTTGTGAAGCTATTTACTAATTTTTCACCATCCCTGTAATTATCTATAAAGTGGGTATTTGGTGTACATCATTCCACTTCAAGAAATTTTTTTTTCTTTTTTTTGGAGACGGAGTCTTGCTCTGTCACCAAGGCTGGAGTGCAGTGGCACGATCTTGGCTTACTGCAACCTCTGCCTCCTGGGTTCAAGCAATTCTCCTGCCTCAGCCTCCCAAGTAGCTGGGACTACAGGCGCACGCCCCCACACCCAGCTAATTTTTGTATTTCTAGTAGAGACGGGGTTTCACCATGTTGGCCAGGATGGTCTCAATCTTTTGACCTCATGATCCACCCGCCTCGGCGTCCCAAAGCGTTGGGATTACAGGCATGAGCCACCGCACCCGGCCTCACTTCAAGAATTTTTTACAAGCACAGAAACTATATCTCAGTGTATGATAACTGTTACTATAATACTATATTGTATTATAAATATACAAGCTCATTTGAGTGTGTGATAGCTCCACTACCTCCACCAAGCTTTAGGAATATATATAATCTACTTTGAACCCAAAAGCCACAGAAGCAGTGACAACGACGCTAAGAAGCAGAAAGAGTATATGGTTAGTAGAAACTATCTGGCATCTTGCTCACCTGAACTACACCTAAAGTGCTGTTATTTCCCGTACATGCACTTTTCCATTATGTTCTTCACAAAGGCTCACCTCTTTTCCATAAGCCACCATGCCCAGTCCACAAACCAAATTATTTTTAATGTTCAACAGAAAAGAAAGGTAGCAACAAGTTCCTTATTTTTGTTAATTCCTTGTTTCTTGTAATAAAGAGTATCACTTCCTCTCACCAAAAAGCTATAGAGCTTCTGATGAAATTCAACTGTTCAAAAGGTTTACCTCTTTTCCAGGGGTAGGTGTGATTAAACAGCTGGCATTTCTTCTTAACAAAGTAATGAAAAGGCAATTACTAAAAAATCAGCATTGTATTACCAGAAAGGCAAGTCATTTCATAAAATAAGAACTGGAGAGTTTTAAATCCATATTCATTAAGAAGCTAAAAAATTCATACTAATTTTTAACCACTTAGAGTTTTGACTCACAATAATCAAACCACTTTCCAGTTTATAAATAATTCAAGATCAAAATAATAAATTTTAAAATTAAGCAAAATTTGAAAAACTTACATATAAATATCAAAAACCATGCAACATGACGTCTGCTACTTGGAAAAAAGGCATGGAGACACAGTAATACCGGAATAAGGATTTCAACATATGACATAATGGCATAAGGCACTACCTCAACTTCAGTCTACACTTGAGTCATCATAACCCAAATATGGGACAGGAGAAGAAAACACACAAACACAACTTTTCACATCCTTTTGGCTGGTCTGGCAGTTAACTGCTTTTCTCTTTCAAACTCCTTCTCTCGTTGCTGCTCCCTTTCCAACTCTTCTTTTTGCCTCTTCTGCTGCAGTTTAAGTGCTCTTTTCTGTGTTAAAAAAAAAATTTAAAAACCAAGAGAGCAATCAGGGGTTACAGGTTTAGCCTAATTTGAAAATAACAGTGCTCTGCTTTGAGGTAATTCATTCACACTAATAAACTTCATCTTGGACATTTAAATTTGGGATAATTTAAGGTCCCTTTGATTCAAAAAAATTTGTTGCTCTAAACTCTTATTAAATGAGAACTGTAGGGCATATCCAGAGAATCTAAGCCTATCAGCCCAGCTATTAGTAAAAATGCTCAGAGTGCAGTTGAAAAAAAAATGATATTTTTAAGGCTGCACGCAGTGGCTCATGTCTGTAATCCCAGCACTTAGGGAGGTCGAGGCCAGAGGGCTGCTTGAGCTCAGGAGTTTAAGACCAGCCTCGGAAACGTAGTGAGACCCTGTCTCTAATATTTCTTAAACAATGACATTTTTAAAAAGAAAACAATGTACCATGAATGAATTATGCTATTGTATATGAGGGTATAAAAGTCAAAATATGAATACTGGCCGGGCACAGTGGCTCACGCCTGTAATCTCAGCACTTTGGGAGGCCAAGGCAGGCGTATCACCTGAGGTCAGGAGTTTGAGACCAGCCTGGCCAACATGGTAGAACGCTGTCTCTACTAAAAATACAAAAATTAGGTGGGTGTGGTGGCGGGCACCTGTAATCCCAGCTACCTGGGGAGCTGAGGCAGAAGAATCGCTTCAACCCCGGAGGCAGAGGTTGCAGTGAGCCGAGATTGCACCATTGCACTCCAGCCTGGGCGGCAAGAGCAAAACTCCGTCTCAAAAAAAAAAAGAATACTGAAAAAAAAAAAAAACAACAAAAAACAATTAAACCTCTACTTTTGTAAAGAATGTGAAAGAATTTTCAACTCACTTTTAACTTTGATGTTTTTTCATGAAGCATCAGCATCTCTTTTCTTATATTCACCAACTTGGCATGATAGTGTTTAGCCTCAGCAAACTTAACATGGAAAAATAAATGAAAAGTCAAGTTAAAATAGACTAAAATATCAAAATGAATAAATAAGGCAATATATAAATGATAGTTTGTGCTTCCTAAATTGGTCAAAATTTTTACAGCCTTATCTTCACATTTTAATTCCAAAATAAAGATTTCCTTATATTGTTAGTAGGATTTGAAAGACATTTGATTTAGTTCAGATTGACAAAAGTGTTACTAAACATAAAATAGACATTTATATTAAGATGGGCATAGACAATATTTTGCTTTAAAAACATATAATTCTAAAATTTCAGATAAGACTATCTAATAATGCTATCAGTTTCATTTAAGAAAAGTAAAACATTCTCTCTGCCTTTACAAGAGACAGACTGAGCCAGAGCACATGAAACAGTTTAAGTGAAGTGTCTGCCCATAAGGAAAACCCAAACTGTGGCCACAGAGCCCTGGACAGAAAGGACTGTGGACAAGTTTAATCCATTCCTTGGGCTGCTTTAGTCAGACTAAGCAGAATGATCTCTGTGAGGACACTTTCCTTCTTGAGGAGTCTTAAGTACAGACTTTACAACTCAGCCAACCTGCATAATCTAAAATGAAGTCTTATGTCAGGAGAAGATGGGAGGATGATGCAAGCCTAGAGATGTCAGAGAGAAGGAGAAAAGCACCCTATTTTCAGACAAGGTTACAGAAAGAGAAGAAATGAAAGAAATGTCAGTAGAGAGATTCACAGCCTTAATGTAGCTGCAAGTAAAGTCATTGTCTGATTAGCTCAGAAGTTACAGTGCCTTTTTACATATCCTGGGCCTTCCAGTTTTCAGTTCCCAGATGATAATAAAAACTACTCTTGACTAAGAGAAGAAAAAAGAGGAAGACTCCATCCTGCCCCTTCAGACTAAAGCAACAGTATTACATCTGCTTGGTTAATTCATTCAACATTCATTCATTCAACAAATATTCCTTCTGTTGCAACAGGATTTCAGTGGGGAACACAAAAATAGGTCAGTGTAGCCTTGCCCACCTCCCTCGCAAGAAACCAGGAACTACTGGGCAGATGGCTCTGTATTTACTTCCACAGGCCTCTAATGCCAGAGAATATGAACTTTGTTTTTAATTGTTACAAATGGAAAACATTAGTAAACCATCTTTGTCCAAAGAAAAGTCCATTTTTTTGAGGTATGCATGAATGGCTACAGTCATGTAAACCCAGCTTCTTTTTTTCTTAATAGAGATGGGGTCTTGCTACGTTGGCCAGGTTGGTCTTAAACTGCACGCCTCAAGTAATCCTCCTACCTCAGCCTCCCAAAGTGCTGGGATTACAGTCATAAGTCACTGTGCCCTGCCCACAAACAAAACTATTTTTAATGTTCATCAGAAAATAAAGGTAGCAAAACAAGTTCCTTTTTTTGGTTAATTCCTTGTTTCTTATAATACAGAGTATCACTTCCTCTCATCAAAAAGCTATAGAACTTCTGATGAAATTCAACTGTTCAACTATTTATATTGAAAGATATAACTGATCATTCTCAAAGCGTCCACTTCAGCCTATAGCATTAATTTATTATAGCATTATGAATATGCCATATAATTAAATAAAATGCTAATTTAAGAAACCATGTAATTGGTAAAGAGAAATGCACTTTCTTTAAAGAAAAAAAAAATGGTACCCCAAAGGTTCATTACTTCCAGTTCGCTCTTTTTGTTTGTTTGTTTTTTGAGACAGGGTCTCCCTTTGTCACCCAGGCTGGAGTACAGTGGCACAATCACAGCTCACTTGTGGCCTCGACCTCCTGGGCTCAAGCAATCCTTCCACCTCAGTTTCTGGAAAAGCTGGGACTACAGGCATGTGCCACCATGCCCAACTATTTTTCTAAATTACTTTTTGTAGAGATGGGTTCTCACTATGTAGCCCAGGCTGGTCTTGAACTGCTAGGCTCAAGCAATCCTCCTGCCTCAGCCTCCCAAAGTGCTGGGATTACAGGTATGAGCCACTATGCCAAGTCTAAGTTCTCTTTTCTAAGTCTTCAATTATAAGCAGATCTATTCCAAATGCACAAATAAGTTAAATTTCCTACTATAAATTCAACATTTGAAAGATAACAATTCAACACAACAGAAGTTCAATCAAGGTTTCTTGTTAAAAAGACAAATTCTAAGCTTAAAATCTTAGCTATTGCTTAGCTAAGTCTTAGCTATTGCTAAGACAAGATGTCATTAAATTACATCAACTAAATCATACTTACCAAAGCATTAATATCCAACATAGAATGACATTCTTTAAATTTTGAAATCTCTTGTTCCAGTGTGTCTAACAATACAACTTGGTTCTGTCTGAAACAAAAACACACAGCCAAGACAAACTCTACATATTTAAAGTGCCGGTCCATTAAAAGGAATCATATTCATCTTGGTTAATGGTAACAGTTAGTTAAGTAGGAAATGTATTAACTCTCTAAGGTTTATTTAATATAGAATAAGATTTTTCAAAATAATATTCTAAAGCCACATTCTGATAACTAAATGTGTCTTTTATTCTTGCTTCAATTTCTAATAACTAAAATAATCCAATCATTTAAAAGTATTTTATTACTTGTTACTTTTAACAACTCTCTGTATTATTCCAAAAAAGAAGTTTTTTATAGTATTTTGCCCAAGAAGTTCAATGTTTTATATATCTTAAAATTGCAACATTCCCATAAAGGAAATGAGGAACAATGGTTTTTCAGATTAGAGGTGAGGAAGATGAAGTATCAAGGGATAGTAAGTCAAAAAGAATAATTAAGCAGTAAGATGAAAAAAGCACAGGACTGGAAATCATAGCTTTCCCCGGCCAACAGCCAGTTAGCTATATGATCTTAGAAATTCAGTTTATTTCTCTGGCCTAAATCTCCTCATTTACAAAGTGAGAAGATCAGACCAGATAATTTCTAATGTTTCTCATTACAATTCTAATTCAAAACTCATTGAGGAAGAGAAGCCAACTTCCTTGATATTTCTTTACACATCAATCAATGTTAGGATCACAGGAATAAGTGACATTAAAAGGGTCACCTACCTGAATATTTTAAAGAATGCTACAAAGAAAAATATGTCATTTGCTTGTAAAACTGTGCTATCTAGAGAATAATGATAAAAAAAAAAAAGAAATAACAACGAACAGGCTCAGGGCAATTACAACATCTCTACTATCCAGCACTGAGTCTGGCATACCCTACAGGTCATAAATTTGTCTCTTGGCTGGGCACAGTGGTTCATGCCTATAATCCCAGCACTTTGAGAGGCCAAGGAAGGAGGATTGCTTGAAGCCAGGAATTCAAGACCAGCGTGGACAACAAAGCAAGACCCTCTACAAAAACAAAAAAAACACACACACACACAAAAAATGAGCTGGGTGTGGTGGCACACACCTGTGGTCCGAGCTACTTGGGAGGCTGAGGCAGAAGGATTGCTTGAGCCCAGGAGTTAGAAACTGCAGTGAGTTATAATCACACCACTGTACTACAGCCTATGTGACAGGGTGAGACCCCATCTCTACAAATATAAATAAATAAATAAATAAATAACTTTGTCCCTCCAGCTTGGACTAGAGATCACAGAAAGTGAAATACAGAATGGATGAGAGGAAAACCCAGCAAGTCAACCATCTGAGATACACAGGACAGCAAAAATAGGCTGTTAGAACTAGAAAACAATAGAAGGGGGAAAACAAAAAAATCAATGAGACAAAAAGGTGGTTCTTTAAAAGATCAATAAAATTGATAAACCTCTAGTGAGACCAATCAAGAAAAAAAAACCCCAAAGTATTAGTATTATTCATGAAAGAGCAGTAATCACCACTGATCCCATGACATTAAAAGGATAATAAATGAATATTTTCAACAACTCAGTGCTCATAAATTTGATAATGTGGATGGAATGGACTAATTCTTTGAAAGATACAAACTACCAAAACTTATACAAGGAGAAACAAAAAGTTTATGTAGGCCTATATTTATTAGACAAATTGAATCAGTAAGTAATAACCTTCCAAAAAAGACAGTACCGGGACCAAACGGCTTCACTGGTAATTTTTACCAAACATTTAAGGAAGACGTGATACCAATTCCCCACAGTCTCTTCCAGAAAATATGTCAGTCCTCCTTTATCTGCAGTTTTGCTTTCTTCAGTTTTAGGCACGTACAGTCAACTGCAGCTGTGCTATATCATCACAAGAAGGGTAAGTACAGCACAATAAGATATTTTGAAAGAGAGACCACATTCACTTAACTTTTATTATAGTATAACTGCTGTATTTTATTATTAGTTATTGTTGTTAATCTCTTACTATGCCTAACTTATAAATTAAACTTTATCATAGGTATGTAAGTATAGGAAAAAACATAGTGTATAAAGGCTGACATCCATAACCTGAAAATCCAAAATGTTGCAAAACCTGAAACATTTGGACAATGAATGACCCACCTGACCTCATGTGATAAGTCACAGTCAAAACTCTTTGTTTCATGCACAAAATTATTTAAAATATTGTATCCACTAGGGGTCTTGGAACATATCCTCCTTTGGATAAAGGGCAACAACTGCAGAAGCAAAAGGAGCACCTCCCAACTCATTCTATGAGGCTAGCATTACCCTAAAGCCAAACCAGATAAAGATATTACAAGAAAGAAAAACTATAGACCAGTATCTCTCATGAACATCGATATAAAACTCCTCAACAAAATATTAGCAAATTGAATCCAACAATGTGTAAAAAGAATTACATACCACAACCAAGTAAAATTTCTGCCAAATACGCAAAGCTGGTTCAATATTCAAAAATTCAATCAATGTAATCTACCACATCAACAGGCTAAAGAAGAAAAATTACATGGTCCTATCAATTGATGTAGAAAAAGCATTTGACAAAATCCAGCATCTATTCATGACTATAAACCATCAACAAACTAGGAAGAGAGAGGATCTTCCTCAACTTAATAAGGAATACCTTGAAAAACCTGCAGCTAACATTTAGGGTGAGAAACTACATAATTTTCTCCTAAAACTAGAACAAGCTATGTCCCCTCTCACAACTCCTATTCAACATCATACTTTTTTTTTTTATTATACTTTAAGTTTTAGGGTACATGTGCACATTGTGCAGGTTAGTTACGTATGTATACATGTGCCATGCTGGTGCACTGCACCCACTAACTCGTCATCTAGCATTAGGTATATCTCCCAATGCTATCCCTCCCCCCTCCCCCCACCCCACCACAGTCCCCAGAGTGTGATATTCCCCTTCCTGTGTCCATGTGATCTCATTGTTCAATTCCCACCTATGAGTGAGAATATGCGGTGTTTGGTTTTTTGTTCTTGCGATAGTTTACTGAGAATGATGATTTCCAATTTCATCCATGTCCCTACAAAGGACAGGAACTCATCATTTTTTATGGCTGCATAGTATTCCATGGTGTATATGTGCCATATTTTCTTAATCCAGTCTATCATTGTTGGACATTTGGGTTGGTTCCAAGTCTTTGCTATTGTGAATAATGCTGCAATAAACATACATGTGCATGTGTCTTTATAGCAGCATGATTTATAGTCATTTGGGTATATACCCAGTAATGGGATGGCTGGGTCAAATGGTATTTCTAGTTCTAGATCCCTGAGGAATCGCCACACTGACTTCCACAATGGTTGAACTAGTTTACAGTCCCACCAACAGTGTAAAAGTGTTCCTATTTCTCCACATCCTCTCCAGCACCTGTTGTTTCCTGACTTTTTAATGATTGCCATTCTAACTGGTGTGAGATGATATCTCATAGTGGTTTTGATTTGCATTTCTCTGATGGCCAGTGATGATGAGCATTTTTTCATGTGTTTTTTGGCTGCATAAATGTCTTCTTTTGAGAAGTGTCTGTTCATGTCCTTCGCCCACTTTTTGATGGGGTTGTTTTTTTCTTGTAAATTTGTTTGAGTTCATTGTAGATTCTGGGTATTAGCCCTTTGTCAGATGAGTAGGTTGCGAAAATTTTCTCCCATGTTGTAGGTTGCCTGTTCACTCTGATGGTAGTTTCTTTTGCTGTGCAGAAGCTCTTTAGTTTAATTAGATCCCATTTGTCAATTTTGGCTTTTGTTGCCATTGCTTTTGGTGTTTTGGACATGAAGTCCTTGCCCATGCCTATGTCCTGAATGGTAATGCCTAGGTTTTCTTCTAGGGTTTTTATGGTTTTAGGTCTAACGTTTAAATCTTTAATCCATCTTGAATTGATTTTTGTATAAGGTGTAAGGAAGGGATCCAGTTTCAGCTTTCTACATATGGCTAGCCAGTTTTCCCAGCACCATTTATTAAATAGGGAATCCTTTCCCCATTGCTTGTTTTTCTCAGGTTTGTCAAAGATCAGATAGTTGTAGATATGCGGCATTATTTCTGAGGGCTCTGTTCTGTTCCATTGATTTATATCTCTGTTTTGGTACCAGTACCATGCTGTTTTGGTTACTGTAGCCTTGTAGTATAGTTTGAAGTCAGGTAGTGTGATGCCTCCAGCTTTGTTCTTTTGGCTTAGGATTGACTTGGCGATGCAGGCTCTTTTTTGGTTCCATATGAACTTTAAAGTAGTTTTTTCCAATTCTGTGAAGAAAGTCATTGGTAGCTTGATGGGGATGGCATTGAATCTGTAAATTACCTTGGGCAGTATGGCCATTTTCATGATATTGATTCTTCCTACCCATGAGCATGGAATGTTCTTCCATTTGTTTGTATCCTCTTTTATTTCCTTGAGCAGTGGTTTGTAGTTCTCCTTGAAGAGGTCCTTCACATCCCTTGTAAGTTGGATTCCTAGGTATTTTATTCTCTTTGAAGCAATTGTGAATGGGAGTTCACTCATGATTTGGCTCTCTGTTTGTCTGTTGTTGGGGTATAAGAATGCTTGTGATTTTTGTACATTGATTTTGTATCCTGAGACTTTGCTGAAGTTGCTTATCAGCTTAAGGAGATTTTGGGCTGAGACGATGGGGTTTTCTAGATAAACAATCATGTCGTCTGCAAACAGGGACAATTTGACTTCCTCTTTTCCTAATTGAATACCCTTTATTTCCTTCTCCTGCCTGATTGCCCTGGCCAGAACTTCCAACACTATGTTGAATAGGAGCGGTGAGAGAGGGCATCCCTGTCTTGTGCCAGTTTTCAAAGGGAATGCTTCCAGTTTTTGCCCATTCAGTATGATATTGGCTGTGGGTTTGTCATAGATAGCTATTATTTTGAAATACGTCCCATCAATACCTAATTTATTGAGAGTTTTTAGCATGAAGGGTTGTTGAATTTTGTCAAAGGCTTTTTGCATCTATTGAGATAATCATGTGGTTTTTGTCTTTGGCTCTGTTTATATGCTGGATTACATTTATTGATTTGCGTATATTGAACCAGCCTTGCATCCCAGGGATGAAGCCTACTTGATCATGGTGGATAAGCTTTTTGATGTGCTGCTGGATTCGGTTTGCCAGTATTTTATTGAGGATTTTTGCATCAATGTTCATCAAGGATATTCAACATCATACTTTAAGTCCAAGCTAATACAGCAAGACAAGAAAAAGAAATAAAAGGTATACAAATTGAGAAGAAAGCAATAATACTGTCTTTGTTCCCAGATGATTTCCTATGTGGAAATTCCCAAAGATTCAACAAGAAACCTCCTGAAACTAATAGGCAAGTATAGTAAGATTTCAGGATACAAGGTTAATATACAGAAGTCAATTTCTTTCCTATGTACCAGCAATGAATTTGAAATTTAAAAAACAATACCATTTATAGTAGCTCCCCATCCCCAGTGAAATATGGTGGTACAAATATAACAAAATATATACAGGAGCTATATGCAAAAAGTATAAAACTCTAATGAAAAATATCAAAGAAAATCTAAATAATAGAGAGATACTCCAAGTACACAGATTAAAAGACTCAACTGTTGTTGTTCAGATAGGGTCTCACTTTGTCACCCAAGCTGGACTGCAGCGGCATGATCATAGTTCACTGCAGCCTTGAACTCCTGGTTCAAGGGATCCCCTGCCTCAGCCTCCCAAGTAGCTATGACTACAGGTGCACACCACCACGCCAGGCTGACTTTTTAAATTTTTTTGTAGAGACAGGGTCTCATTACATTACCCAGGCTGGTCTCCAACTCCTGGCCTCAAGAGATCCTTCTGCCCCAGGCTCCCAAAGTGCTTGGATTACCAGCATCAACCACCACACCCAGCCCTTCAATATTTTTTAAGATGCAAATTATTTCCAACTTGATCTAAGGATTCAATGCAACCCCAATCAAAATCCCAGCAAGTTATCGTATAGATATCAACAAACTGTTTTAAAGTTCATATGGAAAGGCAAAGACATAGAAGAGCCAATACAACATTGAAGAACAAAATTGGAAGACTCACAGTACCCAATTTCAATACTTATTATAAAGCTACAGAAATCTGGCCAGGCACAGTGACTCACTCCTGTAATCCCAGCACTTTGGGAGCCTGAGGCTGGGGATCACCTGAGGTCAGAAGTTCAAGATCAGCCTGGCCAACATGGTGAAACCCCATCTCTATAAAAAATACAAAAATTAGCTGGGTGTGGTGGCGCGCACCTATAATCCCGCTACTTGGGAGGCTGAGGTGCAAGAATCACGAACCTGAGAGGCAGAGGTTGCAGTGAGCTGAGATCGCCCCACTGCATTCCAGCCTGGGCAACAGTGAGACCCTGTCTCAAAAAAAAAACAAACAATGACAACAACAAAAAGCTACAGAAATCAAGACAGCATGGTAATGGCAAAAGAACAGACATACTGATCAATGGAACAGAATAGAAAACCCTTATTAAATAAACCTACACAAAAACAATAAACTTCTCTTTGACAAAGGTGCAAAGGTAATGCAGTGGAGAAAGGATAGTTTTTTCAACAAATGGTGGCCAGGTACAGTGGCTCACACCTGTAATCCCAGCACTTTGGGAGGCCAAGGCAGGAGGATCACTTGAGCCTAGGAATTCAAGACCAGCCAGGGCAATATGGTGAAACCCCATCTCTACAAAAAATACAAAAATCAGCCAGGTGTGGTGGTGTGCGCCTGTGGTCCCAGCTACTTGGGAGGCCGAGATGGAAGGATCACTTGAGCCCAGGAAATGGAGGCTGCAGTGAGCTAAGGCTGCGCCACTGCACTCCAGCCTGGGCAACAGAGTGAGACCCTGTCTCAAACAACAACAACAACAATAAATGGTGCTGAAGCAACTGGATATCCATGCGCAAAGAAATGCATCTATTAATAGACACAGACCTTACAAGCCTCCACAAAAATTAACTCAGAATAGGCCGGGCGTGGTGGCTCACACCTCTAATCCCAGCACTTTGGGAGGCCGAGGCAGGCGGATCACCTGAGGTCTGAGACCAGCCTGACCAACATGGAGAAACCCCGGCTCTACTAAAAGTACAAAAATTAGACAGGCGTGGTGGTGCATGCCTGTAATCCCAGCTACTCAGGAGGCTGAGTCAGGAGAATCGCTTGAACCCAGGAGGCAGACGTTGTGGTGAGCCGAGATCGTGCCATTGCACTACAGCCTGGGCAACAGGAGAGAAACTCCATCTCAAAACAAACAAACAAAATTAACTCAAAATAAATCATAGGTCTAAATGTAAAATGCAAAACTAGAACTTCTAGAAGAAAACACAGGAGAAAATCTAGGTGACCTTGGTTTGGTGATGAGTTTTTAGACACACTACCAAAAGCACAATTCATAAAAGAAAAAACCGACTATATTTTTTCTTATTTATTAAATAAATTTATTAAAATTAAAAACTCCTGCTCTGCAAAAGACACTGTAAAGAGAGTAATAAGACAAACCACAGTCTTGGAGAAAATATTTGCAAAACACATAAAGGACTCATATCAAAAATATACAAAGAACTCTTAAAACTCAACAATAAGAAAAACAATCCAATTTTAAAATGAGCAAAAGATCTGAACAGACACCTGTTATCTAACAAAGAATTTGTCTGATCTTTGTCCCAGGTTTCTGGCACAGAGCTTCTAAAATCCTTGGAATTTTCCAAGTGACAGAAGTGTCTTTGTTATCCATGAGCTCCTTGGATCACACCTGAGTTTACACTAATAAAGTGACTCATGATGGGCCCCTAGAGCTTCAAGATGGGAGGCTAATGAAAAATAACAAAGAAAGAACTTCTAAATAATAGAGACATTCCAAGTACATAGATTAAAAGACTAAATTTTTGTTGTTGAGATAGGGTCTCACTCTGTCACCCAGGCTAGGGCACAGTGGCATGACCATGGTTCACTGCAGCCTCGAACACCAAGCTGCTGAACACACTGATGTGCTGGCAGCGGGGGTTTCCTCTCACTGGGAGAGGAAACAAAAGTTTTGTGTTCAGGAACCTCCCAGGCACTACCCTGTGTGTCTCTGCATTGGCTTGTCCTGATCTGTACCCTTTATAATACAACTATAATTTTAAGTACAGTGCTTTCCTGACCCATAAGTCTGGCCACTCTCAAAGAAGGTTCCAGAGAATGTGGCTGGGCACAGTGGCTCACACCTGTAACCCTAGGACTCTGGGAGGCCAAGGTGGGCAGATCACTTGAGGTCAGGAGTTCAAAACCAGCCTGGCCAACATGGTGAAACCCATCTCTACTAAAAATACAAAAAAATTAGCTGGGCGGAGTGGTGCGCGCTTGTAATCCCATCTACTTGGGAGGCTGAGGCAGGAGAATCTCTTGAACCCAGGAGGCAGAGGTTGCAGTGAGCCGAGATCCCACCACTGCACTCCAACCTGGATGACAGAATGAGACTCAGTCTCAAAAAAAGGGAGAAAGTTCCAGAGAATACAGTGGGGCAGAAAAGATGACTCAACTTCATTCCCTTGAAGCTTTGTATAATTTACAGTAAATATGCTGACAATGTTTGTGAAGCCTTAATGCAGTGTCTGAGGAATGATTATCTGAGAGAAAAGCTACTTCCTTACAAGTTCCAAGTGTGAATTATCTCGAAGGGAGCTCCATGGAGGCCACTGACAACTGCACCTCTGTGGCTGCTTTAGGGGCCTGGATCCCAGAACCTTGTTTTTTTAGTTTCCAATGTTCTTAAAATGATAAATACATATAAATGAATATTTATAACCTTTCTTATATATAAAGCTAAATTTTTTTCTTGGTCTTCCTTACTCATTGTTAGCTACAAAATAAACTTAATCCCTACCTACCACTACCTTCTCCTTTACTTCTCTGTGGACCTGTTTCTATAATGGTGAAGAGGCTTTACCAAAGGTTTGATGGCAGAGCCAGGACTAGAATCCAGGTGGCTCTCAGTCCAGTACTCTTTCCCCTATATCTTTATTAATAGTGAAATTTGTGGAGAGATGGGGAAAAGAGGAGGAAATACTCTCTTTTTCCTTTCTCTGAAATTTGTTTACCTTTCCTTAACAGTCAAGAAGCATATTAACTACTAATGCATCATATTCAATAGCTAATTCTACTACTACCTGTGTAATCTTTTTCAAATTACTTAACCTCTCTGAGCCTCAGTTTCCTCAATTGTAAATAAGGATAATACTAGATACTTCATAAAGTTGGTGTCAGGAGTAACTGAGATATGTTAAAGTGCTGGGCATATAGTACATATAATAACAAACAGTAGCTAATTTTACTATCATCGTCAAAATAATCATTGTTGTCTGGGTGCCTAAGAAGATAAGTAGGGGCTATTCGAAACACTAAATTTTAGACAATATCATCATCAATTAAACTCTGCAATTAAAACTTGATTCCCAGCTTCCTGCAAGTAAAGTATTTTTCAGATATGTTCGCTTGCAGTTTCTTACCTTCCATCTATCACACCTCATACAACAACAAAGATTGATTGGCATCAAAATATAAGGTATATCGCGCGCTAGGGATAAAAAAAATCTTGTTTGGGATTAGCACAAAACTGAGAAGGTTGCCAACTCCCTAACTATAGTAGTACACATGTAGTCTTAGAATAACCCAGTACCACTTTTTTTTTTTTTTTTTTTTTTCGGAGACAGAGTCTCACTCTGTCACCTGGGCTGGAGTGCAGTGGTGCAGATCTCAGCTCACCACAAACAGCCCCCTGAGTTCGAGCGATTCTCCTGCCTCAGCCTCCCAAGTAGCTGGGGCTACAGGTGCACACCACCACGCCCAGCTAATTTTTTGTGTTTTTAGTAGAGACAGGGTTTCGCCAGGGTGGTCTAAAACTCCCGACCTCAAGTGATCCGCCCGCCTCAGCCTCCCAAAGTGCTGGGATTACAGGTGTAAGCCACCACACTTGGCCTCAGTACCACTTTTATATGCATTTAGCACCTTAACACTAAGGATTATAACATTACTTATAATTATAAAATAAGCACAGTTATTATTCCTCTCCTTTTGCCCTAATAAAGGCCTCTTAAGTAAGTTTTCAAAGGGTAGGTCTCAGAGCAGCAGCAGTTTATAGCCAGTGTAAAGCTGACCACCACAGAAAGAAATGACAGACAGGCCAGCCTGGGCTATCCAGAGAGGTCCCGACCCAGGAGGAGGCAGAAGCTGAGTGTGTTGTCTGTGGATGGGAGCTGATAAAGCCAGAGTATATGTTTTTGTATACTGATCCCACTCTATGGGTTCTGTTCTATCTTAAACTGTTTTCTTAACATATCCTCTAATCTTTACTTACTAGTAAAGTTATCTACTGGGAATGAAACAGATCATCTCAGAAAAGATACTTACAGATCTCTGGCAACTTATTTGAACCAGCAACTGAAAACAAGCGTGACTTTTATGGAGGCAATTTTTCAACTCTACTCAGAAACAGGTGTATCTCCACCTGAACAATCCCCAATAGGCAATACTTTCATAAAATAATGATAAATGCCAAACCTAATCACAGATTCTAGGTAAGATTTAGGAGTACTTCTTAGAAGAGATCGAACACCCTAGGAGTATTCATTTCACTTTTTACATTTAGAATACTATGTACTCCTCTATTCCCATCTGCTATCAATAAAGATATAGACATACTCAATTATAATTGCATGTTAAAAAATATTATGTCTTAACACAGTATACAATTATACAAATTGTGACTATGCCACAGAGGAAATGAGTGTATATCTGGTTTTTTATTAGCTTACGTGAGTTCCTGGAGGGCTTGTTTTGATCTCTGCAGATCTGGCAAATAATGAGAAAGCAATCCTTCTGCCAGTTGCTCCACTGCTTTGTCTTCTATAGTCAAGTCCTCTATTAACCCTTCATCTGGAGAAGTGTCACTTAAACCTGTCCCCAGCAAAAATCAAATTTAGGAACCTTTTATTTATTTTATTTTTTTAGGCTGGTCAACTGAAGCAGTGGGATTAGAGAAGGAACAAAGAAATCTGTAACTGGTTGTGATCAATTAGTTGTAAACACCACTGCACTCTGACCAGCCGGAACCTTTCAAATTGACACAGCTAATAAAAGGAGGTTGGGGAGTAGCAGGTAGAAAGGAGCCCACAAATGGGGTTGAGGGCACACACACAGTCTCCCAACCACAGGTATCCTTCTTTTCTTTTTAAACTTTTACCTCTGAGCTTCCTCTAAAAAATGAGTCATGAATGTTCAAAAAATGTTTTTAAGTTACTACTATAAGGTAAAGTCTATGATAAATGAACATTAACATACACAAAATTCTGTATCTTTATATATTTTTCAGGGCAGAGGACTTATAGTTTTCACTGGATTATCAAAGGAGTCTGAGGGCCAGGGGCAGTGGCTCACACCTGTAATCCTAGCACTTTGGGAAGCCAAGGTGGGAGAATTGCTCAAGCCCAGAATGGCTGGGCACGGTGGCACACACCTGTGGTCCCAGCTATTCAGGAGGCTGAGGTGGGAGGATAACTTGAGCCCAGAAGTTCATGGCTGCAGCGAGCTATGATCGCACCACTGCACTCCAGCCTGGGCAGCGGAGCGAGACCCTGTCTCAAAAAAATAAATAGATATAAAAATAAAAATAAAATAAAGGAGCCTGAGGCCAAAACGTGGGTAACGGTCACTGAACTAAAGCATTCTTGCTTTCAAAAGCATGAAGAAATTATATAAACAAAAATGCAATGCCTAAAATAAAGTATGTTTTCAATTCTATGGAAACAAAAATGTAGGTCAACATCGATTTTGATATAGTTCGATATGTTATTTACATGTAAAAGGAGGGTTGTGTTATTTGTTAGGGAGGAGAAGAGGGATTTTCTAAGAATTTCTTCTCTCTTAAGATTCAGCAACTTAATTTACCATAGAAAATAGTGTATAATCATTGTCTTGTGTATAAATCTAGACCTGATGCTGAGATCAATGCCTCATCACTTTCCTTTGAATAATAAAAGTGTAAGCATTGTGCCAGGTATTCAAAAACATCTAAGATGAATATCAATCACCATTCCTACCAAGAAAAATACAATTTCTAAATAGGGTTTAATGGTTTGTAAGATGGAATCACTGATTTATAATCAGAGAAAAAAAAGTAAGATGGTCACTTTACTAAAATTATACACTAAAATTATGATTAATATTAAACTCTGAAACATCTCTCTTCAATTATAGTCTGGTAACCATCAGTAACATCAAATTACATCACTCTATAGAACAGTTATCACAACACATTGCTTGTGACACATTTCTAAGTACAATTTGTGCCACAGATTTAAATTTTGGCAAAATTGAGAAAAACAGTCTTGGCACAGTGGCTCATGCCTGTAATCCCAGCACTCTGGGAGGCTGAGGTGGGCGGATCACTTGAGGTCAGGAGTTTGAGACCAGTCTGGCCAACATGGTGAAACTCCATCTCAACTAAAAATATAAAAATTTCCCGGGCGTAGTGTTGTATGCCTGTAAGCTCAGCTACTCGAGAAGCTAAGACACAAGAATTGCTTGAACTTGGGAGGTGGAGGCTGCAGTGTGCCAAGATTGTGCCACTACACTCCAGCCTGGGCGACAGAGCAAGACTCTGCCTCAAAAAAAAAAAAAAAAAGATTGAGGAAAACAACATGCTATCATATTCGAAGTAAGCTTTTTGAAAATCAAAATAAAATTATATAATTTTTATTTTAACCCTACGAAACACATGAACAAACTTTGGACTTCTCAAAGTTGCAAGGCAACATTCAAATAGGTAAGAGCTAACTAGAAACTGAAGCACTCCACATATAAAATAAAAATACAAAAACCAAAAAAAGAAAAAATATAGAGAGAGAGAGAGAGAGAGAAAAGTGAAGCACTTAGGGATATTAATGTACCAACTGTATAGGAAGTGAATAAATTATATCCACCAATTATGCCGTTGCTTAAGGCTTGATTAAAATAACAATGCAATCAGCAACTTTAAGTATTAATAAATATAGAAAACAATTTTCTTAATGTTTTATGATAGGAACACCCCAAAAAAGGGCATTTCAACTTTAAGGAATAACAACTAATTCACTTCGCTTAACAATATATACATACATTTTAACTCACAAACCCTCCTCCCACCCCAATGTTCTGGTTAATTATTGGATGAGTCTCAGTTACTCATTTTTTGTTTGTTTGTTTGTTTTGTTTTTCTCTCTTTTACCCTCTGCTTCCAATGGTTAAGAAGTCACTCAAGTTTTTATATATATTTAATTACTAAGTTCAAGGTGCTTTATTGTGCGAGAGTAAAGAAGAAGAAAGGGAGGGTCCTTATTCTATTCATACGAGAAAGGTTTGCTGAACATCTATATTATGTACCAGGTTCTGAGATTACAACAATAAATAAGGCAAGTCTCCTTCCCTGGAAGGGCACAATACGAGCAATCACAGAATATGAGAAGTGAGGAATCACAGAAAATGAGAAACAGAAAATGTTATGGAAATTCAGGGGAGAGCGACTTTCATTAGGGAAGTCTAAGAAAAATTCCTAAAGGAAGTGTGGACACTGAGCTAAGGCTCAAAGAATGGATGGAGTTTTCATTTCTCTTTGTCTATTCGAGTGTTACTCACTGTAAAAACTTAAAACACTACAGAGGGAGGCACAAACTGAAAAGTAAAAATACTTCTTCTTACCCTCTAACTCCAGCATGAGCTACTCTGGAGTTTCTCACAGAGCCTTCCAGAAATTGTCTTTGCGTATCTATGCATATATTATTTTTATGACAAACGAAATATTACTCATACCATTCTGCAACTTTTAAAACATATATCTTAGGTATCTTTCCATACCAACATATAGGGATCTACTACATTATTTTTAGCAGAATAGAATTCTACCATAGTTTGTTTAACCAGTCCCCCATAGATGGATTATTTAGGTTATTTTCACTTTTTGCTATTTCAGACAATGCTGCAGTGAGCTTCCTTGCTTATCTGCATATTTGTGTCACTTTCTGTAGGATAAATTCTTAGAAGTAGACTGTTGGGACAAAGAGTTTATGCATTTTTTAAACAGACATTGCCAAACTGCCCTCCTAAGAAATTGGCACCAATTTCCACTCCCACCAACAATCTGTGAGGACTATTTCCAAATGGGGAAGAAATCTATGGCAGGAGTGGAATGGATGCAATATGGGTAAAGAAAGCAGCATGAGGAAAGGCTGGAATACAGTACAGGATACTTCTGGAGAGGCATGGGGCATATGCAGCATAGCAATAGTGAGCTTTAAGACCGGAAGGCCAGTAAGGGCCTCTAAATGCCAAGTTAATGGTTTGGACCTTTGTTAATAAGTAGTGAGGAGCTATTTAAGGTTTCTGAGTTCAGGAATGACATGACTGAAGCTTTATCTTGGGACAGTGATGTGACAGCAGCGGGACAGATGCGTTGAAAGAGTAAGACTGGAGGTGAACCAGCCTTTCAACAGCTGTTTTAAAGGTGAAATTACAAGGAGATGGAATTGTATAGGAGAATCCCCTAGAGGTGGAAGGAGAGAGAGAGGAAAAAGTCCAGAGCAATTTCAAAGTTTCAAGTCAGAGTGACCTACCACCATTAACAGGATGAGACATGTTTTCATTTATGTACATGCCTTACGTGAGATTAGTGCAAAACAGCCACGTCAAAGTATCCAGCTAGCAGATGGAGAAGTAAACAAGAGTTAAGAGAGGGGCCCAAGTTTCAAATACATACAAAGAAGTCATATTTATAGAAGCGACTTAATGAAAGTGTGAAGAGATCCTTGAGGAAAAGCATGAACAGGAAAGTGCTGAGAGCACTATTTGGGGGTAACCCCTATATTTCTGAAACAGGAGGTAAAAGAAAAAGCATATCCAAGGAGCCCTGCAGCCTTTCTCATCTAAGGCCTCATCTAAACCACAGAACACAGAAAATGCTCTGAGTGACCATTTTCTCAGTTCTCCCAAGGATGGTACATAAATAGTACCATTTTGGGTGCACAGCAAGTTAATTCATTCCATTCAATGGATGCCTTAGGGCATTAGAGCTTAAATCCCTCCTGGAACTCGGTCGAGAAGACTGCTGCAGGAATAGGGATGAAGTAATATCACCGAGCTGACCAAGCATTTCATGAGTGGTCAATATTATAGGATACGTCACCTCTCTGAATTATAAGCTGATCATCTTTCTGGTAAATCCATCCCCCACCACTGCCGTATGACAAATAACCAATGACGTACCGGAGTCAACACATAAACTCAGAATGGCTTCACCATCAACCGCCTTCAATTGCACCCCCAATACAAAGCTTCCCCTCGGGACTTCAGTTCCGCCCATTGCGCTGGGCAGAGGGGCCGGCGCGGTTCCCCATTTCTGCACTCGGGGCAGGGCCCGGGGGCCGCAGCCGCCAAAAACCGCTTACTCCCCCAGGGTTTCTCCGGAGTTCTACTCACTCAGGTCCCCGCCCCTCACACCCAGCCCGGGCCGCGCTTCCCACCCGATAGTACGTACCAGGCGTCGGCTCCCCGGCCTCCAGGCAGTAGGGTGGCCGTGTCAGGGCCCCGTCCGGAGACGACGGCCCAGGGACACTCATGTCCCTCCAGCTGGGAACACAGGGAAGAAGCAAACGTGTGGCTCGTCAGAAGCAAGGCGGCACCTAACGACTCCAGCGGCTGGCCGGACAGAAGAGATTGTCGCACCCGGAAGTGACGGGGGCGAAAAAACTGCGGGCTTCGATCACGCGCTCGAGAGTTGGCTCTGCCCCATGGCGTTGTGGGGACCCCGCGCTGATATCGTCGTCTGGCCCCGGACGCAGTGTCAGCGGACTCAGCAGTGTGGGGCTCGAGTCCCTGCGATCCGATTGGTGGGAGCTGGGGGAGGACGGTGGTCGGTTTGGGCTGCTCACGGGGTGGGTCACGAAGACCGGAAGAGCGTTGTCTTTGTTGGACGCGGGGGAGCCGTCAGGCTTTCTTCACTGAAGCTAGGGAGAAAACAGGACTTTCAGCCCTCACGCGGCACAGCTTTTTAGTGTTGTCTCCGTGTTTAGGGAAAACCTTCAGAACAGGGAGTGCTCGCTTTCCCTGCGATTTGGACCATTAAAAAATTCGATGCCTAGGTCTCTGCGAGCCTCAGCCTTGCTAACTAGGGTTTTGCCACTTTTCCGGGCTCCCCTTGTTAAGTGTAGATGAAAGATTTAAGCCCTCCGTTGCAGCAGCTACTGAACAAATTCGGCCAAGTTATCAGAAACTGCACTTGCTGAGATCCTGTGGAATGATCTCATGAATTCTGTTGGAAAACACTTAGAAAAGGGCATAGGCAGCTTTGGACCAAAGAAAACGATTTAGCTCTGCCATCTCTAGCTTATACCCTCTCATCTCAACTGTAATGGTGGCCTCCTAATGTTGCTCCCCAATTATGCCTGTTCAGTTTTCTCAGCTGCAACCAAAGCTTATTTCAAAAAAATAAGAATTTGCAAGACTCAGAAACTTGCACTGGTTCCCCATTGCCTTTATCAGTGCATTCACACACTTTCCTCTTTGGGCCTCTTTTCCTCTTAGTATTAGCTCCTTCTTATTAACTCTGGTAGGCAGAATACTAGCCCCTCAAAGATGTCCACAGCCTGAACACCAGAAGCTGTGAATATGTTAGCTTGCATAGCAAATGGGAATTAAGGTTGTTAATTACCTGGTGTTGAAATAGATTATCCTGGAATCGCTTTAACCAGGGAGGCAGAGGTTGCAGTGAGCTGAGCAGCTCCACTGCACTCCAGCCTGGGCGACAGGGCGAGATTCCATCTTAAAAAAAAAACATTATCCTGGATTGTTCCAGTGGGCTGATTGTAATCATAGGGCCTCCAAAACTGCAAAAGAGAGTCAAGAGTGACAAGTAACTATGAAGAATGATTAGAGAGATACAACATTGTTGGCTTTGAATATAGAGGAAGGGAGCCTCCAGCATTGTGGGTGACCTCCAGAAGCTGGAACTGGTAAGGAAACATTCCCCTGAAGCCTCTCTAATGCTCTGATGACACCTTGATTTTATCCTCATGTGATCAATGTTGGACTTCTGACCAACAGAACTGTGAAATAATCTGTGTCTTAAGTTTGTGATAACTTGTTATAACACCAATAATAATGTACGGTATACCCTTCAAGACATTCTTTATTCCATGTGAGCATTCTCCTAAAATTATGCCCTTTCATGTCTGCAGTGCTCTTGCCTATGCTTCAACCTGAAATATTCTATCCTTTTGTAAACCAAAAATAAAATTATAAACCCCACAACTGACTGATGGACCCCCTGCCCCTCACCTCTTGGCCAAGGGCATTCCAAAGTAAACCTGAAAATCTAGTTATTCCATCATCTAGATGGAAGTGGGGATGGGGGGGTTAGTCCCGGGGGTGGGTCGGACATGGCTCATTATACCCTCCTCCCTTTGGAATTCAGGCTGAGCTGAACAGCATTCACATGAAAACAGATCTTAAGACTGCCAGACTTTTTCTAGCTTTTCTAGAACTTTATTTTTGACACCAAGCCAGCCTGACTCTAGTATAGCATCACGACAGATAGCAGGCCCTGAAGGAAATTGAATTATTTAACCCCAAAATATATTCCTTTGACATATTTTTAAATGGCCCTGCAAAGCTGTATCTTGTGGGGGAAAACCTACAGTCTGTAGAAAAGCCCTGTTCCTTTCCAGGTGTTTTCCCTTACCCAGGAGGGAATTAACCAAGTCTGGCACCTTTTTAGGTCTGATAAGAGCTCTACCAGAGGCTTCATCTGCATAATAAAACCTTGATCTCTGCCAGGGACAGTGGCTCACGCCTGTAACCACAGCACTTTGGGAGACCAAGGCAGGTGGATCACCTGAGGTCAGGAGTTCGAGACTAACCTGACCAACCTGGAGAAACCCCCGTCTCTACTAAAAATACAAAATTAGCCAGACGTGGTGGTCCATGCCTGTAATCCTAGCTACTTGGGAGGCTGGGGCAGGAGAATTGCTTCAACCCAGGAGGCAGAGGTTGCGGTGAGCCAAGATCATACCACTGCACTCCAGCCTGGGCAACAAGAATGAAACTCTGTCTCAAAAAAAAAAAAAACCTAGGTCTTGGGCCAGGTGTGGTGGCTCACGCCTGTAATCCTAGCACTTTGGGAGGCCGAGGCAGGCAGATCACCTGAGGTCAAGAGTTCGTGACCAGCCTGGACAACATGGTGACTAAAACCTTGTCTCTACTAAAATTACAAAAAAAAAAAAAAAAAGCCAGGCATGGTGGCGGGTGCCTGTAATCCCAGCTTCTCGGGAGGCTGAGGCAGGAGGATCACTTGAACCTGGGAGGTGGAGGTTCCAGTGAGTCGAGATCACACTATTGCACTCCAGCCTGGGCGACAAGAGCAAAACTCTGTCTCAAAAAAACAACCTTGGTGTCCACAACCCCATATCTTAACCCAGACATTCTATTGACTCCAGGTCTTTAGATAATAACTTAAGTCTTTTTTGTTTGTTTATTTCCTAATATAGAGGTAGAGTCTCCGTATGTTGCCCAGGCTGCTCTGGAACTCTTGGCCTAAGGCGATCCTCTCACCTCAGCCTTCCAAAGCACTAGGATTACAGGCGTGAGCCACCACGCCAGCCTGATAATCTTTGAATTGCCTGTGACCCTGAAGTCTCCGCTTCCAGGTGTCCCGCCTTTCAAGACCAAGCCAATGTACATCTTACATGTTTTGATGAATGTCTTAGGTCTTCCTAAAGTATATAAAACTACACTGTAGCCTTGTCAGAGGCATTTGAGCCAGAGCAACTCCATCTTGAATAGGACTGGGTAAAATGAGGCTGAGACCTATTGGGCTGCATCCCCAGGAGGTTAGGCATTCTTAGTCACAGGATGAGATAGGAGATCGGCACAAGATACAGGTCACAAAGACCTTGCTGATAAAACAGCATGTGGTAAAGAAGCCAGCCAAATCCCAACAAAACCAAGATGGTGCCAAAAGTGACCTCTGGTCATCCTCACTGCTCATTATTTGCTAATTATAATGCATTAGCATGCTAAAAGACACACCCACCAGCACCGTGACAGTTTACAAATGCCATGGCAACATCAGGAAGTTACCCTATATGGTCTAAAAAGGGGAAGAACCCTCAGTTCCAGGAATTGCCCACCCCTTTCCCGGAACACTCATGAATAATCCACCCCTTATTTCGCATATAATCAGGAAATAACTATAAGTGTAATCAGTGAGCAGCCTAAGCCGCTGCTCTGCCCATGAGTAGCCATTCTTTATTCCTTTACTTTCTTAATAAACTTGCTTTCACTTTACTCTATGGACTCACCCGAATTCTTTATTTTGCGAAATCCAAGAAGTCTCTCCTGGGGTCTGAATCAGTACCCCTTTCTGCTAACTGCCTGACCACCTTGGGCATATGTTCTCAGGATCTCCTGGGGCTGTGTCATGGGCCATTGGTCACTCACATTTGGCTCAAAATAAATGTCTTCAAATATTTTACAGAGTTTGACTTAATCAACATTTTCAAAGTCCTACTTTTCAGCTGGGTGCGGTGGCTCACACCTGTAATCCCTAGCACTTTGGGAGGCAGATCAGCTGAGGTCAGGAGTTCAAGACCAGCCTGGCCAACATGGTGAAACCCTGTCTCTACCAAAAACACAAAACAGCTGAGCGTGGTGGCACACGCCTGTAATCCTAGATATTCAGGAGGCTGAGGCAGAGAATCACTTGAACCCGGGAGGTGGAGGTTGCAGTAAGCCGAGATAGCACCACTGCACTCCAGCCTGGGTGACAGAGCAAGACTCTGTCTCAAAAAAAAAAAAAAATCCTACTTCTCTTCCAAGGCTCAGTCTTAAAGCCTTTACTTTAAAATCATTCACAATCCCACTACTCCTTTCATTCAGAAGTTACGGTAATAACCCTTTATCAACTACAAAGCATCCTGCTATTTTAGCACTTAATCCGTTCTTTTTTTTTCCCCCTTGGTAGAAACGGGTTTTGCTGTGTTGCCCAGGCTGGTCTCAAACTCCTGAACTCAAGCGATCTGCCAGCCTCAACCTCCCAAAGTGCTGGGATTACTGGCATGAGCCACCATGCCTGTCCACTTAAATTATTCTGTATTAGTTATTTCCCTTGTCTCCCTCTATTAGATTGCAAACTCCGAACATACGCTCTTATTCACAGAGAATCATAATAGGTTCTCAACCAATATTCAATGAATGAAGTAAGTATTGATTCTCTAGCCCCATTTCCAGATATCTATAATCTGTAAAGTCTGCGTCACACAATATGACATTTGATAAACTGCCTGGCAACCTTAGTTGGTTGTTAGCATTATCTCCTAACTAGATAGTAAAGCCATTTAGAATGAAGCCATGTCCTATGGGTTGCCTGTACCTCTTTATGTCTTAGCACAGTATTAACCATATTACATGAATTTGAAAATACTGGTTATTTTTTATTATTATTTAAAATAAAAACAAGGTCTCACTATTTGCCCAGGCTTGCCTTGAACTCCTGAGCCTGAGTGATCCTCCTGCCTCAGCCTCCCAGTGTTAGGATTACAGGTGGAGCCACCACACCTGGCCAAAATACTGGTTATTTAAATTCAGTGGATGAAATTAAATGGTGACACCCTGCCAATTTTTAATTATCTTCTATTTTGCTTTACAGAACAATTCATGTTGGAAATTTGATGATCTTTTTCAGCATTTTAACTTTACTTAATATGACAAAAACTAATCAGCTAAATAGACAAGGCGGACTTTGTACCAAACCCATCTTGCTTTTCCCTTTCTCCTTTTCCCTCTACCCCCACAGATTTCAGCTCAATGCATCTGTTAGAGGCATTCCAAGCAGAGTGACTCTGTCTTGAACAGAGGCTGGGTAAAATGAGGCTGAGACCTGCTGGGCTGCATTCCCAGGATAGGCATTCTTAGTAACAGAATGAGACAGAAGGTTGGCCCAAGATGCAGGTCACAAAGACCCCGCTGATTAAAAGGATGCAGTAAAGAACCTGGCCAAAACCAAGATGGTGACAAAAGTGACCTCTGATCATACTCACTGATCATTATACACTAATTTTAATGCATTAACACACTAAAAGACACTCCCACCAGCACCATCACAGTTTACAAATGCCATAGCAACGTCCAGAAGTTACTCTATATGGTCCAAAAAGGGGAGGAACCCCCAGTTCCAGGAACTCCCCCTCCTTTCCTGGAAAACTCATTGAATATCCACCCCTTGTTTAGCATATGATCAAGAAATAGCCATAAGTACACTGAGCCAATCAGCCCATGCCACTGCTCTGCCTATGGAGTAGCCATTCTTTTTTATTTTTTGAGACGGAGTCTCGCTCTGTCGCCCAGGCTGGAGTGCAGTGGTGCGATCTCGGCTCACTGCAAGCTCCATTTCCCAGGTTCACGCCATACTCCTGCCTCAGCCTCCCAAGTAGCTGGGACTACAGGCGCCCGCCACTATGCCAGGCTAATTTTTTGTATTTTTAGTAGAGACGGGGTTTCATTGTGTTAGCCAGGATGGTCTCGATCTCCTGACCTCGTGATCCGCCTGCCTCGGTCTCACAAAGTGCTGGGATTACAGGCGTGAGCCACCGCGCCTGGCGAGTAGCCATGCTTTTGTTTGTTTACTTCTCTAATGAACTTGCTTTCACTTTACTTTGTGGATTCATCCCAAATTCTTTCTTGCATGCGACCCAAGAACCCTTTCTTGGGGTTACTAACACATCAGGTGTTTGTTGAATACCCTTTGTGTTCCAGTCTCTGTGAAATGGCTGCTATATGCTTAACATAACACTGCATGTGGCACAGAGCTCAAAAGCAAAATACTAGAATTTGATTGCAAGGATGTAAATACAGTTTGTTGATTTATATCTCTTTTAAAATGCCTTTCATCGCTCCCATTCCCTTTTATGCACCGAAGTTATAATTCACTCCAAACATCTGAATATCTAGAACTGGAAGGCATTGTAGGGGGTAAAAGTAAAAATCCTGATTCCTGTCCACCAAGAATTTATATTCTACCATTTAAACATAGTAGAATTAGTGAGCATGACAATAAAGTGCTGAATTATGTGGAACAGGACCTGGAGGAATGTAAAGGACATGATGTCATCTTAGTTTCCTATGGCTGGTGTAACAAATTACAAACCTGGTAGCTTAAAGCAACACAGTTTTATGTTTTTTTGTTTGTTTGTTTGTTTGTTTTGAGACAGAGTCTTGCTCTGTCTCCCAGGCTGGAGTACAGTGGCACCATGTGTGCTCACTGCAAGCTCCGCCTCCTGGGTTCACGCCATTCTCCTGCCTCAGCCTTCCCAGTTGCTGGAACTACAGGCGACCGCCACCACGTCGGCTAATTTTTCGTATTCTTAGTAGAGGTGGGGTTTCACCCTGTTAGCCAGGATGATCTCGATCTCCTGACCTCGTGATCTGCCCGCCTCGGCCTCCCAAAGTGCTGGGATTACAGGCGTGAGCCACAGTGCCCAGCCAACAGTTTTATTTTCTTATAGGTCTGGAGCTTAGAAGTCTAAAATCAGGCTCAGTGGGCTAAAAATGAAGGTGTCAGCACAGCTGCTTACTTCTGGAGGCTCCAGGGAAGAATCTGCTTCCCTAGAATTTCGCCTCTTCCAGTTTATAGAGAGGCTGCAACTTTTTTGTCTCATGGCCCCACATCACATGGCCTTTTTCCCCCTGCTTTCATTGTCACATCACCATCTTTCCCACTCTGATCCTCCTTCCTCCTTTATATAAGGACTCTTGTGATTACATTAAGCCCACCTGCATAATCCAGGATACTCTTCCCATCTCAAGGTCCTTAATTTAATTACATCAGCAAAGTCCCTTTTGCCATGGAGGCTAGCATTCACAGACTCCAAGGACTTGAATATGGACGTCTTTGGGGGGGCATTATTCATCCTATCACAGATGTGCAGTTGTATAGTGTACAAGTGGAAAGTAACTAGGGAAAGTTTTAAAATTTAATAGAGGAATTGGGATTTAAGCCATACCTTAAAAGACAGGTAAAATGTAATCTGAAGAGAAAAATTAGTAAAGTCTTTCAGGCAGGAGAAAAACATCATGAGTAGCAAAAATATACTTCAGATTCAAGGGCCTCAAGGCACTAACTGTCCTCTGGAGAATACAGCAGTGACACAGATTAAATGGTTAGTAGGAGGACCTAATAGAGAAAGGTGTTGCATAGTCTGTTAGACCAAAAGAATTTAAGAAGATAAAAGAACATAAAATGTAGCTCTGAATAAGTTAGTTCAAAGAAACTATATCTAGAAAGTGTTAAACACTTTGTGTGTGTGTGTGTGTGTGTGTGTGTGTGTGTGTGTGTGTGTTATATTCATAGCAAAAATAAGGCCATTGGATTTCAAGGACTATGAAATGCAAAAGAGGAAGAGCAAATATAATGCAATAAATAAATCAAAACTTTATTCACCTTTCAGTTTTGCTGTTTTAAATGTTTCTATATCCTTTATTTTTTGCTGACCTAAAGGGAGAAGGTGGGTAAGAGATTCAAGTAAAGAAAAAAATATTAGTCCATGAATATTTTTTATTCCTTTTATGGATCAGATGTCCTATATTTAGAATGTGTTTGACCTACTTCTCTCACAGGCATTTATTTCCACCCTCCCATTTATCTCTCTTTTGATCTTTTTCCAAAAACAGAAGAAAGTGTTGGGGGAAGACAAAGCAGGGGGTGGCGCAAAATATTTCAGTAAGATGTAGGGACTGGCCGGGTGCAGTGGCTCACGCCTGTAGTCCCAGAACTTTAGGAGACGGAGGTGGGCAGATCACTTGAGGCAAGGAGTTCAAGACCAGCCTGGCCAACACAGGGAAACCTCATCTCTACTAAAAATACAAAAAATTACCAGGCGCAGTGGCTCATGTCTGTAATCCCAGCTACTCAGGAGGCTGAGGCACGAGAATCACTTGAACCCGGGAGGCGGAGGTTGCAGAAAGCAAAGATCGCACCACTGCACTCCAGCCTAGGTGACAGAGCGAGACTCTGACTCAAAAAAAGAAAAAGAAAAAATAAAATAAAATAAAAAGATGTAATTACCAGGGCTGCAGAGAAAAAGGGAGGAGAAGGGGGAAGATACACAAGAGAAAGATATTACAGCCCATGACCTTATGCTTCTATTGGATAGATGTTGAAAATATGAACACATTCATATAGGCTGATGCTCTTGCAAAATAATTAAAAGGAAGGGAAGAAATTGTAAGTAGAAAATCAAAGAAATTAATTACTAAAGAAAAACAGTTTACCATTTTGCCTATGGTTAGCCACTTTTTTAAAAACCACTTTTCACTTGTATTTACATAAGAAATATTCTTTCACATTAGCAAAGTGCTGAAATACTTCCACCCACTGTAACTCTGCTACACTTTCCACATTCATTCCTTGCATTATATAACAAACATATTTTTACATGGATTATTTCACCAACACCTCCTCCTAACTCTGCCACCAAAAAGTTTTGCAAAATATATGCAGAAGTCAAAAGCAATGGCTTTTGAAATTTTTAGAAAATGAACACAATTACTAGAAACATTTTATTTTAGTGATCATGGCTCACTGAAGCCTCAACCTCCCGGGCTTAAGCAATCCTCCCACCTCAGCCTCTCAAGTAGCTGGGACCACAGTCAGGTACCACCATGACCCAATAATTTATTTTAATTTCTTGTAGAGATGGTGGGGGGGGGGGGGTCTCCCTGTGTTGCCCAGGCTGGTCTCAAACTCCTGGCTCAAGCAGTCTTCTTACCTCGGCCTCCCAAAGTGTTGGGATTATGGGCATGAGCCACCATGCCCAGCTGCAATATCTTACATAAGCAAATACAAGCCAAGTTTTGTTCAAACTTCTATTTTCTTTTTTTGAGACAGGGTCTCACTCTATGCCCAGGCTGGAGTGCAATTTCACAATCATGGCTCACTGTAGCCTCAACCTCCCAGGCTCAAGAGATCCTCCCACCTCAGCCCCCCCAAGTAGCTGGGACTACAGGAGCGCACCATCACACCTGGCTAATTTTTATATTTTTTTGTAGAGACAGGGTCTCACTATGTTACCCAGGCTGGTCTTGAACCCCTGAGCTCAAGTGATCCACCTGCTTCAGGCTCCCAAGTGCTAGGATTACAAGCGTGAGCCACTGCACCCAGCCCAAACTTCTATTTTCATATAAACACTAAAGTAATTTTTTTTGTTTTTTTGAGACAGCGTCTTGCTCTGTCACCTAGCCTGGAGTGCAGTGGCACGATCTTGGCTCACTGCAGCCTCTGCCTCCCAGGTTCAAGCAATTCTCCTACCTCAGTCTCCCGGGTTCAAGCAATTCTCCTACCTCAGTCTCCCGTGTAGCACCACCACCCTGGCTAATTTTTTTTTTTTTTTTTTTTTGAGACGGAGTCTCGCTCTGTCGCCCAGGCTGGAGTGCAGTGGCGGGATCTCGGCTCACTGCAAGCTCCGCCTCCCGGGTTCACGCCATTCTCCTGCCTCAGCCTCCCAAGTAGCTGGGACTACAGGCGCCCGCCACTACGCCCGGCTAATTTTTTGTATTTTTAGTAGAGACGGGGTTTCACCGTTTTAGCCGGGATGGTCTCGATCTCCTGACCTCATGATCCGCCCGCCTCGGCCTCCCAAAGTGCTGGGATTACAGGCGTGAGCCACCGCGCCCGGCCTAATTTTTTTTTTTTAACATATTTTAGTAGAGACAGGATTTCACTATATTGGCCAGACTGGTCTCAAACTCCCAACCTCAGGTGATCCACCTGCCTCGGCCTCCCAAAGTGCTGGGATTACCGGCATGAGCCACCACGCCCGGCCTAAAGTAATTTATTAAAATAAGAGATTGAAATTCAACTTGCCTTATCTCTTTTATGTTATTCGAGGGTCACTAGAGAACTAGAGGTATGATATCAGATACTACTGTACAGTCAGGGCAGGCTAGGCTGTGGTCCTGTAATAACCTTCACATCTCACGACTTAACACACACACATCTATTTTATGAAGGACTCTGCTTCACAGTCTTCACTCAGAGACCCAGGCTGACAGCCTCCACCACAAGGAGGAACACCCCCAGTCATTACCATGGGAAGAAGAAACATGGCAAATTGCACACTAACTCTTGAAGACTTTCACCCTTAAGGTGACAGAGGTTACATTTCATTACCCACAGCCAGCCACATGGCTACACCCAACATCAAAGGGGTGGGGAAGCATTTTCCTCACAGGTGCTTGGGAAAGGAGAAAAACAGAAAGTGAATAGCATCAGTGACTATCACAGGTGCCAGCAATTAGAGTTTTCTTCTATTAGAGTCTTTCTTCTTGAGGCAATCTGAGAAAAGTCAGGTTTTTTTAGAATGGGATTTTTTTTTATAGACTTTTTTTTTTTTTTTTTTTGAGACGGAGTTTCGCTCTTGTTGCCCAGGCTGGAGTACAGTGGTGCTGCAGCTCACCATAACCTCCGCCTCCCGGGCTCAAGTGATTCTCCTGCCTCAACCTACCGAGTAGCTGGGATTACAGGCATGCACCACCATGCCTGGCTAATTTTGTATTTTTAGTAGAGACAAGGCTTCTCCATGTTGGTCAGGCTGGTCTCAAACTCCCAACCTCAGTTGATCCACCTGCCTCGGTCTCCCAAAGTGCTGGGATTACAGGTGTGAGCCACCGTGCCCGGCCTAGACTTTATTTTTTGGAACAGTTTTGGGTTTACAACAAAGTTGAGCAAAAAGTACAGAGGTCCCCTATGTCCCCTGCTCATACACACTCATACCCCTCACTACCAACATCTCCCACCAAAATGATTCACGTATTACAATCAATGAACCTACATTAATACATCATCATCACTCAAAGTCCATAGTTTGCATTAGGATTCACTCTTGATATTCCCCATTCTATGGGTTTTGACAAATGTATAATTGCATATATTCACCACTGGAGTGTCATACAAGATAGCTCCACTGCCCCAAAACATCTGTGCCCACCTATTCACCCCTCTCTCCCTGCAACTCCTGGCAACCACTGATCTTTTGACTGCATAGTTTTGCCCTTCCCAGATTGTCACATAATTGGAATTGTATAGTATGTAGTCTTTTCAGACTGGTTTCTTTCACTTAGTAATATGCATTTAAGCTTCCTCCATATCTTTTCATGGCTTAAGAGCTCATTTCTTTTAGCACTGAATAATATTCCATTGTATGGATATACCACAGCTTGTACATTCACCTACTGAAAGACATCTTGGTTGTTCTCAAGTTTTGGCAATTATAAATGAAACTGCTATAAACGCCATGTGCAGATTTTTGTGTATACGTAAGTTTTCAGATCAGTTGGGTAAATACCAAGCAGTGAGATTTCTGGATCATAAGGTAAGAGTATGTTTAGTTTTGTAAGAAACTACCAAACACTCTTCCAAAGAGGCTGTACCATTTTGCATACCAACGTGCAATGAATGAGGGTTCCTGTTGTTCTACGTCCACACCAGCCTTTGGTGGGGTCAGTATTTTGAATTTCACCCATTGTAATGGGTGTGTAGTGGTATTTCATTGTTTTAATCTGCAATTTCCTAATGGCATATGATGTTGAGCATCTTTTCATATGCTTCTTTGCTATCTATATATTTTCTTCAATGAGATGTGAGTTGACATCTTTTACACATATTTGAAGCAAGTTGTTTGTTTTCTTATCACTGAGTTTTAAGAGTTATTTGTATATTTTGCATAATAGTCCTTTATCAGACATGGTTTTTTTGTTGTTGTTTTTTTGTTTTTATGAGACGAAGTCTCACTCTGCCACCCAGCTTGGAGAGCAGTGGTGCAGTCTTGGCTCACTGCAACCTCTGCCTCCTGGGTTCAAGTGATTCTCATTCCTCAGCCTCCCAAGTAGCTGGGATTACAGGCATGCACCACCACACCTGGCTAATTTTTGTATTTTTAGTACAGACAGGGTTTCACCACGTTGGCCAGGCTGGTCTCAAACTCGTGACCACAGGTGATCTGCCTGCCTCAGCCTCCCAAAGTGCTGGGATTACAGGTGTGAGCCACTGCACCTGGCCTATCAGACATGTTTTTGAAAATATTTTCTCCCAGTCTATGGCTGGTCTTCCCATTCTCTTGATTTAATTTTTAAAATGAACATTAGAAAGCAACTTAGGACAGTATGTCTCTATAGAAAGAGGGCAGATTTTCAAATTACTCACAAAAGCACATGACCAGTTTTGACATTTATAGTCAGGGACACCTTTCTGAGGTATACCTCCATAGAAATGATAGCAGCAGCGACTCATCTAAAGTGGCCATTGCCAAGATGCCAGCTACAGCAGGGAGGCACTGGGTAGTTCCTTAAAGGAAAATACGATCCATGGAGCAGGCAGGAGCCCTGCCCTTCGGCTGCAGACCCAGGGGTCTCTGTGCTCTTGGGAGCCCAGAGCCAGCTCTCTCCCAGAGCCCCCTGCCAGCACCTGTTCCTGCTGCCTGGCTTCTCCCACTGTCAGCTCCTGCTCTAATCCTGGAGCAAGGTTGGAGCCGAGCCCCGGCATTGTTGCAGCCCAGCCAGGGGGCTCATGCTCAGGGCAGTGCTGACACACCAGCCCCCAGCCACATCAGTCCCCTCCAGACTTTGGGTGATGAGGATCATGGGAGGGAAGCCGAGGGGGACTGCACGTAGCTCAACACTGGCCTGCAGGCACCTCTTGGCACAAACATCCTGGGTGCCAATGAATGGCCGTGAGAGGCAGACAGGCTCCTGGGAGGAAGGGGGTGGGTCCCCAGTGAAGCTCCACTTTCAGGCCAGGGAAGGTCCTACCAGTCCTGCCCACCAGAGGGGGAACTTGTGGTGCTTTTTCCTGAGCCCACCTATTGCTGCCCATGGACCAATCAGCATATACTTTCCCCACTCTGAATGAAAACCATAAAAACCCCAGACTCAGCCAGAGCAGGGCAGACATCAGGATGGCCAGCTGCATAGAGGAACTACCATCTCCGCTGAGAGATGAACATTTTTGGGGATGACCTGTCAGCAGAGAGGAGCCATCCACTCCAGGCCTCCTCTCTGCTGAGAGCTGCACACTCGATGGGACGACCTGCCCACAGAGAGGACCTGCTCACCGCGGGTCTCCTCTGAGCTGTTCTGACCCTCAGTAAAGTTCTTCTTCGTCTTGCTCACCCTCCACTTGTCTGCATACATCACTCTTCCTGGACATAGGACAAGAACTTGGGCAAAGGCACCACCACCCACAGAGGTTTCCAGCCAGAAAAGCAGCACCTCAAATATCCCAAGAAAAGAAATAGCAAAGGGCTAAAGTCAAAAGATTTGTTTCAAGCCCAGCTAAGATAATCATTAGCTGTATTAGATTTTTGTCTAACCAACTAGCAAGTAGAGAAGTCCAGACCTTCCTAAACAAACAAAGGAAGTTTTGATCAACTGAGCTTGAAAGTCCGGGGGCTGCTCTGGCTTCAAGGATTTCTATGTCTTCTCCTCAGCCAAAATAGGAATCTCTCCCTCTCTCTCCCTTTGATTCTCCACTCTGCTTTCTCCTATGTAGCATTCACTCTAGGAGCTCTCTCAATGTGATAGGAAAATAGCTCCAGGGTTTCATGATCCTTACATCTCCCAAGTGAAGTCAGTGCGCTCCTAGCATTCATTTATTTCAATCCCTTAAAAAAAAAAAAAAAAAAACTCAAAGCCAGGCACAGTGGCTCACACTTGTAATCCCAGCACTTTGGGAGGCTGAAGCAGGTGGCTCACTTGAGGTCAGGAGTTCAAGACCAGCCTGGCCAACATGGTGAAACCCCGTCTTTACAAAAAATACAAAAATTAGCCAGGTGTGGTGACGCATGCCTGTAATCCCAGCTACTCGGGAGGCTGAGGTAGGAGAATTGCTTGAACCCAGGAGGCAGAGGTTGCAGTGAGCCAAGATTGCACCACTGCACTCCAGCCTGGGCAACAGAGCAAGACTCCATCTCAAAAAAAAAAAAAACACTCAAATACTTGGATTACATGCCCACCCGTATACCAATCTCTGCATCTAGGGGAATATAGTGGACCCTGATGGGTCAGTGTGGGTCACACATAACAGACAGAGGCAGAGCCCCTTGACTGACAGACCTGCTAGGAGTTATAGAAAGGCACTGGGTAGTTCCTTAAAGGAAAAATCAGAGTCCTATTACCAAAAAGAGGAAGGAAATTGGCCCAACCAAAACAACAGATGTCAACTATATCAGTTATGAGATTTTAGTCAAGTCACTTACTCTCTGAACCTGTGTTTTTTTCATCAGTAAAAGAGGCATGATAATGATAATACCAGACCCATTACTCGGTGTAGTTCTTGTAAGAATCAAGCACGCATTATATGAACAGGATTTGTAAACTGCTGCAAGACACTATTGTAAATAATAGCACCCACTAAACGAGCATTTATTATGGCTAGAAGAAATAGTATTATTTCTGTTATTAGTGCCTTGGATACATATATTCACTAACCTTAATGTGATCTCTTAAATAGACTTTAGGTTTCCTAAGTAACCATTCAACCTTAATTTGGCTTCTTATGTAGACTTCTCTGTTGAAATAAGAGGGACTAAATGACTTAAATGAATATCGGAGGGCTTGGCAATTCTATGTTTTATTAAAATTCATTTCTTTTATACAAATCAACTTCATACAATAGGCAGTTTTTTAGTGGTTAATATCAACTGGTTAAGCTGGCAACTGAAGTTGCAAACCTGCAAAATTAGAAGATCAAGCTGTGAGGGATAGAGAACATCACCAATACCAGTGTTCTGCTTCTATTGGCAGGTGGGGAATCTTTTTTATTTTTTATTTAGTATTATCAAATCTGACAGTAAATGAATATCCGTAATATTGAGTGTTAATCATTTGAAATAGTATCAGTGTTTTTGAACTATTAGTAAAACTAGTCACAAATGATGATTCATTCAAATAACTTTAAATATTATTCAAAAGACAGCGATTCTTCTTCCACTTTGGGGTTTTCACAAAATTCATTTGTTAATCTTACATGTAGATATCAAAGTAGCCATCAGTCATTATTACTTTATTCTCTATGTTATGGAAAAAGTGTGATTTTAATGACCATAGGCATCATATATTATTCCAGGACTCAGCTTTCCTTTTAGGATAGATTTATTTAAATTAGCTAGGAGATAGATCATGCTTCATTTAAAATTGCTAAAATAAGTACTTGCATTAGCTATGCAAAATAGTCCTTTTTTTACTTAAAATGTTCTCTTCAAAGTGTTTCAGTTGCTAAATGTGAATTATTTCCAAAGATTCTCCAGACCAAAAGGTGAGATGATATTTTAAAAATTCAATTTCCTTATAATGTAATGAGGTCAATAATACAAAGAGTTCAGAGTCTCTGATTCCTTTTTCAGTTTAAAAATGCCAGTGGATCAAGTAATTTCTAAATTATTGCCCTAGTCTTTGGACTTCCTATAAATTTCTTGTCAACATTTTTTGAATTTACTTAGGAAAGTGCTGTCTTTAAAATTAATTATTCACTTACCTTCATTTTAAAGTATTTTTTCAAAACTGCTTATTTGATGTAGTAGATGAAAGGGTATATTTAAAGGCATTAATTTTTATTAACAGCTAAATATCTCAAGATGTCATTTTTCCCTCTAAGTTTTCAGAAAAGTCTCTATTATGTGCTCCCAGAGAGAAAAATAGACTTTAAATTAATTTACTTAATAAAGAGATAAATATAGTCTGTCTGTATCTCATCATAAACTTAGGAGAACTAATCCCTGAATGCCAATGACTACTGCAGGATTTTATCAGTCCTGGTTTTCCTCAGTCCCACCGTCACCTTCCCTGCTCTGCCCCATACCACAGGGGCTGGCTTTCCTGGTCCCTGTGCCAGCTTGCTTCCAGCTGAGTTTGGCCAATGGGAGGCACTAGTAGAGGTTACAGGCTGGGAGATTGGAAGGGGGTGGTAAAGAAGAAATCAAGGTATTTCTCCTTCCTTTTTGCCTCAGAAGGCAACTGGAGCAATGACTGGCTCTCCCATCTGGCCCCAGCTCCCAGTTGGAGAGTCCTGCTGTGAGTCCAACTTTGTCAGATATATCAGGCAGGGTCCAATGAGGAGAAAGAATGCACACAGTAATTTAAACAGGGAAAATTTAATATAGAAATTTAGGCCAGGCACAGTGGCTCACACCTGTAATACCAGCACTTTGAAAGGCCAAGGAGGGAGGATTGCTTGGACCCAGGAGTTCAAGACCAGCCTGGGCAACATAGCAAGGTCCCAACTCAAAAAATAAAATATAATTAAGTTAAATTAAATTTTAAAATATAGAAAGTTATTCACTATTAGAGAGATATTGGAGCAATGCAGTAAGAAAGATAATTCTAAAGAATACAAGAATAGCAGATATAAGGAGCAGTCACAACGTTGGGACTGAGATAAAGCATCCAAGTAAGATCTCTGCAACCTCACCAAGACAAAAATCCAGATCTTGTTGGAGATGGAATAGTGTTGGTTCACTAGATAGTGAAGCTGAGGTGCCATGCCAGAAGCACTTGCTGAGGTACTAAGACAAGCTATCTGCAGAGAGATACCAAACCTTGCCACCCATTGCAAAGCTACCTTAGGTGATGCTGGGGAAACTCCCCATGGGGAGGTACTGTGTGCTGCCAGCTAGGAAATACTGCAGGAGCTGGGCACTACAGAAGCCATGTGTGTTGCAGGAGCCAAGTATTGCAGATGCTGTACATACTGCAGGAGCACCGGTGAGAGGAGCACACGGAAGTCAGGAAGAGAGAGAAAAAAACGTTCCTCCTGCAATGTCTCTCCAGCACCGTCTACCAACAAAGCTTAATATCATGCCAGAAGAGAACTATTTACAAGGCCTATATTAGTTTGCTATTGATGCATAACATATTACCGCAAACTTAGTGGTTTAAGCAACACAAAGTTATTATTGCACAGCTCCTGTGGCTTAGGAGTCTGGCACATTTTGTCTGGGTACTCTGCTTAAGGTCTCACACAGCTGAAATCAAGGTGTCAGCTGGCTACATATTCATCTGGAGGATCAACTAGGAAGTGATCCACTTCCAAGTTCATTTAGGTCATTGGCAGAATTTAGTTCCTTGCAGTTGTAGAACTGAAGACCTTGTTTTCTTGCTGGCTGTCAACCAGGGACCACTCTCAACAACTAGAGGGTACTCTGGCCATGTCACCCCCTCCATGGGCCCTCTTAACTTTGAATCTCCTCGCCCAAGAAGAGTCCTCTTTCTCTTTCAAGAAAGCACCTGAGTAGGTCAGACCCACTCAGGAAAACCACCCTTCGATTAACTCAAAGTTAACTGATTTGAGATCTCAATTATATATTCACCTTTGTCATCTGATGTAACCTAATCACGGGAGTAAAATCCATCATGTTCACAGTCCCATCTATACTCACGAAAAAGGGATTATATAGGACCTGTACACCAGGAAGGTGAGAATCTTGGGAGCCATCTTAGAATTATGACTATAGGCAATGAAGAATGGATTTGGAGTGAAGAGACAATAAATTGACGATTGGCATACCAGGTAACCCCTACCCCTGGGTTCCAGGAACACCACCTCTTCTCCAGCCGAGGGGACAGTGGCTGCCTGTCATTGCTAATCTCTGGATTGCCTCACCATCCCCTGTTGATTAATAATTATCAAGAGTAACAATTCTCTATCATAAACTCTATTTTCAAATACTCAGAATAATTTATGTCTTCCTAGTTAGAACCTTACTAAGACAAAGTTTTGCTAATATCTTTCCACCCAGGTAATGTTAGCTAAAACCATAAAAGTGGCAATGTCTGTAAATGTAACTGGGGTCTGTACTACCTATGTGATAGCTGTACCCCCTGTCTGAGCCTGCCTGTACCCAGTCCAGATGTACCACTTCCCAAGTACAATGGGTTGCTGTTAGGCGTACCTGACCTTATGACTTGGTGGTTCAGAAGCTAGCTCATAATGGGCCCTTCTGGCCACATGGATACATATTACATAATCAGATGCTCCATTTCTGTCAAGGCCAGTAGCACACCAGAAGCTGAGTTTTAAAAGGTCTATAAATTCTGTGTAGATGCTGGGCCTTGTTCCAGATCCTGGGGTCTATGTGGGCTTGCCATAAACTGCACAAGACATCTTTTCCCACCACTGATACCTCCAACATTATAGGGGCTTCTCAATCTTAAGACCAAGTAACAGTGCTGCCTGCATCACAGGCTGGACCTGCTACAAAGCCATGTCTTGCTCTGAAAAGCTTTCCATATTACACCATAAATGAGCTGGAGCTTGGTACATGCTGCCACCAGAACATAGAATTCTACCAGGTATTGCGTTTCCTTCCTGGTGATGGGAGATACAAGCTCAACAATGTATCCTTTACTTCAGAGGGGATGTCCTAGCATGCCCTCCACTAGACCTCTAAAGATTTCACTGATGTCTTGGAACACTGAATCTTCATAGGGTTTCTCTCCCACTCTCTGGAGCACAAATTTTTTTCCAAGGCCACCAACATGTTGGCGATTTCTTGCTCATCCAGTTCAATGAAGTCATAGTTATAATAAACCAATGTGATAATCTGCATCTCCAGGTGATCTAAATGTCTTTCTACTACATTATGTGAAAGGACGGAAAAGTTAACATAGCCCTAGGGCAGAAACATAAATTAATACTTATTGTGTCCATTCCCACATGAATGCAAACTGATTCTTTTTTTCTTCTTCTGTTTTTTTTTTTTAATTGAGATGGGGTCTCACTCTGTTGCCCCGTCTGGAGTGAAGTGGTGCAATCTTGGCTCACTGCAACCTCTGCCTCCCAGGCTCAAGCCATCCTCCCACTTCAGCCTCCCAAGTGGCTGGGACTAGAGTTGTGAGTCACTACGCCCGGCTAATTTTTCCATTTTTTTGTAGAGATGGTGTTTCACCATGTTGCCCAGGCTTCTCTTAAGCTCCTAAGTTCAAGGGATCCTCCCACCTTGGCCTAGACCCATCATCTCACAACCATCTCCATAGCCCTCTTTGTATCAGACTCCTCTGGAAAACAGTCTATTTTTTTCTGCTTACTATGATAATCTCACCCACTTTGCACGTGATGGTTTAAGTGCTACTACCTAACCTCGGTTACATGATAGGATCCTACCATGCCCCTGTCTATTACGGAGCCCAGTTTTACAATGGCATATCTTACTTCTGTGGCCCTGGCCTATAGAAGATCACTGAGTTTCTCAATGATTCTGGTGCCCCCTTTTACCAGCGCATTCCTTATCCCTTTAATAGATGGACTATCATCTGGATTCTTCTGCAGAACATAGCAGATGGGTTTTCCAGATTTATATATCTACTCTAGAGAGCACATATCTCTGAGCCCTTTACTCCTTTACTATGTTCCAAAGCAGTCTGAATTTTCTACTATATTTCTTCTAAGCTTTCTCAAAAACTATCTTGACAGCAAGTTAACACTATTTCCCAAGGTGTTAAATCCTGTGTTATGGAAGAGTGCTCCCTTATCCATAAATTCTTCTTTATCTCCACTGATCCAGCCTCTTTAGAATCCAGTTCCATATATTCACTCCCAGCTCCTGCCAATACATACTAGCTATATCTTGCAGCTCTTTTAGCCTGTGATCCATGTTTCCCTTAGCAGCTAAGGGAGGTGGTAGGGTACAGTGTTCCCTGATCCTAGCATTAGTCTGGTGGCCAGGTGGGGAAATGAGAGTTGATTATGGGAATGGATGGATGTGGTCTTATGCATTATGGGGATGATGCAAGGCAAAGGCCTCTATGTCATTTTTTAAAACTATTTACAATTTATTTAAAACTATTTAAAACTTTATTCTTAAATTAGCAACATTCAAAAAAGATATTCACAACTGGAGTCAGAGCAAGTGCAGAGACCCCAAAACAGATGGTTTTTCCTTAATTCATCAGACTGGAGCAGAGTTTAAACCAAGCTGGAACCACTCAGCCACGGACTGCAGCATCCACTTGGTCCAGAGCTTGTACAAATAGGAGCCATAAACCACGACCTCAGTGAGGTCTGAAGATTTCAGAGCCTTCAACTCAAGCATGGCCTTACTCACCTGCTCAGTGTAAGGGATCTGTGACCCTACTGGGCCATATGTGACTTCCAGCAGCTGCGTCTAGGCCTGAAACACCTCTGGATCTTCCAGGTCTTTGGGAACTTTCACCCACAGTGAGATATTTTTACATTCTGGGAGAATTCCCATCTTGCGACCCTCACAACCAACCACTCTCCTGCAGAAGCTAGGCCTAACCATCTACATCGTTTTAAGTAAAGTGGGATCATCGGCCTTTCACAGGAAGGACTGAGCTGCTTCTTCAGACCCAGAGGGCCAAGGGGAATCTGAGGATTCAAGATTTTCAAGTTTATCAACCTGGATTTTTCCATCTCAAGTTTCAGGATCCCACTCCCTCCCAGTAAAGACACTGACATTGATGTAACACACTTGGCATGGCTGAGGATTCACTCTTCTATGTATTTTTTTAATTTTTTGAGACAGGATCTCACTCTGCCACTATCGTGACTCACTGCAGCCTCGACCTCCCAGGCTCAGGTGAACCTCCCATCTCAGCCTCCCAAGTAGCTGGGACTACAGGTGCACACTGCCATGCCCGGCTTATTTTTTGTAGAGATGGGGTTTCGCCATGTTGCCCAGGCTGGTCTTGAGCTCCTAAGCTCAAGGCATCCATCTGCCTTGGCTTCCCAAAGTGCTTGGATTACAGGTGTGAGCCACCCACAGTGCCCTGCCAATTCACTCTTCTTTTTTCTTTTTTTTTTTTTTTTTTGAGACGGAGTCTTGCTCTGTTTCCCAGGCTGGAGTGCAGTGGCGCAATCTTGGCTCACCGCAACCAATGCCTCCCAGGTTCAAGCGATTCTCCTGCCTCAGCCTCCCAAGTAGCTAGGATTACAGGTGCCCACCACCACGCCCAGCTAATTTTTGTATTTTTAGTAGAGACAGGGTTTCACTATGTTGCCCAGGATGGTCTGGATCTCCTGACCTCGTGATCTGACCTCGTGATCTGCCTACCTCAGCCTCCCAAAGTGCTGGGATTACAGGCATGAGCTACCACGCCTGGCCACCAATTCACTCTTCTATGGAGCAAGTTTAGCTCCTGTTTTAGTCCTGGGCCTTTTCTTCAACTTTTGCTGCCATCTGACTTCAAGATTTGAGAGTCTACTTATTTCCTGCCTAGGAGACCCTCTGGCTTTCATATTTCATCTTTGCATTAGTCCATTTTCACACTGCTATAAAGAACTACCTGAGACTGAGTAATTTATGAAGAAAAGAAATTTAATTGGCTCACAGTACTGCAGGCTTAACAGGGAGCATGGCTAGCCTCAGGAAACTTACAATCATGGCGGAAGGTGAAGAAGAAGCAGGCAAGCCTTAACATGGCAGGGCAGGAAGGAGACAGAACAAGTGGGGAACTGCCACACACTTTTAAAACATCAGGTCTCATGAGAACTCTATCATGAGACAGCACTGGGGATGGTGCTAAACCATGAGAAACCACCCACATCAAATCGCCTCCCACCAGGCCCCACCTTCAACACATGGGGATTACAATTTGACATTAGACTTGGATGGGGACACAGAGCTGACACTGAAGCAGCTGGGATTACAGGTGCCCGTCGCCACACTAGGCTAATTTCTATAATTTTTAGTAGAGTCAGGGGTTTCACCATGTTGGCCAGGCTGGTCTCGAACTCCTGACCTCAAGTGATCCACCCACCTCAGCCTCCCAAAGTGCTGGGATTACAGGCGCGAGCCACTGTGCCTGGCCCCAAATTCCCTAATATGACATTCAAGGGCCATCACAATCTGGTCCCTACCTAGTTCGACTATTGTTCCTCGACATTCACTGATGTTCTGCCTGTTCTGATGGTTATTTTCTAGATACAATGTGCACTTCTGTATCTTCGTACCTTTACACATACTGTTCCTTCTTCCTGGAGTGCCCTATTTATCCTCTTTCATTATCAGAATTCACTGTCCAAATCCCAAGTCATATATTGCCTCATGTAGGAAGTCTTTCTTAGTACCACTACAACCAGAATTAATGTCTCCCACCAGCCTTTGTTTATATCTCCAATAAAGTCATTTCCATAGTCTACCCTGTATTACAGTTACTAAGTTTGTGGCTATGTTTCCCACTTGGTTGTGAACTTGTTACAGAAACGCCAAGGGTTCGGTCTAGGTCCTGTTGCTCACTGTATGGAATGTCAATCACTGAGACAATGAGTAGTTCCAGGGAAGAGGCTTTAATTGGGTGCTGCAGCAGAGGAGAATGGGAGATAAGTCTCAGATATGTCTCCCCGACCACTAAAATTGGGAGGTTTATGAAGCGGGGAAGTTGGGGAAAAAAGGAATTAGGGATGGGTAGAGAAGCAATCATGATGGATAAGGGGGTCTGGCACCTCATTGTGTGGATGTGGTGATCTCATGAGTTTCAATTCTCTGCCTGAGGGTCAGTTTCCTGAGGAAGGAACTGAGGTAAGACAAATGTAAGTTTCAAGTCTTAAGACCAGGGAGAATCAATTCCTACATTTGTTCAAAAACCATAAATATTAGTTCTCTGAGACAATTGGGACAATTTCAAACTCTTTCAGGATTTGCACTGTCAAGATTTCACTCATCTTTAGATGTTTATTGCCTAATCCAGTCTCTTTCCCATGGTAGGATTTATATTAGAGTATATATTCAGCTGCTGTAACAAAGATCAAGGTAACAATGGTTCAAACAAGGCAGAAGTCTATCTGTTCACACAGGGACATGGGGTCCTGGTAGCTTGTAGCTCTGTCACCCTTTGGGTACTGGCCTCATCTGTATGGTCCCAGAGGGCCCCAGCACATCCCCATGTCAGGAAGCAGGTTGGAGAAGGGTTGGAAAGAGAGGACACATCTCTGTGCCATGACCTGGAACTGCATGTATCACCCCCACTCAAATCCCAAAGACCAGAACTTAGTCACGTGCTAGTCTTAGTTGCAAGAAAGGCTAAGAGATGCAGTCTTTCACTGAACAGCCACGAACACAGGTAAAACATTGGAAAGATGGGGAGTATTGATGGCTGGAAAGCAACTAGCAGTCTTGCTACAGAATCAGTGGGTGTTTGCTTTTAAAAGTTACATTAAAAAACATGAACATTCATTTCACTGACAGAAGTATGCTGGAAGATTGGGAAAGAGAAAAGGTAAGACAGAAAAAAAGACACAGTTGGAACAAGATAGCAAGATAGCTGCTGAGCAACAAAGAGAAGAGAGAGATGAGATGAGAGAGAAGCAAGAAAGAGAATCAGCATGCCCTGCCCCATTAGCATTATCAGGAGAAGCCCCTGGCTGTTTGGAGCCCAGTTCTCTCCCAATAGGATGGCCCTATATGCCTCAGCAAGGACTCCTTCAAAGTCACTTGAGCCTACAATAGGATTCACATTTCTGGTGTGTCAGAAATAAGAAACAACTCAGGATTGTCACCACCAACAATTATTCCAAATAACTAGGTATCTCAACTGTTTAGAGTCTTCTTTCTTAAAAAAAAAAAAAAAGGTAGAAAAAAACAACAACAGGGGGTCTCGCCTTGTTGCCTAGGCTGGTCTTGAAGTCCTGGCTTCAAGTGATCCTTCTACCTTAGCCTCCCAAAGTGCTAGGATTACAGGCATGAGCCACTGCACCCAACTGAGTTATCTTTCTTTTAAATACTATTTGCCCAAACCTTCTCCAGTTTCGGGAGTTGTGGGTGCGTCTTCCGTTTCCTTGCCCTTTTCCTTCCTCCCTTCCTCCCTTTTATTTGAGGGGAGGAAGATGGCAAGGAATGGGAAGATGAACCCACAGGAAAAACTTAAGGAGAAATTGCTAGTCCTCCCTGCTTATACCATATTCTCTATATTAACCAAATTTTAAGTCTAGATTTGTTAGTGGGACTATGGGATTGCCAATGTCCCTTTCTTAATGTAGTATTTCTCTCTTTATTCCTTCCTCCACATTTCCTGTGCTACAAATAAATTAATATTCCTAGTCATTATATTGTTATAAAAGTTAAACATATTTCTTTCTTTCTTTCTTTTGTTTTTGAGACTGGGTCTTGCTCTGTCACCCAGGTTGCAGTGCTGTGGCACAATTATGGCTCATTGCCCTGCTGACTTCCTGGGCTTCTGTGATCCTCCCACCTCAGCCTCCTGGAGTTGCTGGGATTACAGGTACACGCCACCATGCCTGGCTAATTTTCTTGTGTGTGGGTCTCACTATGTTGCCCAGGCTGGTCTCAAACTCCTGGGCTTACATGATCCTCCTGCCTTGGTCTCTTAAAATGCTGGGATTACAGGCATGAGCCACCATACCCAGCCCTTTTGTGATTGTCTTGTTTCACTTGGCATAATGTCTTCAAGTTTCATCCATGTTGTAACATGCATTAGAATCTTCTTCCTTTTTAAGGCTGAATAATATTCCACTGTATGTATACACATTTTGTTTATTCATCCACCTATGGGCACTTGGGTTGCTTCTTTCTTTTGATTATTGCGAATGCTGCTGCTATGAATATGGATGTACAACTATCTGTTCAAGTTTTTGCTTTCACTTTTTTGGGGGTCTATAATCAGAAGTAGAAAGCCTGGATCATATGGTAATTTTATGTTTAATTTTTTGAAGAAACACCACACCGTCTTCCATAGCAGTTGCATGGTTTTTGTTGTTGTTACTGTTGTTTTGGTTTTTTTGGTTTTTTTTGAGATGGAGACTTGCCCTGTCGCCCAGGCTGGAGTGCAGTGGCACAGTCTTGGCTCACTGCAACCTTTGACTCCCGAGTTCAAGTGATTCTCCTGCTTCAGTCTCCCAAGTAGCTGGGACTAGAGGCATGCGCCACCACACTCAGCTAATTTTTGTATTTTTAGTACAGACATGGTTTTACCATGTTGGCCAGGCTGGTCACGAACTCCTAACTTCAAGTGTTCAGCCCACCTCCGCCTCCCAAAATGCTGGGATTACAGGCATGAACCACCATGCCCAGAGTAGTTGCATGTTTTTACATTCCCACCAATGCACAAAGGTTCCAATTTTTCCACATCTTGCCAACACTTATAGGTGTGTGTGTGTGTGTGTGTGTGTATAATAGCCATTCTAATGGGTGTAAAGTGGAAAGTAGTAACTCCTTGTATGCAGATTTTTTAAATAGATAGGATCTTGCAATGTTGTCCAGGCTGGAATATAGTGGCTATTCACAGGTGCAATTATCACCCACTCCTCAAACTCCTGGGCTCAAAGGATCCTCCTGCCTCAGCCTCCCTATTAGCCCAGACTCTACAGGCACATGGCACTGGGCCGGGCGTCCTTGTGGTTTTGATTTGCATTTCCCTAATAATTAGTGATGTTAAGCATCTTTTCATGTGTTTATTGGCCATTTGTATATCTCCTTTGAAGAAATGCCTATTCAAGTCCTTTGCCTGACTTTAAAAATTGGGTTGTTTGGTTTTTTGTTGTTGAAGTATATTTCTTCTTTATATATTCTAGATATCAATGACTTATCAGAGCTATGATTAGCTAGCACATATTTTCTCCCTTCTCTGGGTTGCCTTTATAATCTGTTCATAGTGTCCTTTGATGTACAAGTTTTTAATTTTGATGGAATCTAATTTATCTTTTTTCTTTTGTTGCCTATCCTTTTGGAGTTATAGCTAATAAATCATTGCTAAAATAATGCCACAAAACTTTTCCCCTATGTTTTCATCTGAGTTTTATAGTTTTAGTTCTTATATGTAGGTCTGTAATCCATTTTGATTTGCTTTTTGTATATGGTGTAAGGTAAGGGTCCAAATTCTTTTTTTTTTCTTTTTGCATGTGAATATCCAATTTTCCCAACATCATTTGTTGAAAAAGACTATCCTTTCCTTACTGAATGGTCTTGACACTCCTGTCAAAAATCATTTGACCATATTTTTGAAGGTTTATTTCTGAATCCACTGATCCATATGTCCTTCTTTATGCCAGAACCACAGTATTTTGATTATTATAGCTTTGTAGTAAGTTTTGAAGCTGGAAAGTGTAAGAAGTCCAACTTTGTTCTTCTTTTTCAAGATTGTTTTGGCGATTTGGGTCCCTGGAGATTCCTTATGAATCTTTTTTTTTTTTTTTTTGAGACGAAGTTTCCATCTTGTTGCCCAGGCTGCAGTGCAATGGCACAATCTCGGCTCACTGCAACTTCCGGCTCCTGGGTTCAAGTGATTCTGCTGCCCCAGCCTCCAGAGTAGCTGAGATTACAGATATGCACCACCACGCCCGGCTAATTTTGTATTTTTGGTAGAGACGGGGTTCTTCCATATTGGTCAGGCTGGTTTTGAACCCCCAACCTCAGGTGATCAGCCCGCCTCGGCCTCCCAAAGTGCTGAGATTACAGGCATGAACCACCGCGCCCGGCCTCCTTATGAATCTTAGGATGTATTTTCCTATTTCTGCAAGAAATGTTTTTAGATTTTTTTTTTTTTTTTTGAGAGCTGCTGGGGTTCTCACTGTGTTGCCCAGGCTGGTATTGAACTCCTGGCCTCAAGCAATCCTCCTTCTTCAGCCTCCCAAAGTGTTGGGATCACAGGGGTGAGCCACCATGCCCAGCCATTGTTAGGATTTTGACAGGGATCACATTGAATCTGTAGTTCACTGTGAGTAATATTAACATCTTAAATAAGAAAACTTTTTGGCTGGGCGTGGTGGCTCACGCCTGTAACCCCAGCACTTTGGGAGGCCAAGGCAGGTGGATCATTTGAGGTCAGGAGATCCAGACCAGCCTGGCCAACATGGTGAAACTCTGTCTCTACTAAAAAATACAAAAATTAGCTGGGCATAGTGGTTTGTGCCTGTAATCCCAGCTACTCAGGAGGCTGAGGCAGGAGAATCGCTTGAACCCAGGAGACGGAGGTTGCAGTGAGCCAAGATTGCACCATTGCACTGCAGCCTGGAGGACAGAGTGAGACTCTGTCTCAGAAAAGAAAAAAAAAAGAAAACTTTTTGATGATGAAAAAGTTCTGTATCTTATGATGATAGTTACATAACTACATGCATTTTTCAAAGTTCAAGGCTGGGCATGCTAGCTTACACCTATAGTTCCAGATGGGAGGCTGAGGAAGGAGGATCACTTGCAACCAGGAATTCAAGAGTGGCCTGAGCAATGCAGTGAGACCCTGATCTCTACAAAAAACAAAAACAAAAACAAAAGCAACAAAAAAAAAACAATTAGCCGGGCATGGTGGCACATGCCTATAGTCCTAGATACTCAGGAGGCTGAGGTGGGAAGATCACTTGAGCCCAGGAGTTCAAGGCTGCAATGAATTATGATCATGCCCCCGCACTCCAGCCTGAGTGACACAGTGAGACACTCTCTCTAAAAAAAAAAGAAAAAAAAAAAAAGTTGGGGGCGGTGGCTCATGCCTGTAGCACTTTGGGAGGCTGAGGCGGGTGGATCACAAGGTCAGGAGATCAAGACCATCCTGGTTAACACGGTGAAATCCCGTCTGTACTAAAAATACAAAACATTAGCCGGGCGTGGTGGCGGGCGCCAGTAGTCCCAGCTACTCGGGAGGCTGAGGCAGGAGAATGGCGTGAACCTGGGAGGCGGAGCTTGCAGTGAGTCGAGATAGCACCACTGCACTGCAGCCTGGGTGACAGTGCAAGACTCCGTCTCAAAAAAATAAAAATAAAAAAATTCATTGCACTGTACACTTGAAATGAGTACATTTGATTGCAGGTAAAGGATACCTCAAAAAATTGATTAAAAACTTTAAAGGCTGGGTGCAGTAGTTCACATGTGTAATTCGAGCACTTTGGGAGGCTGAGGCAGGAGGATCCACTTGAGCCCAGGAGTTCAAGATCAGCCTGGGCAACATAGCAAGTCCTTGTCTCTTATTAAAAAAAAAAAAAATGTGGCTGGGCACGGTGGCATTCACCTGTAGTCCCAGCTACTCAGGAGGCTGAGGTGGGAAGATCACTTGAGCCCAGGAGGTCAAGGCTGCAGTGAGCTGTGATCCCACCACTGCACTCTAACCTGGGTGACAGAATGAGACTCTGCCTTCCCCCTGCAAAAAAAGATAAAAGGAAAAAACTTTAAAAAGATATCCTGAGCCTGGGCAACATAGCAAGATTCGTGTCTCTACCAAACATTTAAAAATTGGCCAGGCATGGTGGCACACACCTGTAGTCCCAGCTGTTTGGGAGGCTGAGGCAGGAAAATTGCTTGAATCCATGAGTTCAAGTCTGCAGTGAGCTATGATTGCAACGCTGCACTCTAGCATGGGCAACAGCGCGAGACCCTGTCTCAAAAAATAAATAAATAAGTAAAAAAAAAGAAAAAGAAAAAAGATTTTGTGGACTATGTGCTGGAGAAGCTTGTGTCACTGTGTATGGGGGAGAAAAAACACCATTAAAAGCCTGCTCTCTCTAGCCAAAAGACTCAAACAGGGCAGCCCAACAAGACAGAAAGCTGAGCACTGAGTCACAAGACATAAGATCTCTCTCTATGGCACCAACACAATTTACAGCATCCTCCCTTGACTTTTGGGTATTGTATTCTCTGACATTCTACCTTTTCAACCACTTCTTCTAAATCTATCCTAAGCCTTAGTGTCTTCTAATTATCAATAGGCTTCAGCCTCACTTAAATGAAGTGAGGCTGGTGAAAACCTGGTGCCCAAAATGTGAGTCTTCAACCAGCTACATCCTGCATCCAAACCCAGAAGCAGGCTCTGAATTATGCCTTCATCTTTAGGACTCCTTGCATTTGTTCATGTAGTCCACTTAACCTGAAATGCTCTTCTCCATCCATCAAAATCCTTCTTAACCTTCAAGTCCCAGCTGATGGACTCTACTCAGCTTTCTGAAGTCCCTCAATCAGAACACACTGCTTCTTCCTCTGTGTCCTGGGCTTCTAGCACAGAGGGTCAGAATGAAACAAGCCCAGGACACAGAGGAAGTGAATCTGTTTATTTTATTTGCACCACCTGCCAATGCCCTAGACATATATTTGATGGATGAATAAATGAATAATTTGATCTTTGTAAAGACTTCCACAGGAGACAAATTAAACATGGGAGATAAATGTGGTCCCTAAATATATGCACAGGGCTGAGAAGATGGGGGAAGCCTAAAAGTAGATGTTAGGTGTAGATCTCAAGGTGTTCTCATGGGAGGAAACCTAGAGGTGCTGGTGAAGGGTTGTTGGGTGGGTACATTGGTGGGGGTGGTAGAGGACTATGTAGAGATAAAATAAAAGATTCGGAATGGCTGATATTTCAGGAGATGGAGGGGACAATGAGAAAGGGTGACCATGCCTGTGACCAGTTCTTGCCTTTTGAATAGGTACCCCACCCCACACATACCTTCGCTATTTTTATTTCATATTGTTTCTTTAAGATTTCTTCATAAAACAAAAATACTCCTGAGCATGCAGCTTCTATCAGCTACATTTTAGTTACCAGTTGAGCCAGTATGTGAAAGCCAACTCCTGTAGGAAATACAGTGTGATGGTCAGCTTTATGTGTCAATTTATCTAGACTACAGTCCCCTGTTATTCAATCAAACACTAATTAAGGTGTTTCAATGAAGGTAATTTGTTGATGTGAATTAAATCCATAATCAGTTGACTTTATATAAGAGAGATTATTCTAAATAATCTGAGTGGGCCTGATTCAATCAGTTGAAAGTTTTTAATTGCAGAACTAAGGCTTCTCTGCAGAAGAAGAAATTTATCTGTAGTTAACAGCTTCAGCTGGTGTCTAAGAGACCAGGCCTGCTCTTCTAGGGTGTCTTGCCAGCTGCCACCATCACATAAGCCAATTCTGTGCAAAAACTCTCTTAATGTATACTTCTGGCTGGTTTTGTTTGTCTGGTTGAACCCTGAGGGTTGGAGGTTCAGCATAAGGAGGCTTGCACGGAGGAATAAAGGAAGAGAATCAGGCAGCAAAAGGAGTGCTGGTAGGGGAGTTGATTCGATAATTTTGCCCAAGGCAGGTATTATTTGGGGGGGCGGGGGAAAGAAGGGCAAAAAAGACAGGAGCCAGAGGAGACCAAGAATTCAAGAATGAAGGTGGAAAAGGTGAGGAGACTGGCTATCCCACAGACTCACTCTTCTTCAGCAACTTCAGTTGTTGGCAGTGCAGGAGTGAGGGAAAGGAGGATTGACTTTCAAATGGGATCTATCTGCAGACTGCTTGAAAGTTATTCTTCAGACAGCACAAGCTCACTTTGCCTTCTTTGTGCATTTCTTTTTTTTTTCCCAAGCCAAACTGTATCCAGCTTTATTAAAGATAATTTCCATAAAGAATCATGGTATTTTGGGCAGGACATGGGCAGACAATCGTTAACAGTATACAACAACTTTCAAACTCCCTTCTTCAATGGACTACCAAAAATCAGAAAGCCACTGTAAAACCCAATGAAGTCTTCATCTGATGCTCTGAACCGGCAAAGTTTAGTGAGGGTTGACATTTCACATTTAGCATGCTGTTTCATAGCTTTTCATGAACCGACCCTGGCTTTCAGGAAGTGAAAGGAAAATGACAGAATTTATCTGAAGATCCACAACCTAGAAACAGGAACCACTGCTCTTTTGAGGGCAAAGTCCAGATTGCCTGACACACTGGTAACCAATTATTGGGGGTCAGGTCCCAGAAGATGTCTGGGTTTAAGGGATTTAAGTCCATTCTGAAAGGTAGAAACAGAGAAGAGGACATAAAAAACGAATTTGTTTTTCCATACCACAAGGCTTTTATACCAAGGTGGCCATGTGTATCAAAGTCAGGGAATCCCTCTTCCTGGGACCCAAGAGGAAGTCTCTCAAAACCAGAAGGAAAAGGTGTTTTCCCCACATCAGTCCAGCTTCAGGGGCTTTCTATTAGTGACATATGGCCCTTCTCCCCAAAACAACAATGAAGTATTCTGTGTACTAACATAGCTTAAAAAAAAAAAAAAAAGCTAAACAAAATCTGCATTTTTATAAAACTTGATTAAAAAATAGTATTTCAAACTGTACAGTCACCAGAAGTACACAGTTATCAAAAATGCACACACTTCACTTGGCATCTCCAGCACCTTTAGCTTTCTGTGCCTAGTCTGTTTTGGCATCTCCATTTTCTGCAGGGTTATTCCCCTCCTTGCCAGCATCAGCTTTTCCCTTCTTCTCTGTAGGTACCTTCTCTCTCTTCTTTGCAGAGGCCTTTCTGGGCTTCGGCTGTGGCTTTGGAGGAGCAGGTTTAGCAGACAACCTTGTGGATCTTCTCTGCAGTTCCTACTTAACCTTGGTTTTATCTCCTTTAGCATCCCCTTCAGCCTTTCTCTCGGGCAGGGTGGCAGCGACAGTGGTGGGACATAGGCACTGGGCAGTGGAGCACGGGCTTTGGTCGGTCTAGGGGTCATCGCCTCTTCTTCTTCACACTGCTCTGCTTTGTGCATTTCTATTCTTTTTTGTAGCCAGAGAAGTAAATGCATATCTTTGCAACTAACACTTCCAGACTCATCTGCAAAATCAAGTGCACTAAATAAATAAATAAACAAATAATCAATCATGGGTCCTTTTTAGATAGTGTTTCCCCCCAAATACCATGAATAATTTCAGTAAATTTTTGATAAATACTAGTAGGTATTGTAAATTAAATGTGTATTTTAATAACTCAGATGCAAGAAGATCTAAAGCTGGAATAAATTAGATGTTTGGATAAATATACACTTAGGTCAGCTAATAAAAAGATGGCAATGTATGTGAGCTTTAAAAGGAAGAAGATGGCCCTTGACTCTGGTACAGCCTTCAAGGGACTAGCAGAAGTCAAGTGCATGGGCTTGACAAAAACCAGAAATAAGCAAAACATTAGAGATCCAAAACTTGGCAAACCTATAATTGTAAGTTGAAAATAACCTGCAATTAGATGAGAAATGTAAAAAACAGGCTAAAATTTTTCATATACAAATTAAATAAAAAGAAATAAGTTGAGAAAAATTTGAAAATCTTTGTGGTAAAAATTTCTTCTGAAAGCAACAAACTATAATATACACCATAAATGGATAAATCTCAAAAACATGCTGAGAGAAAGAAGTCCACACTAAAAAGTGTACACTGTGTGATTCCTTTTATATAATGGTGTAAAACAGGTTAAAACTCATTTGCAGTGGAAACTAATCAAAACAATGGCTAGCTCTGGGGGAATGGGGATGCAGAAAGGGATTGACTGGCACGGGTAAGAAGGAACTTTCTAGGGCAATTATTAGTCATCAGGAAAATACAATTAAATGCAAATTAAGACTATGATGAATTGCCACAATTAAGACTACAACAAATTACCACAATTAAAACTATGCATAAGGATAGGCATATACATCAGTAGAATTGAGAGTCCAGAAATAAATCCATACATTTATGGTCAGCTGATTTTCCACAAAGGGATCAAAGCAACTCAGTAAGGAAGGAACAGTCTTTACAACAAATGGTGCTGGGACATCTGGATATCCACATGCAAAAGAATCAGTTTGGACCATTTCTTCACATCATGTACAAAAGTTAACTCAAAGGGGTCATACACCTAAATGTAAGAGATAAAGCTATAAAACGCTTAGGAGAAAACACAGGTGTAAATCTTCGTGACTTTGGATTAGCCAACAATTTCTAAGATACAATATCAAAAACACCAGCAGCAGCAACAACAGCAACAACAACAACAAAAAACAGATAAATTAGAATTCACCAAAATTAAATGAAAAAAAAAAACCCACCTGACAATACCAAATGTTGGTGAGATGAGAAATGATCACTCATACTTTCCTAATGGAGGTGTAAAATGATATAAACACTTTGAAAAATTAGCAATTTCCTACCAAGTTAAACATATATCTATCCCATAACCCAGGAATTCCACTCTTAGCTCTTTACCTAAGAGAAACGGTGAGTACCTATGAATATTCTTACAAAATTCTTTCTTTTTTTTTGAGATGGAGGCTTGCTCTGTCACCCAGGCTGGAGTGCAATGGCACAATCTTGGCTCACTGCAACCTCCGCCTCCCAGGTTCAATCTCCTGAGTAGCTGGGATTACAGGCACCTGTCTCTACACCTGGCTAATTTTTGTATTTTTTTATAGAGACAGGGTTTCACCATGTTGGCCAGGCTGGTCTCAAACTCCTGACCTCAAGTGATCCACCAGCCTCAGCCTCCCAAAGGAAAATTATTTTTATGAAGAATGTTGTTGACTCAGTAGCCCCAGTGCAAGGAAGTTTCTCAAGCAAGATGACAGCAAAGAAGCTCTGGTGGTCCCTATTTGGGGGAAGAGTTCAAGCTTAGGATATCTCTTTGGAAGTCTTTATCAAAATACCCAGCTATCAAGAAAAGTCAGTAACCGCTTTTATTTTTTTTTAAAGAACTTATCTGATCTTAGAAACTAAGCAGAGTTGGGCCTGGTTAGTGCTTGGATGGGAGATCTCTTGGAATACTGAGTGCTGTAGGAAGGCCAGGCATCGTGGCTCACACCTATAATCCCAGCACTTTGGGAGGCCATAATGGGAGGATCACTTGAGCCCAGGAGTTTGAGACCAGCCTGGGCAACAGAGTGAGATGCCATCTCTACAAAAAATAAACCAAAAATTAGCCAAGCATAGTGACATGCACCTATAGTCCCAGCTACTTGGGAGGCTGAGGTGGGAGGATTGCTTGATCCCAAGAAGTTGAGGCTGCAGTGAGCCAAGATGGGCACACTGTACTCCAGCCTGGTCAACAAAGCAAGACCCTGCCTCAAAAAAAAAAAAAATTCACTGCAAAGAGAGAAAAAAGAAAGATAAATTGACCCCCATAATTGTGCTTAATCTGGCCAAAAGTTGAACTGAAATGGGATTATCGTTCCTGTTCTGGTTACCAAGTATTACATAACAAGCTACCCCAAAACAATTTTGTAGGTCATGAATTTAAGCAGAACTCAGTTGGAGAATTCTGTTCCATGAGGCATTGGTGGAGGACACTTGGCATTGATCTGGCACGTAGAGTGGTGTGGCGGGTCCAAGCTGGTTTCCCTCGTATTTCTGATATCTTGGCTAGAAGACCAGGCTAAACAGGGATTACTGACCACAGCATCTACACATTGCCTCTCTAGCACAGTGGCTCAGGGTAGCTGGACTTTTTATGATGACAAGAATCTATCAACAAATGTCCTAGTTAACAAGGCAGAGGCTGCATGGTCTTCTGTAACTTAGGCTTGAAATTCACATAGCAACACTTCTGCCATTCTCTATTAGTCAAAGCAGTCATGAATCCACCCAGATTCAAAGGAAGGGAATATAGATCCCACACTCAATGGAGAAATGTCAAAGAATTTGTGATCATCTTTTAAAACCATTACAATCCTACTGGAAGATCCTTTAATAAAACACTGTACAGGCCATGTGCCCTGGCTGTCATAAGAGCCAAGTATAAAGGAAAGAAAAGGTATAAATAATCTGGTATTGCTGGGGACAAATCTGGGCTGGGGACAGAAAAAGGAAATATTTTGCTACAAGTTCCTTGTCTTGCCTATGATTCCTGGTACACCACTATGGAAACACTAAACAATCAAAATTGTACTGCCAAGCAAATCTTTTTTTGCGGGGTGGTGTTGGGGGGAACATTTTGCATGGGATGGAAAAGAGAAGTAAGGCAGGGAGTCTTCATTCTCTAACCCTGTAGTCAGTGAGCATTAAGTATCTTTTTGTTATTAGGACTAATAAAATAATAATGTTATATTTATTTGTATATTGCTTATAATTTTCAAAGGCTTTCATGTAGGTTATCCCATTTGATCTTGGCAATAATACTGTGGGATTAATATTATTAACATCTTCATGATACAGATGAAGATGCCAAGGCTCAAAGTCAATAATTTCATTGCCAAGGTCTCAAAAAGGTTATAGTAAGTACCAGGGTAAATCAAGACCCAAAGTCCAGAATTCCAAAGTGTGGTTCAGATACCTTGTTACAGTCATCAAATATTAATTCTAGATTTGGGGATTTAAATCCCATGCATTCTGGTGACAAATGCTCAAAACCAAGCAGAGAAAGGAAATCTAACAATATAAAAAGAAACACGAGTCAGACTTTTGGTCAGCTCTGTGGTGACGTTAAGGCACAAGAGTGGAGTGATTTGATTCATAAACTTCCCTTCTGCAACAATACCATGGAGCACAGAACCAGTGAATTTCCTCACTACAAATCAGTGTAAGATCCTGACTCTCATACATAACACGATACAACCACATTTGGGCTCTTTCATGGCATGAAAAGGAAAACACTCAGAATCACTTTAGCTTTGAACCTGCAGAATCATCCATATACATTCATATTCAATGCACATGCTTCTTGAAAAAAATCAAACAATATATAGAAGTATAGAAAGTGTCAGGCCTCTGAGCTCAAGCCTGCATGTATACATCCAGATGGCCTGAAGCAAGTGAAGAATCACAAAAGAAGTGAAAATGGCTGGTCCCTGCCTTAACTGATGACGTTACCTTGAGAAATTCCTTCTCCTGGCTCAGAAGCTCCCACACTGAACACCTTGTGACCCCCCGCCCCTGCCCACCAGAGAACAACCCCCTTTGACTGTAATTTTCCACTACCTACCCAAATCCTATAAAACGGCCCCACCCCTATCTCCCTTTGCTGACTCTCTTTTCGGACTCAGCCCACCTGCACCCAGGTGCTTAAAAAGCTTTATTGCTCACACAAAGCCTGTTTGATGGTCTCTTCACACGGACGCATGTGACAGAAAGTAATGGGCCCGGCACAGTGGCTCACGTGTGTAATCCCAGCACTTTGGGAGGCCGAGGCAGGAGGATCATGAGGTCAGGATTTCGAGACCTGCCTGGTAAATATGGTGAAACCCCATCTCTACTAAAAATACAAAAATTACCTGGGTGTGGTGGCACACACCCGTAGTCTCAGCTACTTGGGAGGCTGAGGCACAAGAATCACTTGAACTCAGGAGGTGGAGGTTGCAGTGAGCCGAGATGGTGCCACTGCACTCCAGCCTGGGCAACAAAGCGAGACTCCATCTCAAAAAAAAAAAAAAAAAAAAAAAAAAAAGAAAGTAAATAAAGTCTCTCCTCCCTACTCTTTATTCCTAGACTTTGGTATATATCCTTCCAGTTTGGTGTGCGAGTTTATCTACACACACACACACACACACACAAATTTGAAATAAATAGTATTATTCAAGTATCATTCTGCAATGTGTTTTTCTTACTTAAAATTTGTATAGAGGTATCTCATTTTTTTCTATTGGCTACATAGCATTACATATGACTAAGCAATCACTCATTGAAAAAATATTTTTTACTTCATTTTATTTTTCTATTTAAAAAAATTTTTTTAGGCCCAGCACAGTGGCTCACGCCTGTAATCCCAGCACTTTGGGTGGCTGAGGCAGGCAGATCACAGGGTCAGGAGTTCGAGACCAGCTTGGCCAACATGGTGAAACCCCATCTCTCTACTACAAATACAAAAATTAGCTGGCCGTGGTGGCACATGCCTGTGAACCCAGCTACTTGGGAAGCTGAAGCAGGAGAATTGCTTGAGCCCAGGAGGCAGAGGTTGCAGTGAGCCGAGATTGCGCCACTGCACTCCAGCCTGGGAGACAGAGCAAGATTCTGTCTCAAAAAATAAAATAAATTTGTTTTTAATTTATAGAAGTAACATTTGCACATGTTTGAAAAATTTAGACTGTACCGAGTTGTCTTAAATGAAAAACAAAAGTCTCTTGCCACCCGTCTCCACAACACCCACTCTCCACACCCATTACCCAGAAGATTTATTAATAGTTTGTTTTTAAGTTATATTGTTGATTACCATTGAATCGGTATATGTAATATATTTGTTTTTCTTGATTTATTAACTGTAAATATTATCTATTGACTCATCACAATAAAAAATTAGGAATGGTTTAATGAGTTCAACACAGAATGAAATATGGCTTTTGGCTATGAACAGTCTCAGCCTGAAGCTAATAATGAGTCATTTTTTGTGGTAACATAACTTGGTGGCTATAACCAATATTTTTCTTACAGAAATATCATAGGCTGGGCACAGTGGCTCATGCCTGTAATTCCAGCACTTTGGGAGGCTGAGGCGGGCGGATCCCTTGAGCCCAAGAATTTGAGACCAGCCTGGGGAACATGGCAAAATCCTGTCTCTACAAAAAGTACAAAAATTAGCTGGGCGTGGTGGCATATGCCTATGGTCCCAGCTACTCGGGAGGCTCAGCTGAGCCCAGGGAGGTCAAGGCGACAGTTAGCCGAGATCACGCCACTGCACTCCAGGCTGGGTGACAGAGTAAGACTCTGTCTCAAAAAAGAAAAAAAGAAAGAAAGAGATATCGTAGCTCAAAGCTCAGTAATAATTTGGATTTAGATACAGATGAATTCCTCCAGGAGATGGAATATCTCAGTTCACATCATGGCTCTGCTTTCAATTAACTCTGTGACTGTGAACAAATTACTTAACTTCTCTGTGCCCTAGTGTCTTGTCTCTTTAAATAGAAATAATAGCTATCTCACAGATCTGAAGGAGGATGAGATTAAACCATGGTTTTGAAAACAATTTGTAAACACAAAGAAGATTTTGCTTTAGCCACCTCTGTTATTCCAGGAGGCTGGTGTTGGGCAAACGGGCAGAGAGGTTGGGCCACAAGGTCGAGAATCCTCATACGGTCCTGCTATTTCCTCAGGTTTTGAAGGGGCTGTGTCGTCTGCAGTATAAACCTGGGGTTCGTCGTCACGTGCCAGGAAGATTTAGGACACGTACACACATGAGAAGTTTAGGAGCGGAGGTTTAAAAGGCAGAAGAGAAGAGAAAGAGAAACAGCTTCCTCTACACAGAGAGGGATCTCCGAGCAAAAAGGAACAGCTGGTGGTGAATGCACCAAGTTTTATAATTCAGTTTGAAGAGGCGGTATCTGATTTACATAGGGCTCACAGACTGGTTGGATCAGTTATGACGTTTACGTGGTGCGCCAGGAAGGCTGGTCTCCCCACCCTAATCTTCTCATGCAAATGGACTTCCCAGTTGACCTGCGCCATCTTGTCTGCTCCTTACAATACACGTGGCTGGCAGAGAAGGGAAGATGGAGCCTCTGTTTTGAAAATGCCTAGTCCTTAGTTCCTGCTAGCATGCACCCGTGCAAGCTCCCAGTTTGCAGGCTGCTCTTTGTTAGAAAATGATTTGGGGCTGCTTTTCATTAAAAAGAAAAGCCTTAGGAGGACTCCCATGCCCTTACTATCTGCCTAAGTAATCCCTTCTTAACTCCTATGTCAGTTTCAGCCCCTAAGATATCTGATGGAATGGAAGTGCCAGGAGTGGAAGATGAACCAGCAGTTAGGTTAGCAGTGTCTGTCTCTCATGTATCCCAAGAATGACAGTTTCTAAAGCAAAAGCAGAAGCTGGAAGCAGCAGAAATAGATGCCTTTTGCCATTGGTGGTAGCAATTGAGGCACCACTCCTTTGGCTTGGAGCAGGACTGACGTACCTGATATAGGGACAGGGAATGTGATGGGAGAAGCCTATGAGTGTAGGCATCAGATGTCTAGGTGTTTGAAGATCTGTCCTTTCTGTTCCTAGAACTAGATCCTGGGACAGAAGAGCAGAAGGGGAGAGATGGCTACAGATGGGCCTATGTCATTCTCTTGGGTGACTACTACAGTCCCATGGCATGAAAGTCATATGGGAGAGCTCAGACCCCAGAAGTCTCTACCCTCTCTCTGCTTTCTTGAGGTTAGTTTTCATTCTCTAAAAATGATCTTTCATTCACTGATTCGTAGACACACAAGGAAAGTTTGTCCACAGGCCAGGTGCAGTCGCTCACACCTGTAATCCCAACACTTTGGGAGGCTGATATGGGAGGGTCATTTGAGGTTAGGAGTTCGAGACCGGCCTGGCCAACATGGTGAAACCCCGACTCTACTAAAAATACAACAACAAAAAAAAAAATTAGCAGGGCATGATGGTGAAAGCCTGTAATCCCAACTACTCGGGAGGCTGAGGCACAAGAATTCCTTGAACCTGGGAGGCAGTGGTTGCAGTGAGCCAAGATTGCACCACTGTGCTCCAGCCTGGGTGACAGACAGAGACTCTGTCTCAAAAAAAAAAAAAAAAAGTTTGTCCTCTAATTAATCTAAACATTTCCATGAGAATGCAGCTGCTAGAGTTCCCTTTGAGAGACAGTACTAGCTGGATTTCCTAGGCCAACTAAGAATTCCTAAGCCTAGCTGGGGAAGATGACTGAACCCACCTTTAAACACGAGGCTTGAAACTCAGCTTACACCTGACCAATCAGGTAGTAAAGAGGGCTTACTAAAATACCAATTAGGCTAAAAGCAGGAGGTAAAGAAATAGTCAAATCATCTATCATCTGAGAGCACAGGGGGAGGGACAATGATTGGGATATAAACCCCAGGCATTCGAGCAGGGAGGGGCAATCTGCTTTGGGTCCCCTCCCCTTGTATGGGGGCTCAGTTTTCACTCTATTAAATCTTGCAACTGCACACTCTTCTGGTCCATGTTTCTTCCGGCTCGAGGTGAGCTTTCGCTCACCATCCACCACTGCTGTTCGCTGCCATCGCAGACCTGCCATTGACTTCCCCCCCTCCAGATCCGGCAGGGTGTCCTCTGCGTTTCTGATCCAGCGAGGCACGCATTGCTGCTCCCGTTGGGGCTAGAGGCTCACCATTGTTCCTGCACAGCTTAGTGCCCAGGTTTGTCCTAACTGAGCTTAACACTAGTCACTGGGTTCCACGGTTCTCTTCTGTGACCCACGGCTTCTAATAGAGCTGTAACACTCACCGCATGGCCCAAGGTTCCATTCCTTGGAATCCGTGAGGCCAGGAACCTCTGGTCAGAGAACAAAAGGCTTGCCACCATCTTGGGAGCTCTAAGAACAAAGACCCACCCGTTAACACCTTGTTGAGGGCAGCATTTCACAATTCTGAAGTACACTCCCTTGTCAGACCACAGGCTTGTTCATGGTGGACTTGATCAGATTAGGTTTTGTTTGTTTTTTTTTTTTTTTTGATGGAGTTTCACTCTGCCGCCAGGCTGGAGTGCAGTGGCGCTATCCCTGCTCACTGAAACCTCCACCCCATGGGTTCAAGCGATTCTTCTGCCTCAGCCTCCCAAATATCTGGGATTATAGGTGCCCACCACAACGCCTGGCTAATTTTTTGTGTTTTTAATAGAGATGGGGTTTCACCATGTTGACCAGGCTGGTCTCGAACTCTTGACCTCAGGTGATCCACCTGCCTCAGCCTCCCAAAGTACTGGGATTAGAGCAGATTAGGTTTTAATTGTGCTATGTGCTAGATAATGGACAGCACTATGTGAGATATGGTTGGTATGAGGAGGGAACAATTGTGAGGCACTCCTCAAGATTTGCAGATGAGAATGAGAATCACTTAAACCTGAGGTAGGGAGGATGCAGTGAGCCAAGATCGCACTACCGCACTCCAGCCTAGGCGACAGAGCGAGACTCTGTCTCAAAAAAAAAAAACAAAAAACAAAACAAAACAAAAAAAACCATTTGCAGATGAGAGAATAAGCCACTCTCTGAAGGTTATTTTAGCAAGAATTCAATGCAAAGGAGGGAATCAGTTATCTGTTGGAGTAAACTAGGAGGCTGTAAATGAGCAATCAAAGAGATTGGGCCCCTCAAAGATGCTCTGTGAGTATTTTGGGGGAGGCAGGATTGTACTGAAGTTGTAATTTAGTAAACAGAGATCAAATCAGTTTTTTCTGGAGAAAGACATGAGAACAAAAACAGGTAGTTACGTCATTTTATACAGATAGTAGGTACTATCATTTGAATACGGTCCCTCCAAAATTCAGATGTTGCCAAAATGATAGGATTTTTGTTTTGTTGAGACAGGGCCTCACTTTTTTGCTCAGACTGGAGTGTAGTGGCATGATATCGGCTCACCGCAACCTTCGTCCCCAGGCTCAAGTGATTCTACTGCCTCAGCCTCCTGAGTAGCTGGGATTACAGGTGCACACCACTACTGCCTGGCTAATTTTTGTATTTTTAGTAGAGACGGGGTTTCACCATGTTGGCCAGGCTGCAATGTGATAGTTTTAAGAGGTGGGGCCTTTAAGTGGCAATCAGGCCATAAGAGCTCCTCCCTCAGGTTTGGGATTAAGTGCCTTAAAAAAGAAGCTTCGGGCAGCATTTGGTTAATTTACCCTTCCACCTCCCCTCCAGAGGATGAGGCCCTCACCAGACAACCAAACCTGCCAGCACCTTGATCACGGACTTCCCAGCCTCCCAAACTGTGAGAAATAAATTTCTGTTCTTTTTAAGTTGCCCAGTCTAAGGTATTCTGTTATAGCACACACAGACTAAACCAGTAGTGCATTAATCTTTTGTGCTTGGATCCTACGGCTATCTGCCCTTGCTAGGATTGCAGGTGGACCCAGAAGTCTTAATCAAATTAGTTTTCTAGGTTGTATTTCTGGTTAAGGTAACTTGAATAATCAGGCCACCTGACTGTTTTATTTTTTTCTGTAAATTACTGTCACTTTCTTTAGATTTTTAAAATTTATATTAAGAAAAATTTCAGGCTGGGCGCAGTGGCTGACGCCTGTAATCCCAGCACTTTGGGAGGCTGAGGAGGGTGAATTACCTGAGGTCAGGAGTTCAAGACCAGCCTGGCCAACATGGTGAAACCCTGTCTCTGCTAAAAATACAAAAAATTAGCTGGATATAGTGGCTCATGCCTATAGTCCCAGCTATTGGAGAGGCTGAGGCCAGAGAATCGCTTGAACCTGGGAGGCAGAGGTTGCAGCGAGCCGAGATCACTCCATTGCACTCCAGCCTGGGCGACAAGAGCAAAACTCTGTCTCAAAAAAAAAAAAAAAGAAAGAAAGAAAGAAAGAAGTTTCAAACACGCAAAAGTGAATATATATAATTAATACTGTGAAATACCCTATAACTAGATTTAATCATTATCAAGATTTTCCTACACTTGCTTCACTTTCTCCCACTTTTAAAAACTAAACTAAACTATTTTAAAGAAACTTAAACAAATTTACAGAAACAAACAAGTCCATTAATAGGAACAGACACTTTTCAAAAGAAGACATACATGTGGCCAACAAGCATATGAAAAACAGCTCAACATCACTGACCATTAGGGAAATGCAAATAAAAACCACAGTGAGATATCATCTCACACCTGTCAGAATGGCTATGGTTAAAGTAAAAACATAATAGGTACTGTCAAGGTTGTGAAGAAAAAGAAATGCTTATACACTGTTGGTAGGAGTGTAAATTAGTTCAACCATATGGGAAACAGTGTGGTGATTTCTCAAAGATCTAAAAACAAAACTACCATTTGACCCAGCAATCCCATTACTGGATATACTCAAAGGAATATAAATCATTCTATCATAAAGACACATCCACACGTATGTTTGTTGCAAGACTATTCATAATTGCAAAGACATGGAATCAACCTAAATGTCCATCAGTGGTAGACTGTATAAAGAAAACATGGTATATATACACCATGGAATACTATGCAGCCACAAAAAAGAGTGCGATCATGTCTTTTGCAGGGACGTGGATGGAACTCGAGCCCATTATCCTTAGCAAACTAATGCAGGGACAGAAAGCCAAATACCACATGTTCTTACTTATAAGTGGAAGCTAAATGATGAGAACACATGAACACAAAGAGGGGAACAACACACACTTGGGCCCACTGGAAGGTGGAAGGTGGGAGCAGGGAGAGGATCAGGAAAAATAACTAGTGGGTAGTAGGCTTAATACCTAGGTGACAAAATAATCCATACAACAAACCCCCACGACAAGCGTTTACCTGTATAACAAACCTGCACGTGCACTCCTCAACTTAAAATAAAAGTTAAAAAAAAGAAAAATTTCAAACATACAAAAGTATTCTAGGTTTTTAAATAAGTAAAAGGAAAAAAGTGAAGAAAATAATATAATGAATATATATAAGGTATAATGAATAGTATGAAATACCCTATAACCATGTTCAATCATAATCAAGATTTTCCTACACTTGCTTCACTTTCTCCCACTTTTATAAACTAAACTATATAGCCAGGCGTGGTGGCTCACACCTGTAATCCCAGCACTTTGGGAGGCTGAGGTGGGTGGATCACCTGAGGTCGGGAGTTCGAGACCAGCCTGACCAATATGGAGAAACCCTGTTTCTACTAAAAATACAAAATTAGCCGGATGTGGTGGCACATGCCTGTAATCCCAGCTACTTGAGAGGCTGAGGCAGGAGAATCGCTTGAACCCGGGAGGCAGAGCTTGCGATGAGCCGAGATCACACCACTGCACTCCAGCCTGGGCAACAAGAGCGAAACTCCCTCTCAAAAAATATAAAAATAAAAAAAAAAATAAAAATAAAAAAACTAAACTATATTAAAGAAAATCCTAGACCCCTCCCCACTGCCATGGTGTAAATGTTTCTGTCCCCCAAAATTCATATGTTGAAATCCTACCCCACCCAGATGATATTAGCAGGTGGAGCCTTTTTGGAGACGATTAAGTCATGGAGACAGAGCCCTCATGAGATAAGTGCCAAGACCCCAAGAGGCCCCTAGCCCCTTATACCATGTGAGGACAGAGGGAGAACACAGCCATCTCTTAAGCAGGAACCAGGCCCTCACCAGACATGGAATCTGCTGGCACCTGGATCTTGGACTTTTCAGCCTCTAGAAATGTGAGCAAAAAATTCCTGTTGTTTCTAAGCCACCAAGCATATGGTATTTTGTTGTAGCAGCCCAGGCTGACCGAGATAACCATTCACTTTAGTGTGGATCTCTAAAACATATGAACACTTTCTTGCATACTCACAATATTTTCCTTTGTATTTACTAGTTTTCGTAAGCTAGGTTAGTGGGAGATGAAGGCACTCTCAGGCTGTTAATAAAATCAAGTTTCAGACTCTGATTTCACAATGAACTTACCAAAGTAAAGGCCACTTTGTGAGGACTCTTCTAATCACCAGGATTCCTCTGTCTGAACATGTTTTAAGGATTGAACAACAATCCAGGCCCCCCTTGCTTTTCACATGTACAAGTCTATACACACTTGTGTGCAAATGCATTCACCATGCACACTGATATGGTTTGGCTCTGTGTTCCCATCCAAATCTCACCCCATTATCCCCACATGTCAAGGACAGGACCAGGTGGAGGTAATTGGATCATGGGGGCAGTTTCCCCCATGCTGTTCTCATGATAGTGAATGAATTCTCATGACATCTCATGGTTGCATTAAGCATCTGGCATTTCCCCTGCTTGCACTCACTCCATCCTGTTGCCCTGTGAAGAAGGCACTTGCTTTTTGCCTTCTACCATGACTGCAAGTTTCCTGAGGCCTCCCAAGCAATGTGGAACTGAAAGTCAATTACACTTCTTTCCTTCATAAATTTCCCAGTCTTGGGCATTTCTTCATAGCAGTGTGAGAACAGACTAATACACACACACAAACACATGCAAAACCAAGGGAAAAAATGAAGTAGGCTGGGCCCGGTGGCTCACGCCTGTAATCCCAGCACTTTGGGAGGCTGAGGCCGGTGGATCACCTGAGGTCAGGAGTTTGAGACCAGCCTGGCCAACATGGTGAAACCCTGTCTCTACTAAAAATACAAAAAATCAGCTGAGTGTGGTGGCGCATGCCTGTAATCCCAGCTACTCAGGAGGCTGAGGCAGGAGGATCGCTTGAACCCAGGAGGCGGAGGTTTCAGTGAGCGGAGGGAGATCACACCATTGCACTCCAGCTTGGGCAACAAGAACAAAACTGCGTCTCAAAAAAAAAAAAAAAAAAAGAAGTAAACCCCTTCTTAAGCCCAGTAAATCAGTTTAAATCTTTTAAAAAGCATAACTTGAATCTACTGTCACAATTCTGGTAGGCTGTTGAGATGAGTGGATATGCTACCTACACAGAGAACACAAAATGCAAAGGTTAACATCTATGCTGGCCAATTTTTTTTTTTTTTTTTTTTTTTGAGATGGTCTCGCTCTCAGGACCTGATTAGAGTCAGAAACTTGATTTTTTTTGGCAGCCTGAGAGAGCCTTTATCTTCCACTAACCTAGCCTGCAGTGAGCTATAATCATGCCAGGCTGGAGTGCAGTGACTCAGTCATAGCTCACTGCAGCCTCAACCTCCCAGGCTCAAGTGATTCTCCTGCCTCAGCCTCCCAAGTAGCTGGGACTACCACATCCATATGCTGCACCACCATGTCCATATGCTGGCCAATTTCTAAAAGTGGCTTCAAAAAGAGTAAATAGAACATCAGAGATATAGGAAAACATCAGCTTCTGGAGAAGGGAACTGAAAAGCATAAGGTACCACAAACAGGCAGTATTTCATGCCAGGGCAAAATTCTGCTGGTTTTGCCTTATCATTCCTATCTTGCTGTGTAAGAATCTCAATATCTTCCCCTGCCTTCCTCCATCATACTCATGTGCCCAGGGGAATGACTTCACAGGAAGTTCCTTCCTTTCCCTTCCTTTCTCTTCTTCATCCCTACCCTAACCCCCCAACCCGCCAAATGCCTCTTCCACTAACTCCACAATGTCTTGATTTTAAAAACTAGGGACACATTTCTTTGGTCTAAGACATGTTTAGCACATAGCATAGCATCTGGCATACAGACTCTTTTTTTTTTTTTTGAGACAGAGTTTCACTCTTGTTGCCGAGGCTGGTGTGCAATGGCACGATCTCAGCTCACTACAACCTCCACCTCCCGGGTTCAAGCGATTCTCCTGCCTCAGCCTCCTGAGTAGCTAGGATTACAGGCATGTGCCACCACACCCGGCTAATTTTGTATTTTTAGTAGAGACGGGGTTTCTCCATGTTGGTCAGGCTGGTCTTGAACTCCCTACCTTAGGTGATCCGCTGGCCTCGGCCTCCCAAAGTGCTGGGATTACAGGCATGAGCCACCACCCCCGGTCAGTATACAGACTCTTAAGGAATATTGAATGGATGGGTGGATGGATAGATGGATGGATGATTACTGTTTTCAATACAAGGATAATACTTCAAGACCTACCCAACTTCTGATGGAAGTGCAACATGACACTGAGGGGCCATTGGCAAAATTGGGTAACTGGTCATAACAACTGGCTGTATACTCAGGAGGTTGGAAAAGCAAAAATATGACATACATACCCTCCCCACCACCATTATGAACCAACAAGCCTAAGAAAGGAGGAAAAAGGTCAGAGTGAAAAGACAATGGGCACCTGACTCATACAAACCTGATGCAAATCTTGATTCCTAACTGTGTGACTTAGAACAAAATATTTATAAAATTTCATTTATTCCATGTACACAATGGGAACAATAGTGTCTACTATGAAGGATTGTTATAAGGATTATATTAAATAGTGGGCTGGGCGTGGTGGCCCACACCTGTAATCCCAACACTTTGGGAGGCCAATGTGGGTGGATCACTTGAGGCCAGGAGTTCAAGACCAGCCTGGTCAACATGGCAAAACCCTGTCTCTACTAAAAATACAAAAAAAATGAGCCAGGTGTGGTGGCGCATGCCTGTAATCCCAGCTAATCAGGAGGCTGATGCCCAGGAATCCCTTGGACCCGGGTGGTGGAGGTTGTAGTGAGCCCAGATTGTGCCACTGCACTCCAGCCTGGGTGACAGAGTGAGACTCTGTCTCAAAAAAAAATAATAATAATAATTAATTAAATAGTGTGTGTAAGGTTCCTAGCACAGTGGGCTCAAAATATTATAATTTTTATTACATGACAATATTTATTATCATTTAGAAATTTATAAAGGGAATCTGGAAAATTATGGTTCATTTGTGAAATAGGCAAGCTAAATAAATAAAATTAATTTCAGAGAAGACTGTCAAGATGATATCTTTAAAGAGAAAATCTGACAAATTTCTGTGAGGTTTTTACATGTTTAAGTGGTTAAAAAAATGGAAAAGTAGATAAACAACAGCTTAGTATTACTCACCTAGAAGCCTTAATAAAACCTTGGACAGGTTTCCAAAGGACAGGCTAATAATAAAAGTTGCGTGAAAGTGGAATGTTTTGTGAGGCAATAAGGAACTAGCTCAGAAGCAAAAATAATGGGTGGGCCTGTTGATTCAAGGTAGGGGAGGGAACTAGAGGCCCAAGTGACAGTTCCTGGGAAGGCAGTGGATATATGAAGGGCACGGTAGTCACATCTCTAATTCTGGATTTCTCGATGGAAACTGTGCAGTTCTCAACAGAAAGATGGAGTCCTGTGCACTTGGGGGAATCTGGGCAAGTGATACTTGGGTGTCAGGCACCCACAGAATGGACCTCAATAATAGGAAGGGAGAAGGAGACTAATGTTAATCTAGTAGTGACTAGATCAGGCCATGTGCCAGGCACATTATCTCATTTAAGTCACCATAACCCGACACTAGTTATGTTATTACCTCCATTTTACACAGAAGGACACTGAGGCTCAAAGAGATCTTATAATTCATCTAAGTTCACTCTGCTAGTAAAGGGAGGGAACTCTCATAGGCATCAATGCCCCAGGCAGCAGGCTGTGGCCTACTGGGTTGCTTGCTGACCACCTAACTCTGTGCCAGGCACAGTGCCAGGTGCAGAAGATACAGTGGTGTGCAAAGATACAGTCCCTCACTCTCTTGGAGCTTAGAGTCTAATGAGAGTTAGTAGCAGCCATTAGTCAAATAATGCCACTAATGAAGATAACATTACAAAGTGAAACATGTAACAAATTGACTCATCTAGACTTTGGGGCATGATGGGTGCCATGCAGGAGAGTGGCTCTAGAGAGCTTACCTAATTAACTAGCTAAAAGAATGATGAAGAAAGGTATTCCAAGTGGAAGCTGCACATGAAAAGGCCTGTGCTCAGAACCCCAGAAAACACAAGTTTACTGCAGCTACACTACAGCTCAGAGGAAAGAGGCAAGTGCCTGAGCTAAGCGTGGAGGCATGGAAGAGGTTGGAGACACAATCAGATTTCCATTTTGAAAGGTCCAGTGTATTTTCACAGGAGCCACTAAGATGCTTGAACAGCCACAAGCAAGCATTCTGGTGGGTTCCGGGGCCCCAGCTATACCTGGCCCAAATGAAGGCAGTTGGGTGGTATAAATACTGCTGCCTTAATAGTACATTTGAGGGCCGGGCACCGTGGCTTATGCCTGTAATCCCAGCACTTTGACAGGCTGAGGCGGGTCCATCACTTGAGGTTAGGAGTTCGAGACCAGCCTGGCCAACATGGTGAAACCTGTCTCTACTGAAAATACAAAAATTAGCCAAGGATGGTGGTGGGTGCCTGTAGTCCCAGCTACTTGGGAGGCTACTTGTGAGGGCAATAGGGTGAGAGTCTGTCTCAAAAAAATAAAAAATAAATAATAAATAAAAGAAAATAGGCCAGGTGCTGTGGCTCACGCCTGTAATCCCAGCACTTTGGGAGGCTGAGGTGGGTGGATCACGAGGTCAGGAGTTCAAGACCAGTCTGGCCAATATAGTGAAACCCTGTCTCTACTAAAAATACAAAAATTAGCCAGGCATGGTGGCTGTAATCCCATACCATGGGCACCTGTAATCCCAGCTACTTGGGAGGCTGAGGTAGAGAACTGCTTGAACCCAGGAGGCGGAGGTTGCAGTGAGCCGAGGTAGCGCTACCTGGGCTCACTGCACTCCAGCCTGGGCAACAGAGTGAGACTCCGTCTCAAAATAAGTAAATAAATACATAAATAAATTTTTAAAAACAGTATATTGGGAAGTGAGGATTGATGAAACCAAGAGCCTAAGTCTCAGGCATCTGTGCTAGGAAAGGACATACTAACATGTGTAAATGATCTGGAGGACAGCCTATGCGATAAAACCTCTAACAACACTTCTACGCAGATAGGTCTAGATCAGGGGTCAGCAAATGCTGGGCCAAATCGCGCCAGTGCCTGTTTTTGTACAGCCTGCAAACTAAGAGTGGTTTTTACATTTTTAAGTGGTTGAAAACAATGGAAAGAAAACTAATATTTTGTGACACATTAAAATTATATGAAAGTCACATCCCAGTTTCCATAAATAAAGTTTTATTGGAACACGGCCATGCTCATTTGTTTATTCTCTTTGGCTGCTGCTACAACAGCAGAGTGACTGACTGACACCTGAGGATTGCTGCAAAGCTAAAATTATTATTATTATTATTATTTTTGAGACGGAGTCTTGCTGTGTCGCCCAGGCTGGAGTGCAGTGGAGCGACCTCAGCTCACTGCAAGCTCCGTCTCCCGGGTTTACACCATTCTCCTGCCTCAGCCTCCCAAGTAGCTGGGACTACAGGCACCTGCCACCACGCCCGGCTAATTTTTTGTATTTTTAGTAGAGATGGGGTTTCACCGTGTTAGCCAGGATGGTCTCGATCTCCTGACCTCGAGATCTGCCCACCTCGGCCTCCCAAAGTGCTGGGATTACAGGCGTGAGCCACCGCGCCTGGCCTAAAATTATTATTTTTTAAAAAGAACAAGAAGCAGCATTATTCAAATACTGAATTATATTTTTTTCCAAGTCTTCTTAATTTGTTTTGAAATGGATCATCTCCTGCCAAACAAAACTACAGAATACATCTTGTGTCTGTCACACATATGCCTACTCTCTGTTTTGCTAAGAAAGAGGTGTTTAATCCTCTTTTCTTTCCCACAGAGAAATGCAACAACTGCTACCATAAGAAGAGCTGCAGACCAATAGTGGTGGAAGTGAAATTATTTATTATCTGGCCTTTACAGAAAACGTTTGCCAATTCCTGAGCTAGATAATCAGAAGAGCCTATAAATCTGACCATGTGATCTGACAATTGACAAATGAGCTCTCGTGGGAGCAAGTGCAAAATAATGCACTTTGAGATAAAAATATCCAAACTATTTACAAAAGGAAGACAGGCCTATGAGCTTTGAGGTCACAACTCAGGACTAAACACAACTGGGAGGATTAAAGGCAGCTAGAGTAGTAGTACGTGAATGTCCTCCCCTAAATTATAACAATCAGTACACAGTAGAGGGGGTTGGTTATCTGTGGGCCTCACCTGATGTGGGCCTGGGGAAAAATTTCCAGGAAAACTAAACTAGGATTTTCCATTTTCACTTAAAAATTACACATAGGAAGAGGCAGAGGTTGCAGTGACCCCAAATGATGCCACTGCACTCCAGCCTGGGCAGCAGAGCAAGACCCTGTCTCCAACCAACCAACCTTTTTCTCCTTTCAAAACTTTTGTTCTAGGCTGGGTGCGGTGGCTCACGTCTGTAATCCCAGCACTTTGGAAGGCCAAGGCAGGCGGATCGCCTGAGGTCAGGAGTTCAAGACCAGCCTGGCCAACATGGTGAAACCCCGTCTCTACAAAAATACAAAAATTAGCCAGGCATGATGGTGAGTGCCTGTAATCCCAGCTACTTGGGAGCCTGGAGTGGAAGAATCACTTGAACCCGGGAGGTGGAAGTTGCAGTGAGCCAAGATCGTGCCATTGCACTCCAGCCTAGGTGACAGAGGGAGACTCTGTCTCAACAAACAAACAAACACACAAAAACCTTTGTTCTAGCTCTAAGGCAACTTGGCTTCTCATATCACTGGTCCTGTGAAGGGGGCCATGCAGGGAAATGGCAAAGGTATATCCCCCAGGATTATGAAGATAACCACAACAGTGATCTGCTGAGTCTCTTAACGGCAGTTGTTTAGCATGCATTAGCTTCCCCAGCCTGACCCACAGGTGTCATTTCCACACCTGCAAAGCTGCAGAACTGACCTGGGACCTTGATGGCTCTAGCAGGGTTCTGACCATGGGGGCCCTGCCTGGATGTGGCTGGCCTCCCTCTTGGACAACTCTGACCTCTTCCATTTTCATGTAACAGGAGTCACATCCGGAGTTCCCTGAGAAGACATAACCCAGACCAGTGTGCTGCAGGGCCCAAAAGGAACAAGGTGTCTTTCCCAAATAAGATTCTCTCCCCACCCAGAAAAGACTCCACCAATATCAGGGTCCCAGAACCTAGTCTAATGCCCAGGTAAATTAGTCCTAGTAAACTGAAAGTCCCATGTCCTGGGAACCCCCCTCACTTCCAAGCAAACCAAGTTGGTCACCTGCCAGACAGGTTCCTCATTTACAATAGGCCTCTTATCCTACTGTTCCCCAGGGCTCACCTGGGGCTGCTCCACAGTTTCTGCTGCCCCAAGCCCAGCACTCAGAATATTCAGAGCTGCTCCTTCTTGGGAAGGGTAGAGGACAGCATGGGCTGAGGGGGTCACTGGGGACAAGATTGGGATCAGAGAAGATCAGGAGACTAAGGAGAAGGGGTTCCCAAGGAGCCCCAGCTGTTAGAGAGTTGGATCTAAGACTCTGTCTTTAATGCCTGCTTGTGCTTCTGTTCATACAATGCGGATTAAACAGTTACCGGAATCAGGAAAGTTTTTCAGTATTTACATTGTTTAGGGATAAGGAAGAACTACTAAAGGGAAGGCTGCCTTAAATCCTATTGCAAATGAGCAGAATGTAAATTATTCAAATATAAATAACAAAAAGGAGGGTAAAACTGTTGGTCACTATAAAATAGCTGTAATAACTGCAGTAATTTATATTTAATTACCATGTGGCATAGGGATTATGAGACACTGCGTCATGCATATCATACACCAAGCTCTTTGTGATAAGGGCAACAAATTCTGCTCCATTGTGTGTGCTCTTGGGGTCAGCTTAAAATCACTAAAGATAAAATTTGGCTTAGTCTTGGGATTTGCTTCAGGGAACACAGGCAGTTCAACAGCAGGTGAACTTGTTACATTTGATTCTGGGAGGACCAACATAAAGATACCCCAAAAAAAATTAATGTCATCTTTATTTGTAAGGGAATTCTGGAAAAAGTTCAAAGTACTTTGCAGATTTTAATCTAATTAATTCTCACAATGACCCCTCAAAGGAGTTTATACAATGGCCCTCATTGTTTGAAGCCACAAGTTACTAGAGGCCACAAAAGAGTCACTTTGTCTGCAGTTGCTTCTTTGTCCTGGCTTGATTCGTAAATGTTATAATGTTCTTTGAAATAGATATAGTATAAATATGAACTAAGAGTGTATTAATAATCACTGATCTTATAAGACACATTGATATCACCACTTGAAAAAATTCCTTAGAAATGGCCTTACACTCCAGCTTAAAGAAATAGAAATGTTTATGTTAAAGGAGAATTTAAGGTTATGGATAAACTCTCTATGATTAAAATATTTGCGTATATTTGTCCATGAGTATTTACTGGGTTCCTGCTGCAAGTATGAGATCAGGTGCTATGGCTGCAAAAACAGCTTAGGATAGGAATGAAGTAACAATGTGTGGTGGAGTTCTAAATAAGTTCGAAATAAGTCAGAATGCGTCATTAATAAACCAAGGACTGGGTTTAGCAATCCTAAGAAGAGACGAATGTAAGTGGAAAATTCTTTCTTTTTTGAGACAGAGTCTTGTTCTATCGCCCAGGCTGGAGTGCAGTGGCGTGATCTCGGCTCACTGCAACCTATGCCTTCCAGGTTCAAGTGATTCTCATGCCTCAGCCTTCCGAGTAGCTGGAATTACAGGCGTGCACCACCACACCCGGCTAATTTTTTTGTATTTTTAGTAGAGATGGGGTTTTACCACATTGGCCAGGCTGATCTTGAATTCCTGGCCTCAAGTGATCTGTCTGCCTTGGCCTCCCAAAGTGCTGGGATTACAGGGGTGAGCCACCACCCCCGACTGAGAATTCTTGATGATTAGCATTTGTCCATACCCTTGCTTTGTAGTTTAGTTCAGGTGGCATGGTCTTTAATGTCTCTTTCTGGTAAAGCGGTAAAGGAAGATGCTTTCACATACAAAATCTTGTTTGATTCTTACAGTGTCCCAATGAAATAGGTAAGACAAACATTATTTTCCACTTTTTACAGACAAGAAAATAAGCTGAACAATTATTAATATTACACTGCTAGGGGTCACAGTGAACGGATTACAAAATTAGATGCTGAATCAGTTTCTCTGAGTTCTCTTGTGGTGCTCCTGTCTACGATGAAACTCCCAATGTATTTCCAAGTTCAGCCTTCCACCCTCAACTTTAAGCTCCTCTAGCCCAGCCACCGCCTCAGACTCTGGGGCTGGTATCCTAACTCCCAAAACCCCTTCTCATCTTGGACCTCCTATTCCTGCTAATTTCAGCCAGATATGCTTAGAGAAATCCATAGGAACATTTACTTTAAAACTAAGGGTCTCAGTTTGGCCGGGCGCAGTGGATCATGCCTATAGTCCTAGCGCTTTGGGAGGCCAAGGCAGGCAGATCACCTGAGGTCAGGCATTCGAGACCAGCCTAGCCAACATGGTGAAACCCCATCTCTACTAAAAATACAGAAATTAGCAGGCATGATGGCACATGCCTGTAGTCTCAGCTACTTGGGAGGCTGAGGCAGGAGAATCGCTTGAACCCAGAAGGTGGAGGTTGCAGTGAGCCGAGATTGCACCAATGCACTCCAGCCCAGGCAACAAGAGCAAAACTCTGTCTCAAAACAAAACAAAACAAAACAAACAAAAAAAAAAAACTAAGGGAAAGCAAAAAACAAAGCTATGAGAACAATGAACTTGACTAAATTTCGGTTTTGGCTGGCAGGTTGGTTTGCCTTACGGGGTAGATGGGCTCTTGACCCTCTCCTTTATCTCCTCCCTGTCCAAAAGGGGGCCTTTGCCATCCTTGGGCAATTCTCTTATCTATTTTGGGTCCTTCTCCTTCTCTTTCTCCTCCCTGAGAGGAGGTATTAAATTGAAACTCCAGCCACTCTGTCAGAGGCATTTAAACCAGAGCAACTCCATCTTGAATAGGGGCTGGGTAAAATAAGGCTGAGACATACCGGGTTACATTCCCAGACAGTTAAGGCATTCTGAGTCACAGAATGACATAGGAGGTCGGCACAAGATACAGGTCATAAAAGACCTTGCTGATAAAACAGGTTGCAGTAAAGAAGCCGGCCAAAACCCACCAAAACCAATATGGGGATGACAGTGACCTCTGGTCATCCTCACTGCTACCCTCCCACCAGCATCATGACAGTTTACAAATGCCATGGCAACGTCAGGAAGTTACCCTACATGGTCTAAAATGGAGAGGCATTGCCCGACACGGCAGCTCATGCCTGTAATCCCAGCTCTTTGGGAGGCTGAGGCAGGTGGATCAAATGAGGCCAGGTGTTTGAGACCAGCCTGGCCAACATGGTGAAACCCCATCTCTACTAAAAAATACAAAAATTAGCCATCCTGAGCGACAGAATGAGACTCTGTCTAAAAAATAATAAATAATAAAAAGGGGAGGCATGAATAATCCACCCCTTGTTTAGCATATAATCAATAAATAACCATAAAAATGGGCAACCAGCAGCCCTCAAGGCTGCTCTGCCTATGGAGTCGCCATTCTTTATTCCTTTACTTTCTTAATAAACTTGCTTTCACTTTACTGTATGAACTCGTCTCAAATTCTTTCTTGTATGAGATCCAAGAACCCTCTCTTGGGGTCTGGATCAGGAATCCTTCCTGGTAACAACTCATAGAAGGAATAAACTATTACACTCACTGTAGTTGTGTATCACATCACTAACCCTTGTTCCACGCATTCAACAACTTTCATCCCCTCCTGAAGAAGATAAGGGGACACATTCTAAAACATCCTATAGGAATCTCCTACGGCCACATACTCCAATAGAGATGCATTCTTGGGATGGGGAATACGCAGAATTTGAACCTCAACCAAGTAGCATCTTCTCCCATATTTCACTTTTAAAAAACTTTTCCACTTTCTTTTTGCTCATTTTCAATGGGGATTTCACAGGATGATGCTGAAGTCTCAAGGTTCTGGCAAGTCATTGATATATGAAACAGGGATCTCTCCTGACATGCTTCAGAGTCTAGATGCTTTTCTATAGAGCATTCCATTTTTGGGCAGAAAGAAACTGAGCAGATAGTGTGGGGTAATGGTTAAGAGATTGAGCTCAGAAACAAAGCTAATCCAAATTGAGTTCTTGCTCTGTTTGCTAACTGCATGATCCTGACCAAGATACTTAACCTCCCTGAGACTCTATGTCTTCATCTACATAAAAAATAACAGCTTGGGGCACATGTCCTCAGGACCTCCTGAGGCTGTGTCAAAAGTAAAAAAAAAAAAGGAAAATAAAAATAAAAATAGCTGGCATTGATTGAACGCATACTGTGTGCTAGGAATTATATGTGCTAAGTTTTACATGCTTTACTGGCATTATCTTATTTAATCCTTAGTACAACCCTTGTGAAGTGGGTACTATTATTATATCCATTTTATATGTAAGAAAATTGAAGCATAAAGAGATTAAATAGTTTGCCAGAGACCATACAACTATAAGTGGTGAGGCCAGGACTCAAACACAATCTGTCTGACTCCAAGACCCATGCTTTCAATCACTACCTTCATTACAGTGATGTGGTAATGACTAAATGAGCTAATGTAAGTCGGGTGCCCTCATAGTGCCTGGCACACAAGCCTTAAGTATCCTAGCTATGATATTATTTTCAGTAGGTTTTTTTGTTTGTTTTGTTTTTTTAATGAGATGGAGTCTTGCTCTGTCGCCTAGGCTGGAGTCAATGGCACAATCTCTGCTCACTGCAACCTCCGCCTCCCAGGTGCAAGAGATTCTCCTGCCTCAGCCTCTCAAGCAGCTGGGATTACAGGCACCCGCCACCACAGCCAGCTAATTTTTGTTGTTGTTGTTGTTTGAGACAGAGTCTCGCTCTGTTGTCCAGGCCAGAATGTAGTGGCACGATCTTGGCTCACTGCAACCTCTGCCTCCCGGATTCAAGTGATTATCCTGCCTCAGCCTCCTGAGTAGCTGGGATTACAGGCGCGCACCACCAAGACCTGATAATTTTTGTATTTTTAGTAGAGACGGTGTTTCACCATGTTGGTCAGGCTGGTCTCGAACTCCTGACCTCGTGATCCACCTGCCTCAGCCTTCCAAAGTGCTGGGATTACAGGTGTGAGCCACCAAACCCAGCCCTAATTTTTGTATTTTTAGTACAGACGGGGGTTTCACTATGTTGGCCAGGCTGGTCTCAAACTCCTGACCTCAGGTGGTCTACCCACCTCAGCCTCCCAAAGTGCTGGGATTACAGGCATAAGCCACAACACCCAGCCATTTTTTTCAAGAGATATCTGGACCAGAAAACAAATTTTGACATAGGAAATTTTATGCCCATCCCTTTCAACTGCCCCAAGGTATGTGTCTTGCAATTCAGTTGACAGGCTTCTGCTATTGCCTAAATCTGCATATTACGAGTTGCCTGGTTGAGAGACTAGCTAAATGGTTGGCAGCCTTTTCCATCTGCCATGCAAGAAGTTATTCAGGCTGGGCTTGGTGGCTCGTGCCTGTAATCCCAGCACTTGGGAGGCTGAGACAGGAGGATCACTTCAGCCCAGGAGTTCAAGACCAGCCTGGGCAACATAGTGAGACCTGCCCCTCCACCCTGTCTCACTAAAATAAAAAATAAATAAATTCTTCAGACTAGAAAAACGTATGAAGTCTCTTAAAAAAGAATGGCATACTGAGCAATAGCTAGCAAACAGAATTGCAGGCAGTACCGAGATTATAAGTGTGCACTGTTTCAAAAGTTCATTTGTCTATTATTATAAACTCCGAGTGCGTAGAAATAAGGTTGCAAATTGTAGTTACATTCCAAGCCTATTTGCAGAAGTCTATGTATTTAGCCCATTTTGAAGCTCAGTGATAGAAATCATGCCACTAGTCTGAGGGCAGGCTGAGGAATAAGAGCCCATGTGATAAAGGAATAAGAAAAGTGTCTTTCCTGGTATGCAGGAAAACTGATACATAACATATTAGTTATCTATTGCTGTGTAACGAAGTATCCCAAAACTTGCCATCTTAAAACAAACATTTCTTATCTCATGCAGTCTCTGTGGGTCATCTGAGAATGGCTTAGCTGGGTGGTTCTGGCTCTGGATTTCTCCAGGTTTTAGTTAGCACTGCCCAGTCTATAGTTATCTGAAGGCTTAGCTGGGACTACAGGGTCCACTTCCAAAATGGTTCACTCACATGGCTGTTGGCAAGAGGCCTCAGTTCCTCATCACACACGCCTTTCCACAGGGCCACTTGAGTTCCTCATGACACAGTAGCTGGCTCCTCCTAGTGCAAGCGATCCAAGTGTGAGGATGAGGAGGCAGCTGCAATACCTTTTATGACCTAGTCTTATAAGTCACACAGAGTCACTTCTGCCATATTCATTACAGGCCACATGCAACTCATTTAGTGCAGTCCACGCTCAATAGGAAGGAAATTAAGCTCCACCTCTTGATAAGTAGAGTATCACAGAATTTGTGGATATACTTTAAAATCACCATATAGAGTTTTTGTTGTCCTCCCATCACTTTCTCCAGGTACCCAGTGAGAAAAATAATAAAAACAAACTGGGAGGCAGAACTGCAGCCCTATTCAACAAAGCTTGCTGTAAGTACCCAAAACAATTCACGCTCTTTCCTTAACTTTTCTTAAAAACATTTATCCAATTTCTTTAAATGGAATCTTCTTTGAAGGATTTATACTAAAGAGAAAATGATCACACTCCTAAAATATTTTCTTTATCCGTTTGTATCTCTCATTAGTAGAATTTCAGACAGTATAACAAAGTGAAATTCAAAACAACTACAAAAAAACCTACTCCCAAACCCGGTGGATTAAAATATTTGGAGTTAGGAAAGCAACCCCCAGTAAGATCTCTCCTTTCAGCTGATTATTACCAGAGTGCCCTGGTTAACCAGGAAATAGTTTTCCCTTCCTGGTCTAGGGAACATGGAATCTCTGATCTAGGTTTCCTACCTTGATTCCCGTGGCTGCAGCTCTGTAGAAATATGATGGGCATTTAAATCCGAGGAGTCATATTTAAAGGAGTTGATTTCTTGCATCTGAGGCATACAAGATTCTAAAGTGCCATTTCAATCTTCAGAGGAAAATGACGTTTCATGTGACTTTTTATTGTATTTTTTGTAACTTGAAATTTGGTAATACATGGGGACTGTTATAAAAATACAACATTCATAAACACTGGATAGGCCGGGCGCGGTGGCTCACGCCTGTAATCCCAGCACTTTGGGAGGCCGAGGTGGGCGGATCACGAGGTCAGGAAATCGGGACCATCCTGGCTAACACGGTGAAACCGCGTCTCTACTAAAAATACAAAAAATTAGCTGGGCGTGGCGGCGTGCGCTTGTAGTCCCAGCTGCTGGGGAGGCTGAGGCAGGAGAATGGCGTGAACCCAGGAGGCGGAGCTTGCAGTGAGCTGAGATCGCGCCACTGCACTCCAGCCTGGGCAACAGAGTGAGACTCGGTCTCAAAAAAAAAACGCTGGATAAATAGGAGTTTGCCCTACAATTCAACTCAAGTAGAAGCTAGGGGCTGGACCTTTAAGATGAGCTCTCCTGACAATGTTGTTGTTTTTAACCTAATTTGAGTCAATCCAATTTGAGAATACGATGAAAGCTAAAAGACTTATCCCAGAAAATATACATGTCCTCAAAATTTTGCACATAAGTTTAAGGCCTCCCAAACTCCCTAAAACCCACTCAGAAAATCTAGATTAAGAATCTCTAAAACAGCCAGGTGTGGTAGCTCATGCCTGTAATCCCAGCACTTTGGGAGGCTGAAGTGGGTGGATCACTTGAGGCCAGGAGTTTGAGATCTGCCTGGCCAACATAGTGAAACCTCGTCTCTACTAAAAATAGAACAATTAGGCTGGGCGCGGTGGCTCACGCCTGTAATCCCAACACGTTGGGAGGCCGAGGCAGGTGGATCACCTGAGGTCAGGAGTTCGAGACCAGCCTGGCCAATATGAGGAAACACAGTCTCTACTAAAAATACAAAAAATTAACTGGGGGTGGTGGCAGGTGCCTGTAATCTCAGGTACCCAGGAGGCTGAGGCAGGAGAATTGCTTGAACCCTGGAGGCGGAGATTGCAGTGAGCAGAGATCGTACCACTGCACTCCAGCCTGGGCAACAAGAGCAAAACTCCATCTCAAAAAATAATAATAATAATAAATAATAACAATAAAAATAGAAAAATTAGCCAGGCATGGTGGTGCTTGTGTGTAATCACAGTTACTCGGGTGGCTGAGGCATGAGAATTGTTTGAACCAGGTAGGCAGAGGTTGCAGTGAGCCGAGATCACACTACTGCACTCCAGCCTGAGTGACAGAGCAAGACCCTGTCTCAAAGAAAAAAAAAAAACAAAACTGTAAGATTTTGCTAGGGGTGCATATTGCCATTCCATTGTGATATTATAATTTAGGTTTAAATCAGAAGCTACTACAGAATTTAAATATTGGCTGGGCATGGTGGCTCACACCTGTAATCCCAGCACTTACAGGAGGTTGAGGCAGGAGGATCACTTAAGCCCAGGAGTTCAAGGCCTGCCTGGGCAACATGGCAAAAAACCATCTCTACAAGGAAAAAAATACAAAAATTAGCCGGGCATGATGACAAGCACCTATGGTCCCAGCTAGTCAAAAGGCTGAGGCAGGAGGATAGATTAAGCCCAGGAGGTCAAGGCTGCAGTGAGCCGAGATCGCACCGCTGCGCTCCAGCCTTGGCAACAGAACGAGACCCTGTCTCAAAAAAACAAAAAACAAAAAAGCCACAATTATTTCTTCTTCCTCTTTTTTTGGTTTTGTTTTGTTTTGATTTTTAAAGATGGGGTCTCCCTCTATTACCCAGGCTGGAGTACACTGGCACAATCATAGCTCACTGCAACCGCCAATTCCTTGGAGGCTTTAAAAAAATTTTTTGGAGAGACGGGGTCTCAATATGTTGCCCATGCTGGTCTTAAACTTCTGACCTCAAGAGATCCTCTCCCCTTGGCTTCCCAAAGTGTTGAGATTACAGGTATGAGCTACTGCATCTGGCTGTTTTTTGTTTTTTTTGTGAAACAGACCCAATAGCCAAAAGGACACCTCTATAGGCACACCTTGTTTTATTGTGCTTCACTTTCTCGCACTTGTTAGATATTGCCAGTTTTGCAAATTGAAGGTTTATGGCAACCCTGTGTCAAGCAAATCTGTCGCCGTCATTTTTCCAATAGCCTGGGCTCACTTCATGTCTCTGTGTCACCTTTTGGTAATTCTCTTAATATTTCAAACCTTGTCATTATTATTATATCTGATATACTGATCTGTGATCAGTGATCTTTGATATTACTATTGTAATTATTTGGGGACATCACGAACCTTGTCCATATAAGATGACAAACTTAACTGATAAATGTTGTATATGTTTTGACTGCTCCATTGACCAGCCGTCCCCCTTCACTCTCCCTCTCCTTGGCCCTCCCTATTACGAGACACAATATTAAAATTGGGCCAGTTAATAACCCTACAATGACCTCTAAGTGTTTAAGTGAAAGGAAGAGTTGTATATCTCTCACTTTAAATCAAAAGCTAGAAATTATTAACCATAGTGAGAAAGGCATATGGAAAGCTGAGATAAGGATGGGCATGGTGGCTCACGCCTATAATCCTAACACTCTGGGAGGCTGAGGTGGGAGAATTGCCTGAGCCTGAGCAGTAGAGGTTTCAGTGAGCCATGATTGTGCCTGTGCACTCCAAAAAAAGGAAAGAAGGAAGGAAGGACGAAAAGAAGGAAGGAAGAAAGGAAGGAAGGAAGGAGGGAGGGAGGCAGGCAAGGAAGGAAGGAAGGGGAAAGGAGGAGGGAAGGGGAAGGAAGGAAGGGGAAAGGAGGGGGGAAGGGGAAGGAAGGAAGGGGAAAGGAGGGGGGAAGGGGAAGGAAGGAAGGGGAAAGGAGGGGGGAAGGGAAGGGAGGGAAGGGAAGGAAGGAAAGAAAAAAGAAAGAAAGCTGAGATAGGCTGAAAGCTATGCCTCTTCTTTTTTTTTTTTTTTTTTTGAGACGGAGTCTTGCTCTGTCGTCTAGGCTGGAGTGTAATGGTGCGAGGCTCACTGCAACCTCCGCTTCCCAGCTTCAAGCGATTCTCCTGCCTCAGCCTCCCAAGCAGCTGGGAGCTACTCGGCACATGCCACCACACCCAGCTAATTTTTGTATTTTTAGTAGAGACAGGGTTGTCTCTACTATGGTAGAGGTCCACCATGTTGACCAGGCTGGTGTCGAACTCCTGACCTCAGGTGATCCGCCTGCCTCAGGCTTCCAAAGTGTTGGGATTACAGGCGTGAGCCACCATGCCCTGCACTATGCCTTTTCTTACCCAGGTTGTGAATGCAAATGAAAAGTTCTTTTTTATTGTTTGGGTTTGTTTGTTTGTTTGTATTAAACTTTTATCACTTGACTCTGGGAAATGGGAAGGTTCTTGAAGGAAATTAGAAATACCCAGACCAGCCTGGGCAACATAGTGAGACCCTGTCTCTATTTAAAAATAAATAAATTAAATAATTTTTTTAACAAAAAAGAAAAGTTTGAAGCTAGCAGAGGTCGGTTCATGAGATTTAAGGAAAAAAGCAATCTCCATAACATAAAAGTGCAAGAAGCAGCAGCAAATGCTGATGGAGAAACTGCAACAAGTTGTCCACAAGGTGTAGCTAAGATCATTAAAGGTGACTACAATAAACAACAGATTTTCAATACAGGGGAAACAGCCTTCTATTGGAAGATTCCACCTAGGGCTTTCATAGTTAGACAGAAGTTGATGCCTGGCTTCAAAGCTTCAAAGGACAATCTTACTCTCTTGTTAGAGGCTAATGCAGCCCGTAGCTTTAAGTTAAGGCCAATGCTCATTTACCATTCCGAAAATTCTAGGGCCCGTAGGAATTATTCTAAATCTACTCTACCTGTGCTCTATAAATGGAACAAAACCTGGGTGACTGGCCGGGCGCGGTGGCTCATGCCTGTAATCCCAGCATTTTGGAAGGTCGACCCAGGTGGATCACCTGAGGTCGGGAGTTCGAGACTAGTCTGGCCAACATGGTGAAACCCCATCTCTACTAAAGATACGAAATTAGCCAGGCGTGGTGGCACATGCCTGTAATCCCAGCTACTTGGGAGGCTGAGGGAGGAGAATAGTTTGAAATCGGGAGGCAGAGGTTACGGTGAGCCGATATCGCGCCATTGCACTCCAGCCTGGGCAACAAGAGTGAAACACCATCTAAAAATAAAAATAAATGAATAAAAAAGAAGAAATACCTTTCATAAGGCTATAGCTGCCATTGATTCCTCTGATGGACCTAGGTAAAGTAAATTGAAAAACTTCTGGAGAGGATTCAGCATTCCAGATGCCATTAAGAACATTCGTGATTCATGGGAGGTCAAAATATCAATATTAACAGGATTTTGGAAGAAGTGGATTCTAACCCTAATGGATGATTTTGAGGGATTCAAGACTTCAATGGAGGAAGTAACTGTAGATGTGGTGGAAATAGCAAGAGAACTAGAAGTGGAACCTGAAGATGTGACTGAATTGCTGCAATCTCATAAAATTTGAACAGATGAGGAGTTGCTTCTTATAGATAAGCAGAGAGAGTGGTTTCTTGAGATAGAATCTACTCCTTGTGAAGATGCTGTGAACACTGTTGAAATGGCAACAAAGGATTTGAATATTCCATAAACTTAGTTGATAAAGCAGAGGCAGGGTTTGAGAAAACTGGATTGACTCCAATTTTGAAAGGTCCACTGTGGGTAAAATATTATCAACCAGCATCACACGCCATCAAGAACTCTTTCATGAAAACAAGTCAATCAATATAGCAAATGTCATTGTTGTCTTATTTTAAGGAATTGCCACAGCCACCCCAACCTTCAGCAGCCACCATCCAGATCAGTCAGCAGCCATTAACAAGGAGCAAAGACCCTCCAACTAGCAAAGAATATGACTTGCTAAAGGCCTAGATGATTGATAGCTTTTTTTTTTTTTGAGACCGAGTTTTGCTCTTCTTGCCCAGGCTGGAGTGTAATGGCGTGATCTCGGCTCACCACAACCTTCGCCACCCGGGTTCAAGCGATTCTCCTGCCTCAGCCTCCCTAGTAGCTGGGATTACAGGCATGCGCCACCATGCCCAGCTAATTTTGTATTTTTAGTAGAGACAGGGTTTCTCCATTTTGGTCAGGCTGGTCTTGAACTCCCCATCTCAGGTGATCCGCCCGCCTCGGCTTCCCAAAGGGCCGGTATTACAGGCGTGAGCCACCACGCCCAGCTGATAGCATTTTTTTAGCAGTCATGTATTTTATTTACTTGTTTATTTTTAGAGACAAGGTCTCACTCTGTCGCCAGGCAGGGGTGCGGAGGCACAATCATAGCTCACTGTAATCTCGAACCTCTGGGCTCATGCGACCCTCCTTCCTCAGAGCAATTAACAAATGTATATATACTTTTTCCTTCCTCTCTCCCAATATTTTAAATTAAGGTATGCACATTGTTTTAGACATAACGCTATTACACGCTTAATAGACTACATTATAAACATGATTGTATTTGCACTGGGACATGAAACATTTGTGAGACCTCACTTTGTCATATTGCGGTGGTCTGGAACCAAATTCGCAGTATCTCCAAGGTATGCCTGTACTAGATTTTCTATGCTTGAGTTTAGTCCATATCGTAAATACCTTGGAGGCAAAAGGAACACGGCAGAGAGCACAAAGAGGACAATACATATTTGCTGAAAAACAGTAGGACACAGAACTGCTGACGACGACAGCCTTGCCCTCTCCAGTTGACTGCAGCAAATGTTGCCAATTTGCCAGAGACAAGCAATTCGAGGAGAGAAAAGCTGCTTGCCTTTTCAGTTAGCAAGAAAAGTGCTGGGTTTGTCTTCTGCCGAGCACCCGCAACCCAGATCCCGACCCGAGATTCCTGAGACACACTTTCGGTGGAGGGAACTCCTAGCAGCAACGCCCAGCCCCCGGCGTGACCCTCCGACCGCACTTGCCTCCCAGCCTGGGAAGGTGGAAGAGGCCGCCCAAAGTCCCCTCAGTTGGCCAGTGAGTGACCCCTGGGCGGAGGCGGCGCAGTGGCCCCCAATCCAGCCTCGGGGCGAGAGGCGGGGCGCGCCGCGCGCCCCCGCCCATCGCGGGCGCCCCAGCCCTGCGCGCCAGGCCTGCGTGTCCTCGCGCCGACCCCTCCCTCGCGCGCCTCGCCCGGCGCACGCGCGTGGCCTCGCGCAGGGCGGGGAGAGGCGGTGGCTGTGGGCGTCCGGCCCCGAACCTGTCAGACCTGGGGAGCCGGCCTCCAGCAGCGGGCGCGGCGGGCGCGAGCACGACCCCACTCTCCTGCGGCCGCGGGTGGAGCAGCGCGAGCCCGCCTCGCTGAGCCGGCCGGGGGCGGGGAGATGAGTTGCGGCCCCGCGGCAGCGCCCCAGGTATTAAATAGATGTGCCGCCCCCTCGCGGAGCCCCGGCGGAGCGTCGGGGTCGGCCCTGCGACCCGCCGCCAGCGGCTTCGGAACTTGAGGACAGGGTTGGGCGCCTTTAATTTATAACGTGTTTCGTTTTCCACAGGATGGGGAGGGACGCGCGGCACTGCCCTCGAGAACTGGCGCTCCGGTGAAGTAGGCGCCGCCGGCCGTCCGCCTCCCCCAAGCCGTTCCGCACCGCGGCCGCTCAGCCTCTGCCATGGCCGGCTCTGGCGCGTGGAAGCGCCTCAAATCTATGCTAAGGAAGGATGATGCGCCGCTGTTTTTAAATGACACCAGCGCCTTTGACTTCTCGGATGAGGCGGGGGACGAGGGGCTTTCTCGGTTCAACAAACTTCGAGTTGTGGTGGCCGATGACGGTTCCGAAGCCCCGGAAAGGCCTGTTAACGGGGCGCACCCGACCCTCCAGGCCGACGATGATTCCTTACTGGACCAAGACTTACCTTTGACCAACAGTCAGCTGAGTTTGAAGGTGGACTCCTGTGACAACTGCAGCAAACAGAGAGAGATACTGAAGCAGAGAAAGGTGAAAGCCAGGTTGACCATTGCTGCCGTTCTGTACTTGCTTTTCATGATTGGAGAACTTGTAGGTGAGTTGTGTTGCCAACTCACTTTCCGTTTACCTTTCCTCGAGAGTCTTTGTCAAGCTGTAGTTACACAGGCTTTGAGGTTTAACCCATCTTTTCAGGAAGTTTGTATTTATCAAGACACTGATCTCATGTGAAAAGGCCACACGGTTCCAAAGTGCAGCTCAATCTAAGTACAATATAAACTCCCCGAGATAACTTTGACTTTCTCTTCTAGTTGTTCAACCACTGTCATCTACCGTAAAGTTAAGGACGTTATCTTCATTGTATGTCATGTAACTTCCTCTTTTTACAAAGGTCTGGTAAAATACCAGGTTAATTTTCGCAACGTTTAAAATAGTAAATGATCGTAAATAACTTAAGATCATAGAATTTTACAGTATGAAGGGACCTTACTGAACACCTGCTCCACCTCCTTTTTTTTTTTACATGTAAGGATTTCCAGGGCACAAACCAGTGGAATAAGTCGTGAGGGCCACTTAGGGAGTTAATGGAAGAGCCACATCTACAGTCCCAGCATTTTTTTCCTCTACATTTGACCTAAGTGGTTTCTTTTATACGATTTCCTTTTGTATTTATAGCCAAGAGATTTGCAAAATTAATTACCAACTAACATGAAATTTTTGCCTCGTAAGAAGGGCCTGAAATGAACCAGAGGACTCCGCCAAAGTTCTATGAGCCTGGTTTTCTTGTTCATTTTTTAATTATACGAACAATCCGTTCTCAATATAAGATACATTCTTAGTTTAGAGGTTATTTTCAATCACGTCAGTATAACTACTAACTTCTCAGTGACAGTTTACAAAGTGACATAAAAGCAGGGAGATGATTCTTACATGTCATCTCTTAAATGATGAACCATGACAAAAACAGGTGGCAGTCCAGATTTAAGATGTTTGACTGGAGGGTTCTATGTGGGAAAAATTATATACATTTCCTACCTTCTTTCATAACACTCCTCCCCAGGGCTCGCTTCAGCCATGCTGGTCTTCTTTTTCCTCTTACAACTCACAAAGCTCTTTTTGCCTCTAAGGCGTTCAAAGTGGCTGGTCCTTCTATCTCAGTGGCTTTCAAACATTTTTTGACCTCACTGTAGTAAGAAATACACTTCACATTGTGACTCATTTAGGCATGCATGCATACATATGTATGAGAATATACACAGGTCACATGTGTATAAATATATGTATAACTGAAACAAAAGTTTTCCTTCATGTGATGTATCCTAATAGTTTCTTCAATTGTGGTCCCAGCTCACTAAATGGATTTCGTGTGTCCACTGCAGTAGGTCAGGGCCTTAGCTTGAAAAACACTGCTTTACATAGACTGCCTTTCCCAAATCTTTTCTTGGCCAGTTTCTTGTCATTCGTGTCTTATTTAAAAAGACACCCCGGCCGGGTGCAGTGGCTCACGCCTTTAATCCCAGCACTTTGGGAGGCCGAGGTGGGTGGATCACCTGAGGTCAGGAGTTTGAGACCACCCTGGCCAACATGGTGAAACCTTGTCTCTACTAAAAACAAAATACAAAAATTAGCCGGACGTTGTGGTGGGCGCCTGTAATCCCAGCTACTTGGGAGGCTAAAGCAGGAGAATCGCTTGAACCCGGGAGGCGGAAGTTGTGGTGAGCCGAGATTGCGCCACTGCACTCCAGCCTGGGCAACAGGGTGAGAATCCGTCTCAAAAAAAAATAAGTAAATAAAATAATAAATAAATAAATAAGTAATAAAAATTAAAAAAACCCACACTTTTGAGAGACCTTTTCTGACTGACTAAAGTAAATCTCTTTTGTTCCCTGTTCCCTCTCCAACTTTCAAAGTCCTCAGCATCTGAGATATCTTATTTATTTACTCATTTAATATTACCTGTTTCCACTGAAATACAGGCTGAATTCCTAGCACCTAGAACAGTGACTGGCACAAAGTAGATACTCAATAAACTTGTTGAATTAATTCATTTTTATTCTGTTAGATAATTATAAATGCTTGAGCTGTAAAGAAATTAAAAGACAGGAGACAACCTGTGCCCCAGATAAAGCACCATGGTCTCAGCAGACTGAGATTCGGTGACTTGCCCAAACTAACACAACTAGAATATTGAGTCATTCAGGTTTAATGATTTTTGAAGTTAACGTTGAATATTTGAAGTTAAAATAACAATCACAGCATCCCCCCTTAAAATGATTAATAATTCAGAGTTTATTTCACCTAAGTAAAAATCATTAAGATATAATTGTCTTGACTTCTCACTTCTGAAATCTGTTATTTGGTAAATGTTGTTTTATGAAAGCCACAATAAGTATTTCCTTTCAAATACTGACTTTATTGTCAAATGTGGAAATATTTTGTTAAACAATACAGAGATGATAGTAGTACTTAGGGTAAGCATTAACAATATTATTCAAAATGTTATATAGAGTTCAACTGTATACAATAGAGCATTTATTAAAGTGTGTCCAAAGCGCTTATAAATAAAGCATCTTCGAGGCAGGCGGCTCACTTGAGGTTAGGAGGAAAGCAGACTGGCCAACATGGTGAAACCCCGTCTCTACTGAAAATACAAAAAAATTAGCCAGGCGTCATGGCGCACCTGTAGTCCCAGCTACTGGGGAGGCTGAGACACGAGAATCGCTTGAACCTGGGAGGTGGAGGTTGCAGTGAGCCAAGATTGCACCACTGCACTCCAGCCTGGGTGACAGAGTGGGACTCTGTCTCAAAAAAAGAAAGAAAGAAAGAGAAATAAAGCATCTTATGTAGGAAGTATGGAGAAATAAAAAATGAAGCAATTTGGCCAGGCACGGTGGCTCACACCTGTAATCCTAGCACTTCTGGGAGGCCAAGGCGGGTGGATCACTTGAGGTCAGGAGTTTGAGAGCAGCCTGGCCAACATGGTGAAACCCCATCTCTACTAAAAATACAAAAATTAGCCAGAAATCGCTTTAACCCAGGAGGCAGAGGTTGCAGTGAGCTGAGATCATGCCACTGCACTCCAGCCAGGGCAACAGAGTGAGACTACATTAAATAAAATATATTTTTAAAAAATGAAGCAATTTGGCCAGGTGTAGGAAGTATCTTATGTAGGAAGTATGGAGTAATAAAAAATGAAGCAATTTGGCTGGGTGCAGTGGCTCATGCCTATAATCCCAGCACGTTGGGAGCCTGAGGATCGCTTGAGCTCAGGAGTTCAAGACCAGCCTGGCAACATGATGAAACCCCCTCTCTACCAAAAAAAACCAAAAACTTAGCCTGACTTGGTAGTGCGTGTCTGTGGTCCTAGCTCCTCTGGAGGCTGAAGTGGCAGGATCGGTTGAGCCCAGGGGGTGGAGGTTGCAGTGAGCTGAGATCCGGCTGCTGTACTCCACCCCAGGTGACAGAGTGAGACTCTCTCAAAAAGAAGGGAAAAAAAATGAAGTAACTAAATGAGCTGAGATAGACTTGGTTGGCTTTACCACTTACCTTGCTCTGAGACCTTCGTAAAGGTCCATTCTTTTCTCTTCTCTTTGGAAGTGTATTTTGAGTACTTACACTATGTGCCAGGCACTGTGCTACATGTTCTGAATGTACAATGGAGAACGAAACTATTATGATCCCTACTATGTGGAGAATTTAATGGAAGAGACAATCATTAAACACGTAAGTAAATTTAAAATTTAGATGGTCCTAAGTACTAGGAAGAAAAAGAACAAGGTACTATAAGACATAGTAACCAGTAGGACATAGTTTATGCATGGACCAGGTACATTTAAGCCAAAAAAAAAAGAATAGTAGGAGTTACCCAAACAGAGTGAGGGAGTTTTCCAAGAGAAGAGAACAGCATGTACCAAGGTCCTAAAGCCTTCAATTCTTCGAAAGGAATTAGAAAGAAGGCCAGTTTGGCTTCAATGTGTAACCATGAGGGAAAGAGGCAGGAGGAAGAGATCAGGCAGGCCCTGGTAGGCCATGTTAGATGAGTGTAGTTTTTATTTTAAGTGCAATGGAAAGCCAGATAAGGGTTTTTTTTGTTTTTGTTTTTGTTTTTATTTTGAGACGGAGTCTCGCTCTTTCGCCCAGCCTGGAGTGCAGTGGTGTGATCTCGGCTCACTGCAAGCTCTGCCTCCCGGGTTCGTGCCATTCTCCTGCCTCAGCCTCCTGAGTAGCTGGGACTACAGGCGCCCCCCACCGCGCCTAGCTAATATTTTGTATTTTTAGTAGAGACGGGGTTTCACCGTGTTAGCCAGGATGGTCTCAATCTCCTGACCTCGTGATCTGTCCGCCTCGGCCTCCCAAAGTGCTGGGATTACAGGCGTGAGCCACCGCGCCTGGCCAACCAGATAAGGTTTTAAGCAGGAGAGTAACAAGATGGGATTTACCTTTTTGAAAGATTACTCTGCTGTTATGTGAAGAATGGATCGGGAGTTCGAGACCAGCCTGACCAATATGGCGAAACCCCGTCTCTACTGAAAATACAAAATTAGCCAGGCATGGTGGCACGTGCCTGTAATCCCAGCTACTCGGGAGGCCGAGGCAAAAGAATCACTTGAACCTAGGAGGCGGAGGTTGTGGTGAGCCGAGATCACGCTGTTGCACTCCAGCCTGGGCAACAAGAGCAAAACTCCATCTCAAAAAAAAAAAAAAAAAAAAAAAAAGAATGGATTGGAGGGTATATTCTTGGAAGCAAGAATATGAGTCTGTGGTTAGAAGAGAGGTCAAGGTAGAGAGAGATGAGTGTATATAATGCCGTAGGAATAGGTAAAATTACCTAGAGAGCCCAAGTCTCTAGGAACTCCAACTTTAGAAGTCAGGCAGAGGGAAAAAGGTGTTCCAAATTTTTTTTTTTTAAAAAAGAGAGTATTTCAAAGTGGAAATAAATAGGTTGAAACTGTTGAGAGGTCTAATTAGATGAGAACTAAAACATCCTTTGGATTTGGTAACAGAGTTACAACTGCATTTTTATTGAAAATGAAAATGCTTAATTGAGAGTGTATATAAACTTCTAGGTAAAGATGGCAAATTGAACTCATGCATCTAATTTTGCTTGTTCCTGATGCCTCTCTTATACGATAAACAGATTTTTTTTAATGGAGTCTCGCTCTGTCACCCAGGCTGGAGTGCACCATCTCAGCTCACTGCAGCCTCTGCCTCCTGGGTTCAAGTGATTCTCCTGCCTCAGCCTCCTGAGTAGCAGCCTCCACCTCCCGGATTCAAGTGATTCTCCTGCCTCAGCCTCCCAAGTAGCTGGGACTACAGGTGCACACCATCACGCCCAGCTACTTTTTAGTATTTTTAGTAGAGACGGAGTTTCAACATGTTGGCCAGGCTGGTCTTGAACTCGTGACCTCAAGTGATCCGCCCACCTCGGCCTCCCAAAGTGCTGGGATTACAGGCGTGAGCCACCATACCTGGCCTCTTATACAATAAAGAGATTTTTTTAAAAAAAGATATAAATTCACACATATGAGGAAAACTGGAGAGGAAAAGATAGCAACAAAAATTTTGGAAACTGGAAAGGAAACAGATAAAGAACTAACTGACTTAGTAGACCCAAGAAAGCAAACACCTAAGCCAGCAGTGGGGAAGGCTGAGAACCATCACAGTTTATACTACAGCAGTGATTCTGAAGCTTTAGTGTGCATCAGAATCATATAGAGAACTTGTTAAAACACAAAATCCCAGGGGATGCTAACACTACTGATCCAGGGACCATATTTTAGAACTACTGCACTAGAAAATCCTAAGTAAGCTCCAGATTGGTTGTACCAGGTACCTCTGGAAGTGTGGGTGAAGAAGGCAGCTAAAATAAGGAAAGCTAGTTAAACCTATTTAAAAGCCAGTCAGATATAATAGTAAAATTGTATAATTAGTATACTCAGAGATAAAAGATCACGTATCCATGAAGCAAGAACAGACTACTTTAAAATAGAAATTCAGGGTGGGCGCAGTAGCTCATGCCTGTAGTCCTAGCACTTTGGGAGGCTGAGGCAGGAGGAACAAACACTTCAGCTCAGAAGTTCAAGACCAGCCTGGTCAAGGTGGCAAGACCCTGTCTCTACAAAAAAAAGAAACAAAGAAAGAAAAATAGTAGGGCATGGTGGTGCTTACCTGTGGTCCCAGCTACTTAGGAGGCTAAGGTGGGAGGATCACTTGAGGACAAGAAGTTGAGGCTGCAGTGAGCCAAGTGTTTGTGCAATTGCTCTCCAGCCTGGGTGACAGAGTGAGACTCTATCTCAAAGAAAAAAAAAAAAGAAAAGAAATTCAGGGTAACGAAAAAAGCTTCTGCACAATAAAAACATAGTTGAAATTTCTATTATTTATTATTTATTTATTTATTTATTTATTTTTGAGATGGAGTCTTGCACTGTCGCCCAGGCTGGAGTGCAGTGGCGCCATCTCGGCTCACTGCAAGCTCCACCTCCCAGGTTCATGCCATTTTCCTGCCTCAGTCTCCCAAGTAGCTGGGACTACAGGCACCCACCACTACGCCTGCTATTTTTTTGTATTTTTGGTAGAGACGGGCTTTCACCGTGTTAACCAGGATGGTCTCCATCTCCTGACCTCGTGATCCACCCGCCTCGGCCTCCCAAAGTGCTGGGATTACAGGTGTGAGCCACCACGCCCGGCCGAAATTTCTTTTAAACTCCATAGAAAAGTTAGAAGATAAATTAAGGGCTGGGTGCAGTGGCTCATGCCTGAAATCACAGCACTTTGGGAGGCTGAGGTGGGAAGATCACATGAGCCCAGGAATTCAAGATCAGCCTGGGCAGTATAGTGAGAGCTTATCTTCACTAAAAATTGAAGAAAAAAAAAAAGCCAAGCACGGTGTCATGCTCCTGTAGTCCCAGCAACTTAGGAGGCTAAGGCAGGAGGATTGCCTGAGTCCAAGAATTCAAGACCAGCCTGGACAACATAGTGACACCTTGTCTCTAATAAAAATTAAAAAAAAAAAAATTAGCAAGGTGTGGTGGCACATGCCTGTAGTCCCAGCTACAAAGGAGGCTGAGGTGGAAGGATTGCTTAAGACCAGGAGGTCCAGGCCACAGTGAGCCACAGTTGTGCCACTGCACTGCAGCCTGGACAACAGAGCAAGACCCTACCTCAAAAAAAGATGAATTAAGGTACTCTCTCACAGAGTTGAGCAAAAAGATGTATAATTGGAGAGAAAGGGCAAAAACAATTTAGAGGCCAGGCACGGTGGCTCATGCCTGTAATCCTAGCACTTTGGGACGCCAAGGCGGGCAGATCACCTGAGGTTAGGGGTTCGAGACCAGCCTGGCCAACATGATGATACACCATCTCTACTAAAAATATAAAAATTAGCCGGGCGTGGTGGCGCATGCCTGCAATCCCAGCTACTCGGGAGGCTGAGGCAGGAGAATTGCTTGAACCCAGAAGGCGGAGGTTGCAGTGAGCTGAGATTGCACCACTGTACTCCAACCTGGGTGACAGAGTGAGACTCTGTCTCAAAAAAAAAAAAAAAAAAAAAATTGGAATATCAATCTAAACTCCAAATAACAGGAAGGAGTTTGAGAAAGAAAGCAAAGGCTACGAAATCATCAACACTATAGTTTATGGTTTAGGAAGTTTTCCCATAGCTGGAGGATACACATTTCTATAATTTTTTTTTTTTTTTTTTGAGACAGAGTTCCACTCTTGTTGCCCAGGCTGGAGTACAATGGCGCAATCTCAGCTCACCACAACCTCCACCTCCCCGTAACCTCCGCCTCCTGGGTTCAAGTAATTCTTCTACCTCAGCACCCGAGTAGCTGGGATTACAGGCATGTGCCACCATGCCCAACTAATTTTGTATTTTTAGTAGAGACAGGGTTTTTCCATATTGGTCAGGCTGGTCTCGAACTCCCGACCTCAGGTGATCTGCCCGCCTCAGCCTCCCAAAATGCTGGGATTACAGGTGTGAGCCACTGTGCCTGGCCACACATTTCTAGATTGAAAGAGCAAATTGGGGGAAAAGAGATCCATTCCAGGGTAGACATTGTGAAATTTTCTGAACACAGAGAACACATCATTGCCTACCTCAGGAAGCCGCAGTGTTAGTTGCCTCTGATTTTTGACAAGCATGGGAAGATGGGGGCTGTTCATACAGGGCAAGCTTCAAGTGTCCAGTCAAATAAAAACATCCTTGCACGTCCTTTAGGGAACTACCAGCAGGTCAAATAATGACAGTTCTCTGGGAATGGGGCATTGAAGGAGATCCAAACTCATTTTGTATCCTCCAGTGGCTGCCAACCTGAGGTTTTCACTGTGATTGTGGCCTGTTGGTTTTCAAGGCTACCATACAGCTGGAGGACAACAAATGGGTACAGCGCAAATTAAAACACCATGAAGATAACTGTTCTTGCTGATATTCAGCTATTTTTCTTGAATAAGTGCTATGTGTATAAGCTTTTGGCTAATTTCCAAAGTTCTGAAAAAGCTGATTTTGACTATTTTTGTCCATGTTTTCATTCTTTTTGTGAAGATGATTTTCAGAGGTCCTTACTTTTTTTTTTTGGCTGATGTCACCAACATGTAGCTTTTTAAGTTTAGGTTAATTAAAAGTAAATAATTAAGCCTAGGCAACATAGCAAGACCTCATCTCCTGAAAAAAAAAAAAAGATAAAAAGATTAGCTGAGCATGGTGGTACATGCCTGTAGTCCCAGCTACTCAGGAGGCTGAGATGGGAGGATTACATGAACACAGGAGGTTGAGGCTGCAGTGAGTTATGATCACATCACTGCATTCCTGCCTGGGTGGCAGAGCAAGACCCTGACTCTCTAAAAAAAAAAAAAAAAAAAGTTTAATTAATTAAATTCCTTAGTTTCACTAACCATTTTTCTTTTTCTTTCTTATTTATTTTTTGGTAGAGATGGGGTTTCACCATGTTGCCCAGTCTGGTCTCAAACTCCTGAGCTCAGGTGATCCGCCTGCCTCAGCCTCCCAAAGTGTTGGGATTACAGGCGTGAGCCACTGCACCTGGCCCCATTTTTCTTTTTTTTTTTTAGTCAATGTCTCACTCTTGTCACCCAAGTTGGAGTGAACTGGTGCCATTATATAAAGCTTACTGCAGCCTCAGACTCTTACACTCAAGCAGTTCTCCCACCTCGGCCTCCCAAACAGCTGGTATTACAGGCATAAGCCACTGTGCCCCAACCTTACTAGCCATTTTTTAAATGCTGAAAAGCCACATGTGACTAGTGGCTACACCATTGGACAGCTCAGATACAGAACATTTCTATCATCTCAAAGTTCTATTGGACAGAATTGCTTTAAGGAATTATCCTCATTATAAAATGATAAGTATGCTAAAGCTCAAAAAAATTAACTCATTCAGACTTTCTGAGATTCCAAAACTTCATGTTGTTTAACACCAACCTTCTCTTGGTGCTTTCCAGCTTTTTCATGCCGGGGAATACATAAAAATGCTATTTGTATAGAGCACTCTGGGGTAAATGGATGTGACTAAAAGATCATCAGCCCCTAGTCTCCTGCTCTTGTCTCTACACACCCAGCTCAGGAATGAGGAGGATCAACAGCTCAGCACACTTACCTGATCATGCAGTTCTGCTGTACATTATAACAGTGATTCTCGAAGTGTGGTTCCAAGACTTGAAGCATCAGCATTACCTGGGAGCATGTTAGCAATATACATTCTCAGGTCCCATCCCCATCACCATCCCAGACCTACCGAATCAGAAATTCTGGGAGTAGAGTTAAGCAGTTTGTAGTTTAACAAGCCCTCCAGGTGATTCTGATACACATAAAAGCTTATTCAGTGAATAGTGCTAGGAAAATTGGTTGTCCATTATGGGACAATACAGACACACAATGAAACAATGTATAATATATATATTAAATGCCTGGAAAATCGATAACAAAAATTGTATCCTAAATACTACCTTTTGTACCCCTCTTCAGAGATGTTGCTAAGTGAATCAGTTAATTTTTACATATTTTATATCGAACTAATGTACATTTTGTAGGTTTTCTCAGTTTAATTTTATGTTCCAACGCCCCTCAACAAGTGAACACCCTTCTTTTCTTCAGCTTTGTTGTAATATTTAGATATGGTTATTAATTCACTAATAGTAGAATTAGTAAGTTAAGCAAAAGCTTCAGTACCAAGACACAAAATCACTATATATTTGCCTTGTGGTTCTTAACTTTCTAAAGGTCATTGACTCCTTGCAGCATGTGTTACTAGAAATGGATATTCTGGCTGGACACATTGGCTTACGCCTATAATCCCAACACTTGCAAGGCCGAGGCGAGTGGATCAGTTGAGGTCAGGAGTTTGAGACCAGCCTGGCCAACATGGTGAAACCCTGTCTCTACTAAAAATACAAAAATTAGCCGGGCGTGGTGGCACGTGCCTGTAGTCCCAGCTACTCGGGAGGCTGAGGCAGAAGAATCACTTGAACCCAGAAGGCAGAGGTTGCAGTGAGCTGAGATTGCACCACTGCACTCCAGCCTGGGCAACAGAGTGAGACTCTGTCTCAAAAAAAAAAGAAAAAAAGAAGTGGATATTCTCACCAGAAAAATGAACCTATATCTAATATTTTGAATGAAATTTCAGAATACCTTGATTTAATTGTAATGGGATAAAGATTTAGTTAGAAGTTCATGTTTTGTAGGATATTGCATATTTCTAGTTTGATTGCTTGCTTTTTTAAAAAATTAACTTGTTCCTTTTTTCTCCTACTTGTAACTCTAAGGTGGATACATTGCAAATAGCCTAGCAATCATGACAGATGCACTTCATATGTTAACTGACCTAAGCGCCATCATACTCACCCTGCTTGCTTTGTGGCTATCATCAAAATCACCAACCAAAAGATTCACCTTTGGATTTCATCGCTTAGGTAGGTAGTTGGTGTTTCTTTTGCTTTATAATATTTTATAGTAAAACCACAATGAACTATAACCCTGATTAACTGAACTCGTTCCAGTGATATCTTGTTTGAACAAAGCAAATGAAAATAGATAAACAAAATTTATTCAGAAACATCTTTTCCAGGGTACATTTAGCCTAGTCAGCTAAACAGTTTACACATATAAAATTATATGATGATCATTAATCTTCAAAGGTTGCTCCCTATGTCCTGAAGATATCATCAGAAAAAAGTTTACTTTCAGTTTATTGAACAAAGCAAAACCACATGGGTTTAACCCGTTAATGAGCATTAGCTTCTCTCTTTTACTTCAGGTATTTCAGCCAAAGCTACCATAGCTTAGATTTTAAGCAGAGCTATCACAGGTATAATGTATGCTGTGTGGCTGAACTTGACTGCAGCCATCGTATCAACATAATTCTGCAAATGCACACATTTTTATTTGCCTGTTTTGAACAAATTTTAATGTTTAATTATAAAGAGTTAAAATCATACATTGCTATCTACACAGCTCTGCTTCTTACTGTATTACTGTTTTTAAATTTTTTGCTTATTTTGAAAATATGTATAAAATAATTACCTGAACTATTATATGAAGTAACATTTACCCAGATGTCAGACTCAAAAGTAGAACCCAAAAGTTGACATTTAAGTAGCTTCAGCAAAACTTGCCTCAAAGAACTAGAGTTAATATCTGATAATTTCATTTTGTAGGAACACTGATGCTCCTGGCTAATATATCAATCAATTCCTCATCATCTTTTTTATTTTTTAGCCTAAAAAAACTTAGACTGTAGATTTTTTGTTTGTTTCTTTACCTATATTTTCTTTGTATTTGTTTTTTGTTTTTTGCTTTTAAGACAGAGTCTTGCTCTGTTGCCCAGGCTGGAGTGCAGTAAACTTTTTGTTTCTTTACGTACATTTTCTTTGAATTTATTTCTCGTTTTTGCTTTTAAGACAGAGTCTTATTCTGTTGCCCAGGCTGGAGTGCAGTGGTGTGATCTTCTTGCACTGTTGCCCAGGCTGGAGTGCAGTGGTGTGATCTTCTTGCGCTGTTGCCCAGGCTGGAGTGCAGTGGTGTGATCTCAGCTCACTACAACCTCCACCTTCCAGGCTCAAGTGATCCTTCCACCTCAGCCTCCCGAGTAGCTGGGACTATAGGCGTGCACTAGCATGCTCAGCTAATTTTTGTGATTTTTGTAGAGACAGGGCCTACCTACAAGGGGGTCATCCTTTGCCCAGGCTGATGTCAAACTCCTGTGCTCAAGCCATCCTCCTACCTTGGCCTCCCAGAGTGCTGGGATTACAGGTGTGAGCTGCCATGACTGGCCCACAGCATCCAGGACCTCTTACTTAGTGACTGGGTCTTCTGGTGCAAAACTTGACACTGTACCTAAATGGTGATATTCCAAGTAGCTATCCAGGTCATCAGGTTGGAAAATTATCTAGCATCCCCACCCCTCCGTACTCTCAGCTACTGTACAAAAGAGCTAAAGCCCCAAGTGAAGTTTTTCTTTTGTTAAGCTACTGCATAATGCATGTGAATGTGTTCCTGGCCAGGCACGGTGGCTCACGTCTGTAATCCCAGCACTTTGGGAGGCCGAGGTGGGCGGATCACCTGAGATCAGGAGTTCAAGACCAGCCTAGCCAACATGGTGAAACCCCATATCTACTAAAAATACAGAAATTAGCTGGGCATGGTGGTGCACGCCTGTAATCCCAGCTACTCAGGAAGCTGAGGCAGAAGAACTGCTTGAACCCGGGAGGCGGAGGTTGTAGTGAGCCTAGATCATGCTGCTGCACTCCATTCTGGGCGGCAGAGTAAGACTCTTGTCTCTCTCAAAAAAAAAAAAAAAAAAGAATGTGTTCCTAAAGGAAACTCCACTGCTTCTCAACATATTATATAGTCATTTGTTTACTGGTTGCCTTAGGATTTTTAAACAGCTTCAAAATTATTTTTAAACATTAATTTTTTTGAGATTTAAACACCTGCAGTTAAGATCTAAGATGTAAACATATCATCATGGAATGGGAATTTTTTTAACACTGCTTGAGAGAGTACATTTATATAGTCCTGTGGTTCTTAAACTCTTTTAGGTTATAAACCCTTTGGAATTCTGATGAAAGCAGTGAAACACTCCCTCAGAAACATGCAATAACAGAACACAGAAGATGCTACACATATAAGTTAAGAACCCATAATAATGAAACTTCTATTAAATATTAAAGAAGTACTTAGTGTTTGTTCTACATAGTCACTTTGCTTCTTCATAAATAAATACTATGTAAAAATAAGAGACAATAGAACTGACCGGTCCTATTGTGTCTCTGGAATTTTCTATAGAAAGTCAAATCTTTCCCTTTCCTTAAAAGTACTAAGTTCCAAGAAGGTAGACCAGACAGCACCATTTGATTCCTGTCTCTCTGAGAGTCCATTAAGATAAAAACATAGAGGTACCAAAACACCAAAGAGAATTACATGATTGGGTTACCAGTAAACACATTTCCAGAAATTTTTGGAAGTTGTAAAGTACATATGAGTGGGTTGAAGGAGAAAACAAGCCAAGAAGCAATGTGTAGAACATACTCTGAACTAGGAACTGGACCAGCCCAACAGATCTTAAGGCTTAGGGACAGAGATGAGCAGAAATGAGAATTGGGGCTGAAAACGGAAGATTAATTGAATAAGTGGGAAGCCGTTCCCAGTGGTCACTATGCCCCTACCTCCCTTCTTACTCCTACCTCTACTCAGGCAGCCTACACTTTCCGCCAAGTAAAACACCACATAGTTCTTCTAGAAAGAAACTGAACAAAATGTTCAGGGAAAACTAAGAATTAGTGTGGAAGTTGATGCTCCAAAATAAGTCTTACTTTTACCAGAATTCAGATTTCTACCACCTCATATCCTGATTCTCCACCTACTCATCCTAAAGGAATATAGTTATCCTCTGCCCTGCCCTACACCCCATATTAATAACCATTTTAGGCTGGACATGGTGGTTTATGCCTGCAATCCTAGCATTGTGGGAGGCTGAGGCAGAAGGATCCCTTGAACCCAGAAGTTCGAGACCAGCCTGGGCAACATAGGAAGACCCTGTCTCTACCAAAAAATATTATTTCAATTCATTTCTGGCTTATCCTTCCAGCATTTCCTTTTTACAAAGGATAGTTTCCCTATCCTTCTGCCCTAAGTATGAATAGACAACCAAGAATCTTCCAGCATGTGGGAAAAACCAGCACCATGAATTAAAATGACCAAAACTAAACTAATAGAAAAATTAACCCTAAAGGAAAGAGAAGTAACTTAAAGAACCAGGAGAAGCTGGGCATGGTGGCTCATGCCTGTAATCCTATCACTTTGGGAGGCCAAGGTGGGCGGATCACTTGAAGCCAGGAGTTTGAGACCAGCCTAGCCAACATGGTGAAACCCTGTTTCTACTAAAAATACAAAACCTAGCTGGGCATGGTGGTGCCCACCTGTAATACCAGCTGCATGGGAGGCTGAGACATGAGAATCACTTGAACTTGGGAGGTGGAGGTTGCAGTGAGCCAAGATCAAGCCACTGCACTCCAGCCTGGGCAACAGAGTGAGACAAAAAAAAAAAAAAGGAAAAAGAAAAGAACAGAACCAGGAGAAAAGTTTTTAAATTATCTTATTAATATGCTCAGAATAATAAAACAGTAAAATGTTTTGGAAAAATAAATACAAGAAATAGCTCTTTGAAATTAAAATTATTCCTGAAATTTATTATTTATTTATTTATTTATTTATTTATTTATTTATTTTTGAGACAGAGTCTCACTGTGTCACCCAGGCTGGAGTGCAATGGCGCGGTCTCGGCTTACTGCAACCTCCACTTCCCAGGTTCAAGTGATTCTCCTGCCTCAGCCTCCAGAGTAGCTGGGATTACAGGGGCCCGCCGCCACTCATGGCTAATTTTTGTATTTTTAGTAGAGACGGGATTTCACCATGTTGGCCAGGATGATCTGGATCTCCCGTCCTCGTGATCCACCCGCCTCGGCCTCCCAAAGTGCTGGGTTTATAGGCATGAGCCACCGCCCCCAGCCAAGCCTTACTATTAAGAACCTCAGAAAAATAGAACTTAAAAAATAAAAAGAAGTAACCACTTAATGCATATGGTATTTCTTTTTGAGGTGTTGAACATGTTCTGGAATTAGTAGTGATGATGGCTGCACAACCTTGTACATGTACTGAAAACCACTGAATTGTACACTTTAAAATGGTGAATTTTGTTACATGAATTTTATGTCAATTTTTAAAAGTCATCTAAAAAAATGAAAGGGAGGGAATTGTTAAAGATATAGATAGATAGGTATTTCCTGAGCTAAGAAGGTACTCAAGCTTCACACTGAAACTTTTGGGATCTTCTTTTTTTTGTTGTTTTGTATTCTGAAATATTATGAGGGGATATCTAGATATAGACCTTATTTCACTTATTCTGCTCTATGAAATAATGGTGGAAATTTGGAAGAAAAAACTTAGTTTGCTTGAGGAAGATTCAAAGATACATAGAATTTGATGAATAAAGCTGTAAACCAAAGCAGTTGGTGTCCCTGAGTTCCACAGTACCATTGCTTCAGAGTAATCTCTTGAAGTTCTATGGGGAGAGATATATTTACATTTGGACACACTTAAGTAGGGTAGCTCTTGTGATCTCTAATTCCAGACTTGGAGATTCAGGTCCTGAAAACTTCACAGAGGGAATCCCCACAAGAAGCTTGGTTTGTTACCATTCTTGTTGAATTTTGTTTTGTTTTGATGACATGGTGGGGTGGGACAGGGATGGGTTTTTTCTCTGTTGATTTATTTTGTAAATATGCAAAACATGTTGCAAAAGTCAAATTTTATTTTATTAATTTATTTATTTGAGAGTGGGTCTCACTCCGTTGTCCAGGCTGGAGTGCAGTGGCGTGATCTCAGCCCCCTGCATCCTTGACCTCCTAGGCTCAAGCAATCCTCCCACCTCAGCCTCTCGAGTAGCTGGGACTGGGACTGGGACCACAGGCATGCACCACCATGCCTGGCTAACTTTTGTATTTTTTGTAGAGACGAGGCTTTGTTTCCCAGGCTGGTTGCAAACTCTGCAGCCTGTTTCCCAGGCTGGTTTTGAACTCTTGAGATCAAGTGATCCACCCGCCTCGGCCTCCCAAAGTGCTGGGATTACAGAGATAAGCCATCATGCCTGGCCAAAAATTATTTTTTAAAAGAAAACACAGAGAAGTCTTGCTTTCATTCCCCTCCACTCCATCTCCCCATACCATTCCATAAGAGTAGACCCTTTTAATTGGTTTCTAGCCTATCCTTCCAGCACTTCCTTTTGAAAACATAAGCAAATACATATATATGTTCATATCCTGCTTCTCACCACCCTTTTTTATGCAATAGGCAGTATACTGTATACTCAACTCTAGACCTGGAGGCAGTGATTCTATATAGAGTTCCACCTCCAGATCACTTTATAACAGTACATAGAAGCTTCTGGTTTGAAAATGTCAGAGCTTAAAGGAGGAGAACAACCACTTAACTATTCAGATAGAAGTAATATTCCCTTGCTCCTTTTGAATAAAAATTGAAAACAGGATATTGTCTTGGGATTCTGCATGAGGAAGCAGAAAATTAGATTTCCTGGGAATTTCTTCTACACTGAAGAATGAAATTTTACACTCTATCTGACAATAGTAAATATCAAACCATAGCTTAGCTGTAATTGCCATTTTAGTTGTTATATGGATGTGTTTCTGCTTTAAAAGATCACATTCTCTGTAGGCTTTAGATTGGTTTATATTTATTTATGGACTATTGATTGTAGCCTTTTTTTTTCTTTTCTTTCTTTTTTTTTTTTTTTTTAATTTTTGAGATGGAGTTTTGCTCTTGTTGCCCACGCTGGAGTGCAATGGCGCAATCTTGGCTCATTGCAACCTCCACCTCCCGGATTCAAGCGATTCTTCTGCCTTAGCTTCCCAAGTAGCTGGGATTATAGACGTGTGCCACCATTCCCAGCTGATTTTTGTATTTTTAGTAGAGATGGGGTTTCACCACGTTGGCCAGGCTAGTCTCGAACTCCCGACCTCATGTGATCCTCCCACCGCAGCCTCCCAAAGTGCTGGGATTACAGGCGTGAGCCACCATACCCGGTTGATTGTAGACTTTTGATTGGTATTTACAAGGACCCATGAGAGGCAACAAAGAGAAGTTGTCAAGAGAACAGACCCTGAGACCAATAGTTTGGCTCAAGCTCTGGCTCCCTAACTTCCTACCAGTTTGACCTTGGGCAAGTTACCTAACATCTTTGTGCCTCCATTTTCTATTTGTAAAAGGAAACTAATAGTAGTGCCTACTTTATAATAGAGTTATTACAAATATTAAATGAGTTAATATTTGTAAAGTAATTAGAAAAATGCCTGGCACTTCAAAAGCAGCCTTCATTTATTCTTTGGAAATAATTTTAAATGAATTCAAGGTTTATATGTAGCTTTTAGGCATATATACATAAATGTCACTGTAAACTGCAGAATATCCGATCTTTAAAATTTTTTGGTTAAATTTTATCATAATATGGTAACAAATCACATTTATTGCTTTTAGGTGTTAGCGATAAAACAGAGTTTGTCAGTTTTAGTCTCTTATGTAATGGAACAGAAATACGATGAGCCCAGTGGGAGAAAGCAGGAGGAGTTCTTGTCCGTCTCTACTTATACTTTTTGTTTTTTTTAAGTTACTAAATATTTTTGACACTGATTTTTGCTTATGAATAGTTTTGAAGTACCAATGAAAATGGGTTCTCACCCAAGTGAGAATAGTTTTGCTAAAAAGGTAGAAATAAAAGAAATTGAAGGAGCAATTCTACTTGATGGTAAAACAGTGATGTTGTTATATGCTATTCACATTTTAGTTTTCTCCTCTTCCCATTAGTTCTTTCTGTACAGTTTAAACTGAATCTGGAATTTTCTTATAGAGAATTAGCTTTACATGATCAAGTACTGTCTATTTAGTTACTCTGGAGGCTATTACTTCCCCTCTCAGTTCCTCCAAATGGTCTGGAGTGAAGAAGGAATCATTTTTGTTTCTTCTGTAACCCAAAGATTAGCTATTTTTTCTTGTTTTTAAATTTTTATTTATTTATTTATTTATTTATTTTGGAGACTGAGTTCCACTCTTGTTGCCCAGGCTGGAGTGCAATGGCACGATCTCAGCTCACCGCAACCTCTGCCTCCTGGGTTCAAGCGATTCTCCTGTCTGAGCCTCCCAAGTAGCTGGGATTACAGGCATGTGCCACCACACCCAGTTAATTTTGTCTTTTTAGTAGAGATGGGATTTCTCCATGTTGGTCGGGCTGGTCTTGAACTCCCGACCTCAGGTGATCTGCCCACCTCGGCCTCCCACCTCCCAAAGTGTTGAGATTACAGGCGTGAGCCACCATGCACAGCCTGTTTGTTTTTTTTTGTTTTGAGTTCATGACTTTTTTTTTTTGAAATGGAGTCTCCCTCTGTCACCCAGGCTGGAGTGCAGTGGCTCGATCTTGGCTCACTGCAACCTGCCCCTCCCAGATTGAAGCGATTCTCCTGCCTCAGCCTCTCGAGTAGCTGGGACTACAGGCGCCCACCACCATGCCCAGCTAATTTTTGTATTTTGGTAGAGACGGGGTTTCACCATATTGGCCATGCTGGTCTCGAACTCCTGACCTTGTGATCCGCCCGCCTCAGCCTCCCAAAGTGCTGGGATTATAGGTGTGAGCCACAATGCCCAGTGAGTCCATGACCTTCTAAAAGGATTAGCTTTTATTGAATAAAATATTAAATGAGGAAATGAAAATTAATTTCAGGTCTTCTTTTGTCCTGTTGATCTAGGGTAAATAGTTTTACTGTGCCTTTGCTTCTCCTTCTGTAATAAAGAGTTTTTAATATTTACTTATATTGTGGTTAATGTCAAATTACAGCTGATACATGTATCTAATTTGGATTATCTAGTATTCAATAAAAGTATATTACACATGTGAAGGTGTATAGAAACTGATAATAGACAAACAGGCAGATGTATTTCTGAAATTCGTGTGTAAATTATCTTTAGATGAATGGAGTCTTTTTTTTTTTTCGAGACACGGTCTTTTTCTGTTTTCCAGGCTGGAATACAATGACACCATCATAGCTCACTGCACCGTCGAACTCCTGAGCTCTAGAAATCTTACCCTCGCAGCCTCCAGAGTAGCTAGGACTGCATGCATATACCACCATACCCAGCTAATTTTTTAATTTTTTGTACAGACATGGTCTTGCTTTGTTGCCAGGCTGGTCCTGAACTCCTAGCTTCAAGCTATCCTTCCACCTCAGTCTCCCAAAGTGCTGGGATTACAACCATAAGCCACTGCACCAGGCCTGATGAATGGAACCTTTTAAAGTCACTAATAGTCCAGGCACTGTGGCTCATACCTCTAATTGCAGCACTTTGGGAGGCCAAGACAGGAGGATCACTTGAGCCCAGGAGTTGGAGACCAGCCTGGGCAACACAGGGAGATCCCGTCTTTATAAAAAGAAAAATTAGCAGATGTGGTGGCACACACCTGTGGTCCCAGCTACTTGGGAGGCTAAGATAGGAAGATTGCTTGGGTCCAGGAGGTTGAGGCTACAGTGAGCCATGTTCGGGCCACTGCACTCTAGCCTGGGTGATGGAGCAAGACCCTGTCTCAAAAAAATAAAAAAATATAGGCTGGGTGCGGTGGCTCATGCCTGTAATCCCAGCACTTTGGGAGGCCGAGGCTAGTGGATCACCTGAGGTTGGATTTCGAGACCAGCCTCACCAACATGGAGAAACCCCATCTCAACTAAAAATACATGTGGCACATGCTTATAATCCCAGCTACTCAGGAGGCTGAGGCAGGAGAATCGCTTGAACCCGGGAGGTGGAGGTTGCGGTGAGCTGAGATCATGCCATTGCACTCCAGCCTGGGCAACAAGAGTGAGACTCTGTCTCAAAAAAAAAAAAAAAAAAGTAAAAAGTCACTAATATATAATATGTAATAAACAATTGTTTTTACAATGAAATCACCCGTGTTTGATTTATTTATGAGTTTGGATTTTTTAAAAAAAGGATTCGTGTCTGTGAATGATAGTTAGATATTAGTAGTATCATCCTCTATGTCATGTTCTCATAATAATTTATATGTGGTTAGCAGCATTTATCACATCTTTTATAGCTATTTTTATGAAACTCTGTCTCCTAGATGATGAGTTAAATAGGGACAGGAACAGGTAATATTAAACTCTCTGTGTCTGGCACTAATTGTTGGATAGGTGTGGTGGCTCACTCCTATAATCACAGCATTTTGGGAGGCCATAGTAGGAAGTTTGCTTGAGCCCTTGAGTTTGAGACCAGCCTGGGCAACAAAGCGAGACCCCTATCTTTACAAAAACTTTTTAAAAAATTAGCCAGCCATGGTGGCATGCACCTATAGTCTCAGCTACTCAGGAGGCTGAGGCAGGAGGATCACTTGAGCCCAGGAGGTCAGGGCTGCAGTGAGCTATGTGCACGCCACTGCCCTCCAGCTTAGGGGACAGAGCAAGACTCTGTCTAAAACAAGACAAAAACATAAATTTGCGTATTCAGGCTGAATAAATAAGGGCATGAAAGCTGTGGAACAGACAATTTAGAACAATGCATAATCCTTAAATCATTTGTTTTGGGAGTAAATGAAACCAGTTACCAAACTCAGAGTAGTGGTGTTTTTGTAATTTGGGACTAAATATTTGGAACTTGAAAACATTTTTCCATAATTTTTTTTTTTGAGATGGAGTTTCGCTCTGTTGCCCAGGCTGGAGTGCAGTGGCACGATCTTGGCTCCCTGCAAGCTCCGCCTCCCAGGTTCACGCCATTCTCCTGCCTCAGCCTCCCGAGTAGCTGGGACTACAGGCGCCTGCCACCACGCCCAGCTAATTTTTTTGTATTTTTAGTAGAGACGGGGTTTCACCATGTTAGCCAGGATGGTCTCGATCTCCGGACCTCGTGATCTGCCCGCCTCGGCCTCCCAAAGTGCTGGGATTACAGGCGTGAGCCACCGCACCTGGCCACATTTTTCTATAATTCTAAAACTGTGGTCATGTTCACAGAATAGACTATAAAAATACTCACGCCTGTAATCCCAGCACTTTGGGAGGCCGAGGAGGGTGGATCACCTGAGGTCAAAAGTTCAAGACTAGCCTGGCCAACATGGTGAAACCCCATCTCTACTAAAAATACAAAACATTACCTGGGCATGTTGGCGGCCGCCTATAATCCCAGCTACTTGGGAGGCTGAGGCAGGAAAATCACTTGAACCTGAGAGGCAGAGGTTGCGGTGAGCCAAGATGGTGCCATTGCATTCCAGCCTGGGCAACAAGAGCGAAACTCCGTCTCAAAAAAAATAAAAAAATAAAAATAAAACAAAAACATATAGATAGATAGATAGATAGATAGATAGATAGATAGATAGATAGATAGACAGACCCTTAACATAGCTGGATAGTACTGTTGTACTGGTTGTACACCTGACTTAAAGGTCCATTTTGGGTATAGAAAGAAATTTGTCAGAAGGGAATTTTTTCTTCCTTATCTCAGTGAGGGGCTGATCCTATTTGTTTGCTTTAGTTCTTACCACTTAGAACTTCGTGGCTAAATCATCTTTTGTTCAAATCTGAGATCCATCTATATGACCTTTTGGAGAGTAAGTTACTCTCTTGAACTAGAAGTTTCTTCTTCTGTAAACTAGGAATAATATTTGTATTGCAGAATTGTGAAAAGTAAATAATGTGGTAAGGAAAATAAAGTACCTAACATGGTTCTGGCATAGAGTAAATTCCCAATAAAAGTTAGTTTCAGCCTTCTGTTTTTCCTTCCCTCTTCTACCTGCCTGTATATCATCTTACCCAGATTTTTCATATCTCTCAAGATGCTCCATGCTCCAAAATGGCCTACCGTTCTTCTCCCCCAGTCAGAATTCTTAGCTAAATTGTAGGAAAAAAGATGATTCACTCTGATGATTAAATAACAGTTTTTCAAGACATGCTCTTTAAACTCATAAGTCTTTGGTAATTTATTTGCAATGTAACAGTTCATTTTAGCAAAAATCAGTCAAGGTGAAAGAAGGGTAGTCTTAGATTTGTGGGATACAGTGGCTATTCCAGGAGTCAGTTCTGTTCTGTTGCTACTTTTCCTTCATGTGAGACCATAGATTGTATAAAATCATTCAGGTTTTTATTTTTCATCTATTTTCTTTCATTATTGTTTTATAATAAACTACAATCAGCTTTTTGTAGGAAGATGGAGAGCAGGTTAGGGGCCATATGCGAGTTATTTTTAAATGCCTGGATTTATTTGATTGTGGGCATGCTATCTTATTCTGGAAGGTAATACAATTTTGAATGTAATGAAACCACACTGTAGGAGAAATCCCACAAGTTCTCAGGAGGAATAGCATTCTTTTCCAGACAAAGAGGAAATGCCATTCTAAAGAGAACAGGCTCCACCCGCTTGCTTGCTTTCTGCCTCTATCCTTCTATCCTTCTGTCCTTCTGGTGAAAGTAATTGACTATATTTATATGGTTTTTTTTCCAGACGGTGGGCTGAAGAGGTTGTGCGAATTAGATAAAGATAATGCTCATGTGAAAGGACTGTAGTAAGCAGAGTTGTTTGTATTTGAAATAAAAAGCAAGATTTGCACTATGGTAATAAAAATCATCAGCCTGAGCCAGACACAGTGGTTCACTCCTGTAATCCCAGCACTCTGAGAGGCCAAGGCGGGCAGATCACGAGGTCAGGAGATTGAGACCATCCTGGCTAACATGGTGAAACCCCGTCTCTACTAAAAATACAAAAAAATTAGCCAAGCATGGTGGTGGGTACCTGTAGTCCCAGCTACTCGAGAGGCTGAGGCAGGAGAATCGCTTGAACTCAGGAAGCAGAGCTGAGATGGTGCCACTGCACTACAGCCTGAGTGACAGAGTGAGACTCCGTCTCAAAAAAAAAAAAAAAAAAATCAGCCTAGGCTCATGGCTAAGTGACAGTATAGGATAGATGTCTTTCCTAATGATACATAGTTTTACTGAGCAGAAACCCTGGCAGAGCTGGCTAGATGATGGATTGTCCTGGGTTAGGTACCTGGTTACAATGCTAATTCCATGTAGTTGGGATTTTTTTATCCCCTCTTGCTCTATGGATAGAAAACTATTTAGCTAAGAAGTCTTCCCGCAAACACACAGCCAAAAATAACCTATAATCTCCTAGTTAGTGATTCATTTTGACAACTTCCTCCCACCACTGACAAAAGTTATGCCTATTAATTATTCACATCTTAGAATTTAATCACATCAAATAAACATCTATAGGAAAAGAATAAATTCCTAGAACTTCCTAGGGATGGGAGTTTTTATTGAGGCTGAAAGAAGACATGAGTGAGGTAGTCCACGCTGGATAGCTAGACGTCAGCTTGAGAGTAGTAGGCATCTTGGGTGTGTTGTAGGGGGAGCAATAAGCAGAAGTAGGAGATTATTTATAATGGAAGGGGAGATCGAAAGACAAACTTTGGAGTTTAGCTTGCCATTCTGGTGGTGACAGTGGGCCACTGAAAATCCTCTATGATGTCTTTAGCCTGAGTTGAAATACAAATACAGGTTGAGCATCCTTAATCCAAAATCTGAAATGCCCCTTTGAGCATCATATTGGTGCTCAAAAAGTTTCAAATTTTGGAGCATTTCGAATTTTGAATTTTCTCATTAGGGGTGCTCAACGTGTACTAGTTTAGAAGTCCTAGGCAAATCCAATATAGCCCACTCTTTTTCCTTCTGTTTCCTTCCTATCCTCTATTGGAAGAAGGTAGAAAAGAAAAATAGCACAAAAGGAATTAGAAGAGAGGATATAGCTCCACTCTCCTTCCCTATTCATTTTTATAGACCTCTGAAACCTGTCTTCAGATATTTGCTATATATAGTTTTTTTAAGCAATGGAAAGACAAGTGTTACATAGTTTAAGTGAAACTGTAACTGAGTTTTGTTAAGTGAACAATACTCATTATTGGCATCATAGCATTAGCAAAGTTAACAGTTATGGTAGGCCAGTACATTTATACAACACCCATGAAAATAAATATGTTTGGGTTGTGTGTGGTTTACATAGTTGAAGCAAATATTGTTATAGTGCCTCATAGTTACTTGTTGAATGAATGAATAATAGTATAGGTGGGGAAATAGGTAGTACATATGTATACAAACATAAAAATAATAATAAATTGTAATAAATCCTAGGAAGAGAAAGAATAAGGTACTTGATGGAAAATAACAGAGGATGACAGCGAAGGAATCCAGTGTTTTTCATGTGAACCTTGAAAACTCCTAGTTTTGGCAATTTATTGATGTTTTAAAATATGCAGTAAACAATTTTCATATAGTACTATTAAAACTTGATAATCATCTATGTTTTCTCCTATTTATTTTTTTCTTTTAGCATTTATTAGCCATTCAAACTGTTTATTCTCTATATATGAAATTCAGGGTGTATTTTAGTTTTTATTAGATCATTGACTATAAACATTTGTTTGTATTTCAGCCAAATGAAAAGACCCGTGATCTTGTAGCAAATACACATATTAACTCATCTTACTCCCTCCTCTCATGCTCCAGTTCAGCCAAGTGGAGTGATTTAATTATGTATGTGTAGACTTAGCTGGCAAAATATGTTTTAAAAACTATATTAGGCCGGGTGCGGTGGCTCATGCCTGTAATCCCAGCAGTTTGGGAGGCTGATACTGGCATATCACCTGAGGTCAGGAATTTGAAACTACCCTGGCCAACATGGTGAAACCCCGTCTCTACTAAAAATACCAAAAAGTTAGCCGAGCATGGTGACATGTGCCTGTAATTCCAGCTACTCGGGAGGCTGAGGCAGGAGAATTGCTTGAACCTGGGAGGTGGAGGTTGCAGTGAGCCGAGATTGCGCCACTGCACTTCAGCCTGGGTGACAGAGAGAAACAAAACAAAATAAAACAAAACTATATTAATGGTTTTGTAGTATTTTCATAAAAATCTTTTTTTTTTCTGAGACAGGGACTTGCTCTGTTGCCCAGGCTGAAGTGCAGTGGCATGATCAAGGCTCACTACAGTCTTGACCTCCTGTGCTCAAGCTATCCTTCCACCTCAGCCTCCCGAGTAGCTAGAACTGTAGGCATGTGCTACCACACCTATTTATTTTATTTATTTATTTATTTATTTATTTATTTATTTATTTATATTTTCAGAGATGGGATTTCACCATGTTTCCCAGGCTGGTCTCAAACTCCTGGGCTCAAGCAATCTGTCCTCCTCAGCTTCCCAAAGTGCAGGGATTGTAGGCATGAGCTACCACATCCGGCCATTTTTCAAGACTTTTAAATGCTAAATTTCTATTTTGATTGAAAGATGACCATTCAAGTTCACTTAAAGTGGCTGAGGTGAGAGGACTGCTTGAGGCAAGGAGTTTAAGACCAACCTGGCCAACATAGTGATACCCTGTCTCTATTTAAAAAAACGAATTTACCTAAAGCTAATGGGGTGGTAGCTTTCACAGAAATCCAGAATTTTAATTGTGAAAGTTCCTGAGTCTCTTTTAAGAAAATGAAATAGTAATCCGAAATTTACTCCTTTTGTCTTGGAAAACTTTATTGTAAGTTATGTGACCGAAGACCAACCCAGAACAAGAATGAGAAAATTGGAGCAGGTCATAATTTGGTTGTTGATTGAAAGCTTCCCTCTCTCTTAAATGGGGGAGTGGGAGGGAGCGGAATCTTGCCCGTTTTTATCTGCATTCCATCATGTTAAGAATATTATGAAGGAAAAATTTTTAAACCCTAAGTTAGTCCTATTTATGGTATTTCACCAAAGCTTAATGTATTCAAATGAAAGAGCTTTTTGTTTTATCAGAATAAATGATTATATTTCTGCTCTTAGAATTTTTAGTTAGATAGTATTGTCTTTGCTTTATACTTCCAATTATAAATCTCAGCCCTAACAATCTACTTAAAAGTTTACTTTTTTTCCCTTTTGCATTTATTACTACTCTATCCCAGAAGACATTTTGGGATATATGTCTATATCCCAGAAGACATATAACTGTTATAAAAGATAACAGACTAGTGTCTTTGCTTTTCACCAAGGGAACAACATTCCTTATTAATGAGGCACATTCCTTATTAATGACTAGAAAAGGGATATCATTGATAGCAGTATCTTAATATGCCATTTTGGGAGTTTCTAGAAATCAGCTGAATTCCATTACTGTTAACGTAGGCAGGTATTAGAATCTCTTATCCTTCTCATGTGAGTGAAAACTGTGGCATAGAGAACTGACTTTTCAGCTGCAGGCTGCCAGAATATAGTGGGCCTTGTAAGGGTGGGAGTCCTTCTGCCAAGGAGCTCTGTTCATGCGCTGTGTTTGACTTTCATTTCACTTTATCTTGAATGTAGGTTTGCCTTATCTGAGAATTCACAAAAAGGCGATTTTTAAGTGGTTTAGTAAAATCACTGGAGTGTGGGATTTGCCAGATTTAGCATACTCATAGGATGCCTAATATATCTGAAATACTGCGTAGGACATACTTACACTAAAAAATTATTTGTTGTCTGAAATACAAATTTAACTGGGCATCCAATATTATATCTGACAGACCTACTAGGGTAACTATAATTTATCATCCAAACCAGAACAGTTTTGAGAGTGAAACGGGGCTCTATTCATAATTATGCCAGAACAGCAAACATAAACTAGGACTATCCCAGAAAAATTGGAAAGTATAGACAACCTAATTATATAAGGGGTTTTGAAGTAATTTTTAATTATGAATTTTAAATTTTCATAACCAAGCACATCTCTATGTCATTAACTTATGTGGCTGTGAATCTTTATAAGTGTAAAGTGTATTGCTTTGTAATTTTTTTTTTTTTTGAGAGACAGGGGTCTCACTCTCACCCTGGCTGGAGTGTAGTGGCACTGTTGCAGTTCACTGCAGCCTCAAACTCCAAGTGATCCTCCCGCCTCAACCTCCCAAGTAGCTGGGACAGCAGGCATATACCACCACACTTGGCCAATTTTGGGGGGAGAGACAGGGTCTCACTGTGTTGCTCAGGCTGGTCTTGAACTCTTGACCTCAAGTGATCCTCCCCCCTCAGCTTCCCAAGTAGCAGGGATTACAGGTGTGAGCCACCACGTGCTTTATAATTTTTATATTAAAATTTTGATTAGGGCACCTTAAAAACTATGGTGAGCTAACTGCTAGCTTCAGCCTTGGTACTTGGTTAAAGTTCTCCTGGTGGTAGGAGGCTACCACAAGCACATGAGATTCTACAGTTTCGAATTTTTAAAATTATTTCTTCTTTACAGTTTTGTTTTGTTTTGTTTTGTTTTGAGACAGAGTCTCGCTCTGCCACCCGGGCTGGAGTGGTGCAGTGGTGTGATCTCAGCTCACTGCAACCTCCACCTCCCAGGTTTAAGCAATTCTTGTGCCTCAGCCTCCTGAGTAGCTGGGATTACAGGCAGCTGCCACCATGCCCAGCTAATTTTTGTACTTTTAGTAGAGATGGGGTTTTGCCATGTTGGCCAGGCTGGTCTCGAACTCCTGACCTCAGGTGATCCGCCCACCTGGGCCTCCCAAAGTGCTGGGATTACAGGTATGAGCTACCGCACCCAGCCTCTTTACAGTATTTTTATATGTGTACTTCACCATCAGCAGTTATAACTTTGACAAGAAATCCCTTGTGTTTTTTTTATTTGGCTTACACCTTCTCTTTTAACTTATTTACTTTTTGTTTTTTGGGGTATTAAGTAATAACCTATTATTCATATTTAGCTTCATTTTCTTAATTGTATAGCCTTTTATCATCTTCCCTTGCTTAACCCTTGACTAATTTCATTCTAAAAAATCATCCATAAATATTTGAATACCTGCTATCAATGTGAACTACTCTCCTAAGTACTACAGTAAATATGACATGTAATAAGACTTGGACCATATCCTCAAAGAGTGTATAGTCTGTACTTAATATAGAGGTCTCTCCATAGCTTTGTATATTTCATTTGGTCTTTTCTCTTTTTCAGCTTATATCTCTTTTAAAAATATATTAATCTCTTTCAAAGTATGATTATCTGTATGTTAGAAATAGGTGTTCCATGGTTTTTGAATAGAAATGGTATGTTTTTGTTTTATTCTTATATCTGTTCTGTTGATGCATAGGTTTTTATAGGAGTGTTTTTTTTGTTTTTGTTTTTGAGACAGAGTCTCACTCTGTCGGCCAGGCTGGGTTGCAGTGGCATAATCTCAGCTCACTGCAATCTCCACCCTCCCAGGTTCAAGCAATTCTCCTGCCTCAGCCTCCTGAGTAGCTGGGGCTACAGGGGCCCGCCACCACGCCCAGCTAATTTTTGTACTTTTAGTAGAGATAGTGTTTCACCATATTGGCCAGGCTGGTCTCGAACTCCTGACCTTGTGATCCGCCCGCCTCGGCCTCCCAAAGTGCTGGGACTACAGGCGTGAGCCACCATGCCCAGCGGTTTTTATAGGAGTTTTAACTACATTAGGTGTCTTCAGGAAATAGCCTATAATTGCTAGATAATTTTTTTGTGTTATAATTTATAAATTGAAATGAAAATGTGTCAGAGTCCAATATACTTAACCAACTTTTGAGCAATGAGTTGTTCCACATAACAGTTTTCCAGATTATTTTACCTATTAACACTTACAGGATTAGTGTCAGGTTTCTCTAAAGGAAAAATATTCCTTAAATTATTTTCTTCCTTTTATTGTTTGAGGGTTAACGCTTGTTTCATATAATAATGTTAATTTTCACCCAGGCTGAAGTGCAGTGGTGTGATCTTGGCTCACTGCAACCTCCTCCTCCTGAGTTCAAGCGATTCTTCTGCCTCAGCCTCCCAAGGAGTTGGGATTACAGGCACCCACCACCATGCCCAGCTAATTTTTGTATTTTTAGTAGAGACGGGCTTTTGCCATGTTGGTCAGGCTGGTCTTGAAATCCTGACCTCAGGTGATCCGCCCGCCTTGGTCTCCCAAAGTGCTGGGATTACAGGCATAAGCCACCGCGTCTGGCCTTACTGTTTTTAAATGTACTTCACATTGCTCTTTTTGTTATTTTGAAAAGATACAAAATTATTTTGCTTCATATTTATATAGTAAAAAACTCAAATGGTACAAAAGCATATATAGGGCAAGGTCATCCCTGTCTCCCAGCCACCAGTTCTCCTCACCCAAGATAACTAGTTTTTTATGAGTATTTTGTATAATCCTTCTGGAGATTGCATTTACAGGTGATTATTTATATATTCTCTTTTTTCTTTTTTTTTATACAAATGGTAATGTATCATACACAGTTGTGTACTTTGCTTTTTTTCACATAACACTATGTTTTGGGCATTATTCCTTACCAGAATAAGCTCTTTTCTTCTTTATACATGCATAGTATTCCACCTTACAAGGTCCCTACTAATCACTTTTTTGGTTGTTTCCAATAATTTGCTATTATATACAACGTTTAATTAATAGCCTTCATGAAGGCATGAATATTTGCATGCCTTAAGAAAATTTTTTTAGTCTAAAGGTAATATGCATTTATGGTAAAAACTTAAAACACTTTAAATATTACCAAAAATAATGCAGTGAAAAATAAATCCCCTAAACTTCTAGTACCACTTCCCAAATGTAATACTTTCTTGTGATTATCAATTTGTTTGATTTTTTTTCTTCTTTTCCTTTTTTAAAAAATAAATGGTTGTGTGGTATCCCCACTATATATGTATAAATCATAACTTATGAAGTTCCTCTTTGGTGGACATTTAGGATGTCTCCAGAGTTTTTTTTTTTTTTTTTTTGGATGCTACAGACAATGCTACAGTGAAAGCCTTGTAGATATCTTTGCACACATGCAGGTGTTTCTATCAAGTAGAGTCCTAAAAGTACAATTGTTAGATCAAGTAATGTACACATTTTAAGTTTTGATTAGTTTTACCAATTGGCTCTCTAAAAAGGTAATACTATTTGATACTTCCACCGGTAGATCCTTGCTAACTCTGGCTATTATCAAACTTTTGATTTTTAAAAAAAGTTTGCCAATTTAATAGGAGGAAATAAATCTTATTCCTATCTGAATTTCATTTATTATGACTGATTTTGAGAATTTGGCCATTTCTGTTTATTATGAATTTTCTTATTGATTTTTTTTTTTTTGAGACAGCTCTGGAGACCAGGCTGGAGTCCAGTAGCATACGGTTCACTGCAGCCTCGACCTCCTGGGTTTAAACAATTCTCCCACCTCAGCCTCCTGAGTAGCTGGGACCATAGGTGCTCACCACCATGTCCAGCTAATTTTTAATGTGTTTTTTAGAGATAGAGTCTTGATCCTCTTGTAGTTCATGAGCTTGATAATTAGGTGTTCACATACATGTGTGAGACGTGCCACCCTGGAACCTTGTTACAACGTTGGCACATTACCCATTTGACATGAAGGGAAGGGAAAAACCAAGAGAGACGGAGTCTCACTATGTTGCCTAGGCTGATCTCAAACTCATGGGCTCAAGTGATCCTTCCGTCTCAGCCTCCCAAAGTGTTGGAGGATTACAGGCATGAGCCACCACACCTTACCTGTTACTGACTTTTGAGTGTACTTTTTTCTATCAAGAAATTAGTCTGTGATCACATACGTGACAAATATTTTTTCTCATTTTGTCATTTTCTACCTTGTGCATGGTCTGTAAATATACATAATTTGACCCTGGAGAGAGAGGAGTGGAGGGTAGGGAGAGGTAAGGGTAAATTAGTGGAGGATCCATATCAGTCAAGCTGCTAACCACTTTTTTTTTCTGTAAGTGCTAAACACATTTTAAATAAGAAAAATGATTAGCCAGGTGTGGTGGCATGTGCCTATAGTACCAGCTACTTGGAGGCTGAGATGGGAGGATCACTTGAGCCTGGGAGATCAAGGCTGCAGTGAACCATGCATGATCAGGCCACTACATTCCAGCCTGGGTGACAGAGTGAGACCCTGTCTCAAAAAAATAAATAAGAAAAATGACGTGACAGAAACAATAGAGGGCTTTTATCTCCTTAGAGGAAAGAATATAAAAAAGACTATATAATATTTAGTTGGTATGAAGTGTAGTAACCATGCTGAAAATGTATTTGTTATATGTGTTTTTCCCTCTAGAGGTTTTGTCAGCTATGATTAGTGTGCTGTTGGTGTATATACTTATGGGATTCCTCTTATATGAAGCTGTGCAAAGAACTATCCATATGAACTATGAAATAAATGGAGATATAATGCTCATCACCGCAGCTGTTGGAGTTGCAGTTAATGTAATGTAAGCTCTATTTTTTTCACATTAATATTTTCAAGTACTGTGAACTCAGAGACTATTGCATATGCATTCAGTAATATTCAGTGATATTTTGATATTTTAAAAATGATATAACTCATTAACTTTTCTGATAAATGAAACACTATGGACGTTATAAATTCCTCATTAGTTTGCCCAGGTATATTGGAGATTGAGTCAAAATCATGAATTTAAGTAGGACAAAGTTTTTTGTTCTTGTTTAACTTTTAGAATACTTTTGTGTTAACTAGATTTTTTTTCTTAAGCTATCAATTTTTTTCCCTTAAAACTTTTTAGGGAAGAAAGTTTTGAAAGTTTAAGTTAGGCCACATACAGTGGTTCACACCTATAGTCCCAACAATTTGGGAGGCCAAGGTGGGAAGATCACTTGCGCTCTAGAGTTCAAGACAGCCTGGCCAACATAGTGAGACCTCATCTCTTCTAAAAATAAAAATTAGCCAGGCACGGTGGCTCGTGCCTATGGTCCCAGCCACTTGGGAGGCTAAAGTGGGAAGGTCACTTGAGCACAGGCAATCAAGACTGCATTGAGCTATGATTGGGCCACTGCACTCCAGCCTGGGCAACAGAGCAAAACCCTGTCTTAAAAACAAACAAACAAAAAATAATAAAGTTGAAGTTAACAGATTTAATCATTTAGACCAGAGTCAGCAATTTTTTTTCTGTAAAAGGCTAGATAGTAAATATTTTAAGCTTTGAGATCTATATATTCTCTTTCAAAGCTACTCAACACTTGTTATAAAACAAAAGCAGCCACACTTAGCATGTAAACAAATGAACATGGCTGTGTTCCAATAAAACTTTATGTACAAAAAAAAAATCAGTGAGCCAAATATGATCTACCAGCCACAGTTTACCAATCCCTGCCCTAGTGGCTTCTATTTGTACTTAGAATGAAATGAATTTTTTTCTAAATTTTATTATTATTATACTTTAAGTTTTAGGGTACATGTGCACAACGTGCAGGTTTGTTACATATGTATACATGTGCCATGTTGGTGTGCTGTACCCATTAACTCGTCATTTAGCATTAGGTATATCTCCTAATGCTATCCCTCCCCCCTCCCCCCACCCCACAACAGTCCCTGAATGTAATCAAATTTTTACTGCAGCCTTGTTAGTAAGACTCTGTGTACCTCTACCACTCATCTCCTAGCACTTTTGCTCACTTTATTCTGGCCCACAGTGGCTGCTTTCTTTTTTCAAGTACACAGAGCACATTTTCATGTTGGGGCCTTTGCTCTGCTATTCTTCCGCCTAGAACACTCTTCCACCACTTGCTCTCTGACCTCCTTCAGGTATCTGCTTAGAGAAAATCTGAGAGGCCTTCCCTTACCACTCTGCCCATCATCCTCCATCCCCTTACAATGCTTTATGTTTCTCCAAAGCATTTCACATTGCCTGGCTATACCTTATGTACTTATTTGTTGGCTTCTCTGCCTTCTCTACTAGAACATAAGCTCCATGGGGGTAGGGATATGTCTATCTTACCACTGTTTTGACCCAAGTACCTAGAACAGTACTGATAAATAATAGTTGCTCCAAATTTATTAAATAAATGAGTTCCATGTTACCTCATTAGTGTCTGACTAGTGACAAATGTTTTTGTCAATATTGGGAAAAATAATAATGTTTTCTTTTATTTTTAACAGAATGGGGTTTCTGTTGAACCAGTCTGGTCACCGTCACTCCCATTCCCACTCCCTGCCTTCAAATTCCCCTACCAGAGGTTCTGGGTGTGAACGTAACCATGGGCAGGATAGCCTGGCAGTGAGAGCTGCATTTGTACATGCTTTGGGAGATTTGGTACAGAGTGTTGGTGTGCTAATAGCTGCATACATCATACGATTCAAGGTAATATGATTGGTAATTTTTCTATTTTAAAATGTACTTAATTTCAACATGAAAACTAAGGCTGATTGTCATATCAGTATACTGGACACCAGTGCCAGTTCTATTCATTTTACATTGATGTAAGTTTACTTGACAATCATTATAGTTCTTTTGTTAGCAGTAAACAAAATGATATCACGTCACAGGGTAACTTATCTGTATTTGGCTTTTGTAGTGCCTTCACTGGATAAATCAATTTTCTTATTTATTTATTTATTTATTTATTTTTGAGACAGAGTCTCACTTTCTCGCCCAGGCTGGAATGCAGTGGCACAATCTTGGCTTACTGCAGCCTCCGCCTCCCAGGCTCAAGTGATTGTCATGCCCCAGCCTCCCAAGTAGCTGGGATTACAGGTACACACCACCATGCCCAGCTAATTTTTGTATTTTTAGTAGAGACAAGGTTTCGCCATGTTGGCCAGGCTGGTCTCGAATTCCTGGCCTCAAGTGATCCACCCACCTCAGCCTCCCATAGTGCTGAGATTACGGGCATGAGCCACCATGATTGCCCAGATAACTCAATTTTAAAACTCGTGATTGAATTACTAGGTAGTAAAATGTGCACTGGACTGAAAATCCAGAGATCTGAGTGGGTTCTAGTCTTGGCTCTGCCATTAATGCTTTGACCTTGAAAGCAAATACCTGAACTCTAAACTTGAGTTCCCTCTTCTTTATTACAAGGGGCTTAAACTAGTGGCTGCTAAAACTTTTTCCAGAGCTGAGTACAGTGGCTGTGCCTATAATCCCAGCTGAGGCTGGAGGATCAGTTGAGCCCAGGAGTTCAAGAGCAACCTGGGCAACACACACACACACACACACACACACACACACACACACACACTTTTTTCCAGCTTTGACACACACACACACACACACACACACACACACACTTACTTCTTTCCAGCTCTGATATTCTAGAACATTTAGAGATGGCACAAGGAACAATAGAACAAGTGATTACATTTCTGGAAATAGGTCCCATGAGGCAAGTAACGTAAACTGTCTAGGATAGAGTGAAGATGCTTTTCAATTACAATATCCAAGTTTTAAAGGTATTCTGTAATTCTGCTAAAGAAAATCAAGCAAGAAGGGACATATTCCTTGCTTTGCTTTGCAGTCTGTTTTATATTTGTCTATTTAATCATAAATTTTGATCTATTACCCTTTAGCCAGAATACAAGATTGCTGACCCCATCTGTACATACGTATTTTCATTACTTGTGGCTTTTACAACATTTCGAATCATATGGGATACAGTAGTTATAATACTAGAAGGTAAGATCTCACTATATCCTCATTATGAGTTTATTACTTCCCTAAAGCAGATTGGGAGTCAGGGGACATTCTGAATAGGAATTACATCTTTTGCTTTTTACTAATACCTTTTAGGCTATATAACAGTACCTTACATGTATGTAACATGTAAGAATTAATGAACTCTCCCATCTTTTACCCATTTGACACTTATAATAGCTAAGCAAAGTAGGTAAGGCAGATAATGTGGTAAATTATCCCCATTTACAAATAAGAAAATTGAGGTTCAGAGGGATAACATACTTTGGTTAAGGTCATGTTGCTAATAAACTGTGGCACTAGGACAAAAATGCAATTCTAGATTATGTATTAATTCCTTAATTCCCACTTAACTTGTGACTTTGTTGTATTTACTGCATTCTTCCCTTACTGATATTATGTGTAAGCATGAAAATAAAAGTTCTTAACAATAGGCTTATTATCATTATATGTTCTTTTCTTTTCTTTTTTCCTTTTTTTTTTCTTAGTTTATCTGTTAATGAAGTATTCTGGTTTGATTGGCATTCCTTTTTAGTGAGAATGAATATGTTTTTAAAGTATGTATTACCCTCTTGTATATATCTTACATTTTTAATAAAAATATATGTGTACATGGTTTATCTTGAAGTATTAATATTTTAAAGTATTTGTTTAAAGTGAATTTAGCAAAGCCATTTGTTTTCTTTGATAAATGTCATCGGTAATGTAAAAGTTCCTTTATTTCCAAAATAAATTTTACTTAGAAATTATATATTCCTAATAGGTGTGCCAAGCCATTTGAATGTAGACTATATCAAAGAAGCCTTGATGAAAATAGAAGATGTATATTCAGTCGAAGATTTAAATATCTGGTCTCTCACTTCAGGAAAATCTACTGCCATAGTTCACATACAGCTAAGTATGTTGCTGGTAGTAAATGTGGGCCTGGGGTTGGTGGACTTCTGCCTTTGAAACTAAACATCCCTGCTTATAATTATGTAGGAAGACTTTTCTGCTGAAAAGATTTGTTTTAAGACAAAAGCCTTTGTCTTTAAAAAACAAAGGCTTTTGTTAACAGCCTTAAACAAAAGGCTCTTTAAAGGGTAAGTTGCAGGTCAGTATTGATACCAGAACAATAATTTTCTATCTCTTTGAGATATTACAAACTGATTTTAACCTTCAGATTAAAGGTATTAAGAATATTTCCTGACTGGCATGGTGGCTCGCACCTGTAATCCTAGCACTTTGGAAGGCTGAGGCGGGTGGATCACCTGAGGTCAGGAGTTTGAGACCAGCCTGGCCAACATGGTGAAACCCCGTCTCTACTAAAAATACAAAAATTAGCTAGGCGTGGTGGTGCATGCCTGTAATCCCAGCTACTTGGGAGGCTGAGGCAGGAGAATTGCCTGAACTCATGAAGCGGAGGTTGCAGTGAGCCGAGATTGCGCCACTGCAGTCTAGTCTGGGTGACAGAGCAAGACTCCATCTCGGAAAAAAAAAGAATATTTCCCGGCCTGGCGCGTTGACTCACGCCTGTAATCCCAACACTTTGGGAGGCCAAGGTGGGTGGATCACCTGAGGTCAGGAGTTCAAGAACAGCCTGGCCAACATGATGAAACCCCATCTCTACTAAAAAATACAAAAATTAGCCAGTCGTGGTGACACGTGCCTGTAATCCCAGCTACTCGGGAGGCTGAGGCAGGAGAATTGCTTGCACTCAGGACACAGAGGCTACAGTAAGCCAAGATGGCGCCATTGTACTCCAGCCTGGGCAACAAGAGCGAAACTCCATCTTAAAAAAAAAAAAAAAAGAAAGAATATTTCCCATGCTCTTTTCTACATAGGAAAAGCTAGATTCTTACATTTTTATTTCTTCAAGTCATTTCACAGATTGATGCTATTGATGCTTTTTAAATCAAAATAATACATGCATGAGGTTTACTTTTAATGTGCACAAGATATTTTAATGACAGGTTTGTAACTGATGTCTGGTATTTTTTCTCTACCTGAGAGTAGACTGGAGAGGTTAGAATAATGAGAAGCCATTAAGGATGTGTAAATTGACCTACTTATCTAACAGAATAGCTTAGAGAGGGTAGAAATCAGACTAATAAAAATATATTCCCAGTATATTTCAGTTGTTTTTTTCCCTGTATCTTATTCAAGATGTAACTGTACAATGGATAGTAATGATATTTTCTTGACATTGCAGTTCCTGGAAGTTCATCTAAATGGGAGGAAGTACAGTCCAAAGCAAACCATTTATTATTGAACACATTTGGCATGTATAGATGTACTATTCAGCTTCAGAGTTACAGGCAAGAAGTGGACAGAACTTGTGCAAATTGTCAGAGTTCTAGTCCCTAATTTTATGTATTTTGGGAACTCCTGCCTTATTTATCCTGCAGTCACAGACTTGAGAGCAATAAATGCAAACCTAAATGAGAAAATGGAATCCCTGACAGCTGTGTCCGTATCAAGCATCAGTCTCTCAAACAGTTGCCCCAGCCTGACAGTGCTAGTCTCTGTTTAATGGTAAAAGGAGACTTTGCCATAATTTTCAGATGAAGATGTTTCCCAAACACTGTTTACAGAATGAGATGTGACTCTACAGATACCTCATAGAAGACAATCCAAGATCATACTTCATTAACTTGACAGAGTACGTGTCTTAAAGGAAGCATCAAGAATTCAATATTTGCATTTAAAAATACTTTTTAAGGCCATTTTATATTAAGCCAGTGCTGGAAAACTGAATTTTTTTTATTATGTATAATAATCTCGACACCCAGCTTCTGGAATTGCTGCTTTCTTTTTACAGAAATTACTACCCAACAGATTTCAGGAAGTACTAGTAGTTATCCCAAAAGTGGAATAAGCATGTATTCCTAAGTGTTTCAGAAATGTTTTATTTCACACATAAGTCTTAATGTTATTGTTATGATTATACTTTATAAACAACCTTTTCCAGATGCTACAGGGTTTTGAATCTCAAAGTTAACATTTTTCATTATTTGTAATCTTAGAACCAAATCTTTATTTATTGTGGTCACTGTTATTAAATGATTTAGGAAATACTTTCAATATTATTCTGAATGGCTGAAGTTAGTCTTAAACTCAAATTACTATATGATGATTTAAAACAAAATAAAAGAGCGAGGATGGGGGTTGGAGTTTCAGGTTTATGTCTTCCCGACATCACTTTTATCATTCATGAAATTGTCTTAAAAAAGCAAGAGACTGCAAAATGTAAACAGTAATCTTCTGTCCCTTTAAGAACTGCCAACAATTTGTACAAAAAATGTGGTACGTTGGTTCCTGCCTCCACTCCAGGTCATCTGTGTGTTTAGCCTTTCAGGGTAAACTCTAGAGGGTTCAGTTTATAATTCCCACCTTTCACATATAGTTCAACAACATTAATCCAGAGAGAATTTTATGTTTTATGATATGGGTTATGTTTTATTATATATTTTATGTTTTATGATATGGGTTAGGGATTCTCCATGGACTCCAGAAACCCTAAAATACAATTTTGAGGTTTTCCAATAATACCATAGCAGAAATGTCCAAGGGGTTGGGGGAAGATATTACTTTGAGAAAACAGAAATGTAAAGGATTTTTGACCTTATATATGTGTGTGGTTTTGTTTTTGTTTTTGTTCTTGAGAGAGTCTCACTCTGTCACCCAGGCTGGAGTGCAGTGGCGTGACCTCTGCTCACTGTAACCTCTGCCTCCTGGGTTCAAGTGATTCTTCTGCCTCAGCCTCCCAACTAGCTGGGACTACAGGTACACCACACCCAGCTCATTTTTTTGTATTTTTAGTAGAGACAGGGTTTTGCCACATTGGCCTGTCTGGTCTTGAACTCCTGACCTCAGGTGATCCGCCTGCCTTGGCCTTCCAGAGTGCTGGGATTACAGCATGAGCCACCATGCCTGGCCTGTATGTGTGTGTTTTAAAGCACTAGATAGGGATGGACATTAAATCTGTGTTGCAGGGAAACTAAACAGAGGTTTCCAAACTGAAGGCAACCTAATTGTAAATGCCTGTGTTAAAGAGGCAGCTTGACTGTTCATGTTTCATTTTGCAACCATTGGTTTTGAGATTATCTTTTATGCACATTTGGAGTCCCTTTTCAACAGTGACAGTTTCTTACACGAAGAATGGATATGGTTATTGGGCTCCTCTAAGAATCAGAGTAGGGTAACAATGTACCAGGCAAATTGTAAGTTGAAATTCTAGATAAGCATGCAGATGACTTACAATATAAATGAAGAATAGGAAACATTTTATCTTCTTACCAAGTACCTTACTATAAGTAAACCTAAGATAAGAAAACCCAGATTTACCTATAAGATTGTTGGGAGTTAATGGTGTCAATAAAAGGATTGATGGTCCCTCTAATGAAACCCAGTAGATGTTTGTTGAATTGAACTGAAAATTTATGTGGCCAGACACAGTGGCTCATGCCTGTAATCTCAGCATTTGGGGAGGCAAAGGTGGAAGTATCCCTCGAGGCCAAGAGTTCATGACCAGCCTGGTCTTTTGTAGAGACCCTGTCTCTACAAAAATATAAAAATCAGCCAGGCGTCGTGCACACCTGTAGTATCAGCTACTTGTAAGGCTGTGGCAGAAGTGCTTTAGCCCAGGAGGTTGAGGCTGCAGTGAGCCATGTCCACACCATTGCACTGCAGCCTGAGTAACAAAATGAGACCCTATCTCAAAAACAAAAAGGAAAAGAAAATATACATGATGGGATTCCTATTGTGAAGTCATTTAAAATAATGACTTGAATTTCTCAGAAATTTCAGGAGCATATAAACTATTTAAATCAAAATATTCTTACATATAGAAACCAAGTAAGAATAAATGAGAGATATTTCAGTGGACATCTGGACATATTTATGGACTTTGAGTATCTAGCAAGTAGAAAGGAAAAAAATATTCATCATACTCTAATCATTTTTTTATATCTATTGAGCTTGTTTCTTGTAAACTTTTCTTTATCTTATAAAGGCATATCTCGCTTTTGTATCGACCTGTTCCTTAAAAAATGTATTTGATAAAACAGGCTAAAATTCATTTGAGTATTGAAAAGAATTCTTTTTTTTTTTTTAAGATGGTGTCTCACTGTCACCCAGGCTGGAGTGCAGTGGCACAGTTGGGCTCACTGCAGCCTCTGCCTCCCAGGCTCAAGTGGTCCTCCCATCTCAGCCTCCCAAGTAGCTGGTACCACAGGCATGCACCACCACACCCAGCTAATTTTTTGTATTTTTGGTAGACACAGTGTTTCACCATGTTGCCCAGGCTGGTCTTGAACTCCTGAGCTCAAGTGATCTGCCCACCTCGGCCTCCCAAAGTGCTGGGCTTATGGGCATGAACCACTGTGCCCAGCCAAAAAGAATCCTTTTGTAAAATACAGAAACACTGCAAACCTTTGTAAATCTTTTTTTTTTTTTTTTTTTTTTTTTTTTAATGAGATGGGGTCTCCCTATGTTGCCCAGGCTGGTCTTGAGCTCCTGGGCTCAAGAAATCCTTCCACCTCGGGCTCCCAAAGTGCTGAGATTACAGGGTGTGAGCTACCGCACCCAGCCATGAAAACTTCTGTAAATCTTAACTATCGTGTTCTGCTTAAAGTGAGGTACACATAAAGTTTCCTGTGCTTTGTTTTTGTAGGAAAAAGTACATAGTTTGTATCTTTACCTTACGGAGTCTATGAGATTTGAGAATTTGATTTCACTTTTTGTAACTTAACCCACAGAAAAGGACATTAACTTAGCAGATAGGACCAAGGACTGAATGACTTCTGACAAAAAGCGTTTGGTCTATCCTTCACTTGTTGAGCTACAACCATGCATTACACTTCTCAGCTGAGCTCTCAAAGAGCTCTATGCCCTGTGAAAAGCAGTGGCTGAGTTGGATGAACACATAGCATTATTAATTTTGCACTGGGAAAACAGATTATGACAGGACCACAGACCACAATATAAAAACTTGGCAGTTCTTTGGTGTGATATATTTTAATTAGTATTTGCAAATAATCAGAGTTACTTGTGTACATAAACGTGTGTTTCACAACTATGGCCAGATGCAACCTTTTGGTCTGTTTCAGGAAAAGACCTATTATTCCACTAACAATTATGCTGCCTTAGAAACATAATGGGAGTGTAATTGAAGAAAGCATGTCTCAGAAGGTTTTGATATGCAGAACTGGAAGCTATTGTAATTCCTACATACATTTCCATTAGCTATGCCTTATGTAATGTGAGTGCAGATTTTTACAACTTAGAGTTCCCATCAGTGTTTTTTTGCCACATCACCGGGTTTCTTATTTTACTGTTTTCTTTTCAACTTTGGGTGCTTTATTTCCATTCTCTAAAACTAAGTTTCTTGCTCTTACGAGACTTAGTGTTCCTTTTGAACCCAGGTGTTCCACCTGACAGTGTTTGTCTTTCATAGACTTTCCAGAATAGACATAGTCAAGATCAGACACGTGAGCTTCTCTCTCATTTTAATGTGAGGAAAATCATCTTTCAGAGACAAGGCACCGCTTAGAAATGTATGTCCAGGTATGAAAGAACCTTTTTAAAATGGCTGGTTGTTCCAGATCCAGATTTCTCTGCACACTGGACTTCGTAGAGTAAGTGTGGTAGACAAAGAGACTACACTGCACAACCACCAGTGAATATCATTGCTAAGAAGACTTTGGGTCGTGTTTCTCAGCCACTCTCACAGCTTTTGTAGACTTATTTGATTTTGAAACAAGCAGTTAGCTAAATCTATTTTCCTTTTATGCATATATGTTAATTGGCTCAACTTAATATGGTGTTCTTACAGAATATGAGCCCATTTGAAATAAGGTTTTAGGCAATTTTGCTGTTGGCTCTGATTTGTATATAGCAAATTTAAAGTTACAGAGTGTTTCCTAGATAGAAGATTAGTTCATTTGGTTCATTTTGTCTTTGAAGCAAGCCAAGCTCATGAGCCAGTTGGTTATTTGTCATAAATGAACACCCATCACTATATGCTATGTTGAGGGGAGGCAAGTCTGATCTTCGAATAATTGATAAAGTTTAATATCTTTGTAGCCAAAATACAATTTGCAAACCCTAACTCCAGATGTGTCGTATGAATCTTGACAACCAGGTCTTGAGATTTGTTTTACTGATTGCCAATCAGGTATATTATTTGTGATGTTCGTGGGAGCATGCAAATTAGAAGACAGTGTTGTGGGAGTTCCTCAGTATTGAATTACATGTGTGCACTCAGGCCTGCCAGTCACTGAATTCTGACTTGTAAAGGGTTTAACCTGCTGTTCCAATCATTGAGGACCAATTTGCTTTTTGATAAGATTGGAAAACATTTATGGAGACTTTCCCAGTTAAATCTATGACAGTGTCCACTTAAATAGTGCAATTTAGTATATTCTCAGATAACTGCAACACAAAATTGAAATGTGCCAGTATGTCATCTTTCTACCTGGAAGATACTGTATATTTGGAAAGTTTATGCTTCTCTCAATAAATACATGTTATTAAATAAGCCATATCACAGTTTAAGAAATTGTATATACTTTATCATATGCCCTTTCAGAAACCAGGTATTTTGCATATGATTGATTTTAGAAAGATTTTGAAGCTGGGGTTTGTCCATGTTAATTAAGATCAAAGTATATATATATATATATATATGTGCTGTATTTGCAACTTTCACATTGTAATTTCCTATACACTTATTAAAGTATTGTTTTGCCATGTGGTTTATTAAATAAAAATGTACAGTCTCTTAAATATCTGCTCTTTTTATTAAGTAATATTAGTAGGCCTAAAAACATTGTTCTTAAAAGAAAATCTTTTATAATTATAATGTCATTTTATAATGCCCTCTTATATGTTTAAGAAATAAAACTGAAAAAAATCTTCTGGATAGTATGGAAAGATTAATTAAAAGAACCTTTCTCTTTTGGTATCAGTCACATGCAGTGACGCTACAGTCCCATCAACAGTGGCAGAAAGGAAATAAAGAAGCCACTGTAAAATAGACTGGTGAGGACCACCAGGAAGTCTGAGAGTAAGAGCCTGCTGACTCTCCAATCGTGTGGACCAGTCTACACTATACCTCCCAGGCCAAATCTGGCCTGCAAGCCTGTTTTATTTGCCCCAAGAACTAAGAATGATTTTTACATCTATTAAATCACTGGGTGCAGTGGCTCACGCCTGTAATCCTAACATTTCAGGAGGCCAAGGCAGCTGGATTGCTTGAACCCAGGAGTTCAAGACCAGCCTTGGCAACATGGTGAAACCTCATCTCTACAAAAAATACAAAAATTAACTGGGCATAGTGGCACATGCCTGTGATCCCAGCTACTCAGGAGGCTGAGAGATAGGAGGATCACTTGAGCTCAGGAGGTCTAGGCTACACTGAGCCGTGATGGTGCCACTGCTCTCTAGCCTGAGTGACAGTGAGACCCTGTCCCCATCCCCCCCCAAAAAAAAACAGTAAATATTTCATGGCATGTGAAAATTATATGGACTTTAAGTGAATTTCTGTGTCTATAAAGCGTTACCGGAACACACCACACTCATTCAGTTACGTATTGTCTATGGCTGCTTCCATGCTACCGTGGAGAGTTGCGTAGTGACATAAAATATTTACTATCTGGCCCTTTATAGGAAACGTTTACTAACCCCTGGTGTAGAGTGTTTTAAGACTATAACAAGCCGGGTGCGGTGGCTCATGCCTGTAATCCCAGCACTTTGGGAGGCTGGAGTGGGCACTTGAGGTCAGGAGTTTGAGACCAGCCTGGCCAACATGGTGAAACCCCGTCTCTACTAAAAATACAAAAATTAGCTTGGCATGGTGGCAGGTGCCTATAGTCCCAGCTACTCGTAAGGCTGAAGTGGAAGAATTACTTGAACCCAGGAGGTGGAGGTTGCAGCGAGCCGAGCCGAGATCACACCACTGCACTCTAGCCTGGGCAACAGAGTGAGACTCCGTCTCAAAAAAAAAAAAAAACACTATTAACAGCATATATGGATGCAGTGAAGTCTCCTAGAACCTGCTTGCAAGTTTTTGTGACTGGTAAGTCTGAAGCCACCTGAGTCACCAAAGGTTCTTTCATACCTTTACCTTTTTTCTCATTTTAAACTTCCTTTGGGTTTGGGGCAGAATATAAGAAAAGAGTAGCAAGATTTCAAATATTATTCATATGCCGTACGCTGTCACATCACTAGCAAAGCATTTTTCTTACTAGAACACCATGATCACCAGAATCATTTAAGTATACTTTTCAACATAAAAGCTTATTCAGTTGATTTTTAGATTTTTCACTTGTTATAACAAAAAGTTAAGAAAATAAAAATATGTGTAGAGTACCTTATGTAATTTGTGCCAATTGGGAGCTCACAAATGATGTTCTTTAAGGTTTTTAAGTTTCCTAGCAAAAGACAACAATATTTAATAAATATTGTAATAAAATATAGTTGTAAATATACTAGTATAGACTGAGCCTGTAATTCCAGCACTTTGGGAGGCTGAGGCAGATGGATCACTTTGAGCTCAGGAGTTGAGCCCAGCCTGGGCAACAATGGTGAAACCCCATCTCTACAAAAAATAAAAAAATAAGCCAGGCATGGTGGCACGTCTGTGGTCCCAGCTACTCGGGAGGCTGAAGCTGGATAATTGCTTGATTCTGGAAGGCAGATGGTGCAGGAAGCCAAGACTGCACCACTGCACTCCAGTGACACTGCAACAGAGTGAGATCCTGTTTAAAAAAAAATACATATATATGTATTATATATATATTATATATATGTATTATATATATATTATATATATGTATTATATATATATTATATATATGTATTATATATATTATATATATGTATTATATATATTATATATGTATTTATATTATATATATGTATTATATATATTATATATATGTATTATATAATATATATGTATTATATATATTATATATGTATTATATATATTATATATATGTATTATATATACTAGTAAAGATTGAGATGTTACTTATTATTTGATTGTCTACCTAGCTATTCTATTTTGATGTGTCATTTTTTTTGATCCATGTCAGATGTTAAATACTAATTTGGGGTAACAGTCTTACAAGCTCTTGATTATGCTAAACTTTAGTATATTCATAAATAATATTTTTTGGATATATTTCGACTTCAACTGTGGTCCCATAATAATTGCTATAAGCTATGAAATAGACTAGGCACAAATAGAAAGTATGAAGCCTTATAACAAAATATAATCTCTACATGAGTCATGTGTTTAAGATAGGAGGTTTTAAAATCCAATGTTATCACCAAAAATAACATTTTCAAGCAGCATTCTGGTGTAACAGGCTCTCATGTAACTTTTACAGAGCACTACAAATTAAAGTTTGGCCCATGGGTCTTACCCTATAAACATGAAGAGGATACTGTGTGAGTTATCAAATTGCTTCCATGTCTCCTGGACTTAAATTTTTTTTTTCTGGTTTGATTTTCAAATTCCTGTTGTCTGTGTTTCACTTGCCAGTTTCTGCACATTGGTTTGTGGTTAGTTGGTGTTTGTTTGTTTGTTTTAACACTTTTGTCACTTCAACAAAAAGCTGATGCTATGGGAAAAATGTGTATGGATTGGTTTTTCTCCAAAATATACTGGGCTATTTCTTGGTAAGAGAGTAGGATTTTTTACAGTAGGAAAATTTTAGAGACCTCATGAAAGCAAGGCTAGCCCTGAAGCAAGACAGACCGTCTCTGCTCCCTTGACTCTCCTAGCATTTGAAGATTTGACCCCACATCTTTTCGAGAGGAAACCTGCTAACAGCTTAAATGGTTACTGCAGCATTTACCTTTGAACAGTGATCACAGTGAATGTTGGACTTCAGTCAGGGCATGAAGGACTGAAGTGAAGGTAAGAAATGTTTCCTGGACTTCCATTCATTAATCTATCATACTCACCTGTGAAGGCTATGGGGCAATTCCTTGTTTCAACACGTTCTTTTTCAGTTTACAACTTGACTGGAGTTTCAGTGTTAGCACAAGTCTATTCCATCCTCTTTTTGCTTCTTTATATAAGAATATTTTCCAAAGTCCAGGATATTTTTTAAACCTTGAAACAAAGTGTTATATAATTTAGTGTATTAGTCATTGACGTGTATTTGGTTTTAGAAGTGTTTCTGATCTAGGCGTGGTGGCTCATACCTGTAATCCCAGCACTTTAGGAGGCTCAGGAGGGAGGATCGCTTGAACTCAGAAGTTCAAGACCAGCCTGGGCAGCATGGTAAAACCCCATCCCTACAAAAAATTAGCCAGGCATGATGGTGTGCACCTGTAGTCCCAGCTACTTGGGAGATCCCTTGAACCCAGCAAGTCGAGGTTGCAGTGAGCTGAAATTCTGCTGCTGCACTCCAGCCTTGGTGACAGAGTGAGATCCTGTCTCAAAAAAAGAAAAAGAAATGTTTCTCATCTTTAAGATACCATGATATTGAAATTTTGACATCTCAGAAAGTTGGTTCAGGCTGAGTGCGGTGGCTCACACCTGTAATCTCAGCACTTTGAGAGGCCGAGGCAGGCGGATCACCTGAGGTCAGGAGTTTGAGACCAGCCTGGCCAACATGGCATGGCAAAACCCCGTCTGTATTAAAAATACAAAAAAATAATCTGGGCATGGTGGCATGCACCTGTAATCCCAGCTACTCAGGAGGCTGAGGCAGGACAATCGCTTGAACCCAGGCGGGTGGAGGTTGTAGTGAGCCGAGATCACACCACTACATTCCAGCCTGGGCGACAGGGTGACAGTGAGACTCTGTCTCAAAAAAAAAAAAAAAGGTTCAAGTGGTTGGAAATGTTTTTTTCTTTTTCTTTTTTTCTTTTTTTTTTTTTTTTTTTAGTTTTCTTTAGGCAAGGTGTCACTCTGTCACCTAGGCTGCAGTGGTGTGATCTTGGCTCACTACAGCCTCATCCTCCCAGGTTCAAGAGATTCTTGTGCCTCAGCCTCCTGAGTAGCTGGGATTATAGGCATGTACCATCATGCCCAACTAATTTTTGTATTTTTAGTAGAAATAGGGTTTCACCACATTGGCCAAGCCGGTCTTGAACTTCTGGGCTCAAGCAATCCACTCGTCTTGGCCTCCCAAAGTGCTTAGGATTACAAGCATAAGCCACCGCACCCGGTGGAAATGGTTTTTTCTGAAGTAGATTGAGACTATTCCAAATGTCATCCATTTTACAATTATTCAACCAAGGATTGACCTATGAAGACCATCTGCCTGCCACTGAACATGCTATGAAATAGAACACACAATAGCAGTGGGTTTTTTTTTTTTAAGTTAAACAGGAAATAAAACAATGTTATGTTTTTGGAGGGCTTCTTGGGCCATAGCCTCACTCCTGTAGATAGAAGATCACACTTGTCTCCCATTAGGAATGGCTTCAGAAATTGTGACCAGGAGGATTAAAGTCCATCCTCTTGGTAATGACATGCAAAGTCCTGATCTGGTCACTGCTTACCTAGTCACCCCGCAGTTCCAGCCTTTCCCACCACCACTAGCCTACCTCCCATGTGTCAGCCATACCAAACTATAGGCAGCTTTTGGTTAACCAGGGAAATAATTGCTAACACTTATTGATCCCTGACTGCGTTCCAGACACTGCTGCGCACTTTGTTTGTTTGTTTTTTGAGACGGAGTCTCGCACTGTAGCCCGGGCTGGAGTGCAGTGGCGGGATCTCGGCTCACTGCAAGCTCCGCCTCCCGGGTTCACGCCATTCTCCTGCCTCAGCCTCCCAAGTAGCTGGGACTACAGGCGCCCGCCACCGCGCCCGGCTAATTTCTTTTTGTATTTTTAGTAGAGACGGGGTTTCACCGTGTTAGCCAGGATGCTCTCGATCTCCTGACCTCGTGATCCACCCACCTCAGCCTCCCAAAGTGCTGGGATTACAGGCGTGAGCTACCGCGCCCGGCCTGTTTTATCTCTTTAAGTTTACAACAAAAATTAGATACATTTCTGAAACACTCCAGACAATAATATAATTACAACTAAATGTGTTAATGGCCAGCAGTTATTATCACTTACAGAATATGATAATCTCCCCGTCAGCCCAGTGGTAGCACTGAGCTGGTTCACAACAATTCTAGCCTTGCTAATGACAGCTTGTTTTTTTAATAACAGACTATTTTTTAAATGAATTAATAAGGCGACTATTTTCAGCTTGAAACTGTGGGAGAGCTCACTTACTACTTTTTTTTTTTTTTTAAAGAGACAAGGTCTCACTGTCACCCAGGCTGGAGTGAAATGGTGGGATCATGGTTCACTGCAGCCTCGACCTCCCAGGCTCAAGCAATCCTCCTACCTCAGCCCCCCAAGTAGCTGGGACTGTAGGCATGTGCCACCATGCCCCCACTAATTTTTTGATTTTTTTTTTTTTTGGTAGAGATGAGGTCTCCCTATGTTGCCCAGGCTGGTCTTGAACTTCTGGGCTCAAGTGATCCTCCTGGGTTAGCTTCCCAAAGTGCTGGAATTACAGGTATGAGCCAACATGAAAGTGGCTGACACTACTTTCAAAGTATTAATGGATTTAAAATCAATAATCTTTATCTTCGTTGTTAAAATATTTAACTAAGTATATACACATACATTGGATTAAGAGACAGCCAGGCACAGTGGTTCACCCCTGTAATCCCAGCACTTTGGGAGGCCAAGGCAGGAGGATCACATGAGCCCAGCGGTTCAAGACTAGCCTGAACAATATAGTAAGACCCTGTATCTAAAAATAAAATAAAATGAAATAACAGACAGAAGAACTGGTTCTGGTCCCAGCTTTGCTAAATGTGTCTCTCTGGACAAGTTACTCTGTTTTGCTAGGCCTCAGTCTAGCTGTCTGTATAATGATAATAAATGTTGATTGAGTGTTCCACACTGTACTTGCCAAGCACTGTTCTAAAAGCTTTTTCAGCGTTAGCGAATTGTTAGCAACAGTTCTATGAATTATTATTACCCCGATGTACAAATGAGGAAACTGAGGCAGAGAAAGGTTAGGTAACTTCCCAAGGTTAGCTAATTAGTAGCAGAGCTGGGATTCCAATACAAATTGGTCTGGGTCAGCATTCCCACTCTTAGCCTTTATGGTGAGATTCTCCAGCTGGGACCAACACTGTCAATTATCCAGTGCAGAATTGCATGACACTCTTATAAGCCTCCTAAGGAGGCTGGGTGGCTGCCCCAGGCCATAGAGAGAACCTGCCTGCAGGGGAAGCTGTGTGGGTAGGGCGGATGTGAGTGAGGAGGGCCCGGTGGGAAGGAGCCTGCTCTATCAATAATGGCCCAACTGTATGTACACTTACTTTCACTCTGTCCCCATCTCTCCTAGAACTACCAGAGGCTTTCTGACTTTTTTTGCAAATAAAGACCCTGAGGGGGCTATGCTCTTACTGTCTCTTCTCTTGTCCACTTTGTTAGTGAGCCAGCATGGTAGGATATTAAGGAGAGGATTTGGATCCAGGCTACAGTGGGTTCAGTTTCAGCTGTATGAACTTAATAGATGTGTGATCTTGGGAAGGGTGGAAACCTCTCTAAGCCTTTTTCTTCAGCTATATAACAGAATAACACCTTGTGTTATAACCACAGGAGTTAGAGAAAACTCCACACTTTGAGACAAATTAAGAGTCCTTTATTAAGCCAGCGGCCAAAGAGACGGCTAACGCTCAAAATTCTCTCGGCCCCGAGGAAGGGGCTTGATTAACTTTTATACCTAGGTTTAGGAAGGGGAGGGGAACTCAAATGCAATAATTCTACAGAAGTAAAAAGATGCAAGAATAAAAAAACAAATGGTTACAAAGAGATAAACTATTTAAAAGACAAATGGTTACAAAAAGAGCAACGGTACCAGGTGCAGGGCTCTAAATCCTTCATTTATAATTAGTTATAGGGGCTATGCCAGACACGAACTCAGGGCTTTATGTTGTTATCTCCTTGAGAAAAATCCTGGGAACTTCATACATTGTTGGTGCTAGTACCTTATCAGTTAATTGGGCTCCTTTGAAATGCTGAGGATCTGTTTACACAGGTCAACTCCTTACGGAAGGGGGTTGGGTAAGGAGCCCTTAGTGTCTTGTAAATTAAGGGGTCAATTGGAGTTTGTCCGGCTTTCCCAGCTAGAGAGAGTCTTATTTACATGAGAAGCAAGGCTAGGTGACTAAAGAGACAAACAGGGAAGATTCAAAGTAGCAAGTTAGAGTAAAAACAAGGTTAGGCATTTCACTTGAACTTCATTCACAAGGTTGCTTTAGGGATTAACTAAAATAAAGCACATACAACATCTAGCATTAGCTGGGCGTCGTGGCTCACGCCTGTAATCCCAGCACTTTGGGAGGCTGACGCGGATGGATCACCTGAGGTCGGAGTTCGAGACCAGCCTGGCTAATATGGTGAAAACTCGTCTTTACTAAAAATACAAAAAATTAGCTGGGCTTGGTGACAGATGCCTGTGATCCCAGCTACTCAGTAGGCTGAGGCAGGAGAATCGCTTGAACCTGGGAGGCTGAGGCTGCAGTGAGCTGAGATCGTGCCATCGCACTCCAGCCTGGGCAACAAGAGCAAAACTCCATCTCAAAAACAAACAAACAAACAAAAACAAAACAAAACCACATCTAGCATAGTTCTTGTTACATTGTTTCTTTTTCTCCCACTCCTCACTCTGTGATGGAGAAAATTGAGACCCTCCCTACTGGACACATCTAGTTAATTTAGTCTAATTCAGGTAGATTCTCTCCTCAGGGACTAATCTAAGGATGATGTAAACCAAAAATAAAATTCTAAGGCCAACCATCTGAATGTGTTATATGACTTTTCCCTAGTTAAGCTACAGGCAGGGTCCTTGTCACACGACCATGAAAAATGAGGCTCGCAGATAATTTGAAGGGTGAGAAAAATGGGATTTATTGGGCAAAAAGGAAAAAAAGGGAAACAGGGACTCTCTGCAAAGCCAGGGTCCTGCTAGTGTGTGTCCTGCCTCGCAGACTGAATCCCAGGTACCATACCCCGGAACAAGAGAGAAAGACCAGGCTCCTTCCCTGCCAAGGGCGCTAACTTCCTACGGCTCCACCCCAGTGCGCATTTCTCCCAGTGTGCGGGCTGTCAGAGGTTCTGCCAGGGAGCCCTTCCCACCCAGCTGTCTCAAAGGGACTTCATTCTTGTCCAAGGGACTCATAATTTTTTTTTTTTTTGAGACAGGGTCTCTGTTGCCCAGGCTGGAATGCAGTGACACAATCTTGACTCACTGCAACCTCCACCTCGCAGGTTGAAGCGACTGTTCTACCTCAGCCTCCCAAGTAGCTGGGATCACAGGCATGCACCACCACACCCAGCTAATTTTTGTATTTTTAGTAGAGATGGGATTTCACCATGTTGGCCAGGCTGGTTTCAAACTGCTGGCCTCAAGTCATCCACCGGCCTTGGCCTCAAAAAGTGCTGGGATTACAGGCGTGAGCCACTGCACCTGGCCAGGACCCATAAAATTTAACCTGAGAGACTGGTTTAGGCGAAGACTGGAAGTGGGGGTCCTACACCCCTCATTATACTTGTCAGCATTTAACATTAACACATGCCTTAAGTCTGATCAAAAGCATTTACAGCCTATTCTTTCTGAAGCCTGATAACTGAAGGCTTCATCTGAATGACAAAACTTTGGTCTCCACAACCTCTTACTGCAACCCAGACATTTCCTTTCTGTTGCTCCCAGGTCCTTAGATAAACTCAACCAATATTCAACCATAAAAATTTTAAATCTACCTATAAACTGGAACCACCACCCACCCCTTCGAGTTGGCCCACCTTTCTGGACTGAACCAATGTATTTCTTTTTTTTTTTTTTTTTTGAGATGGAGTCTCATTCTGTCTCTCGCCCAGGCTGGAGTGCAGTGGCATGATCTCGGCTCACTGCAACCTCTGCCGCCCGGGTTCAAGCGATTCTCCTGCCTCAGCTTCCCAAGTAGCTGGGATTACAGGTGCCTGCCACCACCCCCAGCTAATTTTTGTATTTTTAGTAGAGATGGGGTTTTGCCATGTTGGCCAGGCTGGTCTTGAACTCCTGACCTCAGATGATCCACCCACCTCAGCCTCCCAAAGTGCTGGGATTACAGGCGTGAGTCACCGTGCCCAGCCTGAACCAATGTATTCTTAAATGTTTTAGATTGAAGTCTCATGTCTCCCTAAAATGTGTAAAACCAAGCTGTCCCCAACCACCTTGGGCACCTGTTCTCAGAATTTCCTGAAGGCTGTGTCATGGGCCATGGTCACTCATATTTGGCTCAGAATAAATCTCTTCAAATATTTTACAGAGTTTGACTTTTCGTCGACAATGGAAAGAAACTAACTGTTATCAGGGGGTTTATGCCAGGTCATTTCATATATATAGCCTCCCAATGGGGAAGAACTGACCCTGAGTTTGAATTTAGATTGAGTCAGTGTGACCTTAGATAAATTATTTGACCTCTTCAGGCTCAGTTTTTTCGTTGGTAAAGTGGGTGTAACTGAAATGCAGGTTGGTTGCTCGTCGCATGTACAGTCCAACAAGAGCAAGGCCAGATATTTAAAAAGTGAATTTATTGCAAAGCTGGTGTGAACTCTGAAAATCTGAGACAGGTCTGAGTTAATTTAGAAAGTTTATTTCGCCAGAGTTGAGGATGTGCACCGGTGACACAGCCTCAGGAAGTCCTGACGACATGTGCCCAAGGTGGTCAGAGCAAAGTTTTCCCTTTTATACGTGCTAGGGAGACATGCGACGTCAGTCAACATATGCAAGATGAACACTGGTTCGGTCTGGAAAGGTGGGAAGACTCAAAGCGGGGAGGGGGCTTACAGGTCATAGGTAGATAAGAGACAAACAGCATTCTTTTGAGTTTCTGATTAGCCTCTCCAAAGGAAGCAATCAGATATGCACTTATTTCAGTGAACAAAGGTCCCTAAGCAGTTCCCAGCTTGACTTTTTCCTTTAGCTTCATGATTTCAGGGCCCCAAGATTTATTTTCCTTTCACACTAGCTTGGGGAGGGGCACAAAGTGTCCTGCCTTCAAATGTGCTACTTCCCCTCTGGAGCAGAAAGGAGACACTTTGATAAAGTAAGAGGGGAATGAATAAGGGCAGGGGGTCCCACTGCTAGTTTGGTGCCTTATTTACCATCCGGTTGAGTTGGCACCTTCCTGGGCAGAAGTTGTAAAAGTGGCCAAGTGGGAAAAGGGTGTGATTTTGCTGTGCCCTCCTTGTGGATGAATGTCCCAAGGCAACCCTCTGGAGGTGAAAGTTCCGTGGTGGGCATGACTTGGTCTGCAAATCTGCCAACTCTCAAGAGAGATCTGTCTTGGAGCACACAGAAGAACTTGTCTGCAGGGAGTGTCTGGTGAGGGGGAGGTGAAAGGTTGTATTTGCATTTCTGAAGGGCTAAGTAGAAAATAGGGAACAGTGGGAAAGGGGAGAGAAGACAACTCATTTCGGGGCACTCAGTTACATGGGGACTCATAACATTAGCTGACTTCATAGGACTGTTGTGAGAATTAAATGAAATAATGCATGCAAAATGCCTGGCATATGTTAGTATTCAATAAATGGTGGCTATGGTTGTCATTATTCCTATTTAGGGTTCCTGAGCTTCCCTAGCCTCACTAGAAGCTTCCCTGGCCTCACCAGCTTTCCAAGCACCCTACTAACAGGTTCAAAACCACGAACTTAAATATACCAGTAGGACGCAGGGTCTGCTTCACAAACCATCACTCATAATCATCCCAGCTCCGAACATGTCATCAGCGCAGGAGTGACATCCTATCACAGCCCCTTCCCTCATCCTTCCACCAGAAGCCTATGGTTGGAGCTGCTTCTGCAGAATTAGGAGCAGAACCTGATGAGTCATGAGCAGAAGGACCTAAAAATTCTTAGGAAGCTTCTTGGTTCAATGCATCCACACCCACCCAATCATGGCCTAAAAATAGTTTTTCTCTAGGGAGAGACCTAACGAGAGATGTGTGTATGTCGTGTCACAGTGACAGAATGAGAGCTCGGATTGCTAGGGGTTTCTCAGGAGCTGAATCTTCCCCAACTGTTCCCCCACATCCCCAGGACAGGCACAGCTGTACTAGCACAGTACGTCCTCCTCCCCCACTTCCTTCACAATAAGCACCCCACACACACCTGAAACACCAGGTTCACCAACAACTACACCCCATCCTCCAAACTCACCTCCCTCATCCCTGTACCTGCTTCTCATTTTACAGGTTATCTCAGTAGGAGTGGGAAAGCCTCGATCCTTCACCAAACCCCACACCTCTCCTGGGGACATCTCAATGCCTTAACAGAAACCACTCCACTTTATAACTTTGCTTTGGATTCATCCTCCGATTTCTCAGCAGACTTCAATGTTGAACACACCCATGGCCCAACCAAACTGAGTCCATTAGACTACAAGAACCTTGAGGACAGGGCCCATGTCCATCTTGCCCCATCCCATCCTTAGTGACCACCACAATGCAGGGCACAAAGTGAACCTCAATAAATCTTTGCTCAGTGAATGATGAGCAAATAAATTCAGATTTTACAGAAGGAGGGGAAGTCTTTCCCTGTTACAGAATCACTGGATTAAAGAATATACTTCGGAACTGTGCTGTCCAATATGGTAATCACTAGCCACATTTGGCCATTTAATGTTAGTTAGAATTAATCAAAATTAAATTCTACTATATGATCTAGCCATTCCGTTCTTTGGTATTTACCCATGAAAAATTAAAGCATATGTCCAAAGACTCATATAATGATGTTCATAGCAGCTTTAGTCACAATGGCTAAAAACTGGGGAAAATATATTTATCCACAGATGAATGGATAAACAAATCATAGCATATCCACACAATGGAATACTGCTGGGCGATAAGAAGGAATTAATTATTGATAAACACAATGACATGGATGAATCTCAAAAGAATTATGCTGAGCAAAAGGGACAGACCAAAAAGAGTAAATACTGTAGGATTCCACTTATATGGAATTCTTAAAAACGCTCAGCATCGTAAGATGGGGCAAAAGTAAAATTCCAAAAAATGCAACCTATCATGACTGAAAGCAGGTCTGTAGTTGTCTGGGGATTAGTGGGAGCAGGGAAGGGTGGGAGGGAGGGATTACAAAGATGCAGGAGGAAACTCGTGTGGGTCCTGCACGTGTTCACTGTCCTGATTGTGGTGATGGTTTCACAGGGGTGTGCTCATGTCCCAAAACTTACCAAACTGTACCCTTTAAATATGTGCAGAGCGTGATATGTCAATTATATCTCAATTTAAAACAAGAGTTAAAAACATTCAATAAGTTTAGAAATTCAGTTCCTAAGTCACCCCAGCCACATTTCAAGCACCCAATAGTCATATGTGGTTAGTGGCTGCCATATTGCACAGCACAGGTATAGCACGTTAACATTATTGTAGAAAGTTCTGTTGAAAGCACTGCTCTCGAATCACAGAAAAACAGACGGGCAAGGGCCTCAGAAGCTATCTGCACAACCCTCCACAAAGCATAAATATCCAAAAATACAAAAATCGTGGGCTGTCCCTGTGACCCCACACCTATCCAGGCCTCAGGCTACCCTATGCTCAGCCCCAGCGGGGCTCACTGGGCTGCCTGGGCTCTCAGTTCCAACCCTCTGTGCTCCATCATCCTCCATTTCTAACCTTCCATCTTCTGATCTCTCCCAAGCTGGAGGAACAACAAACTAGGCCACCCTGACCTTTAGTCTACCTCTGGCACTGCCCTGCTTCCATCCCTCCTCTCACAGGCAAAGTCCCTTTTGTCCATTATGAGTCCATTCTCATATTGCTATAAAGAAATATCTGAGACTGGGTGATTTATAAAGAAAAGAGGTTTTTTTATTTTTGTTTTTGTTTTTGAGACAGAGTCTTGCTGTTGTCACCCAGGCTAGAGTGCAGTGGCTTGATCTTGGCTCACTGCAACTTCCGCCTCCCAGGTTCAAGTGATTCTCCTGCTCAGCCTCTCCAGTAGCTGGGATTACAGGCACCTGCTACCATGCTGGCTAACTTTTTGTTTTTGTTGTTGTTGTTGTTGTATTTTTAGTAGAGATGGGGTTTCACCATGTTGGCCAGGCTGGTTTCAAACTCTTGACCTCAGGTGATCCGCCCACCTCGGCCTCCTAAAGTGCTGGGATTATAGGTGTGAGCCACCCTGCCCGGCTAAGAAAAGAGATTTAATTGGCTCACGGTTCTGCAGGTTGTACAGGAAGCATGGCAGCATCTGCTTCTGGAGAGGCCTCAGGGAGTTTCCAATCCTGGTGGAAGACTAAGCAGGAGCAGGCGCATCACATGGCTGGAGCAGGAGGAAGAGAGAAGCCGGTAGTGGCTCAGTTCTAGTCCAAAAGGCTCAGAAGTAGGGAAGTTGACAGTGCAGCCTTCAGCCTGTGGCCAGAGGCCTAGGAGCCCAAGGCAGGCCACCAGTGCAAGTCACTGAGTCCAAAGGCTGAAGAACCTGGAATCTGACGTCCAAAGGCAGGAGGAACCACAGGAGAAAGACGGAAACCAGAAGACTCAGCAGGCCAGCACATCCCTCCTTCTTCTGCCTGTTTTGTTCTAGCCGCACTGGCAGCCGATTGGATGGTGCCCACTGCTATTGAGGATGGGTCTGCCTCTCCCAGTCCACTGGCTTAAATGTCAGTCTCCTCTGGCAACACCCTCAGAGACACACCCAGAAATCATACATTACCAGCCATCTAGGCATCCCTCAATCCAGTCGAGACATCTAATATTAGCCATCACATCCATCGATCTATTTTATTTATTTATTTATTTTGAGACGGAGCTTCACTCTTGTTGCCCAGTCTGGAGTGCAATGGTGCCATCTTGGCTCACTGCAATCTCCGCCTCCTGGGTTCAAGCAATTCTCCTGCCTCAGCCTCCCGAGTAGCTGGGATTACAGGCATGCACCACCACGCCCAGCTAATTTTGTATTTTTAGTAGAGATAGGGTTTCTTCATGTTGGTCAGGCTGGTCTTGAACTCCCAACCTCAGGTGATCCGTCCACCTTGGCCTCCCAAAGTGCTGGGATTACAGGCGTGAACCACCATGCCTGGCCCATCGATTAATATACTTTGGATTTCATTGTCTCCACTTCACCAAAATTTCTCCCCTGAGGTCACCAATGCTATTCCAAGTGACATAGCCACTGGACATGTTTCAGCCCTTTAAGTTACTAGATTTAAATTTTTTCTTTCTTTTCTTTTTTCTTTTTCTTTTCTTTTCTTTTTTTTTTTTTTTTTTTTTTTTTTTTGAGGCGGAGTTTCGCTCTTGTTGCCTAGGCTGGAGTGCAGTGGCGTGATCTCGGCTCACCACAACTTCCACCTCCTGGGTTCAAGCAATTCTCCTGCCTCAGCCTCCTGAGTAGCTGGGATTACAGGTATGTGCCACCATGCCCAGCTAATTTTTGTATTTTTAGTAGAGACGGGGTTTCTCCATATTGGTCAGGCTGGTCTCGAACTCCTGACCTTAGGTGATCTGCCCACCTTCGCCTCCCAATGTGCTGGGATTGCAGGCGTGAGCCACCACGTCCGGCCTTTTTATTTTCAATACGTGAACCTTCACGCGGTCCAAAAATCAAAGCAATCCAAAAAGACAGTGAATAGCTCATCCTCCTGCTCCCGTTGTCCTCACTGTCTGTCCCCTAATAAGTAACCACTTGTATTAGCTTCTTGGATGTCTTCTTCCAGAGTTTACATCCCCAAGCCTCTTCTCCGCCCACACACACACAAAGGAACGTGCAACACACACACCTCCTGCTAGCGGCTTTGCCCTGTTCACTCCAGAACCAATCTCAGCCTCTCCCAAGGCAGGACTTGCAGAGCTGCCTCTGGCTTCTTTGCAGCTGAGTTCTCACTGGCTCTGCCCGTTCTGACCCTGTGACCAAGGCGCCCTGGAGAACCTCCTTGCTTCCGCGCCTGCACTCTCCTGGCTCTCCTCTCACCTCTCTGACCACTTCCTCTGGCTCCCCAACCTCCTCCTGCTCCTTAAATGCTGGAGCCCTCCAGAGCCCAGTCCTTTCTTCTCATGCCCCATGCTCAGCCTGAGGAGGCTCACACCTTCCTGGCGAGGGCCCCTAGGGAAGCAGTAGCAGAAGGAGTGAGCATGTTTTCATCAAGTACAAGCTATTTGAGTTGCCGGGGAGCCATCTGCCTCCACTGTTGCCACCGCGGCCATTTTCACAGCTGCCAGAAAGAGAACCCGAGAAAGAAGGACTGTAGCACAAAGGTCACACTTGGTACTTTTATGGGCGTCCTTGTAGTTTCCTATATCCCCATATTTGCGGAAGCAGGACCTTTGCTTTCCTCCTAATCAGAACAGCAAAAGCAACTAATAAGCAAAAGAATCACAGAAAAGGGCTGGGCAAGGTGGCTCATGTCTGTAATCCCAGCACTTTAGGGGGCCCAGGTGGGTGGATCACTTGAGGTCAGGAGTTCAAGGTGGGTGGATCACTTGAGGTCAGGAGTTCGGTGATGGTGGTGGTGGTGGTGATGGTGATGGTGGTGGTGGTGGTGGTGGTGATGGTGTGGAGATGGTGATGGTGGTGATGATGGTGGTGATGATGGTGATGGTGTGTTGGTGGTGGTGGTGATGGTGATGGTGGTGGTGGTATTGGTGGTGGTGGTGATGGTGATGGTGGTGGTGGTATTGGTGATGGTGGTGGTGGTGGTGATGGTGATGGTGGTGGTGGTGGTAATGATGGTGATGGTGTGGTGTTGGTGACAGTGTGGTGGTGGTGGTGATGGTGGTGGTGGTGATGGTGTGGTGGTGGTGGTGGTGGTGATGGTGTGGTGGTGGTGGTGGTGGTGATGGTGTGGTGGTGGTGGTGGTGGTGGTGGTGATGGTGTGGTGGTGGTGGTGGTGGTGGTGGTGATGGTGTGGTGGTGGTGGTGGTGGTGATGGTGTGGTGGTGGTGGTTGTGGTGGTGGTGGTGGTGATGGTGTGGTGGTGGTGATGGTGGTGATGATGGTGGTGATGGTGATGGTGATGGTGTGGTGGTGGTGGTGATGGTGGTGGTTGTGGTGGTGGTGGTGATGGTGTGGTGGTGGTGATGGTGTGGTGGTGGTGATGGTGGTGATGATGGTGGTGATGGTGATGGTGATGGTGTGGTGGTGGTGGTGGTGGTGGTGGTGATGGTGATGGTGTGGTGGTGGTGGTGGTGGTGATGGTGGTGGTGGTGGTGGTGATGGTGGTGGTGATGGTGTGGTGGTGGTGATGGTGGTGATGATGGTGGTGATAGTGATGGTGATGGTGATGTGGTGGTGGTGGTGGTGTGGTGGTGGTGGTGGTGATGGTGGTGGTGATGTGGTGGTGATGGTGGTGGTGGTGTGGTGGTGGTGGTGGTGGTGATGGTGATGTGGTGGTGATGGTGGTGGTGGTGGTGGTGGTGGTGATGGTGATGTGGTGGTGGTGGTGATGGTGTGGTGGTGGTGGTGGTGGTGGTGGTGATGGTGGTGGTGATGGTGGTGGTGGTGTGGTGGTGGTGGTGGTGATGGTGATGGTGATGTGGTGGTGGTGGTGGTGATGGTGTGGTGGTGGTGGTGGTGATGGTGGTGGTGATGTGGTGGTGGTGGTGGTGATGGTGTGGTGGTGGTGGTGGTGGTGGTGGTGATGGTGTGGTGGTGGTGATGGTGGTGATGATGGTGGTGATGGTGATGGTGATGGTGATGTGGTGGTGGTGGTGGTGTGGTGGTGGTGGTGGTGATGGTGGTGGTGATGTGGTGGTGATGGTGGTGGTGTGGTGGTGGTGGTGGTGATGGTGATGGTGATGTGGTGGTGGTGGTGGTGATGGTGTGGTGGTGGTGGTGGTGATGGTGGTGATGTGGTGGTGATGGTGGTGGTGGTGGTGATGGTGATGGTGATGTGGTGGTGGTGGTGGTGGTGGTGTGGTGGTGGTGGTGGTGATGGTGGTGATGTGGTGGTGGTGGTGGTGATGTGGTGGTGGTGGTGGTGGTGGTGGTGGTGATGGTGTGGTGGTGGTGATGGTGGTGATGATGGTGGTGATGGTGATGGTGATGGTGATGTGGTGGTGGTGGTGGTGGTGTGGTGGTGGTGGTGGTGATGGTGGTGGTGATGTGGTGGTGATGGTGGTGGTGTGGTGGTGGTGGTGGTGATGGTGATGGTGATGTGGTGGTGGTGGTGGTGATGGTGTGGTGGTGGTGGTGGTGATGGTGGTGATGTGGTGGTGATGGTGGTGGTGGTGGTGATGGTGATGGTGATGTGGTGGTGGTGGTGGTGGTGGTGTGGTGGTGGTGGTGGTGATGGTGGTGATGTGGTGGTGGTGGTGGTGATGTGGTGGTGGTGGTGGTGGTGGTGTGGTGGTGGTGGTGGTGATGGTGGTGGTCGTGGTGGTGGTGGTGATGGTGTGGTGGTGGTTGTAGTGGCGGTGATGGTGTGGTGGTGGTGGTGATGGTGGTGGTGATGGTGTGGTGGTGGTGGTGGTGATGGTGTTGGTGGTGTGATGGTGGTGGTGGTGGTGTGATGGTGGTGGTGATGGTGTGGTAATGGTGGTGGTGATGGTGATGGTGGTGGTGGTGATGGTGGTGGTGGTGGTGATGGTGTGATGGTGTGGTGATGGTGGTGGTGATGGTGTGGTGGTGGTGGTGGTGGTGATGGTGGTGATGGTGTGGTGGTAGTGATGGTGGTGGTGATGGTGTGGTGGTGGTAGTGATGGTTGAGGTGGTGATGATGATGGTAGTGGTGGTGGTGATGTTGGTGATGGTGTGGTGGTGGTGATGGTGGTGGTGATGGTGGCAATGTGGTAGTGATGGTCGTGGTGGTGATGATAATGGTAGTGGTGGTGGTGATGGTGGTGGTGGTGATGGTGTGGTGCTGGTGGTGATGATGGTGGTGGTGATGGTGTGGTGCTGGTGGTGATGATGATGGTGGTGGTGATGGTGTGGTGCTGGTGGTGATGATGATGGTGGTGGTGATGGTGTGGTGCTGGTGGTGATGATGATGGTGGTGATGGTGGTGGTGGTAGTGGTGGTGGTGATGGTGTGGTGGTGATGATGGTGGTGGTGGTGATGGTGTAGTGGTGATGGTGGTGGTGGTGGTGGTGGTAGATGTCAACTGGGAGTACAGGGCAGGAGCAGCAGCTGTGACGGGGCTTGATGTGGATCAGCCTCTGGGCTAGCTTAGACAAGCTACCTCCGTTCCCACATTTGCACAGCGGGCTTCTGAGTAATATATTAATACAGTGTGATCAGCACATGACAAGTACTCAATAACTACACGTTTTCCCTCCACTCCTAACCCTCCCCATCTCCCAGGTATTCCTCCCCCAGCTAGGGTTAGCTGTCCTCCTCGCCAGATGGGTCCGTGGAGGCTCAGTGTTTCCAATAACTTTGCACCCTCTGCTGTCATGCTTATGCCTCTAGCTGGCAGGTACCTGGGGAAGCTGAAGCCTCAGGTACCACTTAATCTTAGCAACAATTAACGGCGAAGAAAGTGAGAGTTTTGTTCATTTTGGATACAGTTATTCTTTATAAACCAATGAAACAATAAATATGCCAGAAATTCCCAAATTATAGAAAAAATTCTATTCAATGAACAGAAGACAGCAAAACCAAAGAGGAATCATATTTAATAAATTCTGCTAAAAATATGGATGAATTGATGAGGAAAAATGAAAGTTGATTCATATCTTTCACTTTATGCTGGAACAAATTCTAGATTCCGATATTCTGTGGAACAGTGTAAAACACTAAGTAGGGGAGGCATAAAAAAGCATTTTGGAGCAGCCAGGTACGGTGGCTCTCAATTCTACTCCGAGCACTTTAGGAGGCCATGGAGGGAGGACTGCTTGAGGCCAGGATTTGGAGACCAGCCTAGGCAACATAGTGAGATCCCATCTCTACAAAATTTTTAAAACTTAGCCTGCCATACCTGTAGTCCTGACTACTCGGGAGACTGAGGTGGGAGGATCACTTGAGTCCAGGAGGTCGAGGCTATAGTGAGCTATAACTGCACCACTGCACTCCAGCCTGGGTGACAGAGTGAGTCTGTGTCTCTAAAAATATGTAAATAAATAAAAATTAAAAAGTTTTGCTCAAATACATTGGAAAAAAATCTGTATATGATATCCCTGTCTTGGAAATACACTGCATGCATTTGTCTCTTTTGTTCAGAGCTGTACAAGCCCCTAGTACCTCATAGTAGATGCTCAATAAATATTTTCTTCAATGAATAAATTACCATCGTTAAGGTTTTATAATTGCTGTAATAAAGGAAGGGATTTATTTTTGTCTAAATATTTTCCCAATTTATTTGACCATGGAACTCCTTCAGAAAAGTTTTCACACCCAAAGAAATAAGAGAAAATCAGTTTGGAAAACACTCTTCAGAAGAAAACAAACTTATCACAACTTGGAAAGAAATATATGTAATACTATGGGTAATAGAAAAAAAATGTTAGAGTTAAAAATGGAAAAGCGTAACCACAAGAACATTCAAGTATATTTCAAAAGAAAATAATAAAAATTAAGATTAAAAAATAGGCCGGGTGTGACAACTCACACCTGTAATCCCAGCATTTTGGGAGGCTGAGGCAGGTGGATCATTTGAGGTCAGAAGTTCGAGACCAGTCTGGTCAACATGGTGAAACCCCATTTCTACTAAAAATACAAAAATTAGCCAGGCATGGTGGCAGGCGCCTGTACTCCCAGTTACTCTTTAAACTGAAGCACGAGAATTGCTTGAACCCAGGAGCTGGAGGTTGCCGTGAGCTGAGATTGTGCCACTGCACTTACAAGGCCTGGGCAACAAAGCGAGACTCCAGCTCAAAAAAAAAAAAAAAAGAAACAAAAAAAAGTAACCATTAGAATGGAAGAAACTGTGACAACCTTGACAGATTAAAAAATTTACTAATATATAGAGATCAAATATAGTTACATAAAGAGAACATATTCGGCTGGTGCAAAAGTAGTTGTGGTTTTGGCATTAGTAGTAATTATGTAATTAACAGTAATGGCAAAGACCGCAGTTACTTTTGCATTTAACCTAATTGTCTGAATAGGCAAAGGCCACCTTGACCAGGCAGTGTGCATAAGAGGAAATCATTGTCAAGCATTTTAAAGGAAAATGTTTTGTTTCACTAATAACTAAAGAAATGTAAATTAATCCACTTTGGTACTACTGTTTTGCAAATGTTCAATCAACAAGCTCTTTAAAACCTACCATTTTGAAAGTCTACCATTGAATGACTTAGGAACGCATTTTGACGCGTTGTTGGGTGGCTATCAATTTAATTTGTGCAGTCTTTCTGAAGAACAATCTAGCAACATTCTTAAAATAGGGCATTAAAATAGTTATATCCTTTGGCCAAATTATTCCTCTTATGAAGATTTTTCCCACGGATATATTAAATTAAAAATAATTGCAAAAACCCAATTACTTTTGTACTAACCTAATAATTCAAGGGAGGGAAAAAACAACATCGAAGCAAATGTTTGCGTACGGCAAGAACACTCAGGGCGAGGAGAGGGAGGCACGCCCTCTAGTGGGGAGAATCCGAATTACCTGGAGGTGTTTTGGGGTTTGTTTTTTTGGTTTCGTTTTTTGCACCCTACACCTGCTTTTCTTCTTTCCCAAGTTTTCGATTTCTTCCCTCACTCTTGCCTAATTCTACTGGTTGGAAATCCCTTTCTACCATTCCATCTGTAACTTTTTTAAACTTTATAATTGAAGTGTTAAATTTATTTTTAAAATTTATTTTAAATATATTCCCAATCTCTGCCTTCATTCTCTAGGACTAAATGTACCATTATCCTGACATCTAGCACTATAAAATGTTTTTTCTGTTTTGACCTTTATATATGATTATGATTATTTTATACCTGGCTTCGTTTGCTCAACATTATGTTCATAAAATCCATCCATCCATATTGTTGCCGTTTGTAGCTGCAGATTCTGTTGGCTTGTCTGTTTTTCCGTTAGATATTCCACTGCATCAATATACTACCATTTATTTTTCCAGCCTATTCTTCGTGGGCATTTGAATTGTTTCCAGTTCTTGCTATTACCTGCCAATAATGCTGTTATAAGCAATCTTGTATGCTTCTTAGTGTCCATGGACTCACATTTTTGTTGAACATATATCAAGAAGTGAAGTTGCTATGACATAGAATACGCCTATGCGTTAACTGTTTTCTAGATAATGCCAAACAATTTTTCAAAGGTATAGCAATTTGCACTTTCTCCAGCAGTGTATGAGAGTACCCGCTGCCCCCATTTTTGCCAACTTGGCAGGCTGCAGTGCAGTGCATCTCATTGCGGTTTTATTTTGCATATTTCCCTTGGGCAAATTTAAAACAACTAAAGTGAGTGGCACGCCCTCTAGTGGGTAAAATCTGAATTACCTGAAAGGGTCTTTACAGCGTATACAGGCTTCCTGGGCTTTCCTCCGCCTTGTCCTCCACCAGTAGTCTCGAAGAATAAAAAGTTGAACATCTTTCATATATTTATGGTGCATTTGATATCCTCTTTTAGAAATTGCCCCTTTAAGCCTCTTGCTTATTTTTCTACTGATTTTTTAACAGCCCAATCGCTAAGATTTTTTATATTAAATTGTAAGAGTTCTTTATAGATTCTGACAAAGTGCTTTATTAGTTACATGTGTTTCTGCGCACGCCTTTCCACCTATAACTTAAATCAGCTGATTTTCACCTCTATTAACACGAGTCTCAATCCAAGTTCAATTTTGTCATATTCAAAATCGACCAGGAGATGGCGCCCTAGCCTTGCGTCTGAGCCTTCCACAGGCTGTGCCTGAATTTAAACTAAACCTCCCAAAATATTTTGTAAGGGATGCTAAAGAGATATTAAACTTTCAACCACTACAAACAGGTAGTATATAGCTAGAGCTGGGCCTCTTGGTGAGAACAACATATTAATCTTTTAGGGGAAAGTGACTGCTCAAAATAAAGAAATAAAAAGATCTTTATCACAAGGCAGGAAGCTGGGGTGAGGTTGCCCAGAAACAGGTGAGGACCCAGTAGAATCCATGGAAACACCCTCTGAGAAGTAACCTGCGGACCGATTAAGACAGTGGCACTACCTCGCAGGCCCTGGGACGGCTGTTTCACTGTTTACAAGGGCACCTGCCAGCGAAGGGTCTCAGAAGAGGGTAGAACAGGGGTTTGGTATTTTTCCACCTCCCTTCCCTTAGTCCTCTTTTTGGTTTTGTTTTCATTCATTATATTTTGTGACTGCTTAAAACTTCTGTCCTCCTGCTTCCTCCCAGCACCCCCGCCCCCCTTGCTGAATGAATGAATGGATGGCAAGGTCTTAGCCTTTTGATCTTAGAAATCAGTGCACATAAACCCCACACTCAAAGGAAGACCCCCAGGGAGAGCCCTACGTGTAGAGGAGGCTCCTCCAAGAGGGGGCTCGGGAGGGGGCTTGGTGGGCTGGGCTGGCCTGGCCTGTGCGCATGAGAGAAAGGAAAGGCATCTGCTGCCGAGGGCCATGAACAAGGGGCCGAGGCACACTGTGGGCATGGTGGGAAGGCGACCTCTTTTCTCCAACTTTCACAAGCGCCTGGCAGGAGCCACTACGTGGACATCGTGAGTGGTTCATCAGCAAGAATACAGGAACGTCAAGCCACAGATTCCACTCATTTCCTGAGGTAGCCAAGACAGGGTTTTTACCGCTATGAGTCACCACCCTCATGCCTCCAAGGCCTAGTGCAAAGACGAGCGCATGTGGAATGTGGTGAATGACGTCATCACTGCTGTTCATTCTCACTGTCCAGAAATGGCTCCAGGCTGAGTTGCACCCTCAAAGCTTTCCTCTGTTTCACCTCTGTTCAGACCCAATGCAGGCCCCTTGCAGCCCAGAGGAATAAAGAGATGCCTAGAAAGAGGCCGTGGCCACTTGTTCTCTTTTGTTTTCTTCACTGCGGAGGACTGAGCAAGCCCACTATCTGAGCAATGTGGAAATTCCAGCCCTCACAGGGCTTCACACCTTCAAGGGGAAGAACATTGCGCCATGAAACTTCCTTGCTCTAGGCCTGCCAGGGTAGGTGTCCGGGGGCTGGGTTCTGGGCCCGCACCAGGTCCCCAGGTCCAGGCCGCGAAAGAGCGGGTCTGCTGAGTGGGAGGGGCTGCCTGGGGCCAGGCTCTGCTCTCACTGGGGCTGACCCCACACAGGGATTCTGAGGCCTGCTGCCCACAACCTGCTGCCCAGACTGATGGTGTCCAGACAGAGGGAGGGTGACAGATGGATGCTGGGAGAGGGTACACAGCCCTGTGAATGCATCTCTTGGAGTCTGGGGTTTGGTGCCTCTTCCTTTCTTCCTGGTGCTAATGGTTTGCTGGATTGAGTTTGTACTGCTTGCAAGAGCTAATTGTGGAATTTTCAGAAATTTTGCAAAGCAGTTATTAAATTGTCATCATTTTAAAAATTAAATTATAACAACTCATGAGAAAATAAGTTTTGTTTTTGTTTTTGTTTTTGGGACAGTCTTGCTCTGTCGCCCAGGCTGGAGTGCAGTGGCACAATCTTGGCTCACTACAACATCCGCCTCCCGGGCCCAAGCGATCCTCCAACCTCAGCCTCCCGAGTAGCTGAGATTATAGGTGCATGCCACACACCCGTCTAATTTTTTAATTTTTAGTAGAGACGGGATTTCACCATGTTGCCCAGGCTGGTCTTAAACTCTTGAGCTCAGGTGATCCTCCTGCCTCAGCCTCCCAAAGTGCTGGGATTACAGGCGTGAGCCACCATGCCCGGCTGAAAATAAATTATTTAAAAAGCAATGAATACTGAAAACATATCACTTCCTAATTCTTCTAGTATGTTTTGCAGTTATAGATACGCTTGAGGCTACTCGTGTCTATTGGGTGTAGGGTGGAACTATCGTACGGCAGGTGCTGCTGCACACCTCTTCCCATTCTGCCTTCAGTAACATCTTGGTAGTAGCCTGAAATTGCCCGTGGTGGGAGTATTTGTGTCATAGAAATCAGCTAATGCTGCACTGCTTGCCCCCAGAGCCTGTTGTTATCCATTTAGCAGCACAGCACTGCACCTGGCCCACAGATCCCAGAACCTGAATGTGCAGCAGCTGGGACAGCCAGCCCCCGGCTTTCCACCTGCTCTGCCAACTCTGGACCTTTTTCTCAGCCAGACCAGAGGGGAGGGAAGCAGGAGCAGGGAGGCAATGGGAGGGAGAGGTGGTACCATGCCCAGGAAACACCCTTGAGCCCACCCAGGGCACAGCTGGGAAGAGCCTGGCTCACTTACAGGGTGGGAGGACTGATCTGGGGGTGGGGAGGAGGCAGGGGAAACCTGGGTTATGAGGAGGGTGACAAGGTTCATCTGCAAAAATGAAAGAAGTTCAGTGATGGAGCTGAGGAAAAGTGCGGCAGGCTGGCAGCAGGCCTTGTGACGACACAGCGGGGAAACCACAGGATTCTGCATTCTTCTGACCACAAGAGGAAGGTGAGCCAGAACCCAGCAGAAACGAAACCCCAAGGCGCTGGGCTGTTAGTAAAGTGCTGGCGCCTCTCCCAGGCCCCTGGTCCCCCTGCTGGGTAACAGCACAGGAGAAGAGGCAACAGGACTCCCGGGCCTGAGGTGGCCCTCCCAACGTGTCCCCAAACTTCCTGGCCACTTGATTCTCTGCCCCCTCCTTAACAGTTGTTTCTCCAGGTCACCCCCAGCCCTCCTCTCCACATCTCTGTGTCTTCTCACTCACACCTAAGGCTTCCAGCACCTTCTGGTTTATATATCAAGCTGGATGTCCCATGGGCACTCAGACTTGTCACCTCTCCTCCAAACCTGCCCCTCCCCTCCGATCTCATTTCGGGGACAGCAGCAAGCACCAGTGGCCAAACCTGGACGGTCTCCTTTGTTCAGCGACCTTCACGGCCCAGGGAGCCCCGCTGCCTCCTCCACACCCTGGGCTCCCCACATCCCTCCCTGCCTCAACCCAGCTCCCAGGCCTCTGAACACAGCTCACAAATGGAAATGACTTTATATTTTTGTTTTTTTGTAGAGATGGGATCTTACTATGTTGCCCAGGATATTCTCAAACTCTTGGCTTCAAGTGATACTCCTGCCTTGGCCTCCCAGATTGCTGGGATTACAGGTATGAGCCACCACACCTGGTCATGAAATGATTTTTTTCTTTTGGGTGCACTATGTCTATGACATTGCATTTACTAAACAGTAATTTCTCTCACCCTTCTGAAAACAAAGTTGTATACACAAATTCCAACCAGAATTTCATCCACTAAACACTAACTGAGCAGTTACTATGCTCAGAGTAGCTGAGCAGTTACTCTCACGTGCTAGGCATGAGAGCTGCAAAGGTGAACAGAGCCCGTCCTGGCCCACTTGCTGGGGAGAGTCCCATAAACAGACGATCAACCATAACAATGCCCTGAGGTAAGGATGACAATGTGGACGTGTACACCATCCTAGGGGCCACGGTGGGAAACCTGCCAGGTCTAGAAGCCTGGCGTCCTCCTGGCCACCTCTATCTCCCTCACTCCTTGCATCCAGTCACTCCCTGCACCCCTGGATCAAGTCTCCTTAAACTCTCAAATCTGTGCTGCCCCCTCATCTCCAGAGACACCACTGACTTTAGGTCTCAAGTGAACTCTCTGATCCCGGCCGTTCTCCACACCAAAGCCAAAAAGGGATTCATAAAGGGCAAAAATGAATGTGTCATTCCCCTATTTAAAACCTTCAGTGGGCCGGGCGTGGTGGCTCATGCCTGTAATCCCAGCACTTTGGGAGGCTCAGGTGGGTGGATTGCTTGAACTCAGGATTTCGAGACCAGCCTGGGCAACAGAGTGAGACTCTATCTCGATAAAAACAAAAATAAAATCATTTTATTATTATTATTTTTTTTTTGAGACAGAGTTTCACTCTGTTGCCCAGGCTGGAGTGCAGTGGCACGATCTCAGCTCACTGCAACATCTGCCCCCTGGGTTCAAGTGATTCTTGTGTCTCAGTGTTGCGGGAAGTCAGGGACCCTAAATGGAGGGACCAGCTGAAGCCATGACAGAAGAACGTGGATTGTGAAGATTTTATGGACATTTATTAGTTCCCCAAATTAATACTTTTATAATTTCTTATGCCTGTCTTTACTGCAATCCCTAAACATAAATTATAAAGATTTCATGGACACTTATTACTTCCCTAATCAATACCCTTGTGATTTCCTATGCCTGTCTTTACTTTAATCTCTTAATCCTGTCAGCCAAGGAGGATGTATGTCGCCTCAGGACCATGTGATAATTGCATTAACTGCACAAATTGTACAGCATGTGTGTTTGAGCAATATGAAATCTCAGCACCTTGAAAAAAGAACAGGATAACAGTAATTGTTCAGGGAATAAGAGACATAACCTTAAACTCTGACCACCAGTGAGCCAAACGGAACAGAGCCATATTTCTCTTCTTTCAAAAGCAAATAGGAGAAATATCGCTGAATTCTTTTTCTCAGCATGGAACGTCCCTGAGAAAGAGAATGCGCACCTGGGGGTGGGTCTCTAAACTGGCCCCCGCCCCCCCCTCCCCCACGGGCGTGGTTGTCTCTTATGGTTGAGTCTGCAGAGATGAAATAAACTCCAGTCTCCCATAGCACTCCCAGGCTTATTAGGAAGAGGAAATTCCCGTCTAATAAATTTTGGTCAGACCGGTTGATCTCAAAACCCTGTCTCCTGATAAGATGTTATCAATGACAATGGTGCCCGAAACTTCATTAGCAATTTTAATTTCGCCTCTGTGGTCCTGTGATCTCACCCTGCCTCCACTTGCCTTGTGATATTCTATTACCCTGTTAAGTACTTGATGTCTGTCACCCACACCTATTCACACACTCCCTCCCATTTTGAAAAATCTCTAATAAAAACTTGCTGGTTTTTGTGGCTTGTGGGGCATCACAGATCCTACCAATGTGTGATGTCTTCCCTGGACACCCAGCTTTAAAATTTCTCTCTTTTGTATCCTGTCCCTTTATTTCTCAAGCCAGCTGACACTTAGGAAAAATAGAAAAGAACCTACGTGATTATCAGGGCAGGTCCCAGGTTCAAGTGATTCTTGTGTCTCAGCCTCCCCACTAGCTGGGATTATAGGCCATGGCTGGCCAATTTTTGTACTTTTAGTAGAGACGGGGTTTCACCATGTTGGCCAGGCTGGTTTCAAACTCCTGACGTCAAGTGATCCGCCCACCTCAGCCTCCCAAAGTGCTGGGATTATAGGCATGAGCCACCGCACCCAGCCAAAATTCTAAATAATTAAAAAAAAAAAAAAAAAACCTTCAGTAGCTCCTGTTGGCCCTGGGATACCATCCAAACTCATTAGCATGGCTTCACAGCCCTTTCTGATCTAACCCAAATTAACATGAGAATTATTTCTTTTACTTGTTCCTGTGACACCAATTTAAGTGAACATTTGCTATGTGCTAGGCCAGTGGTTCCTGAACTTTTTGGCACCAGGGACCAGTTTCATGGAAGACAATTTTTCCACTGATGGGGCAGGATGGTTTCAGCATGAAACTGTTCCACCTCAGATCATCAGGCATTAGATTGTCATAAGGAGTGTGCAACCTAGATCCCTCCCATGCACAGTTCACAGTAGGGTTCAAGCTCCTAGGGGAATCTAATGCCACACTGCTGATCTGACAGGAGGCAGAGCTCAGGCAGTAATGCCAGCTTGCCCGCGGCTCACCTCCTGCTGTGCTCCTGGTTCCTAACAGGCCATGACTGGTACTGATCCTTGGCCTGGGGGTTGGGAACCCCTGTGCTAGGCATCGTTCTGGGTACCAGGATGCAGCAGTATACATACACACTGTACCCCTCGTGGAGCTTGTGGTCTAACAGGGGATACAGACACTAAACAAATAGCGACACAGATCATTACGATTGTGTGAGTGCAGGAAAAGGAACATTTTCCTGTCAACTCCCTGCTTCAGCCACAATAAACTACTCATAGTCCCTGCCTCCTGGCCCTGGCTCAGGCTGGCCTCTCTCCTTCAGTTGGCCAAGTTCTCCAACCCTCCTGGTCTCAGCTCAAGGTTCTCCTCTCTAAAGGAGTCTTTCCTGAACCTCCTAGGCGGTTCCATGGGATTCTGCTCCCACCCTGGGTCCTCCTGAGCCCAGCACAGGGCTTGGCATAGTAGATGCTCAGTAAATGTTTGCCGCACGAATGGTGAACAGGTCCTCTTAATCCATGTGTGAGTGTTTGCTTTAAAAAATAATAATTATAGAATTTTTTACTTTGATTTTATATCTTCACAAAAGGTTAGTGCTGGGTGCTAATAAAAGTAGAGAGAACCATTACTTAAAATAGAATGCTTGTGAACCCGAGGACTTTCAGGGACTGTGACTAAGATGTTGGGATTGAGGGGTCTCCAGGATGCCTCAGGCCAGCAGGAGGTGGGTGGGGGCTGAGGGGAGGTGAGCCGGCTGCCCAGCCTCACAGAGCCTGTGCTATGGCCACCAGCTCTTCTCTGGGCTCTTGGCCCAGAAGCCTGACTGACCTCCCACTGCCACCCTCTACCCTTCGGCAGAAGCCTGGGGTCTGCCCCTGGATTTAGCTCCTGTGGGCTATACAGTGCTGGGAGGAGAAGAGCAGCTGGGATCGGGATCAGAGGGGCCTAGGGCAGCTGTACCCTAGCACTTTTCCCAGGGCCGCCTCGCTGAGGCTGCTCCGCTCCTCTCTGCTGGGTCAGCAGAGGAGCTCCACTCCCCCACCTCCTCAGTACCTGCTGGGGTTTGAGGCTGTGTCAGGCTTAGGAGCAGCAAAGGAAGGTGAGCTCCGCCACCCACCCACTCTGAAAAGGCTGCTGCTCCCTCCAGAAGAGACTTTGTCCTGTCTGGGAGTCCCCACCTTCGGCCCCTTATCTATAAAATCCACACCGCTCCCTGAACTGCCTTCTTCCTTGGAATTACAGAGTTGAAAGATCACCTGGACCACTCCATTCAGTTTACAGAAGACGACACTGAGGTCTCGAGTGAGGGATTAAGTACCCAAGATGTCACAGCAGATAATGGCAGAGTCATGATTTCTAACAAACAAACAGAAGAAGCAAGTCCCCTGCCTGTCGTCAGCCGGAGCCCCTCTGCTACGCCTGCTCCCCTGTTTCCCATGGACTGCCTCATCTTTTGCCTCTAGTTTGAGCCTGAAAGTTACACCTCCAATGAATGAAACTCACAGGATCATTGGCATCCAGTCTTCCTCCTCCACACCCACTCTCGGCCACCTGCCCTTCTCATCCACAGGTGGGAGCAAAGCTTGGTCAACCTGATAGGCCTCTTCCAGGCAGGGACAGGAGAAGGGACGGCACAGCAGCTCTGAGTCAGGACTCCTTTCGGTAAGGCGTGGCCGCCAGGAAGGCCTGAGAGAAGGAAACCAGCCCAGGTGCGCTCTGTTTACCTTCTCGGCTCACAAACATGACCAGACCCTCCTTGGCTGGCTGGATGAAGTCCCAGCCACTTAGTCCAGCCCTCGAGCCTCTCCCATTCCAGCCACAGTCTGCCTGGCCAGTTCCATCCCCCTACGGCTTTCCTGGTGTACCACACCATCCTCGGATTGCAGCTCGCCCTCTTGGGCCTTTCTGGCCTAGCAGGTGCTGTTCCTTCAGCTCCAATGCCCTTCCCTGCCTCTCCACCCGGCAAGCTCCTTCTCTTTGTATCTTCTGCACTAACACTTCCCTCCTCCCTCCCCTTCCCCTCTTTTTCCTTTGTGCCCCGGTGGCACTTCTGAGACAATGTTACAAGCATAATAAAATAACAAAATCATGAATCTGTGTCCTCCTCCAGACTCTCCTCAATGACAGCAATTGTGTGTTTATCTTTAAATTCTCAGAGCCTAGTATATAGTAAGAACTCAATAAAGGAAAACATTGCTCAACAAATCAATATATGGACTCTGGATTTATGCCAGAGCTAAACTGGGAAGCAAGTTCTAATGTCACATAAGGATTCCCTTCTGATTCATTTGTTCATCAAATAGTTATTGAATACTGCTACGTGCAGAGCACAGTGTAGACAGAGTACGGGGAGCATGAGGCTGGGGTGGACTCGTTCCACTTTCAAGGAGTTTGCATTTTGAAAGTGCAGAAAAGGCAGAAAAGAATTTGAGTTATAAGAAATGGCTAGCATTTACTGACCACCACTGTTATAAGCAGATTATTGCATTTAACTGAACATTAACCCCATAAAATAGGTACTTTTATTGTTAGCCTCATTTTACAGATAAAAAGATTGAGGCTTGCAGAAGTGGAGAGATGTGGCCACGGTACAACTAGGAAGTCATGGAGGCAGGATTTGCACCCAGGCACGGCCTGGACCCCACCAGAATTAATGATGGTGGGGAAGCAATTAACTTTGCCTCAGGAAACTGGGAAGTCAAGGAAGGCTTCACCTAAGAAGGGGCGGCTGAGATGAGCCCTGTAGGACAAGCAGGATTTCCACAGACAGGAAAGTAGCACACCCCAAACTATAGAAAGATCTGGTATAAGACTTTTAGGGTTTAAATTAGTGGCCCTGAACCTTATCTGCACACTGCAAACACCTGGAAGGCTTTAAAAAGCATGGATGCCCCCAGGTCCTGCCCCGGAGATTCTGATACGATTGGTCCTGGAGGCTCTAAATGGGGAGGTGGGGAGGGGCCTGGTGTAAAGTGTATAAGGCGACACCTACCTGCAGCCCAGACGCTCCCTGGATGTTCCAGGTCCTGTTTGTGGAGCTTTCCTGTCCCCTTGGGAGGGGCCCCAGACAACGTGGGCAGGGCTGGTTCTTCCTCCTTCAAATTCATTCCTTTTCTGACCATTTGTGACCTTCCTGTGGCCTGGAGTTGTCGAAGACTCCTGGGGAAATTCCATGGTTTCCTTGCAAGGGGGCATGGGTTCTGTAGAAGGAAGGCACCCAGCTTGCAGTATGCAGGAGCCGAGACCTGCAGGTCAGAGTGAAGACAGCTGATTTGAGGACCCTGGGCAGGCAGCTTGTGTGCTACAGACCTGACGCGGGACAGGAGGGGCTGGAACCCCCCTCCTCTACATCCCAGCAGGCAGGCTCTGTGGGGCAAGGGTGGCTGTCAGGAGAGGGCACCTGGCTTCACCATCACACTGCTGGACGCCCTCAGAATGGTGACATCCCCCAGAGCCAGGGGAGCCAGGCCGTGTGGCTGCAATGGGCAGGGGCTGGATTTCCCCTACTCAGGCCCAGGCAGTGACTCAGGGACAAGTGTTGAAAGCAGACAGTGACCTCAGCTTCCTCGCCCACTGGGGAATGTCACCATGCCCCAGAGCCCCCTCAGGAGCAGACAGCCTGGGGTTCGGTAAGATGGAAGTTGGCAGCTTGGTGTCATGTGGGGCACACAGGACTCTTGCTCTCACCAGCTGGGTGCCCAGAGCTTCCTGTTCCTCATAGAAGTGACATGAACATCCAAGGAGGTGATGTTCATGAACACCAGGAAGGCGCAAAAACAATGACAACCTGTCAGTGCCTGCTGCAATCCATGTATTTATATATTATTGTTTTTCATATATTAATATAGTGTTCCCCTGTATCAGGTCTTATTTCCTTTAAAATTTTTTTTTGTTATTATAAATACCACTGCATTTTGTTTTGAAACACTCCTCAAACTGGCCAGGTGTGGTGGCTCATGTCTGTAATCCAAGCACTTTGGGAGGCCGAGGTGGGAGGATCAATTGAGGTCAGGAGTTCAAGACCAGCCCAGCCAACATAATGAAACCCTGTCTCTACTAAAAATACAAAAATTAGCTGGGCGTGGTGGCGTGCGCTTGTAAACCCAGCTACTTGGGAGGCTGAGGCATGAGAATCACTTGAGCCTGGGAGGTGGAGGTTGCAGTGAGCCGAGATCCCACCACTGCACTCCAGCCTGGGCAACAGAGTAAGACTCCGTCTCACAAAAAGAAAAAAAAAAGAAAGAAAGAAAGAAAGGAAAAGAAAAGAAAAGAAATACTCCCCAAAGTGAAACCCTAGGGTACAGTATCCAAAGCTCTGGCTTACCTATTGCCAGGTTGTCCTCAAAAAAGTTGGCCTAAGCTGCAGTGCTCCTAGCAGTATATGATTTGTACCTATTTCCTTATAGCTTTGCCAATGGTAGGTTTCATATTTTTATTTATTTTTGATAATGAATGGGTGTGCAGTGTGGCCTCCAAATAGTTTGAACGGACATTTATTTAATTTCTATCATTGCATAGAGTATCCACCTGCCTACTAGAAAAGGAGCTCCTGTGGGCCAGGCACAGTACATCACATCTGTAATCCCAGCACTTTGGGAGGCAGAGACGGGCAGAGACTGCTTGAGGCCAGGAGTTCGAGACCAGCTTGGGTAACATAGTGAGACCTCATCTCTACTATAAATTTTTAAAAATTATCTGGGCGTGGTGGCACACACCTGTAGTCCCAGCTACCCAGGAGGCTGAGGCAGGAGCATTGCCTGAGCCCAGGAGTTCGAAACTGCAGTGAACTAGGATCTCACTGCTGCACTTGAGCCTAGGAGACAGAGTGAGATCCTGTCTCAAAAAAAATGGAAGGAAGGGAAGGAAGGGAAGGATGGGAAGGAAGGGAAGGACAGAAAGTATGGGAAGGACAAGAAGGACGGGAAGGACAGGAAGGACGGGAAGGAAGGGAAGGAAGGAAGGTCGGTCTCTCTGGAATGTGGTCCCTACTGGATGGTAGGTGGGTGGATCAATGTGCAAGCCTTCACCTCAGGGATGCCTCCCTGAAGCCCAGGCAGGCCTCTTGCCTGTGCTTCCACAGTCGTGTGACCCTTTCCTTCAGTCACCTTCTCATAGCTGTCATTTTATGTGCATTTGGGAAACTGATTAGTTTATTTCTTCCCCCACAAGACTGTAACCCCATGAGGACCTACTGTTCTGCTCACCATTGGATCACTTATCACCTGGTGTGTGCCTGGCCGACAGTAGGCATTCATTTAAATATTTGCTGAAGTGTTACAGCTCTTTTAGAATTTGTCCAGCAGGCTTTCTGGTTTTTGCTGGAAAGCCCCCCTCCCCCAAGAAAAGTAATTTAAAAAATGAAATACATACATACATACATATATAAATATTCGTTGAATAAATGAATACTTGAAAATCTCATGAGTAAGTATCCAGAGCTCAACTGTGGTATGTATCTTTGCAAAAGAACTTGTCACTGGGCTTAATCAGAAACATTTAAGGAGGACCTACCACATGCCATGTACTCTGTAGCATGGGGTAGGGGGTCAGTTATACAAAAGTGAGAACACAAGGTCTATGCCCTTAAAAACACAGGCTGGTGGTGAGACCCACGCGTCTGCTGTGTCTGCTGTGGGGTTGTGCCCTGTTCTCCCTGTAAAGGAAGCTTCAGGGACAAGTGAAGCTGTTTACCCATGGTCATGGCAGGATGCAGCCCTCTGGGACATCCTAGACCCCAAGATTAGAACAAGTGTGGCCAGCCTAAGCCATAGTCTCCCACGGTCAGATGGCCAGTGACTTAGAACTAGAGAAGCGGGAAGTTTGGGCACTGGGAAGGATCTCGGAAATGCTCTAACACTTGGCTACATCCTGAACCCCCAGGCGCAAATCCCAGCTCTGCTGATTACAGGGCCATGGCAGCCAGGCAAAGCACCTGCCTCTCGGCATTCACTGAAAAAGCCTCAAGGGCTGTGGAGGATTCAAAGGTGGCTGGCGCACGGTGAGCACTGACACACGTTAGCTGGTGAGTGATTTCCCCAAGGTCCTGCAGAGCAAGAGGAAAACCCCCATCTCCTGACCTCGCAGCCGTCAAAACCATATGCTCGTAAAGCTTTTTGGTGTAAGTATTCCCATCAAGAGGAAGGAGATGTGTTTTTGTTTTTTTTTTTTATGCAAAGCAGCTTCAACTGAAACTGACCTCACCATGGGCGTCTGAGTTTGTTTTTGGAGAGGAGGGAGGGAATGAGCCAACTCTCCAGGAACAGCGGGGACACACCCAGGTTGCCCAATCCCTCAGGGCAGTGGAGCCAAGTGCCTCCCAGGCCCCTTTCTGGGCCGGAGGGCGCTGTGGGGTTGCCCTCCTCAGTGCCAGCTCCTCCACAGCCACGGGTCTGCAGGTGACAAACCCAGATAGAACCTTCCCCAGGATCAGCACAGGGTGAGGTTATCACAGGCAGGCCTGGAATGACCCTCAGACCAGCAAGAAGAGTCACATAGACCACATGTCTCTCACCACTCAGGATAGGGCGATGACTGTTCCCACTCACTCACGCGTTGCCTCTGAAGCTGCCCTCACTGCTTTTCAGGGCTCCTGGCTCATAATAATAATCCCGCCAGCCCTGGACACGTGCTGTCCCGCCTCGGCTTCCTTCTGATTTTCTGCGCAGTTCTTTCTCCAGACTGGCTCCCTTTCCATCTCTACTCCCTCCATAAATTGGGGCGCCAGGTGCCCCTGTGATGGTCTCTCAGCCCTTTCTTTCCTTCAGTTGTGTGCCTCTGGCTGGAACTCTGTCTCTTACTTCACCTCTTGGGGGACAGTCTGACCCACCCAGTAAACCTTTTCAAGCCAGGGTCTGGTGGGCTGAGAAGGGTGCTGTACCCTGCAAGTCCTCCAAGATCTAATCTCACCCCATCTGGTCCTGCTCTGCTTCCCGCTGATCCAACTGTTCTTCCTTTAGGGATAGAGAGGGCTTCAACACAAATGCTTCCTGACACCATGGCTTATAACATAAACTCTGTGCTTGGTTTCCTAAGCTTTGGCCTCCAGAGAAAAACCCTTTCTCAACATACTGCATACAACATATGCATGCTGGTTTTCAGAGCATGCTGTCAGCTATGGCTTTTGAAGCCTCTACATTGAAACTTTTTTTGTTCTAGGCCAGAGCTGCTCAGTCTTTACCTGTGTATAATAACCTGAGGAGTTTATGTGTCAAAACACAGATTTCTGGCCAGGCGCTGTGGCTCATGCCTGTAATCCCAATACTTTGGGAGGCCGAGGCGGGCGGATCACGAGGTCAGGAGATCAAGACCATCCTGGCTAACATGGTGAAACCCTGTCTCTACTAAAAAGACAAAAAATTAGCTGGGCGTGGTGGTGGGTGCCCATAGTCCCAGCTACTTGGGAGGCTGAGGCAGGAGAATGGCGTGAACCCGGGAGGCGGAGGTTGCAGTGAGCCAAGATTGTACCACTGCACTCCAGCCTGGGTGACAGAGTGAGACTCCATCTCAAAAAACAAAAAAACGAAAAAAAACAGATTTCTTGGCCTCATCCCCAGAGACTGAGATTGAGATTCAGTAGATGTGGGCTGTGGTCCCAGAATTTGCTTCCCTCTCAGGTAATGCTGATGCTGCCAGTCCACCAACTCCACCTGGAGCAGGACTGTCCTCGAAACCTCAGCCCTCACCCCAAAGTAAGGAATGCTCCCAGCTTAAAGTCAAAGGGGAGAAGAGGAATGAAGGAAAAGATGCAGGCAAGAAATATCTCACTTAACACATTCCCAAATACTGACCTACTCCACAGGTTTACCCTTGCAAAGTAATGAGTTCTTTGCAAAGCAAGGTTCTGAGAAGTAAGGAAATTTGCCCATGTCACACAGCTTTTGATTGGCACAGCCTGGATCCAAGTGCTAACCTGTCTGCTTGGTCCTGGCCCACTGAGTCACTGAATTCATGTGAGATTGATTGTCACTGGTAGAAACATCACCAGACATGGTGACATGGCTGGTGAGAACTGTCATCTCTGCTACCCACACAGTGTTCACAAATGCACGTGCAGCTATCTATACACCTGATAAATCCCACTGCTTCTCAGGTTAGGGTGCTGGGGTTAGTGTGTCTGAACAGTGGCCGGAGCAGCCTAGCTGAGAGAGGCATTCCCACGCTTGGGTCTTCCATGTCTGGCTTGATCCTGCCCTCCATATAGCATGACTATGACTGATAGGTCAGGACTGTCCTAGAATATTACTGACTGTGTGAGAATTCTCAAGCACCAAATGTTATAAGGAGTAGAAAGCTTTAGCACCAAGGGTTTAGCACTTTCTCAAAGTGTGGTCCCAGGCAGGTGCAGTGGCTCATGCCTGTAATCCCAGCACTTTGGGAGGCTGAGGCTGGAGGATAGATTGAGACCCAGAGTTCAAGACCAGCCTGGGCAACATAGTGAGACCCCCATCTCTAAAAAATATTTTAAAACAATTAGCTGGGTATGGTGGTGCACGCCTGTAGTCCCAGCTACTCAGGAGGCTGAGGTGGGAGGATCGCTTGAGCCTAGGAGTTCGAGGCTGCAGTGAGCTATGATCAGGCCACTGCACTCCAGCCTGGCTGACAGAGTAAGACCCTGTCTCAAAAAAAAAAAAAAATTAAAGAATTTTTTAAAATAAATAAAAAAAATTGTGGTACCCAGACCAGGAGCATCAGCTTCACCTGGGAACTTTTTCGAAACCCAAACACTTGGATCCCAGCCCTGACTACTGAAGCAACAACTTTGGAGTTAGGGCCCAGCAGCCCACATCTTAACATGCCTTCCAGGATTCTGACTCACAGCTAAGGTTTGAGAACTGCCGTTCTCAGGAGAGAATTAGCCAGATTCCTAGTATGGCTTGGGAGGCTTTGATTTGGTGGCATGGAGGGTTCCCTGCTCTCTGGGTTAGCTCTGACATTCACCAGTGGAGGAGGAGTTTGTGAAGCATATGGTGATAATCTAGCTGTGGGGTCAACTGCACACTGCTGCCTCAATCGGTTGCAGCCTTGCCCTGGAGGGGATTTATTGCCAGGATAGTCTTGCTGCTGTGGTAACTCTTGCATTCAGGCCAGGCCCTTCCTCTGTGGGGGATAAATTTACATCACTTAGACACTAGGTAAACTCAATGCCCTTCTCTGTTCCCCAGAGCCCAGGGAAGCCTATTTATTGTCACTGCAGTGGTAGACCGAATCACTGCCCTGGCCCAACTGGCCTTGGTGTATTTCTTTCTTTCTTTCTTTCTTTTTTTTTTTGAGTTTCGCTCTTGTTGCCCAAGCTGGGGTACAGTGGCATGATCTCAGCTCGCTGCAACTTCTGCCTCCTGGTTTCAAACGATTCTCCTGCCTCAGCCTCTGAGTAGCTGGGATTACAGGTGCATGCCACCACGCCTGGCTAATTTTTTGTATTTTTAATAGAGATGGGGTTTCATCATGTTGGCCAGGCTGATCTCGAACTCCTGACCTCAGGTGATCCACCCGCCTCAGCCTCCCAAAGTGCTGGGATTACAGGTGTGAGCCACTGTGCCCGGCTGGTGTATTTCTTACAATGTTCAGGAACTCCCAATTTTCTGTTTTAGGAAAAAAGTAAATTGAATGTTATATGTGGGGTCGGTGTGGAGGAAAAGTTAAATATTAAATTTGAATTCAATTAAACATGGACAAAAACAATGATCACCAATTCCCAGAACAGGTTGTGTGAGCCCCTTGAGACGTTCATCCGCACTGTTTCGGAGAAATCTCTATTTCAATCTATTCCTATACGTTAGTTATTGAAAAACAATAGACAATCACAAAACAAGTTCACCTTTTTGTGTTCCTTGAGCTCAGTCAGGAAGGGCCCTCATGACTGGGCCTCATGCCAAAAAACTAGTTACAAAGAAGCTAGAGTTCCAGACTGCGCCTAAGCTTCATGAGACCTCTCCTCGTCTGCACAGACGAGTGGCCAACACTGGAGCCCAGGCTATTGCTTCCCAGTCTGGTGGTGAATCGTCCATAGTCTGGTAAGTGTAAATATCTTTTCCCTTCTTCCCTTCCCATTGCAATTTGCTTATTCTATCAATCTGCTTATTAACTGTTTATTATTATATCATTTGCTTATTATATCTGCATTGCCATTTACATGGGATAAAGGTTGTTTACCCTTAAAGGTATTGTGTGTGTGTCTTTTCTTCTCCCTTCATGTGTTTCCCACACAGAAGAGTCAGGTACTTTATATGGTATTAAAAAATTATGCTAACCTCTGTTATTTCTGGAAGTGACACAGCAGGTAAATGTGGGTCAAATTTGTGTGTGGGGGGTGAGGGGAGGAGACATAATTCACATAAAATTCATCCTTTTAAATGGCACCACAAGAGAACTTTCTGGAGTGATAGAAACATTCCACAGCTAGTTTTGCATGACTATTCCATCAAAATTCTTCCTTAAACTGAACAACTGAGGCCTGTTCATTTTATTGTATCTAAACTACATCTCAATTTAAAATAGTAATTTTTAATTATCAAATTAAAATGCTATTTTAACTCAATTTAATTTTATGTAATTAAACATTATTATTTTTTAATTAAATAATTTTTAAATAATAATTTTAAAAGCAAATGGCACTACTTTTTAAAAAATCTGGCACAATTAAAATGTGGGAAACATACAGTGGTTGACTCAATGAAATAGTCTCCAAATTAATATGCAAACAATAGGTCACATTTGCCTTGTGGTGTTAGTTCATTTCTCAAATCCATTTCTCATTTTTGTTAAGGAGAATTGGGATAACCAAAGACATTATAAGTCAGGTTAACTTGCCTGCAGCAATAGAGCCTTAATATACACCAAGGAATAGTATCAACTTTGTGATCACACACTTTAGAAAACATCATATATATTACTTGATGTAAATACAAAAAAGTTGAGTTTTTTTTGTTTTTGTTTTTGTTTTTGAGACCAAGTCTCGCTCTGTTGCCCAGCCTGGAGTGCAGTGGCGCAATCTTGGCTCACTGCAACCTCCACCTTCTGGGCTTAAGCAATTCTCCTGCCTCAGCCTCCTGAGTAGCTGGGATTACAGGCATGCACCATCACGCCCGGCTAATTTTTGTATTTTCAGTAGGGACGGGGATTCACCATGTTGGCCAGGCTGGTCTCAAACTCCTGACCTCAGGTGATCCACCCGCCTCGGCCTCCCAAAGTGCTGGGATCACAGACGTGAGCCACTAAGACTGGCCTTATTTTTTTATTTTTTTGAGACAGAGTCTCGCTGTTGTTGGCCTGGGCTGGAGTGCAATGGCACGATCTCGGCTCACTGTAACCTCTGCCTCCCAGGTTCCAGCAATTCTCCTGCCTCAGCCATCCGAGTAGCTGGGATTACAGGTGCATGCCACTGCACTCAGCTAATTTTTGTATTTTTAGTAGAGACAGGATTTCACCATGTTGGCCAGGCTGGTCTCGAACCCCGTCCTGACCTCAGGTGATCTGCCAGCCTCAGCCTCCCAAAGTGCTGGGATTACAGGCATGAGCCACCATGCCCAGCCACTGGCCTTATTTTTTAAAATAGTATGCCCACTCTCCAAATAAGCAATAGGCTATTATACATGTAATATATGTAATATAATGTCTTATTATATATTCACCAAGTGAATGAGCAAGTTGGTTTTAACATGTCTGCAAGAATTATAACATTTGGGATTTTCCTTAATTTTATTCTAATTTTCATCTTAAAGCTAAGTAGTGTACAAACAGGCAACTGATATAGTCAAACATGACTAAGACAAAAACAAAAAACAGCCTTAGTTTCTACAGAGAAATGATGTAATTATCTGAGGCAATTTTCTAAGCATGGTAAAAAGACATTTTAAGGGACAATCATACTAGAAAAACTAATTCCATTCCGAGAAAGAAAATAAACTTTTATCTGAGGAATGCTTTAGTTATCAGGCCCAGAGAGGCATTGAAATGTGACAGAGTGTGACAGCAGTCACATCCTTGAGCTAAGTGACTACCTCTTGAAGCCATTTGCTATGTGGGCTCTAGACTAACGCCAAGCAGCCATAAAATGCCATACACTGGACACCATCGTGCATACCCTATAGTTCAACAATGTACAGTTAATCATTAATCAGTGTTGTTTCTATAAACCAAGGAGCACTCCTGTCAAACAACTTTGTCAGACCACCTTTTGTTCCCTTTGCCCTTAAAAACCTGCTTGCAGCAAACCCTGGCGGGAGCACTCTGCAAGGCAACTGGGAAGTGTGTCCCGGGCTGCAGTTCTCAACCTTGGCCCCAATAAATTCTCTCTGTTAATTTTGCCTCAGTGTCCTTCTTTAGGTTGAAAATTCCTACCGCTATCTTAGGTACATGCACTCAACTTCATTTCCTTATTCAAACCACAGATTGTTACTTTTGAATGTGAGAATATATGTAATTACTAAAATATGCACATTTATTTATTTATTTTTTGAGATAATAGTCACGCTTTCTCACCCAGGCTGGAGTGCAGCGGTGCAATCTTGGCTCACTGCAACCTCCACCTCCTGGGTTCAAGCAATTCTCAGCCTCCCGAGTAGCTGGGATTACAGGTATGCGCCAACACGCCTAGCTAGTTTTTTGTATTTTTAGTAGAGATGGGGTTTCCCTATGTTGGCCAGGCTGGTCTCGAACTCCTGGGCTGCAGTGATCTGCCCGCTTCGGCCTCCCACAGTGCTGGGATTACTGATTGTGAGCCACCATGCCGGGCCTTATTTCTAAGGAGATATGTATGTTTTTGTTATGTCTTTTCTGGTTGTGAGATCATCTATATGTGTTATGTGTGCAGGGGTTCTTATTTTAAGCTAGGTATCTACGTAGGTGAGAGTGAATATGGGATGCATTTATCTACAGCTGTGTGTGCACTCTGTCTAAAAGGTTTGTAACTGGGGCGTTGTGAACCAAAGATGGGCCAGGAGTCCTCGGGTATGCATAGATTTCAAACAGAGCTGGGTATGCATGGATTTGAAACACGCAATGCTCCCACTCATGGAATGTAATCCTAAACACATACGGCAGTTTTAATAGTGATAACCTCCTTTTTTTCAGACAGGGTCTTGCTTAGTCACCCAAGCTGGAGTGCAGTGGTGCAATCTCGGCTCACTGCAACCTCCACCTATTGGGTTCAAGCAATCCTCCCACTTCGGCATCCCGAATAGCACCACAGGCATGCGTCACCACACCCAGCTAATTTTTTTATTTTTTGTAGAGACAGGGTTTCACATGTTGCCCAGGGCTGGTCTCGAACTCCTAAGCTCAAGCAATCTGCCTGTCTCAGCCTCCCAAGGTGCTGTTATTACAGGGATAATCTTTTTTCTTTAGGAAGAAGGGAATACTTACTGAACAGCTAGTCCATGTTAAGCACCATTTTAGGTACTTTATAGCTATTATCTCCTGTAAGTAATCATTACTACTAACCTAAACAGGTATGAACTGGCCCAGTTTTTTTTTCTTTTTTCTTTTTTTGAGACAGAGTCTTACTTTGTTGCCCAGCCTAGAGTGCAGTGGCGCGATCTCAGCTCACTGCAACCTCTGCCTCCCAGGTTCAAGCAATTTTCCTGCCTCAGCCTCCTGAGTAGCTGGGATCACAGGCGCACACCACCACACAGGGCTAATTTTTGTATTTTTAGCAGAGATGAGGTTTCACCAAGTTGATCGGGCTGGTCTTAAACTCCTGATCTCAAGTGACCCAGCCTCACCCTTCCAAAGTGCTGGGATTATAGACGTGAGCCACCGCGCCTGGCCTGAACTGGCCCATTTTTTTTTTTTTTTTTTTTTTTTTGAGGTGGAGTCTCACTCTGTCGCAGGCTGGAGTGCAGTGGCATGATCTTGGCTAACTACAACCTCCACCTCCCCGTTTCAAGCAATTCCCCTGCCTCAGCCTCCTGAGTAGCTGGGACTACAGGCGTGCGCCACCACACCCAGCTAATTTTTTTTTTGTAGTTGTTATTTTAGTAGTATTTGTGTGGCCCAGCACAAATTTGTAAACTTTCTTAAAACATTGAGTTTGGTTTTTTTTTGTGATTTTGTTAGTGTATTTTATGTGTGGCCCAAGAAAATTCTTCTTCCAACGCGGCCCAGAGAAGCCAAAAGATTGGACACCCCTGGCAGTAGACTATTACCTCCTCCCTCAACTTAAAATCCTTTTCTGGTTCCTTTGTGCCTGGAAGATAATAGCACAAATGTCCTACACATTCCACCTACTTCTTTTTCTCCAATTATCTCTCTTAATATTAAAAATACTCTGTATTGGTCAGGTAGGATGGCTTATGCCTGTAATCCCAGCAATTTCAGAGGCGAAGGCAGGAGGATTGCTTGATGCGAGGAGTTTGAGGCCAGCCTGGCCAACATGCCGAAACTCAGTCTCTAGCCTATAGTCCCAGCTACTTAGGAGGCTGAGTGGGAGGATCACTTGAGCTGGGGAGGTCGAGGCTGCAGTGGGCTGTAATTGCACCACTGCACTCCAGCCTGGGCAATGAAAGTGAGACCCTGTCTCAAAAAAAAAAAAAAAAAAAAATTCCCTGTATTAATCTACTCCAAGTTTCCAAGAGACACCATGCTACTTTAGGTGGCTCTGTCTTGGTAAAAATGTGCCTCTACTTCAATTGCCTTGCTGACTTGTAATGATGATGATTTTTTTTTTTTTTTTTTCAAGAAATCAGCCGAAGTAGACTTTCAGGGATCCACCTTCTTTGGGAAGCTTTCCTTCATACCATGTGCCTACTCCTGTCCTTGCTTTATTGTCCTGGCATTGCTCTCATGCTGTTTACATGTGTGTATCCCTTTCCTAAGCTGTAAGAGCCTCAAGGCCAGCACAGCGTCTAGCACATAGTGAGTGCTCATCAATTGTACAACCTCTTATAAACTACATGAAAATACATCATTATTAGATTGTAAATAAAAAATTGTAAAGTCTGCATGTAAGAGAATGTTATCCGGGTAATGTTCTCGTTATCTGTAGAGATGGCCGTTCTATAAAAGCTGCTTTGGAGTCATTTTCATGACCACAAGTCAGTCAAGTACTCAGTACAACTTAGACAAATGCAACAAGTAAACCTTGGAGTAGATGATTCTGGATTTTAAAATACAGATATAAAGGATATTTTTGAGACAATTAGAGGAAAAAAAGGTGATATTTATGATATCACTATCATATTTATGATAGGTGATATTATTGAATGAATGTTAACTTTCTTAGGGATGATAATGGTATTCTAGTCAGCTACAATGTCTTTTATCTTAGGCAGTGAGTACATGCTTAAATTTTTAGGGAAAAAAGCCTCATGTCTGTAACTTGTTCTCAACACTTTTTTTTTTTTTTTTTTTTGAGACAGGGTCTCACTTGGGTTGCCCAGGCTGGAGTGCAGTGGTGTGAGATCAAGGCTGTCTGCAGCCTTGACCTCCCAGGGTCAGGTGATCCTCCCACATCAGCCTCCCAAGTAGCTGGGACCACAGGTGTGTGCCACCACACCTGGCTAATTTTTGCATTTTTAGTGGAGATGTTTCGCCATGTTGTCCACACTGGTCTCAAACTCCTGGGCTCAAGCCATCTGCCCGCCTCAGCCTCCCAAAGTGTTGGGATTACAGGCATGAGCCACTGTGCCTGGCCTCAACGAGTTAATTTTTGAAAAGCATACATACACAGGGAGATACAGCAAATGTGGCACAATGTTAATTGATAAGAAGTGTGAGTAACTTTCAACTTCTCTGCATATTTGAAAAATTTCAAAATAAAATGTTTGAAGGAAATGCTAAGAACACAACAACAAAACCCAAATCTTTTGAAATTTAAGCATCAACATTGCTTTTGGCCTCTCTCCCTCCTAAACCTGCAGAAAAGTACCTCCCATTGCCATGTTCACACCACCACATTTCAATCAGGTTTGTGTTTTAAAGTTGAAAGCCACAGTCATCCCTTGAAAAACACTCTATACTTTGCTCTCTTAGTTGACCAACCGTTAATTTTTATTTGTGCAAATGACATTACATTAGACTTTAGAAGCTTAAGCAAATAAAAATGTGCTTCCCAATTGCTACGTGTAATTCCTTGAGATCAACTATCAGAGACTTTAATCTGAGACGACTTGAGGTGATAAGGAAGCAACAGAAGTTGGCAGCAGTCTTGCTTTAATCCTCTCAGAGTTGCCAAGTTCCTGGCAAAACCTAGTTATTTGTTATTGCTGTGAAGGTAACGCTGGAGCCCAAAAAATGATACCCCAAATGAAGGCCGCAGAAGCAAAGTTTCTCTGCCCTCCTGTCTGTTGACCCTGATTCTTCCCCAGGTGAGCCATAGAAACTAGAATTCCTCTTCTCCAAGACCGGCCATAGAAGCCAGAATCCCGTTTCCTGAAAGCCAGCCATAAAACCTAAATATATTGCTCTTAAATTTCCCCCACCTTTCTATGTAACAGCTGGCCATAAAGAAATTAAGACACTCATTCCAGAGGGATCCCACCCCCACACCCAGCAGAAGGAAATGCTGCAGACAGGCCTTGGTGAGCTTCCCCATGTAGTCTATTCTGATAGCATTAGGACCATATCCTTTTTGTCCATATTTCTACATGTCCAATCATATTTCTACATCGACTTTTCATTGAACATAAGCATAAAAATGAACAGTTTTCCCTATATCTTTGGGTCTTCATTCTGAAGGCTACCATGTCAAGTAAACTATAAGTGTGTTATGCTTTTTCTAGTTAACCTGTCTTTTGTTATAGGGGTGTTAGCCATGATCCAATGGGGAGGGAAGGGATCACTCCTTTCCTCAAGTGATCAGGCAGTTGGATCACTTGAGGTCAGGAGTTCAAGACCAGCCTGGCCAACATGGCAAAAACCCTGCCTCTACTAAAAATACAAAAATTATCCAGGTGTGGTGGTGGTGCATGCCTGTAATCCCAGCTACTCAGGAGGCTGAGGCACGAGAATTGCTTGAGCCCAGGAGGCAAAGTTTATGAGATGGTGCCACTGCACTCCAGCCTGTCTAGTCTGGGTGACACAGCAAGACCCTGTCTCAAAAAAAAAAAAAAAAAAAAAAAAGTTAACGAACTTAGGTACCTACTTAGGAGAACCAAAAATATATGGCCACACAAAAATTTGTACATGGCTGTTCATAGCAGCATTATTCATAATAGCCAAAAAGTAGAAACAACCCAAATGTTCATCAACTTACCAATGAACAAAAATGGCATATCCTTACACTGGAAGAGTACTGTCAGAAAAAGTAATGAAATACTGATAATATAAACATGGTACAACATAGATGACTCTTAAAAACACTATACCAAGTTAAAGGAGCCAAACCCAAAGGTCACATATTGCCTGATTCCATTTACATGAGATGTCCAGAATGGGCAAATCCATAGAGACAGTTTATTAGTATTTCCCTGGGGCTGGGAGCAGAGGGGTTGGGACTAGGGAAATGACTGCTAATGGTACAGAGTTCTTTCTGGGGTAAGGAAGATGTTCTGAAAGTAGATGGAGATGGTTGCACAACTTTGTGAATACGCTAAAAACCACTGAATTGTTCAATTTAAATGGGTGAATACTATGACATGTGAATTATATCTCCATTTTTTTAAAAAAAGTTAATGAAAAGCAACTTTCTTCTTATTTCATTTTTAGGGACAGGCAGGGGAGCCCAGCGGCATGCTGGATATGAATGTATCTTCAGCCTTCAAGTTACCATTGGCCAGAGGGAAGAGTGGCCCCAAACTCTGAAGAGCGCTGGCAAGGCTCCCCATCTTCCTCTCCCTAGCCTCCACAGGAACATCACAGTATGGCTTGGCATTTTTTTTTTTTTTTTGAGACGGAGTCTCACTCTGTCACCCAGGCTGGAGTGCAGTGGTGTGATCTCAGCTCACTGCAAGCTCTGCCTCCCGGGTTCATGCCATTCTCCTGCCTCAGCCTCCCGAGTAACTGGGACTACAGGCGCCCGCCACCACGCCCAGCTAATTTTTTGTATTTTTAGTAGAGACGGGGTTTCACTGTGTTAGCCAGGATGGTCTCAATCTCCTGACCTTGTGATCTGCCCGCCTCAGCCTCCCAAAGTGCTGGGATGACAGGCGTGAGCCACGCGCCCAGCCTGGCTTGGCATCTTTAGGGCAGATCTCAGTATGCCTTGCATTCCAATTCATCTCCAGAATCCTACACTTCCTCCAAGGTCAGTCCTCATGCGAGTCTCCAACCTCATCCCCACTTCATTTTCCTCATTGTACTTACCATCTTTTATTCGTATCCCACCAAATTTTGGCTTTGTTAGCTATACTGCAAATAGTAGATGCTCAATAAACTACTAGTGAATGAATGAACTTGGAAAAAAAAGCTTACACAGAAATCTGTACTGGATGTTATTTAAAAGATGAAATTTCATGGTTCAAATGTATTTTTCTCCCATAAAAATATTTTCTCTTCCATTTAAATATATACCTAATCTTTGAGAAATCTTGCACAAATGGCATTTTATTAAAGAAAATCTAATTTACAAAGCTTTGTAAATTTTAAGAAAAACATTCATAGATCATAAACAAAAATTTCAATATGCAATATTCAAATTTACAAGAAAATAAGCACAAACTTTTAGACAGTGCAGTTATTGCTGCACTCCTTTAATTCCTTATCCAGAGCCCAAAAAATGTAGACAAACCCTAAAAATGTAGCAGAAGCATTTCCGCACACTGGTGTCCAGAATCTAGTTTGTGCAGAAATGTTTCCACTAGATTTATAGAGTACTCTTCAGAAGAAAGAGGCGAGGGCTCGTCATTTGGTCACCCTTTGGACATTTTGCAACTCTTCAATGGGTTTCCATTGTTGGTTGATTGTTATAAGCTGAAGAGAAAAAAGGAAAAAAAAAAAACCTTTTGTTAAAAATTTGACTTTCATTTGCATGTCCCTCTTTCGGATTTGTCCACACTCCCCTTTAGAAAAAGCATCACCATTGTGTTTGTACCTACCTCTTTCCATATCTAAAACATGCACAAAATAGTAATGTGAGCTGGTTTCTATCAGTCCATCTTTTTACAAAGCCCTTGGGCTCCTAAGTGTTATGAGATCAGAGGGAAAGATCAAACACATGTGCCCTACTTTCACTTAGCAGTATCCAGATTTTTTTTTAAGACAGTCTTGCTGTGTTGCCCAGGCTGGAGTGCAGTGGCACAACTGCAACTCACTGCAGCCTCCGCCTCCCATGTTCAAGCAATTTTCGTGCCTCAGCCTCTCCAGTAGCTGGGTTTACAGGTGCGTTCTACTACACCCAGCTAATTTTTGTATTTTTAGTAAAGATGGAATTTCACCATGTTGGCCAAGCTGGTCTCGAACTCCTGACTTCAAGTGATCCACCCGCCTCGGCCTCCCAAAGTGTTGGCATTACAGGTGTGAGACACCGTGCCTGGCCGGTATCCAGATTTTTAAGTTTGCCAGGTATTATGTGAGCCATAGTTCCAAAAGTGTATATGCTTCTCATGAGTGGATGGACAATGCTCCTGGCATAGAGTAGGCTCTTAAAATTTCCTCATTTTAATTACTCGATGAAGGCACAATTGATCTAAGTTACACAATAAGGGTAAGGTACTAAATCTATTTTGCTCACAAAGGTGCTAAGGTTTGGGCAAAATATAAATCATTTGTTTTTAATTTAACAATACCTTTTGAGGTACAGTAGGGTCCACAGTTTCCCAAGGTTCTGGATTTTTTTTTCGATCAAGGCTAAAATTAAAGAAAGCCAATTAAACATTAAAAGATGTGAATTTAAACCAACACTGATACTGGGTTTATAAACATGTTAGGGACAAAACCAGTCTCATACTAAGGCATGTGTCTGCTAATGATCAGGAACCATCAGTAGCAACTAAAATTGATTGAAAATTCTCTAAGGGAGTTTCATGGTGTGGCTCAAACATTAAACATCAGTTCCCCTAAAGGGTAGGAGGTCTGTATTCTCTTGATTGGGCTGCATTGGGGAAGGATCCCACAAACCAAATAACCATGGGAGTGAAACTGCCAAGCCAAGGACATGCAATAATGTTCTTATCTCAGTCTGTGGGAGGGGCAGGTTGAACTCTGCAGGTGGTGAACTCCAGGGCTCTAGGCTCCTCTGCCAGCGGTTAGAGGACTGCCCTCTCCAGCCCTGCACCAGCCTCCAACAGTTTCAAGTTTATCTTTTCCTCATATTCCAGGATACATGTTTTTGTTTTTTACTTTCTTCTACCCAAAGTTGAGATTAGGTTCATCGTAGACAACTGAATCTATCAATTCTACCACATTAGTAAAAATCTAATAAGCTAAAATTTAAAATTTTAATTAAAATGATTGTTTCATGATATATATCTCCCAAAACCACTGAAGAACTTTAAATTTCAAAACTTAAAAAAAAAAAAACAAGCTTTACTTCACTGCCAGAGAGTGGAGAAGGGCCAATGGGTAAAAGAATAAACACAAGAAATAAACTAATTTGATTAATATCATGGGTTTTTTTAAATTTTTTCTTTTTTTTTTCTAATTTTCATTTTCTGACCCATTGGTAGACAATATCATAAGAGTTTTCTGATAAAAGATGCTTTTTAACCCTGACTCCCAGTTCACAATTTGGCATTCTCATCCATGGGAAAAAAATAGGAAACTTATACATTTCATAAACTAAAAGTCATCCAAACACTGCCAAAAACGTTTTTATAAATTGAGACCTACTTACATCACATCGGTTTTCCAAAGAGAATACACAGCGAAAGATGAGGCTCCACCCGCCGCCACAGTCATGAACACCACCAAGGGAATGAGCTAACAAATAACAGGTGGAGGGGACACATTTGGACACTTCAATATGAAACATTTGAAACACAGCAAAACAACTGTATTTATTTTATACTTTGTTCAAAATCTGTGCCATCTTTTCATCTTTAAAAATGAAAACTTTAGTCAAGATTTTCAATTGTTTTTAAAACTTACTTCCTTCCTTTTCATCAGGAGTTGGAAAAAGCTCATGATGACTTCAGCGAAGAATTGCCAAATCTAGAAATTAAAAATCCAAAGTATTGATCGCCTGGTGGGCGCCAAACCGTCCACCGCGCTCCGCAGGCCAACTGCGGGCCGGCGCGTCCGCGTCTCTGCAGATGGGAGACTCACCTGGACGCCGGGCGGTGCGCACGGACGATGGTAACGCCCGGAACCGAACGGGCCGGCGGCCTCCCCACCTTATATATAGCGACCACAACCGCCCCGGGTGGGCCGGGCCAGCGCGCTCTGGTCACGCGCGTGGGGCGGGGAGCGCGAGGGACCTGACTCGCTTTCCCCGTTGGGCACGCGACTCCCGGGCGCCCCCTGCAGGACATTCTGCGGCTGACGTGAAGCGCCCGAACGCGGGCGCTGGCGCCCCCTGCCGCTCGCCGCGGTCTTCCTTACCTGCCGACCCCGGTCGCTCTTGGCCCCCCTAGGTGCTTGTGAGGAGTTTGGAGGTTTGGGGAGTAGGAGGTGGAACCCCCTAAGAGGGGAGCGCAGATAGCCGAGGCCTGAGGGAAAGCCAACCCTTCTAAAAGGGTATCCGGGCCTGGCGCGGTGGCTTAGGACTGTAATCCCAACACTTTGGGAGGCTGAGGCAGGAGGATCACTCGAGTCCAGCCTGGCCAACGTGACGAAACCACGTCTCTACTAAAAAAAATTAGCGGGCGTGGTGCTGCATGCCTGCAGTCCCAGCTACTGAGGAGGGCGAGGCAGGAGAATCGCTTGAGTCCAGGCCTTTGAGGTCGCAGTGAGCCAAGATTACACCACTGTATTCCAGCCTGGGCAACAGAGCGAGACCCTGTTTTAAATAAAATAGAATAAAACAAAATATTTAAATAAGCAAATAAACAATAAAAGGGGGTCCGGAAAAATGAGCTGCAGACCGGAGGGTCCCAGGAGAGGCTCCCAGGTGCAGGCGGGTAAATTAGAATTAATCCAATCACATTAAAAGCTCCAAAATGTGGTCTGTGCACCTATGGAGATCATTAAAATTAAATTGTAAAGTTTATTTCAGAATAACTCCCAGGGCGTCCTGACTTTTTCTGCTAAAAAAAAAACCCAAAAAAACAAAAACAAACAAATAAACACAATAAAACAAAAACCCGAGGTCGAGGGAGAACAAACAAAAGAATAAGCTGGGGAGGCTGTCAGGAGAAGGTCTTTCTGCAAACGACCCTGCCGGCTGGTTTAGTCTTTGGGTTCCCTCCTAACTCTCCTCTAAGCCAGCAACCTCACTTTGCAGTTTGCAGGCGGCTGCAATGGTAACAATTTCACAGAGCCAGGGGCTGTGTGTGTGCCAGACACTGAGCCAGATTCCCCTCGGCAAGGTGGGTGCAAAGTCTTATTAAGACTCAGAGAGGCTCTGGTCACGTCACTGGTAAGTGGCGGCGATGCCATCAGAACGCAGGTCTGTCTGGTGCCCAACACCATGGTTCTGTCTGCACCCCTCTGTTAAATACTGCAATAAGTAAAGGACCAGTTATTTTAAAACAAACAGTTTGAAGTTCAAGCTGTAAGTTAAAGTTAAAAGGCAACATCTTAACGTTCCCTGAAATTGGCTAGACCCTGCTGTGTTTCAACCCCATTTTCATTCTAAACCTGGGTTTTGTAGTCAAATGGACCTGAGTTCAGAGCCTGCCCCTGCTATACTTATTATTAATAGCTGACTTTAAGTAAACTACTTAACCTTCATGAGTTTCAGTTTATATATCTGCAAAATGGGGGCAAACCTGGCAGGGGAGAGAGTTGGAAAAAATGTTAGAATATATGTAAAGCATTCTGTCCTGCTTGTAGTAGGCACTCAACAAATAGTTACTATATGCAAAGATTTGGTTTTTTGTTTGTTTTGTTTTTTGAGCCAGAGTCTCGCTCTGTCACCCTGGCTGGAGTGCAGTGGTGTGATCTCGGCTCACTGCAACCTCTGCTTCATGGGCTAAAGCGACTCTCATGCCTCAGTCTCCTGGGCATCTGGGAATACAGGCATGTGCCACCACGCCCCGCTAATTTTTGTATTTTTAGTAGAGACAGGTTTTGCAACGTTGGCCAGGCTAGTTTTGAACTCCTGACCTCAGGTGATCCGCCCCCCTCAGCCTCCTAAAGTGCTGGGATTATGGGTGTGAACCACCACGCCCAGCCTCAAAGATTTGTTTTATGTAAGGCTGATCATAAATGTAGTTTCCCACTCCCTTACTCTGGCAAGCGTTCTTACTGTTTAACCCCAGAACTGTAACTAGAGACATTTGCTAATTGGATGGATCTACGTTATATACTTCAAAGAAAATTCAACATTAATTCTCCTTGGTTTGTATTACCTAGAATCAGAGAAGCCTTTTAATGAAAGACTTCTAAGGCTACTTCTGTCAGAAGATTCTACAAAAAAACCTCATGTTATTAAGAAACAGAAGTTTTTCTAGGATGGAAGGAAGGGAGGGAGAGAGAAAGAGAAACAGGACGAAGAGAGAGAGAAGAAGAAGAAATAAATTTTACATTAGTATTTCATGAGCCCAAAATTGAAATTAAAAATGTGTAGCCATTGCCTATTAATGACCTTAAACACAGAGCCGTGCTTTGCCAGTATCATTTCTTTTCAAAATGTAATGCAGTTTTTTAGTAGTCTAGGCATTATTCTGAGGATGGGGGCATAGCAGAATTAAAAAGAGTAGTAAGACACAAATCACTTACTTCAAGGTGCTTGCAATTTAGTAACTCTAAATAACTCTAATGCAAGGCATGATCTGTTGCCAAGACAGGTGATTAATTCTAACTAAGGGGGTCTGAGAAAACTTACCAAAGGTGGGGTATTTATTTGAATATACAAAAAGACAAATCAACTGTAAAAAGACATTTTGGGGGCAAGTGGGAAACTTAAATAGGATCCAGACATTAGATGATATTAAAGGGATATTGTTAAGTTTCTTAGGTGTGATAATAGTATTGCAGTTTATATATATATATAACTGCAATATATATATAACTGCAATAACTGCAATATATATATATCTCGGCTCACTGCAACCTCTGCCTCCCAGGTTCAAACAATTCTCCTGCCTCAGCTTCCCGAGTAGCTGAGACCATGGGCGCCCGCCACCATGCCCAGCTAATTTTTGTATTTTTAGTAGAGAGGGGGTTTCACCGTGTTGGCCAGGATGGTCTCAATCTCTTGACCTCGTGATCAGCCCGCCTTGGCCTCCCAAAGTGCTGGGATTACAGGTGTGAGCCACCGCGCCTGGCCGGCGATTATATTTTTTAAATGGCCTCTCCCTTTTTCAGAGCTTGTATGTGGAAATATTTAAGGGAGAAATATTATGATGTCTGGGATTTACTTTAAAATATTTCAACTAGGCCAGGTGCGGTGGCTCACGCCTGTAATCCCAGAACTTTGGGAGGCCAAGGTGGGTGGATCACGTAAGGTCAGGAGTTCGAGACCAGCCTGGCCAACATCTCTACTAAAAAATACCGAAAATTAGCCAGGTGTGGTGGTGGGCGCCTGTAATTGCGTAATCCCAGCTACTCCGGGGGCTGAGGAAGGAGAACCACTTAAACCTGGGAGGTGGAGTTTGCAGTGAGTCAAGATAGCGCCATCGCACTCCAGCGTGGGCAACAAGAGCAAAACTCCATCTCAAAAAAAAAACAGAAACAAAAACACTTCAACTAAAAAACAAATTAGGAATATTTTACAAAATAATAATTATTTAACGTAGGTGATAGGTATGTGTGGGTTTGTTGTACTCTTCCTTTTATGTATGTTTGGAAATGTTTAAAATAAAACATTTTTAAAATTCACAAATTATACGTAGTTAGTTACAGATATAATTTGCCCATATAACCTTTAAGATCTTATTCCTATTTGCAGCAATAAAAATTAAACCCAGAAAGCCACACTTTTCTTCCTTTTCATAATGCCTGGGTATATCAAGCTTTTGAGATATCAAAGTCAATATGTAGTTTGGTCTTTCCCTGATTCAAGAATTATAACACTGTGCTTTGGGTGACTCATTTATATTTTACAATTAATAATATTACGGCAAATGCAGCAATTTTGAATTATTTACTCAATAAATTCTGTTGGCCAGGTGCCGTGGCTCAGGCCTGCAATTCCAGCACTTTCGGAGGCAGAGGTGGGAGGATCACTCAAGGCCAGGAATTTGAGACCAGCCTAGATAACATAGCCAGACTCTACAAATTTTATTTTTTTTTTTGAGACAGAGTTTCACTCTTGTTGCCCAGGCTGGAGTGCAATGGTGCAATCTCAGCCCACTGCAACCTCCGCCTCCCAGGTTCAAGCAATTCTCCTGCCTCAGCCTCCTGAGTAGCTGGGATCACAGGCCCATCATGCCCAACTAATTTTTTGTATTTTTAGTACAGAAAGGGTTTTACCATGTTGGCCAGGCTGGTTTCGAACTCCTGACCTCAGGTGATCCACCTACCTCGGCCTCCCAAAGTGCTGGGATTACAGGCATGAGCCACTGCACCCAGTCTACAAAAAATTTTAATAATTAGCTGGGTATGGTGATGTGGGCCTGTAGTCCTAGCTACTTGGGAGGCTGAGGCGAGAGGATTGCTTGAGCACAGGAGCTTGAGGTTACAGTGAGTTATGATTGTGCCACTGCACTCCAGCCTGGGCAACAGAGCAAAACCCTGTTTCTTTCTTTCTTTCTTTCTTTTTTGAGATGGAGTCTTGCTCTGTTGTCCAGGCTGGAGTGCAGTGGGGTGATCTCAGCTCACGGCAACCTCCACCTCCCGGGTTCAAGCCATTCTCCTGCCTCAGCCTCTCAAGTAGCTGGGACTAACAGGCATGTGTCACCACACCTGGCTATTTTTTTTTTGTACTTTTAGTAAAGACGGGGTTTCACCATGTTGGCCAGGCTGGTTTCAAACTCCTGACCTCAAGTGATCCACCTGCCTCGGCCTCCCAAAGTGCTGGGATTATAGACGTGAGCCACTGCGCCCGGCCCAAAACCCTGTTTCTTAAAAAACTAACAATAAAAAACTGTCACCAAAACAAGTACAGTTGACCCTTGAACAACTTGGGGATTAGGGGAACTTACACACCCCTGCTCTCCACATAGTCAGAAATCTGCATATAACTTTTGACTCCCCCAATATTTAACTACTAATAATCCAGTGTTGACCAGAAGCCTTACTGATAATCTAAACAGTTGACTAACACATATTTTGCTTTTTATATAGGTAAAGTTCTTACAATAAAGCAAGCAAGAGAAAATAAAAATGAAGAAAATCATAAAAAGAAAATATCACTTTTTTTTTTTGAGACGGAGTCTTGCTCTGTCGCCTGGGCTGGAGTGCAGTGGGACGATGTCAGCTCACTACAACCTCCGCCTCCTAAGTTCAAGTGATTCTCCTGCCTCAGCTTCCCAAGTAGCTGGGATTACAGGCATGAGCCACCGGGCCTGGCTGAGAAAATATATTTCTATTCATTAAGCAGAAGTGAGTCATCAGAAAGGTCTCCATCTCTTCAAATTGAGTAGGCTGAGAAGGAGGAAGAAGAGGAGGGGTTGGTTCACTGCTTCAGTGTGGCAGAGGTGGAAGAAAATTCACATATAAGTGGACCCAAGCAAATCCCAGCACTTTGGGAGGCCAAGAGGCTGATCACCTGAGGTCAGGAGTTCGAGACCGGCCTGGCCAACATGGTGAAACCCCGTCTCTACTAAAAATAGAAAAATTAGCCGAGTGTGGTGGCAGGTGCCTGTAATCCCAGCTACTCAGGAGGCTGAGGCAGGAGAATCGTTTGAACCCGGGAGGCAGAGTTTGCAGTGAGTCGAGATCGTGCCACTGCACTCTAGCCCGGGCGACAGAGTGAGACTCCATCTAAAAAATAATTAATTATAAGAGGACCCAAGGAGTTTAAACTTGTGTTGTTCAAGGGTCAACTGTATGTGACTTAAGAACCTTCAGATTTTCTGCCCTTTTGCCTGAGGTTGTGAAGGCAAGACCCCAGAAAAGAAGTTTGTCATTCAGTTCTTTAGCAATAAGAACACTTCCCACTCCAAAATGTAATGGAATTCATAGCCTCACCACCAGCAACCAGAGGATAGACATGAAATTAGGGTCCTCCCTGCCCCCAAGCCCTGTGTACTGGCCAGGGTGCCCAGAAGGCACCGCCAGGCCAGTACTGCCTGGGTGACCAGGATGAGAAACAGGCACAGCTCCCAGCCCTTCAGACCCTGGCAGCCCCCAAAGCAGCCCACTCAGGACACTCACCAGCATCACCCTCTGTGGCTGCCCCGGAGCCCATAATCCCTTGGGGGGTCTTCCCCACCCACCTCCAGTTACCAGCAACTTGTAGAGCCTTTCTCTAGCTACTGCCACTCAGGCTTGCAGGGGCATGGAGACATGGCTGCTTGGTTCATACCCCAGGAATTTAGATTTTTTTTTTTTTTTTTTTTTTTAGGATGGAGTCTCGATCTGTCGCCCAGGCTGGAGTACAGTGGTGCGATCTTGGCTTACTGAAACCTCTGCCTCCCGGGTTCAAGCAATCCTCTTGCCTCAGCCTCCCGAGTTGCCAGGATTACAGGCGTGAGCCATTACGCCCAACTGTTTTTTTTTTTTTAGTAGAGACGGGGTTTCACCATGTTGGCCAGGGTGGTCTCAAACTCCTGACCAGCCTGAGTCAGGTGAGGTGATCCACCCGCCTCGGCCTCCCAAAGTGCTGGGATTACAGGCGTGAGCCACCATGCCTGGCCAGGAATTTAATCAGTCCAGCTCAGGCTTTTCTGAGAAAAATAGAAATTTCATTATTAAATATTTTTTGTTGACATTCTTTCTCCCTGTTCCTGATGATGGATGTGTTAATCCTGACCTCATCCTTCAGTGGCTGCCTTATGACCAGGCTTATAGCACTGGATTTGCTGAATTTTGGAGGTTCCAGGGATGTTCTATGTTGTTTAAGGTTAGTCAGCCTTAAGCAATAATGTGGCCCAGAAAGCAGTTTGAGTTCAGTTTATAGGGAAAACTGTTTACACTTCCCAGTATACCAGAAAGAAGGTGTTCAGAAGCTGGTGTTTTAATTTTCTCACAGATCAAGAATACAGCTTTTGGAAGTTGTCCAGAGCCATTCTAAAATCAGATTCGAACAGGATCAAAGAAATTCTTGATCTCATTTTGTCATCTATTGAGCATTTCAGTGAGAAGAGACACATAGTCTTTATGCTCAGGAAGCTTTCAATGTTCTGTTGAGAAGTTACAGTCATCCCTCTATATCTGCAGGGAATCGGTTCCAGGACCCCTCTCAGACACCAAAATCCACGAATACTCAAGTCCCTGATATAAAATGGTATAGTATATGCAGGTTGCCTACACACGTCCTCCTGGTTATACTTTAAAAAAATCTCTAAATTACTCATAATACCTAGTATAATATAAATGCTATGCAAGTAATTGTTACACTATTGTATTTTATTTGTGATTTTTTAAAATTTGTATTTATTTATTTGAAACAGTCTTGCTTGGTCGCCCAGGCTAGAGTGCAGTGGTGTGATTTTGGCTCACTGCAACCTCTGCCTCCTGGGTTCAAGCAATTCTGGGGCCTACCTGAGTCCCAGAGTAGATGGGATTACAGACCCACACCACCATGCCCCAGCTAATTTTTTGTATTTTTAGTAGAGATGGGTTTTTACCATGGTGACCAGGTTGGTCTTGAACTCCTGACCTTAGGTGATCTGCCCGCCTCGGCCTTCCAAAGTGCTGGGATTATAGGTGTGAGACATCACGCCTGGCCTATTTTTTATTGTTGTATTGTTTTTGTTTGTTTTTTCAAGTATTTTCAACCCACATGGTTGGCTGAATCTGCCCATGTGGAACCCACAGATGAGGAGGACTGACTTTAATTACAACTTAAAAAGACATCTTCAAATCAGCTCAGCCTTGAACAAGCATGGTTGCTAAATTACCAGCCTACTAGAAACTTTCTGGAAAAGAACAGGGGCCCACAGCTAGATGTCTGAGTTAAGGGGTTCAGGCCAGGGTTTGTCAGGTGCAGGATGGCTGCCTTGTTCAATAAGATTAATAACCAACAAAGAAAATGTATAGTAAGAATTCCAGTAAGTTTTCTAGGTATTTTCATATTACTCAAAAGCAAAGGTCAGTGTGTTATTTTAATTGAATATTTTATACCTACAAATCACGTTTTTTCTTTAATTATTCCCAGTAGTCCTGGCTGCACTCAGAAATAGGAAACTTTCCAATAACTGCTTAACGTTTTATGACTTCATACATTTCATGCAGTAGTCTCTCATCGTACCCTCTACTTCTTTTGAAGCACGTCTGACCATTGTAATTAATTCACTGACAATTTGTCTGATGCCTGCCTTGTTCACTGGACGTTCCAGCACCCAACTTAGCACCTTGTGGGTGGAGAATGGCCTAGTAAGATGTTTACCAGATATTGTTAGGTGAGAAGAACAAGAGTTATGCAGTATCATTCCTTTCTGGTTTTAAAAATTATCTATACATGCATGAAGGACTGGAAGGTTAAACACTAAAGGGTTTTTTTTTGTTTCTGTATTTTCTAGTATTCTAAATTATTCTGTAATAAATGAAAATAGAAATGTACATGTAACCTGTCTCTTTAAAAACTTTTAACTACTTACAACTACAAAACGAAAAATAGCAGTATAGTGGAGAAACCAGACAATACTGCCAACAAATGATCAAAATTAACATTATCAAGAAGGTACAGATGTCATGTGCCTTCAGCTGTGATACTCTGAGAATACAATGCCCCTATGTAGTGCTCGACTGGTAATACATAACCTGAATCTACCATGATAAAACATCAACTACAAGTCCAGGAATGAACTGCTCAATAAAATAATTGGTCTATACTCTTCAAAAATGTCAGGGTCAAGAAAGATTGAGACACTGTTTCAAGTTAAGAGGCTAAAGAGACATGGTGACTAAATGAAATGTGTGATCCTAGACTGGATCCTGTAATGGGGAAAATTACCATATAGGACGTTATTGTGACCATACATGAAATTCACTGGATGATAGATTAAAATACTGTGTCAGTATTAAATTTGCTGAATTTGGTCATATAATAACCTTATTTGTAACAAATACACACTCAAGTATTAAGGGGGGAAAGGGACATTATGTATATAATCTATTCTCAAACCACTCAAAAAAAAATGTGTGTATGTGTATATGTACAAGGGGTGGGGAAGACAGAGAAAGCAAATGTGGCAAAATGTTAAAGATTAGTGAATCTGGGTTTGAGCACATAAAAATTCTTTGTACTATTTTTGCAACTTTTCTGTAAGTATGAAATTATTTCAGGGTTTAATAAAAAAGCAATCACCCAAAACCAACCACCCCTTACAACAAAATCAACACACACACACTTTCTTCCTAAATTACAGTATTTTATTTAATATGCCTTTTAAAAATAAATGAGCCTTAGCTTATCAGGCACAAGTTTTTTTTGTTTTGTTTTGTTTTATTTATTCACTTACAGGAAATATAAACACAAATTCTAAAAGTGTGAAGTTGCAAACGACAGGCAAGTTCACATTTCAATTAATGTGAACTGAACAAGAGTTTAAGGTGATTTTTAAATACCTTCCACGTTAGAAAATCCTTCTTTCTTAAATAAGTTTTCATATAAAGCCAAGTCCTTGCAACTTAACGACGGTTTTACAGTCTTAAGTGATTTTAGAAAGTGCTCTTGTTTCACTGTAGTTGCGTCTAGTCCATTTTCTTGCAGAGCCAGCAAAGCAGCCTATTAAGAGACAAGCAATAGAAAACAATTTCTTTTGCTTTTTTTTCTTTGAGATGGAGTTTTGCTCTTATTGCCCAGGCTGGAGTGCAGTGGCACGATCTGGACTCACTGCAACCTCCGTCTTCTGGTTTCAAGCAATTCTCCTGCCTCAGCCTCCCAAGTAGCTGGGATTACAGAAGGCTGCCACCACGCCCAACTAATTTTTGTATTTTTAGTAGAGACAGGGTTTCACCATGTTGGCCGGGCTCATCTTGAACTCCTGACCTCATGATCCACCTGCTTCAGCCTCCCAAAGTGCTGGGATTACAGGTGTGAGCCACAGCGCCTGGCTTCTTTTCTTTTTTTTTTAACAATATATGGTAATACTTTAAACTCTGAATGGAAAATCTCAGCCTCACTTCATAGGATTCTAATTTTCATGTCACTAAAAACATTATGCTAAAAAGTTAAATAAGGTGATTAGAAATCCACTTTGCAGACCATAACCTCTTTACATTAATGGGAAAAAAGAAAGCATTAAATGAGAAGAAAGAAAAGGCAAGTTGCAGATTAATATGTATTTTATGAACCCATATGTATTTTTAAAGATGAGAGAATATCTTCCTGATCGTTAAGTAGGGAAGAGTCTTCAGCCAGCACTGATTATAAAGGAATAGATCAAACACATACCCTATGACCCAGCAATTCTCCTTGTAGCTAACTATGTTTACAAATAGACATAAATAGACACGGGAACTAAGAGACATGTACAAGGCTGTTCACAGCAGCATAACTCATAATAGCAAAAAAGTAGAAACCCAGATATTCCAAAATAAAAGAATGGATAAACAAATGTAGAATATTCATATACTAGAATATTATAAACTATGCTACACACAAAACTATGGATAAATTTCTTTTTAGGTTAAAGAACCAGACAGAAAATAACATATGCCACATGCTTCCATTCATATAAAGTTCAAAAGCAGACAAAACTAATCCCCACTGTTGTTAGTCAGGAGAGTGGTTCCCTTTTGTTTTGTTTTTTGTTTTTTTTTTTTTTTTTGGGGGGGGGGGACAGAGTCTTGCTCTGTCACCCAGGCAGAAGTACAGTGACACAATCATGGCTCACTACAGCCTTGACCTCCAGGCTCAAGTGATCCTCCCACCTCAGCCTCCTGAGTAGCTGGGACAATTTTTTAAAAGTTTTTGTAGAGACAGGGTCTCCCCATGTTGCCCAGGTTGGTCTCAACTCCTGGGCTCAGATGATCCTCCTGCCTTGGCCCCAACAAAATGCTGGGATTACAGGCATGAGTCACTAAGCCCAGCCAATAGTTCTCTTTTGGAAGAAGGTAGGTGACAGAGGTTGGGAAAGGGCCCAAAGGAAGATTCTGGGGTGTTTATAATGTTCTATTTCTTGACATAAGTAGTGATTATAAAAATGTGATCACTTTAATTCAATGAACTGTACCCTTATGATCCGTGCATTTTTCTGAATGTTATATTTAGTAAAAGTTTACGAAAAAGGGTATCTTAGAGTGGTTTACAAGGACCCGTGTGTCCTGGCCATTGTCTACTCCTTCAGCTTTTTTTTTTTCCTAAGAGACAGAGTCTCACTCTGTCACCCAGGCTGGAGTGCAGCGGCACGATCTCATCTTACTGCAACCTTCGCTTCCCAGGCTCAAGCAATCCTCCCATCTCCCCCTCCCAAGTAGCTGGGACTACTAGTCCCCCACGTAGCTGGGACTAACACCACATTTGACTAATTTTTTATTTTTTCTAGAGATGGGGTCTCACTGTATTACCCAGGCTGATCTTAAACTCCTGGGCTAAAGCAATCCTCTCGCCTTGGCCTCCCAAAATGCTGGGATCACAGGCACGAGCCACCACGCCTAGCCCACTTCTTTCGCTTTATTTCTTGCCATTCTCCACTCTAAGATTCAATAATGTCACACCATCTCTTATCTTCAATCCTTTGCACATTTTATTCTCTCCACCTCAAACATTCCCCCTTCCCTTCTTAGCTGGCTAACTCCCGATTTGTCCTTCCAATTTCAGTTTATACATCTCCTTTCTCAGAAAGCCTTCTCTGATGTGCCAAATCTGGGCTGGTGTCTTTCCTAGGTGCTCCCACAGTACCCTCTACTTCCGCAACTCACTACATATTTTCAATTGCCAACTCAGTATTAAGATTTGCCTCTCTGCACCACCCTCCTCACCACCCCACACTTACAATAAGCTGTGTGAGGGATGGGGCCACATCTGTCTGTTTCACATCACATGGTACCACACAGGCTTTTAGTAAATACTGCTGAGTGAATGAAGATTTGAAAAGATGCAGAAATGTTTTGAACCACAAATTTCTTCAATAATTAACTTACTTCTGTGCAGAGGTTTCTAAGATCAGCTCCAGAAAAAAAACAGGTTTCTGCTGCGAGGTTTTCTAAGGAGACATCAGGCCCTATTGGCATGGTTTTTGTACAGACTTTTAAAATAGAAAGCCTGCCCTGGAACAAAATAAAAAACAGTATTTTAAATCTTATAACATTTATGTTTGACACAATGATTTATTAAAATATTTTTAGCTTGAGTTTCCTTTCACATTACCGAGAAAATATATATAGGGGTTAGAAAGACTAAGTCATCAATGGCTTATATGACAATGGTAAAAATAACGACATCATAAAAAACTTATGAATCTTTTTTTTTTTTTTTTTTTTGAGATGGAGTCTCGCTCTGTCACCCAGGCTGGAGTACACTGGCACGATCTTGGCTCACTACAACCTCCACCTCCCGGGTTCAAGTGATTCTCCTGTCTCAGCCTCCCAAGTAGCTGGGATTACAGGCGCCTGCCACCACATCCAGCTAATTTTTGTATTTTTAGTAGAGATGGGGTTTCACCATGTTGGCCAGGCTAGTCTCGAACTCCTGACCTCTGGTGATCTACCCGCCTTGGCCTCCCAAAGTGCTGGGATTACAGATGTGAGCCACCACGCCCGGCTAAATCTCTCTCTTGGGTACAAATAATACTATCAGACATGGCTTAAGAAGCAAATACATGAATTATCAGATACAACTTAAAGGTATAATAGATATTAAATTTTATTTTTCTATCCCTTCAAAACTTGATAAAAGCCCAAGGAACAAAAAAATTCACTCTGTGCCTTTCACCCTCCCTGTCAGTGGCTCTGGATGTTAACGACAAAAAATGTACTGGTTGACCATGATACACTGCATAATCTCTGTAATCTCAGATTTCTGCACCGTACTTTACGGACAACAAATTTACTGGTTGACCACGATACACTGCATAATCTCTGTAATTTCAGACTTCTGCACTGTATGATAAGGATGCTGACTCAATCTTCAAAGCCCTTTTAACACTTTAGGATTCCTCCACTCTAGTTGCAAAATAACGCTGAGTAGACTCAGTATTTAGAGTCTGCCACAACACAAAAAATAACCACCATATATTTAGGCTTATGTTTCTCTGTGAACAAGATCAGAGTATCCAACAAAGGAAGATCAAAATTATGATGTCATGAAAGGCCACCAGGCAAGGAAGAAGGCGGAACCCAGGGTAAGTAGAACACCATGGACACCTATATCCAAGTTGGAATTCAATTCTGCTGAGCTCACACAGAGTAAATGTGTAAATGACTACCTTGTGATCTGGAGGTGGGATATAGATGATCTTATCTAATCTTCCAGGTCGTAACAAAGCAGTATCTAACACATCAGGTCTATTTGTTGCTGCAATAATCATGACACTTCGGTTAAAAACTTCTTGAAACTCTGAGGGCAAACACACAACACAAAGTAATGTCAATCAGTTGTTAATAAGTTTTCTAAAAATTATAAATCAGAAGGTCTATTTAAATTCAAATAGGGATATCCTTTTCTTGGGACCAGAATGCTTATATCCGCTTTCCAGACCAGCTTCTTGATATCAAGATATCCCAGAAACAAATCATTAACCAAAGAGCTACTTTGTGTGCATGGCTAAGGGAGTAGCTAAGAGAAACATTCTCCATATGAGAACCTATGAAAAGCCTTATCCCAAAGGGGAGAACACTCATCTGGTGACTTGAGTGCACCTGAGCCTCCAATGAAGGCTTACACCTTAAACAGGCTACTTAAAAAGACAGATACTTATGACCAACCGGTGGAGATATATGGCTACAGAAAGTCTTGACTCTCATATCCCTAAAGAGGAAGATTTACTCGACCTTTTATTTTTCTTTGAAATGACAATCTAAGTTGCAGGTGCGCAAATCCTGGATAAAGAAATGTCTAAAAGCAGACAGAGAAAGGCTTTACATATACTAAGCATTCAAAATCATTTGTTGAATAATCAGGCAGCTCTCCAGTGACGTAATCCCTCAAAGTACAAAGTTCCCTATATTTGCAAGTATTTTAGCAGATGCTGGGTGAATACCTGTCAGATGCTATAGAAGGAATTCCTGCATTTTGAAATGATTTGATTAGATAACCTCGTGGATACCTCCTAATTCTAGTGTGACATATTCCTAAGGAGTGTATGCAACAATTCCATATGACAATTTTTAAAATAGGAAAAGAATGAGAACGAGAGAGGAATAAAAGAAAAAGTATCAGGGACAATTTAAGGATACCAAACTCATCTGGAGAAGAGACTCAGAAAGAGGGAGGGGACTTCCAAAGGCCATTTTAATTCATTAAAACCAAAGAAACTCATTCCTCAAGAAAACTGGAAATGTTCCATTACTAAGACTATTGGAAATAATAATCTCCTTTGTTTTTCATTCATTCATTCATTCATTCAGATATGGGGCCTTGCTATGTTGGCCAGGCTAGTCTCAAACTCCTGGCCTCAAGCAACCCTTCTGCCTTGGCCTCCCAAAGTGCTGGGATTACAGGCGTGTGCCACTGTGCCCAGTCTACATAAACATTTTTAGAAAGAAATGAATACTGGTTTTTAGGACATGCAAACAAGAATAAACTGCCTTCTCTATTAGCAATAAGTAAAATTATATTTCTCATTCTTAGGAAAAATAAAATTCACATTCTTATATTTAAGATAATTTATTATAAAATGTACCTCACCTTTCCTAGCCAAATCACAATTTTTATTAGCTCTAAAAGTCCTAACAAAGTCAAACTGAAATTATATAAATCCTTCTATGAGATGAATTCAGCATAGGTAAAGCTATAGCATATATGCATTATATTTAATGTTGGCCTGGATTTTAGGTGCATTCTGGCTAATAAATACCTCTTCATTTTTTCAGCTCCTTGTATTTACCCTGTTGACTTGATTTACTTCCTCTTCTCTCTATTGTCTTAAGTCCAACACCATCTAATTCATTCAGGAGAACAGAAAGAACTCGTTCTTGAACATCACATCCTGTCTTGCTGGCTGAGCGAGCTCCCAAGATTGAATCAATTTCATCCAAAAACAAAATTGCTGGAGTGCTTGCTCTTGCTTGTCGAAATATCTTTTGTTAGGAAAAAAATATTAAAAAGCTATATGTTATACATTAGTCATGTGATATTACTATTTATAATCCTGTTTTTTTTTTTTTTTTTGAGACAGTCTTGCTCTGTTGCTCAGTTTGGAGTGTAGTGATGCGATTTCAGCTCACTGCAACTTCTGCCTCCCAGGCTCAAGCAATTCTTGTGCCTCAGTCTCTCGAGTAGCTGAGATTATAGGGTGCGCTACCACGTCCACTTAATTTTTTTGTATTTTTAGTAGAGACGGGGTTTTGCCACGTTGGCCAGGCTGGTCTTGAACTCCTGGCCTAAAGTTATTCACCCGCCTTGGCCTCCCAAAGTGCTGGGATTACATGCATAAGCCACCATGCCTGGCCACTATTTATAATTTTTAAAATAGATATAAAAAAGATTCTGAATGTCTATGAATTGGGGAATGAGTAAATAAAACAAGAAACAATGGAGTATTATGTAAGAGTTAAAAACCATATTTTCAAAGAATACTATAAATTTCAAAAGTAGTAATATTAAGTTTAAAAAAGCAGGATAAAGCTATAGATATATAAAACCTACCTTTGATTTTATTTAAAACAGAAAAAAAGACAAAGGAAATTCACCAAAATGTTAACAGTAGGTAGGAGGATTATGAAGGATTTCATATTTACACTTTCCTATATTTTCTAAATTTTTCAATAAACGTATAAATTTTTTAACTGGAAAAAACACTAGTAATATTTTTAAAAAGGTTTGTCCATAAGAAATGAAATAAAAATTCAAAAGTAAATTTAAACATATGGGGAAATAAACAAACCTGAGACAACACTTTTTCTGAATCTCCAACAAACGGTGAAAACAGATCAGCTCCACTCACTGAAACGAAAGAGCAGTGACAGCTTGTGGCCAGGGCCCTCACCAGAGTGGTTTTAGCACATCCAGGGGGCCCATAGAGGAGAACTCCCTTTGGTTGTGTCAGGCCCATTCTAACAAATTCCCAAGGGAATTTCAGAGGCCACTCAATGCTCTGAAAGTACACAAAAAGAGAAGAGTTGTTTTAGTATAATAATAAAATGTCATATCATCCAGTAAATTCATTTCTTCATTTAACAATTCTCAGCCTCCTATTATGAGCTGGAAACAGTCCATTCTCCACACTGCAGAGATCTTATCATTTGAATCAGGTGATACCACTTCCTGTTTAAAATCCTTCAATGATTTACTATTAGAACTAGAATAAAATCCAAATCCAAACTCCTTACTCGCCACAGCTGACAAGGCCTTATATAATCTGACTGTCTCCTAAACACTTAGTTTGTTCCCATCTCAGAGCCTTTCCTTGCTTTTCTCTCTGCCTGAACGTTCCCCAAGATCTTCGTGTGGCTATCCCTCATCACTCAGGTCTCAGCGCAGGTGTCAATTCCTTGGAGTTAGTCTTTCCTAACTACCTGGTTAAAGCGGAACCCCCTCCTCCTACTCACTCTCTATGCTACTGCCCATCCTTTACTTTTAAAGCAAGTATTCACTATTATTATTTTTCCACGTTGGGTTTGTCATTCTGCTCTGCTAGAACGTAAGCAAAGCTCACCTCAAAATCCCCAGCAGCTAGAATGACACCTACCCAAAGGAGGCACTCAGTAACAGTAAACCGAATAATGAATGAGTCCTCATTACCTTTAAGGTAAATGGTTTTTAACCACTTTAATCATTATTTTACAGATGCAAAAAAACTCGGGCCTAAAAAAAGTTAAGTAATTTGCCTAGGTCTTACTGCTAATGAGGTGGCAGAACCAATACTGACCCCAGACAATGTAATTCAAGAGCACCAGCAAGGAGCAACGGTGTTGAAGTGGAGGTAGGAGTCAGATCACAATAGGCCTTGAAAGCTTTAGTCTGCACTGAGGAAGCAGTATGGAGAATGGACTGGAAGGAAATTAAACTAGAGGCAGGGAGACCAGCTACAAGTTTCTTGCAATGATTCAGCCTACAAAAATAATAAGGCTGGAGTGTCACAAGCAGTGAAGATGGTGTGGAAGGGATGGATATTTGAAACATAAAACAGAATTGTACTTTACATAGGGACAAAGTTCTGATGCTATGCCTTTAGAAGACAGATTTCTGACTTAGGGGATGGGGTGGCTGGCTGTATTAACTGAGGTAGGGAATCCAAGTGTGGGGGCAGAGCTGACTAGCTGAACTTTTTACATGCTGAGTTTGACATCCCTGGGGTTATCCAGTAGGCAGGCAGTGAAGTAGTTCTGATGATCAGAAGAAATGTCTACTCTAGATATACAGATTTCTGAGTCAACAGTTTTCAGGGATGCTGTGGACATCAAGATCATCATAAAATCACCCACAGCTCCAACAAGAGGAGGACTCTGGGAGCCTCTTGAGCACTAACATTTAAGGGAGGGGAGAGGGTGGCCAGAAAGGCAGAAAAGCTTAATGTCTCAAAGCTAAGGAAACAGAGTGCTTCCAACAGGAAGGTGTGGTTAATTTCTCTCATGCATCTTGTGAACATTAAATGAGACAATGCATAAAAAATATTGGCGCATATTATAAATGCTCTTATCCATGGACTCAAAAATTCTAGGGTTCACTGGAGATAGATCTCCTGGTTAAGATGAATAAATTATAATTATTACTTATATATCAGTCTGTTATGTGTGTGGTTAGAGAAACCTAGTTCATTAGGGCAGGATCACATGTAGGCGAATTGGCAAAATCAATTTCTGAAACTGTAACGCAGGTGAGAGGATCTGAAGAGTTGCGTCCCACAGCTTCCACTGTGAAATCCACTATCAGGTAGCCATATTGTTCATTTCAATTTTGTGCTTTTACCAGTCCCTGTACTGCATCCATTTAACGTCTTTTAGATCAGAGATCCAGGCAAACTAAGGCCTTCCACCTTTATTTGGTACAGCCCAAACTAAGAATAGTTTTTACATTTGTAAATGCTTGAAAAAAAATCAAAAGAATATTTTCTGACATGTGAAAATTATATAATTTCAGTGTCTATACTTTTATCAGAATACAATTACTAATTTACATATGGTCTACAGCTGCTTTGGTGCTACAACGGCAGAGGTGAGTGGTTATGACAGAGACTGTGGATCACAAAGCTTAAAACATTGACTATGTGGCTCTCTCTACAGAAATCTGTTGACCCCCGTTTTAGATTATAATTTTTTTTTTTTTTGAGACGGAGTCTCACTCTGTCCCAGGCTAGAGTGCAGTGGTGCAACCTCAGCTCACTGCAACCTCAGCCTCTTAGGTTGAAGCGATTCTCCTGCCTCAGCCTTCCCAGTAGTTGGGATTACAGGCTTGCGCCACCACACCTGGCTGATTTTTGTATTTTTAGTAGAGACAGGGTTTCACCATGTTGGCCAGGCTGGTCTTGAACTCCTGACCTCGTGATCCTCCTGCCTCGGCCTCCCAAAGTGCTGGGATTACTGGTGTGAGCCACCACGCCCGGCCTATAAATTGTTTTTGTTTTTTTGAGATGGAGTTTCACTTTTGTTGCTCAAGCTGGAGTACAATGGCGTGGTCTTGGCTCACTGCAACCTCCACCTCCCGGGTTCAAGCGATTCTCCTGCCTCAGCCTCCTGAGTAGCTGGGATTACAGGCATGCGCCACCACGCCTGGCTAATTTTTTGCATTTTTAGTAGAAATGGGGTTTCTCCATGCCAGCCAGGTTGGTTTCTAATTCCTGACCTCAGGTGATCTGCCTGCCTCGGCCTCCCAAAGTGCTGGGATTACAGGTGTAAGCCACCATGCCCAGTCAAAATTGTTTTTTAATTTTTTTTTAAAGACACAGGATCTCGCTCTGTTGCCCAAGCTGCAGTGCAGTGGTGCAATCATAGCTCACTGCAGCCTCGATCTCCTGGGTGTCCTGGGGTCAAGCCTCAAGTGATCCTCCTGAGTAGCTAGGACCATAAGCACGTGCTACCACACCTGGCTAATTTAAAAAAATTTTTTGTAGGCCAGGCATGGTGGCTCATGACTATAATCCCACCATTTTAGGAGGCCGAGTTGGAGGACTGTTTAAGCCCAGGAGTTCAAGGCCAGCTTGAGTAGCACAGTGGGACTCTATCTCTACAAAAAATTTAAAAATTAGCCAGGCGTGGTGGTATGCACCTGTAGTCCCAGCTACTTGGTGGGGCACTGAGGCAGAAGGACTGCTTGAGCCCAGGAGTTCAAGGGTGCAGTGAGCTGTGTTTGTGACACAATACTCCAGCCTGGGTGACAGAGCAAACATGTGTCAAAATAATTTTTTTAAATAGAGATGGGGAGTCTTACTTTGTTGCCCAGTCTGGTCTTGAACTCTTGGCCTCAAGAGATCCTCCTGTCTCGGCCTTCTAAAGTGCTAAGACTATAGGTTATACACTTTTTTCCCCCCGGACACGGTTTCTCTGTTGCCCAGGCTGTCGTGCAGTGGTGGGATCTTGGCTCACTGCAACCTCTGCCTCCCGGGTTCAAGTGATTCTCCTGCCTCAGCCTTCCGAGTAGCTGGGATTATGGGCACCTGCCAGCATGCCCAGCTAATTTTTGTATTTTTAGTAGAGACGGGGTTTCACCATGTTGGCCAGGCTGGTCTTGAACTCCTGACCTCAGGTGATCCACCCACCTCAACCTCCTAAAATGCTGAGATTATAGGTATGAGCCACTGCGCCCAGCCTTAGATTATAAACTTATTTTTTTTTAAATAGCGACAAGGGCTTGCTATGTTGCCCAGGCTGGTTTTGAACTCCTGAACTCAAGCAATCCTCCTCCCTTGGCCTCCCAAAGTGCTGGGATTATAGACATAAGCCACCACACCCAGCCTTAGGTTATAAACTCTTTAAAGCAAAAACAAAGAGAGGGTCGAGGTGGGAAATTATAAAAACCAGTTTAGACATCCACAGAAGTCCAATTAAATAAGGACTGAAAAGCAATCATTGGATTTAGATGTTAGGATCACATTAGTGATAGGAGCAAGAGCAGTTTCAGCGCAGTATGTTGTCATCATAAATGCACAGAATGTTAATCTGTAATATCCTACTGGATTAAGTAGATTATCTGTCTTACCTGTTTTAACTTCAGTTTTACATCTTCAAGGCCACCAATCTCCTCCCAGTCAACAGGCTTGATATCCATTAATCCAATGACGCTTCGAAACGATGAGGGCTGAATATTTTTAAAAGCTTCAAGGAAGTCTATTTCATCAATCACAGGATTGTCCTGGTTCTGAAGAAATACACCCAAAAAAGCAAAATCAAACCAAAAATTAGGTTGGTCTTTTTTTATAGCACAATTTGTTTTTAAAATCTTCTTTTGGATTTGTAAAGTTATTTTGTTATCATTATAAAAACAATTTATATACATAGTACAAAGAATTAAATGTCTCCCTGCCAATTCCTGCCAGTAATTCTTCCCCGAAAGATGTCAAGAGTTTGTGTATTTTTCCAGTATGTTATGCTAGTAAGCATACATATATCCTTTTAAACAGATACACAAATGGAACCATACTATATCAGCCTGTACTTTTCTTCTTTCACCTATCTTAGAGAGCTTTTCATGTCAACTAACACAGTTCTACGTCATTCTTTTTGACAATTCCATAATACACTACTGAATTTACCCCAACTACACCTTTCTGACAAACGTTAGGTCATCCCCAGTCTTTAGATATTAAAAACAAAGCTGCAACTGAAAAAGTCTTTGTGCTCATGTTCAAGTATTTGTTTATTTTGAGACAGGGTCTCACTCTGTTACCCAGGCTGGAATGCAGTGATGTTATCATAGCTCACTGCAGTCTCCCAGGCTCAAGTAATCCTTGCACCTCACCCTCCGGAGTAGCTAGAACTACAGGTATGTGCCACCAGCCTGGCTAATTAAAAAAATATATATATTTTTTTTTTGTAGAGATGCGGTCTCCCTATGTTGCCCAGGCTGGTCTGGAACTCATGGGCTCGAGCGATCCTCCCACCTCAGCCTCCCAAAGTGCTGGGATTACAGGCATGAGCCACCATGTTCAAACTCATGTTCAAGTATTTTATGTAATAATTTCCTCAAAGTAGAATTACTGGGTTTACAAGTACACACATATACAATTTTGACAGCTATTACCAAATTGTCCTCTAAGGAAGCTGCAACAATTTATTCTTCTCCGATAATATGAAGCTGTGTTCTCTCCACACCTCTCCAGTACAGACATTATCAAACTCTTTTTTTTTTTTTTTTTGGCGGGGTCTCACTCTGTCACCCAGGTTGGAGTGCAGTGCTGTGATCTTGGCTCCCTGCAGCCTCCGCCTCCTGGGTTCAAATGATTCTCGTGCCTCAGCCTACCGAGTAGCTGGGATTTATAGGCATGAGCCACCACACCTGACTAATTTTTGTATTTTTAGCAGAGACGGGGTTTCCCCATGTTGGCCAGGCTGGTCTTGAACTCCTGACCTCAACTGACCCACCCATCTCAGCCTCCCAAAGTGCTGGGATTATAGGTGTGAGCCACCGCACGTGGCCCATTTCCAAACTCTTAAATGTCTGCCAATATGACAGGAAGAACCAGTACTCATTCATTACTGTGTTAACTAAATTTCTTCAATTCAAAATGAGGTAGAGGGAATATTGGAATTAAAAAAATCGCCCGTCTTGCAATCATGATAGTAAAGGCTGTTATGAGCAAGAATTGGATGCTATGTTGAGGGGAGTAAAAGTTTATTCATTTATGAGACAGGGTCTTGCTCTGCTGCCCAGGCTGGAGTGCAGTGGCATTGAGGCAACAGCTCATTGAGCCTCGAACACCTGGGCTCAAGTGATCATTCTATCTCAGCCTCCTGAGCAGCTGGGACTACAGGTGTAAGCCACTGTGCCCAGCCTGAAAGTTTGATGAGGAGCAGGATATCTCAAAGTGTCTCCCCACAGATTTCTCATTAGTGGCAAAGGGAAAAATAGCAGTTCCACAGTGGAGAAACTGCGCACTGCCTGAACTAGTTGATAAAAGTTAGCATCACCAATGAGGAACCAATGTACACTCTGTGCCTCTACATGTGAGGCTCTAAGGACACAACACTATACATCACCATACTGTGGTGACATATGGGAACATTTCTGTTCTTAGGAAATAGACATTAAAATGTTAAGGGATAAAGTGTCATGATATATGCAACCCATTCTCTCAAATAGTCCAAAATAAATAAATACTATGTGCATATAAATACATATATATGGAGATGACAGAGAGAGAGAGAAAGAGAAGAGGAGAGGGAGCAAGGAGAGCAAAAGAGAATGATAAAGCTTATTTGGCAAAAAGTTAAAAATTGGTGAATTTGGATAAAGGGTTTAGTGGAAGTTCTTTGTAACTATCTTGCAACTTTCCTATAAGTTTTAATTATTTCAAAATAAAGACAATAATTTTAGAAGAAATCAAGGTTGAACATCTTTCATGTTTATTGTCATTCCTTTTATTGTCAACTACCTGTTCATACCCCATTACCCATTTTCTCTTGGACTGTTGGTCTTTTCTTACTGATTTGTAAGATTTGTTCATTCCCTATCAAGGAAATTGGACTAAAAGTATTTTTCCTAGTCTGACTACTTTATAGTATTGTTTTGCCACCCCCAAATGGTCAACTCAGCAAATAATCTCTTTTTTGGCTATTAAGGTTTATGTTATGCCTAGAGAAGTCGTCTTCACTCTCAGGTTATATTTTGGAGACTCTTTACATTCTCCTTGATCATTCTAGTGAAACACATTTTTTTTTGTTAGTTAAAAAGTCCTGAAAATTTTATTAAAAATATCTGTACTGTATTTATTAAAGTATTTGCCCTCTTATATCCAATTCTAAACATCTAGTTGTCCACAAATTCCCGTTTTCAAAAACAAACTGTCTTTTCTTATTTGTAAACAGATGTTAAGTGAATCTGTATGTATAGAGCTATTCTGTAAAGTATTCTCCCAAAAGTGTTAACAATTGTCATCTCTGGAAAGTGAGATTTCAGGTAGGCAGTTCTTTATAATTTTCTATCTTCATTTCTCATGAATAACCCTATTATATACTTAAAAAAAAGCCTTTTTAACTGGCTGATAGTATGTTAGGTGTCTGATGTCCAAATATTAACTAATCTTTAGGTAACACGAACTAATATTTGAAAATCTCATTTATAGTTCAAGATCATGTGTGTACACATTATTTTACTTGATTCTTTGGGCTTATACATTCTTTCCCCTCTGTGTGTGTCTGAGTGTTAAACTACAGTTCTAATCCTTTAATAGGAATACTTCACAAAAAGTTTAACAAAGTGTAAGGTATCCCTTATCTGCCCTGGTACAGGGAGAGGTAGCAGCAGCCCCTCAGCTGGTGGGGGAAAGAATAAAAGATGGAGCCAGTACCTTCCCAGTTGTCTGTCCCTTCATGCTTTTTGCCTTTCTTCCTTCCACTTCCCCTGGGTTGTTTCTGAACTCAGCCATCACCTGTGGTAACTACACCTGAGCAGGCCCCTCCTGAAGTAGCAGTGGGCTCCACCCTGGGACGACAGCAGCTGACTGGTCCACCTAAGTGAGAGGTGCTTATGGTCAAACCTGGAACTTCAAAGCAGAGGAAATCCTGAATGTAAATCTCCCTTCCCATCTCCTGCTTACTTATTGTCTCCCTCAAAAGACATCTATTCTCACATCTTTACACACAGAACTTTAAAACTTCAAGTAGTTTTGGTCTAAACCTACAAGATGAAGACTTAAAAGATCAACTAGAAGATCACATAACTCCTCCCCACCTTCGGTGTAACTGTAGAAATAAAGGAAAGGAAGTGAGGCAAGGTATAAATTATTTAGGTAAAAAGGTTTTTCAAAATTTAGGATAATAAATCATTCTTTTGCAGTTTAAGATGAAAAGACAATTTTGATGTTACAAATGAGATTGAAAACTCTGTTTCAGAATCCTTAGCCTGCTGAAATCAGTTTTTTCCTGAATGGGTTTAAGGATTCAGGACTATTTATTATATACAAAATACTGGATTTTACAACCAACAAAGTTGAAAAGTATTATATTTAATCTAATATCTTAAATATTGTTAGGAAATAGTCATGAATTACAGACCTGCAGATCAAGGACAAATTTAAATACAATTCCAAGTGCCCAATCTTCTCCTAGGTTAGAAAAGCTTATTTCTCCCACTAGATACTTATTAATAACAAAGGGAAAAACGGTATCTTGACAATGGAGAAATCTCACAGACACCACCTTAACCAAGAAATCAAAGTTAACTTCACCAGTGATAGAACAGAAACATATCATGTGCTGCCTAACAGATGCAATGAGAAAGACACAGGATCATTTCTATTATATTCCTGCCCAAAATGCAAAACCTGAATTGAATCATGAAGAAACATTAGTCAAACCCAAACTGACGAATATTCCACAGAATAACTGACTCTTAAAAAGTTATGTTTTCATAGAAGAAAGCCTGAAGTATGATTCTAGATTAAGGCCTATTTAGGTTAAGTACAAGTATTATGTCTGCGTTAATTTTCTCAGCTTGATCATCATACTGTGGTTAAGGTCCTTGTTTTTCAGAAATATACACTTACGTTTTCGCGGGTAAAGGGGCATCATGGATGTAGTATATGCTCAAATATTTCATTATATATATGTATATATATAAGGAAATACACATGAAGAGAGAATGATAAAGCAAATGTGGCAAATGTTACATTTGGAGAATCTAGGAGAAGGGTATATGGAAACTCTTTGTACTATTTTTGTAACTTCTAAGTCTGAAATTGCCTCAAAATAAAAAAATTCAAATTAAAAAAACTCTTTGATTCTTCTGGGGCCACACTATTTCTTGGCTGCTCTGGGCTTCAGCACTAGGGAGTTACTATAAGAGTAGGGAACAAATTCACTCAGTAGACCCAGAGGACTCAGCCCTTTATCCCCACCCTCAATCATATACTATTTATATAGAGTTGAGATGTAAAATGTATAAGCAACAGCTGTGGAAGCTATCAAATGTTCTAAGGAAAATGTACTCACCGCTTTTTTTTAACCCCCAAATTAATCTGTTACAATAATAGATTAACATAGATGTTCATAAATTAACACTTCTTACCTTCTCACTATGAAGGAGGGCATGCATGGCAGCCTCCCTACAGAGTGCTGTCAGGTCGGCACCAACATAGCCAACTGTCATTTCTGCAAGAAGGCCCAAATCAACATGACTGGAGATGGGCATCTTCGAGGTAATCACTTGCAGAATTTCCTTTCTTTGTTTAAGTGTGGGAGTCCCAATGACCACCTATATGCAAAGCAAAACAAAAAAAAGAAGAAGAAGTATATAGTTTAAAATATATTATTTTTAAAGTTGATCTCATGGATGGAGGTAGACAGCAGAATGATAGCAACCAGACACTGGGAAGGGTTGGGGGTGAGGGGATGAAGACAGGTTGGCTCATGGGTACAAACATACAGTTAGGTAGAAGGAATATGTGTAATGTTTGATAGTGTAGTAGGGTGACTATAGTTAACAATAATTTCTCGTATATTTCAAAATAGCTACTAGAGAGAATCTGAAATATTCCCAACACTCAGATAAGAAATGATAAATGTTTGAGGTGATGGATATCCTAAGCACCCTGATTTGATAATTACAAATTGTATGCATGTACCAAAATATCACATGTACCCCAAAACATGCACAATTATGTATCAATAAAAATAGATCAATTAAAAAAGAATTACTTCCAAAAAAATTTTATATATGTGTGTGTATACATATATATATTTTTTTTTTCTTTTTTTTTTTTTTTTGAGACACAGTTTCACTCTGCTGCCCAGTCTGGAGTGCAGCGGGCACCATCTCAGCTCACTGCAACCTCCACCTCCTGGTTCAAGTGATTCTGGTGCCTCAGCCTCCAGAGTAGCTAGAACTACAGGCATGTGCCACCATGCCCGGCTTATTTTTTGTATTTTTAGCAGAGACGGGGTTTCACCATCTTGGCCAGGCTGGTCTCGAACTCCTGACCTCAGGTGATCCACCCACCTCAGCCTCCCAAAGTATTGAGATTGCAGGCGTGAGCCACCGCGCCCGGCCAAAATAATAATATGTTTTTTATCCTGACAAACATGTACGACAATTTAGTGAACCACTTTGGAACTAGTACCGTGCACTTTACGTATACTTTAGATTCTGAATATACGAAAATCCTAATATTCCAGAGGAGTAACACTGGCTAGAAAGTTGCACAATGAAAATTCTATGTCATTTAACAAGTTTTTGTTATTTTTAAGAACACACAAAGTTCTAGAAGCCAGGTATAGATAGCTAGGTCCCTGCCCTTAAGGACACAGGTACTAGATAGTGCAAGGAAGAAATCCACTCAAGTCCTGAACTAACTGAGCTAAAAGTGTGTAATTATCATTTCTCTTTTGAATCCTATCACAAAATAGAAATATCAGTCACTAAATTTCAAACTGTTCTTTAGAATTCAAGTCAATTTAGGACCAAAGCTTAAAATAGGACAGCTCTGAATATTCAACCTCCCTGACAACTCAGGGAGCAGTTGTGGGTACCTCCTCAATTGTGGAATAGGATGCTGGTGTTATGACAAGGAATGAATAAATCCAGAAGAGTTAATGCCTGCTTCCATTTAGTTCTTCCCCACCTTCTCCCTTTTTATTTCAACACACTTACTTCTTGAGGCTATCCTTCTTTAAATTCTCATTCCAAAAAATGAGTTTAACACGCTTGTAGGTGACCAAAATTCTCTTAAGAATTAACATTACTGATTATAGGACCTGCACAACAAAATTAATCTGTAATGGACACCTCGCTTCCCAAAACAATTAGACTCTGGGGAAACAGGTCCTGACTCTCAGATCCTGACTCACAGGTCCTGACAATTTGACTCTGGGGAAATACAGGTCCTGACTCACAGATCATATATCGGCAGAGAACGTGTTCTCTGCATTGCAAAGAGCCCCAACTCCAACCTCACCGATGCTCAAACCTAAGAGGCAAACGCCTCCGGGGCAGCCAAATGGCGCCAGAAGCGGCCGAGGTTCCACCGACAGTGGGCAAACCCGCCAAGCCCATTCACCTCTCGGTCAAATCTCCCGGGCCTACGCAGCGCTGGGTCTAGAGCGTCCGGCCGGTTAGTGGCTCCCACAACCACGACCTCGCGGTCCCCACTGGCGCCGTCCAGCAGCGTCAACACCTGGGCCACTACGCGGCTCTCGGGTGCTCGACTGCCCCGCTGGGGACACAAGGCGTCCATCTCGTCCAGGAAGAGGAGGCTGGGTCCGCGGCTGGCCAGTTCCCGGGCGCGCTGGAAGACCCGCCGCACGTTCTCCTCGGTCTCCCCAGGCCGGGAACCCTGCAGCGCCGGGGCGCTGACTGCCAGCAGCTCCGCGCCCGCCTCGCGCGCCACGGCCCGCACCAGCTGGGTCTTGCCCACTCCGGGGGGCCCCGCCAGGAGCACCCCGCGAGGCACCGCTAAGCCCAGCGCGGTCAGGGCGCGCGGGTAGCGGAGCGGGAGGCGGAGGAGCTCCCGCAGCGAGTCGGCCGCCTCCGAAAGACCTCCCAGGGGCACCTCGGGCTGCGGCTGGGCTTCCGACGGAGGCTCCCCGCCAAGGCTGACGCGGGTACGAGGGGTGACCAGCCCAGCGGGATCGGGACTGGGCGTCCCGCCGACGATGTGCAAGGCAGCCACCAGGCCAGGAGCGCCTGGCGGAGCGACCACCACGTGGCCCAGGGAGATCGGTCGGTTTCTCAGCAGCTCCTGTGCCGCCTCCAGCACCGCGGCTGTATTCCGGGCACCGGGCGCGCCTGCCCGCTCTCGCAACACCGGCCACACGGCGACGCGCCGCAGGGGCGGACAGGGCACTAGGAGGAGGCGATTCAGGCTGAGACTCCTCCGGGATCTCGACGCCCCGACCGCCGCCCCGGGGCTCGCGCACAGCGGGTCCAGCTGCACAAAGCCGTCCGCTCCGTCCCGCCGAGGCCAGGCAGTGCAGAGGCAGGAGCCGCCGTCGGGTAGCGAGATCTTCACTGCCGAGCCCAAGCGCGCGCCCAGGGCGTGGAGGGCGGCCGGGCCCAGGCGGCAGCGCTGGGTGCCCCGGTCTCTAGCGTCTAAGGGTAGCAGCTTTAAGAGCGGCCCTTCAGGGAAGGGATCCGAGTCCGGAGCCATCGCACACAGATGAACCAGGCAGACGAAACCAGATTAGGAAACCCACCCGGCCCACAAAAAGCGGAACACCGAGCTCGCAGGCCGGAAGCAGATTGCGCGCATGCGCTAGGGCAGACTGCGTTGCTAGCAGCTGAGTGAAGGCCGAAAGGGCCAATGGAAACGTTAGACGACGCTCGGGCCTCTGGGTAGAGCGTTGGTGTCCGCTTTCGTGAAATCGAGTTGCCTAACCCAGAGCTTTCCCGAGATGGTCTTCGTTACAGGTGTCTGGGAGGCGGCTTAAGCTCACTTCACTAGGTCATTAAGCATGTACTTTGGTGGTTACATATATCTTGGAAGTCACCGGCTTTACATTCTGTTTTCCTGGCCTTCGAACTGGAGCATCAGTACTACCGCCGTTGGAATAGCAACCTAGAGACTTTGCTATTTTGTGAAGAAACTCTAACTATCCGCATGGGCACAGAATTTTGGGTGCTCTGGTGCAAATGTCTCAGGTGACTTGGCGTAACTGAGAATACAGCCTTGGGACCTTCGGTAATCGGGGTTCCAATCTGGGAGGTCCAGGCACAACCCTTCCTATGGGAAAGTACCAGCATAGTGGGAGGGAAGCACACGGTAGCGCTTAAAATCCCTTGTAGAGAGGAAAGAAGGAAAACTAGGCTACCTGATGGATTTGTAGCACACCAACAGTACATTTGTTCTGATTTCTGATATTCTTTTGAATATTCTTTGGCAACAAGTTAATCACTAAAGTTCATGCGATCAATGCTTACTGTCTAATTGGGGCACAACAGTACTAAGTCCTGTATTAGAGGCGATACCTATCTACGTTATTAAGACAACTGCCTGCTATTTTTTTTTTCCAGCTGCTTTCTGCCTTTCCCTTTCGCACAGGGAATTCCTTTTTATCAGCTGGAATACATTTTCTATCCCTCTTAATTGCCGTTAAAAAAGAACTACAGATACTCAAAGACAAGAAGATATACCTTGTTTTTATTTGACTTACATCTTCCTACCTCTATTTTCCCCACTTTCACTGCAACCCAAATTTGTGAGTTGACAAAACTGATATTTTAGAGTGCTTAAGTTGCTGGGAAGTTTTTTTTTTCTATCTATGCAAATAATCAATTACAGACTGTGTAGTAATATCTTATCAATGGGAAGTACTGTCAGATCTGGGATCTTAAGACCCATGCCAGTTCCTGATCTCATTCTGTCCAAACTTCATGGCAGACATGACAGACTTCTTGACTTGACAGTAACTTACCTGGTCTCAGCTGTACTTGTCTGCTTAAATCGATTCTGGAACAATTTAGGAATCAGAAAATAGCAGGAGGAGGTCTTGAAATGGATAAGTCACCCATTACTTCCTGTTTTCTTTTTTCCTCTTAATCCCATTGGCTTCAGTTCTTTTTGGTTTGGGGACTTTTAAATAACAGCTTTGCATTTTTTGAAATAAAAAAAAAGCCATCGTTTTTACCGACCCCTAAAGGTGTGAATTACATGCCTATCAAGTTATTTTATCAGAAGCCTGTACCTCATCGAGTTCCTTCTATTCAGCTCCAAGAAGCTTTAAGGATCTGGGAGAGGGAAAGAAGACTTACTGAGGACAGGATAACTGTCTTAAATATGTAAAGGGATCTCATGTAAAAGAGTTAGTAGATTTACTTATATTTACAGTGCAGAAATGGCCAAGAAGTAAAGGTTTAATGGAGTGGAATAACCAAAGCCAAAACAGGGAGCCAATAAAGTTAAATCGGCCTCAAAATTTTCTGAATTGGTTTAAAACAGAGGCACAAACTATGCTATTAGGAATATGATGAGAAGGAAACTACATGTTGCTTTTGGTTGGTCTAAGAGGTTGATTTTATACAAGGTCAAACAAGAACCCTCTGACCTTATAGAATCCATATGCACAGGAAATATTATTTCACTTCACTCTTTCTCTAAAAGATCCAGTCTTTACCATAGGTTGCAAACAAAAGCAACAAGGAATTCTGTTACTGGGCCTTCAGCTCTTATCCACTCACTCTGAGCAAAACTATAAATGTCTTTCCCAATCATCCAGTAAAATCCATTCTGTCCCTTTAGGTCTAACCATTTGCAACACTATGATTTCAGCCATCTGAACATCCATATTTATCATGCCATTCAATGACATAATCTCCTTGTGATAAACCATTCTTTTTATTTTTAAAATTTTATTTATTTTTTAGACAGTCTTGCTCTGTCACCCAGTCTTGAGTGCAATGGCAGGATCTCAGCTCACTGCAACATCTGTTTCCCAAGTTCAAGCAATTCTCCTGCCTCAGGCTCCCAAGTAGCTGGGATTACAGGTGCCTACCACCACGCCTGGCTAACTTTTGGATTTTTAGTAGAGATAGGGTTTTACCCTGTTGGCCAGGCTGGTCTCGAACTCCAGGCCTCAAGTGATCCACCTGCCTCAGCCTCCCAAAGTGCTGAGATTACAGGCATGAGCCACTGCACCTGGCCTCCTTGTGGTAAACCATTCTAATGGGAGTTGTGTGGCTCTTTTGCTTAGTTGTTTTTAATCTGACCAGAAATTTGTTAATTCTATGAATTGAAGAACATCAATTAAAGCACTAGAATTGAACCACTAGAGGGAGTCCAGAACCAACTAAGCCTGAAGGCTACAGGATTGTTAGGACGTTGGTGTTCTCAACTGTGGTTTCCACTCAATTTTCCCAGGATTCACACCTAGGTGTATGAAGCCATCTGTTGTCTCTATATATTATCTGGCTTAGTCTGTTCAGGCTGCTGTAACAAAATACTACGAACGAGGTAGCTTATAAATGACAGCAATTTATTTTTTACAGTTCTGGAGGCTGGGAAGTCAAAGACAAGGCACTGGCAGATTCCATGACTGGTAAGGGCCCCCTGTCTAGAGACAGCTCATTGTACCTGCACATGGTGGAAGGGACTAGCTAGCTCCCTCATGTTTCTTTTATAAGCACACTAATCCCATTCATGAGGGCTCCACTCTCGTGACCTAATCACCTCCCAAAAGGCCCTGACTCCTACTACCATCATCTCAAGGGTTAAAATTTCAACAAATGAATTTTGTGGAGGACACAAACACTGAGACCCTAGCAGTAACTGACTTATTTTCACATAATTTTTCACAAGCCTCAAGCTGTGTAAAACTCAGTTTCTAAGTTAAAATTTAATTTTTGTGTTAAGTATAAAAATGAGACTGTTCCTAAATCCAAAATTTAGTGGTAGGTCAAAATCCAAACCGATGGAATTCATCTTGCTATAGCCTAGAAACATTTCTAGCTTTAAATTGTTTCAAATAGCTTTGCCAAACAAAATCTTTTGTGAGATTTTCCCGAAAAGGTACATGTGACAAATGGTTTCTCTTTATGTCCTTTGTTACATTCAAGGTTACAATCTGTCTAATTTTTAATTAACTATAAAAATTCTTAATTAACTGTAAGTCTATAATTCAAAAGAAATAATTGGAATCTGTTTCTTTAGGATAATGATCATGCAATATTTTTGTCCCTTCAGCATATTATATATGTATATAAAAATATATTCCTGTATATGAAAAAAATCTAAAGAAAATGGTTAAACCAGTAGCATGAGTCATCTGTAGATTAAATAATGTTAATCTTTCCAGCATTTCCATTTTTGTGTTATGTTCAACCCTAATATATTTGAACATTAGCAATGACTATGAGTTGTAATAGATGAATAGAGATTTGTTTAGCCACCCTTGAAAAAGCATGATTTGCAAACACTTTCATCTCAACATGCTCATGTAGATGTAGTAAGTGACTTATTTCCACGGATAGCTAATATGCCGAACCTGTGTTCATAAAGTATGTAATGAAAATCCCCCTAAATGGGACATTGTTAAAATTGTTCTTTAGAATCTTCCATCTTTACTTTTTATCTTGTATCCAGGTTAGAATTAGTCTTTAGAGTAATTCTAGATATAGAATAAGTTATAGAATCAGAAGAAGGAGGATGAAAATATTTGCTGGATTTCAAATGACCTGCAGACTACAGTTCATAGAACATCATTCTGAAAGTCTGTTCTTGCACATTTTCAGGAAATTGCTTGATTCATCATTTTTTAGAAGTTAATGTTAAGGTAATTTTTCCCTATGATGTTGGTTCACACTTTTCAACAAACATAATAATTATATATTTATTAAAACAAATATTTATTGAACATCTACTTCTTGCTAGTTACTATACCAGAGGCTGAGTATTTGGTGGCAAACAACAACAATAAAAACACTGTAATCCTTGCCTTCATGAAGCTTATAGTCTACTGGGAAGTCAAACATTGAAGAAGTAAACAAGTGAATAAATCTGATAATTAAAGGTGATGAAAATTGCTTTGAAAGAAATAAACGGAAAAGGGCTACTTTAAACAGGTATTAAGGATAGGAAAAACAAAACAAATTGTTTTTCCTACTCTCATACACCACTCAGCCACTCAACACAGCACTTCTGACACCAGGTGTTGGTTGGGGAGTTCCCCACATATCAAGCAAATTCTCCCACAGATACCACCTGGGTGTCCTCTAATTCAATTCAATGCTGAGACTATCTACCTGGAGATAGCATCAGACTCCACAGGTTCAGGGCCCAGTCCCTCAAGACTGCCCCCCACCTTCAGATGCCAATCACAAGTTCCAGATTGTGACTTGTGCTTCTGACCAGGGACGGTCTGTAAATTGGGCTTCCCATGACCCCCTTCTTAGGTTCTATTAATTTACTAGGATGGCTCATGGAACTCAGGAAAACACATTACTTACATTTACTGGCTTATTAATAAAGGATGTAATAAGGATACAGATGAACAGCCAGGGGATACAAAGGGTGAGATCTGGAAGGGTCCTGAGTACAGGAGCTTCTGTCCCCATGGAGTTGGTATGTACCACATTCCAGGCACATGGATGTGTGTTTGCCAACCTGGAAGCTCTCTGAACCCCATAGTTAAGGGATTTTTATGGGGCCTTCATCACGTAGGCATGATCAATTATTAACTCAATTTCCAGCCTCCGTCCCTCTCTGGAGAATGGAGGTAGGGGCTGAAAGCTCCAAGTTTATGATCATGGTTGGGCTTTCCGGTGACCAGCCCTCATCTAGGAGCCGGGCAAGAATTGCCTTGGTAGAACAAAAGACTGCTCCTATCACTCAGGAAAGTCCACGGGATTTAAGAGCTCCATGTCAGGAACGAGAGTGAAGACCAAACATTAGAACCAAAGATTCTCCTAGCACCCCTGTAACTCAGGAAATTACAAGGGTGTTGGGAGCTCTAGGCCAGAGACTAGAGGCAGAGACCATATATATATTTCTTACTTCACAACAGGAAAGGAGAGAAGGTCTCTGAGGAAGTGACATTCCAGCTGAGACGTGAAGGATAAGTAGAAACCAAGCAGAAGAATTGGAAGAGGAAAGGGAAGAGGGAAAAGCCTGTGCCAATGCCCTGAGATTGGAATATGCTTTTTGTGTTTAAGAAATTAACAGAAGGTCAGTATTATCTTTACCATACTTATGGCTTTTTTTTTTTTTTTTTTTTTTTGAGACGGAGTCTCACCCTGTTGCCCAGGCTGGAGTGCAGTGGCGTGATCTCAGCTCACTACAACCTCTGCCTCCTGGGTTCAAGTGATTCTCCTGCCTCAGCCTCCCGAGTAGCTGGGATTACAGGCACAATGCTGCCACGCCCGGCTAATTTTTGTATTTTTAGTAGGAACGGGGTTTCTCCATGTTGGCCAGGATGGTCTCGATCTCCTGACCTCATGACCCGCCCACCTCAGCTTCCCAAAGTATTGGGATTACAGGTGTGAGCCACTGTGCCCAGCCCAAATACTGTATCTTAAGACTGACTATACCATACCTTTGGAAACTGTGTGCTGCCAGCTTATCTAAACATTCATCTACTCTTTTCTATTTCTACCATCAATAGGAATTTTTGTTACTTTTATTGGATCATTGCGAAAATGTCCTAATTAAACACCATCCCTCCAATCTCTCCCTAAATTGTAACTATATTAAACCAGCCAAGAAAAATCTCTTATACTTTGACTGGTTTGAGGACTATATCTGAGTTATATTAAATCTGACAATTTAGTTTATCTAAATGAATTATAGAGCTTTCAAACTTGTCTAAGCATTGACCCAGTATTGTGTAAGATCAGATCTTGGGGACTGAGCCAGAGAGAAGACCAGGCTCCAGGAACAAGGAAGATACTGTCCAGAAATGGTTTATTCATAGCAACTTCAAGGCAAGTTTATCAACTTTCCTCGATCGCTTTCCCTCCTCCAAGATAAGTATTCCTGCTCTGAGTTTCCTTGATACCCTGTGCGTACCTCTTAGAGCAGTTATCGTATTATGTTTTAGTTGTGGTATCCTTGTCTTTCTAAACCCTTTAAGGACAGAAAATGAGTCTTGCTCTTCTCCAGGTGCTCTGTACTTACCACAGTACCTAAAGGATTTAAGTGTAAAATCAAGATATGTTGAATGAATGAATGAGTAGCAGCAAGGCTGGATTGGTAAAATGGGACTTAGTCGTGGAAAGCTTGAATGCCATTTTTTTTTTATTCATTCTGTACCAGGAAATGTGCGGTAAATGGGAGGGAATGACATCCAGAGCACTATAGTACAATGGTGGACAGGGCAGAGTTAATGGTATTCTCTCCTCCAAGTAAATGCTTTACTCCAGGACATTCATTTATAAATCCTTAATGCAAATTTAACTTCCCTCCAGGAAGATGTATTTCACATCTTTAGTTCAAATTGTTCTTGTCTTAATCTGAGGTCCTGTAGCACTGTCCATACATTTATGCATCTAGTTGCATTCTGTTTGCATTGCTAGACAATTGTTTAAAGTGACTTTGTATTATTTTTCCAGTGAGATCTTTAAGTGATTTGGGAATTTGTACCTCTTTTTTCTAATCTTTTATAATTTTTGTTCCCCATCCCAGCGTTGAGCAAAATGCTAGGTGTTTAATAGTTAAATCTGTCTGTTTCCTCAAATACTAGAAATCCACTTAGTTTTTATTTGAATCTAGGAGAATGAGCTTGAAAAATCTAAAAAAAATTGGTTTGGGTTTTATACCTAAGGTATATTAGAGTTGAGAATTTTAGCCTGCTATAATAACTCTTAGATCTTTAGAACACTCAGACTTGTCTAGTAGTTGACCTAATATTAAATATGACCTGGTCTTGGGGACTGAGCCAGAAACAAGGCCAGCCTACAGATAGGATAGAGATTGTCTGCAAATGGCTTATTCATATTAATTCTCAGGTATCCATTTCATCAAAGTTTCCTCTAGTGCTTTGCTACACCCCATCCAAAAAATGGGATGAAGTCTTGATTTCTTCTTTCTAAGACACTAAAATCAGACAGAGGAGACAGAAATATCTGTTTGCTGCACCATTATTTCTCACTGATGGACAAGATCTTGCCAAAACAATGCAAGCCCTGAGAGACAGGGGAGAGAGAGATCTCATGACCTTTTAGCCTTGGAATGGGAGGGCTGACTCCAAAAGAAATGACCCGCTGGGTTCCAAAATAGCAAAACTGAAGACAAAAGGATGAAGATACGTGTTCTGAATCCTCTCAAACTGAGCAGATAGGGAACTTTGTTTAGAATAATTACATTATTCACCCCATCCTTGGTACTGAATGTTTCATTTGTCCATTGAAATGAAGGTCACTGTTTCCCTCCCACACCCTAAAATATGTGAGAGTAGCCATGAATGCCTAGGCATTTTTCAGAATTTTCTTTGTCCCACTTCTTTATAGACCTGCAAACTTTTCTGACTTTGAGTGAACTCAGTATGTTTCAGAACCATGAAATAGTGCCTGACCCGCCTGGTGCCTTTGGAATGAAGTTTTGGCAAACACACTACGCCCAGATAGAATTCAACAATTCTTCCTCTGGTTTTCCTCAACATGTAACCTTCCCACCTTTTTAGCACTTGGCTTAATTCTGCCTTGAGTTAGTTGTTTTCCTGTCTGTCTTTCCTCTACTTCAGCAGTCCCCAACCTTTTTGGCACCAGAGACCGATTTTGTGGAAGACAATTTTTGCACAGATGGGGTGTGGCAGGAGGATGATTTCAGGATGAAACTGTTCCACCTCAGATCATCAGATAGGCATTAAATTCTCATAAGGAACGCACAACCTAGATCCTCTGCATGCCAGTTCACAGTATATAGTAAGATTCACACTCCTATGATGATCTAATGCTGCTGATCTGACAGGAGGTGGAGCTCAGGTGGTAATGCTCGCTCAGTCCTGCTCGCCTCCTGCTGTGTGGCTTGGTTCCTAACAGGCTGTGGACTGGCAGCGGTCTGTGGCCCAAGGGTTGGGGACCTCTGCTCTACTCCCTCCTGATTGTAAGAGTTGATGCTATGTGTTAGTCATCTTTGATCTTTCATTCTACCTTCTTCCAGCAGGGGCTAGCATTGCTACTGGCTTGCTGTATGGTCTTGAGCAATTCATTTAACCTTTCTGAGCCTGATTCTTAAAATCTTTGAAATAGATTATTGTGAGATTAAGTGACATACTACAGGTTGAGCATTCCTAATCCAGAAATCCAAAATGCAAAATGCTCAGCATCAAAAACTTTTTGAGTGCTGACATGATGCTCAAAGGAAATGCTCATTACAGCATTTCAGATTTTGGATTTCTGAATCCAGATATTGAATCAGTTAAGTATAATGCAAATATTCCAAAATTCAAAAAAATCCAAAGTCCAAAACACTTCTGGTCCCAAGCACTTCAGATAAGGGATACTCAACCTGTATGATGTTCATTGTAATTATTATCATCTATCAGGATGTTATGAGATAATTTATAGAAATTTCTTTTGAAGGGTAAAAGCTCTATTGGCATGTAATGTAAGGCTCCAATAAACAGTAATAGCTACACAGATAGAGTACCAGGTACAGTTGTAAGTGTTTACAGTATGATCTCATTTAATCCTCCCAATAACCTTGGGAGGTTGGAACTATTTTTTTTTTTTAATTTATAGTTGAGAGAACTGAGGCGCAAAATGTTAAGTAGCTTTCCCAAGTTCACACAGCTAGTAAGTGGCAGACCTAGGATTCAAAACTAAGTGGCTTGGCTGGCTCCAAAGTTTCCACTCTGAACCACTACACTATGCTACGCTATAACCAAATCTGGCTTTGCAAACCACACCCACCAATTAATAGTTATGTGACCTTAGACAAGGCTTTAAAATTTTACACCTGATTTTAATCATTTGTAAAATGGAAATAAAACTAATACCTACCTCATAGGTTCATTTATCCAACAAATATTTCTTGAGCTCCTACCATTTGCTATATGCTGGGAATACCACAATATCATGATAACTAAATTCATGTAATGCACTTGGCTACTGCCAGGCACATATTAAGTGGTCAGTGTTAATTATTATTTTAATTAATAGTAATAAGCCAGTGACCTCTCTGAGACATATTTCCCATTACTTGGCTAGAGATTGTTCTATGTCATCACCATATAGCTGTTTTCTACTGATCCCCTAATTGTATTTTAAATTTTCAAATTGTATTTGAAAAAGAAGAAAACAGCAATACAAGTATCTTCCAGGGCTCAACAGAGTGGCTACTTTGAAGTGGATCTGATACATAATAAAGGCTAGGCAGGCATACAAAATATGCTTACTGCAAAGGAACATGAAGTACATTTGGTGAATGTGAAGATATGAAGATGATCAAATACAATGCTTTTGGGAAATTTATGGTGAGATCATCTTGGGAAACAAAGATGTGGCCCCACATTACATCCCTGGTGATACATAAAAAAACCCAGCATCCTACTTCTCAGAATCTATCTAGGAATGAATGGCTTGTTGTGGGTGCTCTTCTATGCTGTGCTTTGGTGCTCTCAGGATTCATCCTGTGTTTACCTACCCCACGTTCTGTGACAGCCAGAAGTAATTTGCTAGGTTACATAGAGACTTTATCTCTGTAGACTGCTGGTAATCAAATGAGATGATATGTATGAAATCATTTTGAAACATTACACACACACATGCACGCACACGCACGTGCATACACATGCAGAAAGTTTTCCACAAGAGTGTTGTAGTCACGTAGAGAGAATGCGCACTGTAGGAACCAGATACGGAAAGTACCTTCTTCCTCATTTCTAAGCTTGCTCTCAGCATCTTTTTCTTCCTTTCTGTCACCAAGTTTGCCTTCCTGTCCTGACTAGTTCCCCTTCTGCCCATTTCAGTTCCTAATAACAACAGTAGCTAACATGTGAGTGGTTATTTTAAGTGCTTTACATGTATTAATTCATTTAATCATAACTCTATGAGTTACATGCTATTATTATCCTTATTATATTTGAGAAAGCTGAGGTACAGAAGGGTTAAGTCACTTACACAAGGTCATACAGCTTAAATTGTAGGGTCAGGCTTTAAAGCTGGGTAGTTTGGTTCCAGAGCCCACACTCTTTATTATGATGGTATACTGTGTTTTACTCTGCCATAGGGCCTGCCACTGTCTGAGGTACACATCTGCCAACCTAAAATCTTTTGTATCCTTTTATTTTTTGTGTTTTTTTTTCTTTAGCAGAAGAACTTGAAAATTTTTTAGGCAGCAATTGGCAGTTTTTCTCTTTGCCTTCTACAATTCAATCAATGAAGCCAGAATCACTTTTGCCTAACACCAACTCTAATATAAATTTGTTACTCAGTTATGAGAAATGCAGAATCTTACCAAGTGGTATAATTCATGCTACAAACTTTGATCTTTAGTAATTGTCTGGGGCAATAATTCTGCACAGTGTTAACTAAACCACTGGCTAGCTTATACACACAAACAAATCTATTCAAGAAATGAAGTCAAAATCTCAGCTATTTTTCCTCTGCTGATTACTTGGTGTAAGATAACATTCAAGCTACTACTTGCTCAACGGTTAGGCACAAAGTTGGCAAAATCAGCTCTCTTCATGGCATTATAAAAAGAGATGAGCATTGTTTTTGTTGTTGTTGTTTTTTGAGATACAGTCTCGCTCCGTCACCCAGGTTGGAGTGCAGTGGCACGATCTTGGCTCAATGCAACCTCCGCCTCCCGGGTTCAAGTAATTCTCCTGCCTCAGCCTCTAGAGTAGCTGGGATTATAGACATGTGCCACCATGCCCAGCTTTTTTTTTTTTTTTGTATTTTTAGTAGAGATGGGGTTTCACCGTGTTGGCCAGGCTGGTCTCAAACTTCTGACCTCAGATGATCCACCTGCCTTGGCCTCCCAAAGTGCTGGGATTACAGGCATGAGCCACTGCTCCCAGCCAACGTTGTTTTGAAACGTATACAAAATACCTTTCTAAGGTATTAGAATAGAATGGTGAGAAACTAGGACTTCAACAGAACCTTGAGGTTAACTAGTTTGTACAAGTAGGCGTGGAGAGATTAAGTGACTTGCTCAAGGTTATCCAAGTAGTTAATGGTCAAGCAGTGATCTCCAGGTCAATTCTGATCTCCACATCTGCATTCATGGTGCACTTCCCTGAGCACTGCACTTCTGACTGGAACTGTCTCAGACAGGCTGTGTGGTCATCCATACAGTGATGTGAAAGACTTCTCATAGTTGAAAGACCTTTATTAGTTGCCCTAATAAAGGCACTGTATTTCACTCAGGAATCATATACTTCATTTTATATTTAAATAAGTAGATTCTGTGTATCTTATCAGCTTAATTTGAAAGGGCTAAGGGGTTGGCTACTATGGCTTAAATCCTAAAGGACAGACTTCTGCTTATGAGAAAATAGTAGCAGAAACAATGTTATAAAATGTGCATTGATGCTGTCCTAAAATCCTCAAGTGCAATTTTGGGGTAAGAAGCCTCAAGTTCTAGAAGTAGACCTTCTCTCCACACAACTGATGATAATACTAGCTTATTGTCATTTTGATGTGATCTGGATACCTCCTTTCACTGAATCAAAGGAACCATAGCATCAAAGGTCATTTAAGGAAAATAATTTTCATTCCTTTCTTTGGTTTCTATTAGAGGAATGTGTTTTTAATTTTTGTCACCTAGCTCCTTCTTTTTGTAATATTCAACTGTACTTAAAAAACAATCCATGTCTAAAATATTTTGCAGCATGAGAGAAAAGCTCCAACTGCCTTAGGAACTCACCAGCCCTGTCAACAGCCAGACCACAATATTTGGTGTGTGGGATTCCCTAAGTCCTTGCTCAGCATGTGACCTATGGACTGGCAGCATGGGTATCACGTGGGAGGTTGTTAGAAATGCAGAATCTTGGCTGGGCACAGTGGCTCATGCCTGTAATCCCAGCACTTTGGGAGGCTGTGGCAGGCGGATCGCTTGAGCCCGGGAGTTTGAGACCAGCCTGACCAACATGGCAAAGCCCTGTCTCCACTAAAAACGCAAAAATTAGATGGGTGTGTGCCTGTAGTCCCAGCTATTCGGGAGGCAGGGGCACAAGAATTGCTTGAACCTGGGAGGTGGAGGTTGCAGTGAGCTGAGATCACGCCACTGCACTCCATCCTGGGCAACAGTGTGAGACTCTGTCTCCAAAAAAAAAGAAAAAGAAAAAGAAAAAAGAAAAAAAGAAATGCAAAATCTTAGGCCTGAATCAGAATTTGCCTTTTAACAAGCTCCCCAAGTGATTCCTATGTGCATCCCTGGATGCCTTTGTAAGAATACCTATTGCTTCTTTCTAGTCTAGAAGTGAGGCTGAGACTTTCTGTACCACTACTCCAAGATACAAACCTTAAGTTAAAAACAAGAAGTCAGCCTGAGCAACATGGCAAAAACCCATCTCTGCAAAAAATACACAAATTACCTGGGCATGGTGGCATGCACCTGCTGTCCCAGCTATTCAGGTGACTGAGGTGGGAGGATCACTTCAGCCTGGGAGGTGGAGCTTGCAGTGAGCCCAGATTGTGCCACTGCACTTCAGCCTGGGCAACAGAGCAAGACTTTGTCTAAAAAACAAAACAAAACAAAAAACCCTGCAAAAACAAGAAGTCTTTGATTATTTGGGAGCATAGCTTCATTAATTTTGTTGGATAGTTATCAAACCATAGAAACTTGGATTGGAAGAAACCTTAGAGGTCATCAAGTTCAACCGTCATCACTGCTGTGAATTTCAGTATAATGACCAATTTTTGTAAAAAGGTTAAATTGTGTTCAGGATATTCTGTTCAAGAAGATGAAAAGTATTTAATTCATCTTAGAAAGGCAGCCATACAAATGGGAGAAGTTTATATATTTAAAAACTTTTAGTGTTAAAGGAAAAAGCTTCAGTTGTCTGGAAAGTTTATTGATATGAAATGTGTTGGCCATGATGATATCCCCTAAGGAGGGCTTTATCTTTTAAACTCATATTCCAACTATTTTATATCTGCCAAACGTTACTGTCTTGCACAATTATAACTTTAACTTCCTCCAACTAAGAAAATTATTACTTATCAAACTAAATTTTCCATAAGGAGAGGAAAAGAGATAAATCTTCCTTGCAGAAGAATTCCAAGCAATATATGTATGTAAACCCCTCTTCCTTTCCAGGGGAGTTGGTCTCGGAGACTCAATTCCAAAGAATAAAGTATGAAAAGGAAAAAACACCAACCAACTTTACAGAGGAAAAACCCGGCAGACACTACCTTAAGCAAATGACAGGGTTAATACCATCAGTGATATGAGAATATTACATACTACCTGATACGATACGATGAAAAGGGCACATCATCTCGGTAGTATTCTTTCCAGAACTCCATAATGCCAGTCCAATCATGAGAAATACATAAACCCAGTTCAAAGCATAGACTACAAAATATCTGATTAGTTTTCCTCAAAACTGACGAAGTCCTGAAAAACCAAAGAAAGACTAAGATACTGTCAGAGAGCAGAGGCAATCACAGAAGACATTACAACGAAATATAGTGTGGTATCCTGGATTGGATATTGGAACAGAAAAAGAATGTTAGTGGAAAAACTGGTAAGATCCAAGTAAAGTCTGGAGTTTAGTTAATAATGATTTACAGTGTTGGTAGCTTAGTTTTAGCAAATGTATCTTAGCTGTGGAAGACAATAACAGGGTAAACCAAAACAGGGCGATGGGTGTACAGGAACTCTGTACTATCTTTGTAACTTTTCTGTAAATCCAAAAACAGATAGAAAACAAAATTTCCCACAAACTCATGAAAATTATTTTAACATATTAAAGTACAGACAGACTTCCACAAGTTTAGAAGGCTGACTTGTGCAGAATACCTACTTAAGATATCCACACTTAATCAGTCTGGTATAGTACCTCACGCCTGTAATCTCAGCACTCTGGGGGGCTGACTGAGGCAGGAGGAGCACTTGAGCCCAGGAGTTCAAGACCAGCCTGGGCAACATAGCAAGATTCTGTCTTTAATTTTTTAAAAATTAATATAATCACACTTAAAGCCCTTCTTGAGACCTATAGCACCATTTTGCTAGACTTGGAAGTTTAAGGTTTTCAGATTTGAATTCCCAGAGTATAAAATCAAAGTCTGTTTTCCAAAAGTTCACTTAACTCTTGAAAAAAGAATTGCACTGAGAATTTATCTCAGCAGAGTGTGGTGAATTTGGATGAATCATTTAGCCTTGGGCCATGAGGTTATCCCAACTATAAAATAAGATCCCTCTTAGTTTTAAAATTCTGTAAATATGCCTCTCTCAAACATTGTAAATATTGTTTTAAAGTGAGGTACAAATTCCAAGGGAAAAAATAAAACTTTGACTAGGCAATTGATTCCACAAACATTTATTAAGTGATAATCACTGTGCTAAGTACAACAGGAGCTGTAGCCCTTGCTCTCCAGAGGTCTGGCGAAAGAGATATGTAAACAAGCTGTTACAGCCATGTATAAGTGCTCTAAAAAAAGTATTAACAAGGTGTGCTGTGGTACACAGGAAGAAGTTGCTTCATTCTTCTGGAGATGTTACAGAAGGTTTGGACATAAAAAAAAAAAAACAGGAATACCATGAAATAGTACTGTTTGATCTAATCAGAGTCAATGAGGGATTAGTCCTATACTAGTAAACATTTATCTTCATTGGCTGTTTGTAAATATCTGGGAATTACTGGATTTTCCCAGTGCTAAATTGGCTGCAGAGTCAGAAATTTGGTTGCTACAGAATTGTGCCAGAAAAGCACAAGTATCTCAAGTTGCAGATGCATTCTCTTGGGAATGTCTGAAATCTGTCCCCTGAAATGATTTAATTGCTGTCACATGAACAACATAACTTTCCAGAAAAGGCAGTGTGTTGGCTGACATAGTCTGTCATTACTAAATCAAGCCTTCATAAAAACCTCATGCCTCACAGGTCATTCCATTTCCATCTTATAGCTGAATATTTCTAGTTTAGCCTTTGCAATATATAGTCTTATATGGTCTTCGTATTCAGTTTTGCTTTTAAATTCTGAATAGCATGGTAAACAGTAATTTAGAGTTCCTAAGCAAAAGTTCAATATTGGACCCTACTTTGATTCTAAGCTTGCAAATTCTGAATAATTCTATTTGAACAGACCTTTCTTTAGCAGGGAGAACGTGACTATGGAGGACGTTTTGTCACTTAAATGACCATAAGTGGAGGAGATGAGTGCTTCCTCCTGGGATGTTGCCCAAGACAAGTAAGAATATTCGAGAGGGATGCAGAAAACTGGCTAATGTTACTTCTTCAATTCCCAGGGCCCAGCTAGAGAAGTGCCTTTTGCTGGGAATGATAATTCTGGAAAATTCCCTACCAGCAACAAGCGAGACAGACAGGAGCGAAATAGCAAGCACAGACTGAGAACTGGGCAAAGTGCACAACAGAGAGATAGGCAGAAGTGTCTTCCCACGCTAATCTCCCTGTTCTGCCAGATCACAGCGTGTATGGACATGAGAGGAGCCAGGTGGCTGTGGGAGGTTTTCTCCCAGAGCAGTATCTACAGTTTTCTTAGGGCAGAGCTGCAAGGGAAAATATCTGTGACAACAAGAGTTGTTTCTAAGCAGACACAGGGCCTTTTGCTTCTAAAAATAATAGCGATTAGGGTTTTTTTCTGATTATAAATGTAGCAAAGTCTCATAGAGAAAGGTATACAAATTGCAGAAAAGCAGAAAGAAGAATATAAAGGTTACCCATTACATCTCCACGCAAAGATTGTCACTATTTAAATTTTGGTAAATTTCTTTCCAGAATTTTATGTGCATACATATGTTCAACATGGTTCAGAGAATACTGTACATACAATTTCATATTCGGTTATTTTTCAGTTAATATTGTGAGGAAGCCAGAGATCACTTCCAACCCCACTTTTAGCTCTTAGTGGGCTTTTTAGCTGGATGTAGAGGCCAAATTGAGAGCAGGCAGATTAACAAGAGAAAAGCGTACAAATTTTATTACTTTTACATGTACATAAGGATCTCCACAGGAAAGTGAAGTGTGAAGAAGTAGTCAAAGCAAGATGCTTTTATACTTTTTTAGACAAGGAACAATAAATTTGAGTAGAAATGACAGGACAAAGACAATCTGGCTAGGGACAGTGAATTTTCTAGAGGAGTCACTAGGAGATATATGGTGGGGTATAAAACTGGTGAAAGATAAGAGTTACTTCATTAAGTATGTTTGTTTAGGTCCATTGTCAACTGCAATTCCAAGTCTCTGGTGATAAGAGCTGTTTTCTCGCCCTAGTATGGAGAGGGTACTCCTCCCAGAGAAATCTTTATTGCTTACTATATACAGAGAGACAGGTCAGCTTCCTTTTTCTAAGACTAAATTTTCTCTAATGTTTTCAACTCAAAATAATATGTCAACCTGACATATTTTAAAATGACACATCCTCCACATCCTAGCTTATTAAAAGAAAAACTCTCTTTAAACATTATTTAGTGGTGCATGTTCATCTTATGATGAAATTTATTTATTATAAATCCTAAATTTATTCATTCACTTAAGAAATATTAAGAAAAATGTATTTATTCATCTAAGACCCAAGCATTTTGCCAAATGCTGAATGTGTAATAATTTCCTTAACCATTCTTTAATTGTTGTTGGTCATTCAATCTGTTTCTTATAGCATTTTTTTGAGGCTTTAGACAAAAAGTGTAAATAGAGAATCAGCTTGGAGAAGATGTTTGAAAAAGTACTGGGAAAGGAATTTAGGCTACAAGAATGAGATGAGGGAGAAGGTCCAGTGACAGCTGCCTTCTTACCACTAAGGTGCCCCAAAAATATTTCCTGCAACACCAGGGATTGTTTATGGACAGTGGCATCTTCGTGGCACCAATATCATGTAACATAATGATAGAGATTCACTAACTTCTGCATCATTTCTGGAATTAGCCAATATGACTTCCTCACTTTTGGGCACTGTCTAGATACGCACTGTCTGACTAGCACAACCAGTGCTAGAGGCTGTTGGGTTAAGAAAGGGAAAGGTTGGCTCACACCTGTAATCTCATTTCTTTGGGAGGCTGAGGCAGGAGGATCATGGGAACCCAGGAGTTTGAGACCAGCCTAGGCAACATAGTATGACCTCATCTCTACAAAAAAATGTAAACATTAGCCAGGCAGTGATGCATATCTGTAGTCCCTGGTACTTGGGAGTTTGAGGTGGGAGGATTGCTTGAGCCTGGGAGGTCAAGGCTGCAGTGAGCTATGATCGCACCACTGCACTCCAACCAGGATGACAGAGGGAGACTCTGTCTCAAAAAACAAAGGAGGGGTGGGGAAGTGTCAATTTAGGGGAAATGTAAGGCACAGCTTTCTCAGTGGCGTGAGTGGAGCTATTTTAGCTACCACTAAAAGTCCGAGGGTTGTAATTAAGTCAGGATGAACATACATTGTATTTCCAGAACCATCCCAATGGGACAGACCCTTCTAAGGCAATTTCCCCTTCCTGCTGTCCCTTCTTTGACTACAGTGCAGGGAGCAACAGCTACCCCTATGCTAAAATACCTTCTCTTGCCTCTGTAGAGTTCCCAACAGAGATCTAAGCTATACCTGAGCTTGTTTAGAGGCCTTATACTAGTTCTGGACTTTCTATCTCTTTAGCATTCAGCTCTAGCTGACCCACATAAGTTCAGTTTGTCAAAGACTCATTACCATGCAGTCTTTATGGGTATAGCATTATCCTAAGAAGGACAGTTATAAATAACTCCCAGAAAAAACACTCAGAGATATCTTGAAATATCAAGATGGCAGCATGCGACACAATATGCAGCTTACAGGAGTGGTGAACACTGAAAGTAGTTGGACTACATGTATGCACCCTGCATCATGCAGTAGCTATTCTCCTGAGAATCTGTGAGAAAATCAAGTGTCCTAGAAGTTAAGGGCTCAGGCTTTTGAGTCTTAGAGGCCTGGATTTGAATTTTGGCTCTATTAGCCACTTGGCCACTGTTTCACTTAGGACAATTTGTTTAATCCTGTAGGGCTCGGTTTCTTCATCTTTGAAACAAAAATATTATAAGAATACCTCATAGATGACTAAATGAAATAACATGTGAAGCTCTTATCTGGCACATAGTAAGTGCTCAGTAAATAGTAGTTATTATTATTAGAGTAGAAATGATTTTAAAATTAATTGAAGCTGGCCGGGCATGGTGGCTCATGCCTGTAATCCCAGCACTTTGGGAGGCTGAGGCGGGCAGATTGTGAGGTCAGGAGTTCGAGACCAGCCTGGCCAATATGGTGAAACCCCATCTCTACTAAAAATACAAAAATTAGCCAGAAATCGCTTTAACCCGGGAGGCGGAGGTTGCAGTGAGCTGAGATCATGCCACTGCACTCCAGCCTGGGCAACAGAGTGAGACTACATTAAATTAAAAAAAAAAAAAGCAGCAATTTGGCAAATGGGTTGGCCTTTGCCTTTAAGTTTAGTCAGAACCTTAAGAAAGAGAATGGTGTTTACTGTTTTTAAATTCCAGAAGGGTATTTGAAGACTAAAGTAAAAAAAATAAGAAGATCCCTTGGAGCAGACTTCAAATGTTTCTTCCTCAGTTTTCTTAAAGCTGTATCAGTTTCAGTGCTAACCTAAGCTGAGATTATTTTAAATACTTGGAGAAAGCTGGCATTTAATTTAGCTGGAGCTAGTGTTTTGCAGTTGTCTTCCAATGAAAGAATCTACCTCATTGGGAGATGTTGAGCAGTAATAACACAGCTGTTCAAAACTAGTAAAAATCCTAAAATGACTCGTAAGGGACAGTGCAGAGGCTGCCTTCACAAGATTTTGTAACTCATTTGAAATCAAAGACTGCAAAGTACCAAAGAGGGAGCTCTGGTTATTCTAGCCTGGGCCATCAGAGTGGCATTGAACAATTGATTAAGGACTCTGGCTGTGTCAGGCACTGTGCTAGGGATATACTGGTGGGTAAAACAGACTCCCTGTCCTTAAGGAGCCAACAGCCATATAAGCAGGCAATTCCAGGGAACACAGGCTATTGTGGGATCAGGCCAGTCCCACAGCATTTCAGATTTAGAAAGTAAATTCCATCAGTTTACCTGGAATTGACTAGGTAGTCAGGAAAAAGAGAACATTAAGAAGGGAAACATAATTAGGAAGCAAGAACTGAGCTAGAACTCACCACACTCTGAGGGATAAGCTAGAATGTTTATTATTATTATTATTACTAATATTTTTGAGACAGAGTTTCTCTCCTGTTGCCCAGGCTGGAGTGCAGTGGTATGATCTCGGCTCAGGGCAACCTCCACCTCCTGGGTTCAAGCAATTCTCCTGCCTCAGCCTCCAGAGTAGCTGGGATTACAGGTGTGCACCAACACGCCTGGCTAATTTTTGTATTTTTAGTAGAGACGGGGTTTTGCCATATTTGCCAGGCTGGTCTCAGATGGGTTCAAGCAATTCTCCTGCCTCAACCTCCCGAGTAGCTGGGATTACAGGTGTGCACCAACACACCTGGCTAATTTTTGTATTTTTAGTAGAGATGGGGTTTTGCCATGTTTGCCAGGCTGGTCTCAAACTTCTGACCTCAGGTGATCCACCCACCTCAGCCTCCCAGAGTGCTGAGATTACAGGTGTGAACCACCACACCCAGCAGAATACTGATTTAATACTTTACAATGAGATCTTCATCTTTCCAGCTATCAGATCACTTGTGCTCAGCCTGCAGGGTAACTCCCCTATGCCAAGGTTCCCAGGGATGAGCTTGGTGAGCTCACAAGTTAGAGGAGGTGAATAGTTTTGAGGGATATTTCATAAAAACCCACAGAATTATTCTTGTCCTCAATAGATTTAACCTTTCCAGAGGCCAGAATATTCTGATTCCATCCTTAGGTAGATCTGGATGAACAGACTCCGATAGGTTGGCCACTCAGGCTTCCTTTTTAAAAACTCCATGTTGATAATCACACCCTGCAAATGCAGTCTTTTAAATATGTTTTTTGTTTATTAGGTAATTCACTCACGTGTTCAAAGGTACAATAAGGCTTACAGTGGAAAATCTCTCTCATTCCTGTTTCCTAGTCATCCAGGTCCCCTCCCCAGGGACAACTTAGGTTATCAGTATCTGTGTATCCTTCCAAATATATTTTATTGATGCAGCCCAAATAATATTTTCTAAAAAAATTGCAGCTTTATTTACATTCCAGGCATGAGAATATACTTTAGTCACCTTGTTTGAACTTGAGTAATACATTATTGTTTCTAATTTACTTTGAGAGATATCCTTCCCCTAAACTGTAGGTACAAATGTCTCTTAGAATAGGTGACTTCTGTAGATAGCTAATCTCATCCAGTGTATCTGTGTGTATATGTGTGTGCTTAACCAATTTCACAGAGTATCTGTATTCTTAAGTTCTAGGAACACCTTCCTCTGTACTTGTTTATGCCCTATGTACAGATTCTGAAGTCAACCATGATATAGAAATAATAAATTCTTACAACGGGCTCTTTTGTTGTTTATTTTGTTAATCCAATGACTTTACTTGCTTTTTTAATTTCAAGACACATTTCAAAAACTCTGTGCTTTGTTGGTTGGAACTAGGGAGAGTTGGGCATATCTCGAAAGCAACAGTGATGAGGAAGAATTGAAAAGCTGAATTTTTGCCATGCTTCTGGTATGTTTTCTATTCCCTGTCCTTTTAGACCCCTTTATACACACACTATCCTAAATTATGCCTTTAAGTTAAGCTACAAAGATGAACTACTATTAGACTTGAATATGCATAACGACTAGGTATGAGACCACCAAGATCCTAAAATTATTGGTTCAATCAAAGTATTTAATGGTATCTACTGCCAATAGGGGAAGGCAAGACAAGACTTCACAGTCTATTCCATTTCTTCTGAATAAGGCAGCAACTAAAGACCACGGAGTTGCCAACTATCACTATATAGATACTTTGCAGAGTTGGCCCAGTATTAGACAAACAATCTAATATGGAAAGCTTGTACTTTAAATTGATGAGGTCACTCTAGAAATTGTTACCAAATTTTTTCAAAAACAGAACATAGAAGAGAATGAAAAAATATAATTGTAGTGAATGAATAAAAGTGTGGTATAAAAGGGGAAAAAGGACAAAGAATGAAAGTAAATCAGAGGCATAGCAAAAAGGAGGAGTGAGTGCTTTGATTTGCTTTTATAACAGTAGGACTGGTTTGGGTGGCGCTATCCACACACTTTCTGCTGGATCCCAGGAGATAAGGGTATGCTCTTTGGCTATGAGTTTTTCATTATGTAAAACTTAACAACATCGTAAACTTCATTATTACCAGACACTCCCAATTCTTACATCTGCAAAATTAAAATAGTGCTTTTAATGGGTGGCAAGAGGATGTCCTCCAATCTCAAGCAGAAATGGTATAGTAATCTCAAGGGCTTGTTATGTGTACTTACTGTACTCTTCAGTTCTTTTCAGGAGAAGCACATCTCTGGCTGCCCTCAGTACACTAAGAGAATCAGACCTCAGAGGTGGCTGCATTTTATTGTTGGGAGTAAGTACTTTTTAAATTTTGAGAAATGTTAGAGATTTCCCAAAACCTCACTAGAAGTATGAAGCCTTGATTAGAAAGATAAAGGGATTTGGTTCCAGGTCACACAGCAAATTAAGTGGCAGAATTAAGTTATGAACCTAGACTTACTCCTTTCACCATATTATGGCATTTGGGGGCCTCCTTATTGCTAGAGTAGTAACACATTACCTCATATAGCTTTTTTTTTTTTTTTTTCCCCAGATGGAGTCTTGCTCTGTCGCCCAGGCTGGAGTGTAGTGGCTCGATCTCAGCTCAGTAGCTGGGATTACAGGCACCCACCACCATGCCCGGCTTTTTTTTTTTTTTTTTTTTTTTTTTTTTGAGACGGAGTCTAGCTCTGTCGCCCAGGCTGGAGTGCAGTGGCGCCATCTCGCCTCACTACAAGCTCCACCTCCCGGGTTCACGCCATTCTCCTGCCTCAGCCTCCCGAGTAGCTGGGACTACAGGCGCCCGCCACCACGCCCGGCTAATTTTTTTTTGTATTTTTAGTAGAGACGGGGTTTCACCATGTTAGCCAGGATGGTCTTGATCTCCTGACCTCGTGATCCGCCCGCCTCGGCCTCCCAAAGTGCTGGGATTACAAGCATGAGCCACCGCGCCCGACCTAGTTTTTGTATTTTTAGTAGACAGGGTTTCATCATGTTGACCAGGATAGTCTCAAACTCCTGACCTCAGGCAATCCGCCTGCCTCGGCCTTCCCAATTGCTGGGATTACAGGCGTGAGCCACTGCACCCGGCCTCATACAGCTCTAATGCCACGCATCAAGTTCTGCATGTACAATCTCTCATTTTGGCCTCTCAGCAACCCCCCATGTGCTAGGGACAGTAAATTCTATTGTTCTCACTTTGCAGATAAGAAGACTGCAATTCAGGAAGACATATAGTAGTCTATAAGTGATTCAGGACTGGAACTCAGTTATCCTAATTCCCTCTCGGAGGCTCTTTCCACCATGCCATCTGCTCGTCTGGTGCTTTCCATCCATGAACTCTGGAAAACAAGCTTGAGATACCAAAATTGAAAAGACAGCTCATCAAAAATGAATAGTTATAATTCTATAAGTACAAAAATGAAATACTCAAATCTCTTGCCCCCCCTCCTGCTAGGAGCATAAATGTTAACCTGAGTTCTCTAGCTCTGTACAAATCCACAGCAATTAAGACTGCACTGTGAGGGAAAATACTTTTCTAAAAAAGAATCCTGATCAAGTTGAAACAAAAATTTTAAAACATGAAATGGAAGGAACGAAACTGTCGTCCTCCCTTATTTCTGACCCACACTTGTCGATTTTCATGACGGAGTTTCTCAAGCCAGGGGCATATGGCCAAAGACCATGTGAAATGCCAGGTGTTCCAAATAACAACCGACGGGGTACTGGAAGGAAAGCACTGCCTCCCCGGGGAACAAATGGCCCAATTTCCAGACTTAGTTTTCTGCAGTCTCAAACCCGATGTTGCACCAAGAAACCACCTAATCTTTAGGTGGTTTCGTTTACCGAAAAATGAGGTGACTGGTTCAGTGCGCATATGTGAATTTAAGGGTAACACTGTACTCACGCTTTGCATATTTAAATTCTCAAATATTCACTTAATATATGCATAGACCATTGTCACTTCGTCAGAAGTCGCGTCCTGCCCAGTTGCGCGAGACTCCAACGGGCCTTCTTGCGACGCTCGGGTCTGGGTCCGGGTCCGGACGTGCAACAGAAGCCGTCAGTGGCCCCGCTGGCTAAAAAAGGGCAAGCATCGGAGGCTCGAGCCAGCGGCCGCGGCGCTTCCCGACAGTTCCTAATTCGGGGCGCTACGCCGGCCCCACCACCTGTTCCCGGCAGCCAATGGGGCCGCGGGGGGCGGCCGGGGCGGAGCGCGGCTACAAAAGGCCTCGGGCCCCGCGCGCCCGCCCACCCCGCTCCGGGCGCGCTCTCGGGAAGGCTTGGACCGACGCGGCCCAGAGGCCAGGAACATTCCGCGCGTGGACCAGCCGGGCCAGGGCGATGCTGCGGGTGCGGTGTCTGCGCGGCGGGAGCCGCGGCGCCGAGGCGGTGCACTACATCGGATCTCGGGTGCGTGCGCCACCGGCCTCGTCTGGCGGCCGCGTGACTCACTCGATCCTGCGGGCGGCGTGGAGCACTCGCTCGCTCCCTGCCCGGAGCCGCCACCTTCCCTCGCTTTCCCTAGCCGGAATTGCACGAGAGTGTCCCTTCTGGTATCCCTGGGAAGCTCAGCTTCAAGAGCCTTCGCAGGCTCCAGGAGCTGGGCGGCGTCCCCCAGTCAGGGGGAACTTGCGTTGCGGCTCCAGCCCTTGGGGTCCACTTGCTGTCTGCGCGTCCGCGGCCTGCTGGCCCACGGCGCAGGGGGCGCCGCCCCCCTCTACCGGACCTTGGTGCGCTGCACCAAGCTTCCCGCTCGGAGCAAGGGGTTGGGACGACGGAGGCTCCTCTTAGTAAAAGGGTGGCGTTATTGGGGTTCAGTAGCCTGAGTGGGCGTCGAGTTGGGGAGATTTCTGGAAAATGCGTGTGGGGTAGATGGATGGGGAGAAGAGGCAAGCAAAGTGGGAATCGGGGACGGGGAGCGAGCGACCAGATTCACTCCAAGTATAACATGGGATCCCACGTCTGGAGAGGAGTCGGGGCGAGTGCAGCCTGTAAGCAGAGTTTCTGCGCTCCCCGCCCTCGGCTGCCCTGGCAGCAGACCCTCCCATGCTTCTAGTACTGGAATCGCTCCGACATTCTGGCTTCCTCCCAGCAACTGGTTCCTGAACAGCTGTCATTCTCCGTCTTTCTTCTGCCTCCACCCGAGTTCTCCTCCTGCCCACTTCCTAAGGCTTTTAACAGAGCAGGATAGAGATTTGGGGGGTTGAGGTTTGCTCAGGGGTTGAGGGACCCTCCCTGCTCTAGATTTTATAGGCCATGCATTTTTAAAAGGCTTTTGAAGTTTTTAGATCTCCTTCTTATTTGTTTGAATTTACGCCTGAGCTAATCCTGACCTTGGCTAGGGTACTGTGGACCATCTGTAAAATGGAGCAGATGGCAGTTGCTCACTCTCAGAATTGAAGTGCCAAAGAATGCGAAGTGTATGTCAAAGATGAAAAAAATTTGATTTGAAGCTGGTTATTCTGAAAGATAAGGTCCTTTACAAATGTTCCCAACTTTTCATTTGTAAAAAAAAATAAATAAAAAGCCTAATATTGGTAACCTTTGATACTTAAGGGAAAAGGAGGTTCCGTCCCCAGCTGAGACTGGCGGGAAGTTTTAGAGCAGCTGTCTATGGTTTTCTGAGAGGAGGACTGACCCATCTGCAAAACAGTTGCTTAAAGCTTGAGTGCAGGAATTGCATTCTGAGATAAAGATGGGGGTGTATGGTAGCTGGGGACACGGTCTTCTGAGGAGTTTTAAAGAGTTACAGCAATTAATAGATAAGAAGACAATTTGTAGATAAACAAGAGGGTTAAAAAAATTATCTGTAATCCCACTACCCACCTACACACTGTTAACGTCTTGGTTTATGCTGTTCTAAAGGGGTTTAAGTGGCAATGTTATGCTGGATTTTTACTCCATCTCCACTTCCTCCTCTCTGTAAGTACTGATAGAGCAATGCAATACAATAATCTTTTCTTTGTTCTTGGAAGCTTGGACGAACCTTGACAGGATGGGTGCAGCGAACTTTCCAGAGCACCCAGGCAGCTACGGCTTCCTCCCGGAACTCCTGTGCAGCTGACGACAAAGCCACTGAGCCTCTGCCCAAGGACTGCCCTGTCTCTTCTTACAACGAATGGGACCCCTTAGAGGAAGTGATAGTGGGCAGAGCAGAAAACGCCTGTGTTCCACCGTTCACCATCGAGGTGAAGGTAAAGGAAGGCTATTCACATGTCTGAAAGTGCGCTCCCTCCTCACCTGCTGCTGCTACCCTCTGACTGCTTTCCCTTCAGCTTACTCCCAGACCTCTCAATCCAGTGATTAAGTTATCTTACTTGACACCTCTGTGGTATTTGACACTATTTACACCAATGATAATTGCTTCCTTCCTGAAGAGCTTCCTGAAGCTCTTCCCTTGGATTCTGAGAGAGCTTTTCTGGGAATAATAGTTCTTTCACTGTCCTCAGATCTTCTTCCGTCACAGCCTGTAATGGCAAGGTTGAACAGAATATTACTTTCAGCCCCCTTCTCTTAGCCATTCTCACAGCTACCGCTCCCACCTCCTCTCTGGTCCGGATCTCTGTATTGAACTCCTTCCAGATCAACGAGTTAAACTCCTTACGGGATATTGCCACAGGACTTCAAACTTGGCACATCTGGAGTTCAGTTGCCAGCCACCTGCTCAAGTGGATCCCTCCTCATTCCTGCCTTTTAATTATTGGCATTCCTATTTAATCAAGCTAAAACACAAAAGAATCATCTTTGATTTCTCCTTATGTCACGTGATGTAACAAGGCTTTTGTCAAAAATGAATCTTGCCTCATTCCTCTGCTTTGCCTCTCCCTAAAGGTTGGGAGCTCATCTGCTGCCTGGACTATTGCAGTTAACTCCTAACTGGTCACTCCTACTCACTCTTCTCACCAAATCACCTGGCAGCTGCAATCCAAGTGATTTTTTAAAACTCAGATGTGATCATGTTACTCATCCTGCTTCTTTTCCTCCTGTACTTTGCTAGGCGACCCCCACTACCCCACCACCCCCCGCATTGTTTAGGATAAAGTCTTCATGGTATTCAAGATCCTTCACAATCTGACTCTTGTCTGCATTTCCAGGATTCCCCATTCCAGTTATTGACTCATCTGTTAGTACAGCAGATTAGCAGGTGTTCATTTCTGGTCAAGTCCCTCTATCCTCTAATATTCCACCCTGGTTTTCAGCAGACTTTATAAGACAACCATATAAGGCAGCTAAGCTAGACTACTCACTGTTTCTTCACAAGCCCTGCATCTTTGCCCCTACCTAAGTCTCTTCCATCCATCTTCCTGTGCCCTTTAGTCTGTAGTTTAAACCTACCACCACCTAGCTTCAATGACACCTTTCACAAAGTCTTCCAGGATTTCCCTGGCAACAAGTAATATCTCTCTTTTTAAAAACTCCTAGTGGTGGCCAGGCGCGGTGGCTCACACCTGTAATCCCAACACTTTGGGAGGCTGAGGCGGGTGGATCACGAGGTCAGGAGATCGAGACCATCCTGGCTAACACGGTGAAACCCCGTCTCCACTAAAAATACAAAAATTAGCCAGGCGTGGTGGCGGGTGCCTGTAGTCCCAGCTACTTGGGAGGCTGAGGCAGGAGAATGGCATGAACCCAGGAGGCAGAGGTTGCCGTGAGCTGAGATGGCGCCATTACACTCCAGCCTGAGCAACAGAGTGAGACTCCATCTCAAAAACAAACAAACAAACAAAAACTCCTAGTGGTTTTTATCTGTAACGTTCTTATATCCAGGGCCTCTATGGGCTGGTGTTCAGGTTCTATACTGCATAAGGATTCCATATCTAAGGGACCACTTTCCACATTGTAGACACAGCCTAGACTCCTATTAATAATGGGTTACAAATGTATCTTTAGTGTCCTTAAATTTTTCCTGAATATTTACACTTTTATTTGTAAAGTGGATTGAGGAAAGAAGTTCTGTAACAGCATTGTCGTGGTCTTCAGAAATATTGCCTACCATGTACCAGGGCTCTAGAGGTATTAATATAAAAGATCTTCCTTTCTATTTGAAGAGATTTGATGTTCACATAGAAACGAAGACCAAGTATCTTATTCCAGTCGACTGACAAGGCAGTTGAAGTGCCAGGAAAGAGGAATGACCAAGGGCTGGCCAGTTAAGAAGTCCTCTTGAAGAAAATGACTCCTGAGTTAGACTTGGAAGACAGGGAAATAGAAAAAGTAATAACTTCTAATTGTTCTGAAACTATCTTTGGTTCTGATATTTGGAATTTGATGAGAAGATTAATTTATACACCATCCACATGTTTTTAAAAGGCATAGTAGTCTTTTTAAGTCTTTTCTTGAAAAGTCCCATCCCCTAACCATTTTAATTGGGTGAAATTAAAATTTAAATCCAAGCAATAATTTATCCTTCTACTTGTCTTTAAAATGATAGACTTTCATATCATGCGATTTTACAGAATCAGAATTCTCAGAGGTAATTTTGAGTTCTTTGTCACTTGATTTATGACTTTAGACTTTGTCATTTCATGGACTTGTGGAAAAAGTACCATGCTGAAGTCAGGAGTCTGGGATTAATTAGGTATTTGATAAAAACTTGATAGCTAGTCTCGGTTACTTAGCTATTTGACCTTGTACAAGATTCCACAAATTTCTGGGCCACAGTAAAATGAAGATATTAAGAGGTTTGCTAGTTTGCTATCTACCTAACAGGATTAAGGATTAATCTAAAGATAAAAGGTTACATGTTAAGTATTTTAAAGGACAACACAACAACTTATTATAGTTGTATGGATCCAGTTTGCCAATTACATTCCAAAGGTACTTTGTCGGTGTAATAGTTGTAGATATCAGTAACATTAGCAGTATTGATTTCATTCGTCTGGTTCTTTTTGTTTGTTTATTCTTCTTTCTCTTTCTCTCTTTGATTCTAGACAGGAAATAATGGTTATTTCTGTTTCATGCCATGTGCTAAGCCTGGTTTTGAGGGAGAAGAAAGTAAATCTAAGACATGCATGGATCCTAGCAAGCAAGGCCATGCCTCGTAGTAGAGAAGAATGACACATATATTAATCAGTTTGGGAACAATAAAAGAAAAAATAATGTAGTAAACTGTCCATAGGCAATCAGAGCAGAAGATGTTGGAAGATATAAGTACTAGAGAAATTTTAAGGAAAGGAATGTGGAACATAATTGTTGGGAAGCATAATTTTTTAAAGCTCTGTGACTTTTTGTTCTGCAAAATATAGTAAATATCTGCTATCAAATATATATATATATAGATATATATTTTTTTAAGATGGAATCTCGCTGTCTCGCCCAGGCTGGAGTGCAGTGGCGTGAGCTCGGCTCGCTGCAAGCTCCGCCTCCTGGGTTCATGCCATTCTCCCACCTCAGCCTCCCAAGTAGCTGGGACTACAGGTGTCCCCCACCAGGCCTGGCTAATTTGTTTTTTTTGTATTTTTAGTAGAGACGGGGTTTCACCGTGTTAGCCAGGATGGTCTCGATCTCCTGACCTCGTGATCCACACGCCTTGGCCTCCCAAAGTGCTGGGATTGCAGGGGTGAGCCACCGTGCCCAGCCTCAAATATGTTTTTTGTTTTGCTTTTGTCTTTTAAAAATAAAGCCCTTGATAAAGGACCTTTTATAAAATACAAGATTAATCAAGATTAGTGTAATATAAGCTTACAGCTGGATAAATACATTTCTGTTGTCATTTCTTAGCCTTCCAAAGACAGTATTTAAAAATTCACTTGGCAAACCTTTGTAAAGGGTTTTAGGCTTTGAAAGAATATAAAGGTTCAAGGAATGCAGACATACCTTTGCAACAGATTATTAAAAGCATCATATGCTAAGCGTCTAATATAGTGTTCATCATCTTGCAAACAACTTGGTGAATGATTGCTGGCTCATTTAGCAGGGTTATAAAGGAAGTGTAAACAATTTCTAGCTATCTCTTGTAAAACGTATTGTGCCCTGATCATTTGTACTTTGCCCAACCTTTGCCAGATTATAAACTCTACAAGAAAAAATCACATTTGTTCAAATAACCTTTTTCTCCCAGGAAGGTTTAATTTATCAAGGCAAGCTTCACCCTGCACAAATAGTCACGGAGGATACTTTGGAATGAGTCTGGCAAGACAGCATAACTCTGCATCTGCTGTAACCCAGTGTTAAATTTTCAAAGGCTTCTTGTCCCTAGTGGATTGTAGGAGATGTGCCTGGCATGAGAAGGAGGAAGTGGTGAATGGATGAGTAGTACCAGCATGTATCTGAGAGGAATATAAAGAGTCATTATTATCCTCTTTCTGGTTGCTGTTGCAGAAATTCCTAGGAGTAGAAAACAGTGGAGTGCTTTTATTTTGTTTTTTGAAAGGGTAGCTTGGTCTTTAAAAATGTTTAATGATGATAACATTTTTCATTAGTCCAGAAATTCAGCCTGCTGTTTGCCTATAGACCTTAGTAAAAGAGCTAATTAATGATTCAGACCCCAGGCGTCAGCAAACTTCATCTTTCTACCAGATAATAAGTAATTTAGGCTTTGCAGACCATCGGTCTCTGTTGCAACTACTCAACTCTCAGCTGTGCCATTGTAGTGCAAAAGCAGCCATAGACAATACGTAAACAAATGAATGTGCCTGCGTTCCTGTAAAACTTTATTTACAAAAACAAGCAGCAGGCCAAATTTGCCTATGGACCTTTTTTTACCAGCCTCTGTTTAAGACTTTCACTGGCATCATTCAGTTTTTCTAAAGACCTGTTTCTTGGCTTATTCCTTATTCACCAAGCTAGGTTCCAGCGTAACTGATGTGAACCTGGATATTGAACTAACCAGAGATGGGTCCACTTTCATATATTTGATATTTGTCAGACTGAGATAAAAATGGAAGTCGAGACACAAAATCTAGAAAAGATATTGTTTTTGACATTAAAGAGCTAAACATCTAGACATTTGATCAGTCTTGATGAGTAAAAGCCATTGGGACAATTTGAACTTGTTAAGCAATTCCAGTCTTAAAAGTTTTTGCACATCTAGTTAGAAGTGTTCAAACCAGTATAACATGGCCAAGTCCCATGATGTATTAGGGACACTCTTTGAGTAACAGTCAGAGAACTTGAGTTCTAGTCCTGCTTGTCCAGATAGCTAGCAAGCATGTGACCTGCCAGAGCCTCTTTCCTTACATGTGAAATAAGCATATGAGAACTTGCCCTGTTTCTTTGATAGGATTGCTGGGAAACCAAATGAGAATATCCAGCTAAAGTAGACACACTGTGACACACTTGAGCCCATTACCAAGTTTTACACCTTTCTAGTACTTATTGCTATCTGAAATTATCTGATTTATGGTGGAGACTGTCATATCTGACATGATCAGGACTAGTAGTTTGTCAGTTCATCAATTATATAAATAAACATTTTTAAAATACCTGCTTTAACCAGTTTTAAACAAAAATTTAAATTAAAACACTTAAAACATTTTTAAACTTAAAATATATCAATGTACATTGCTTTGCTAATCTTTTGATGAAGGTTCAAGGCTTTTTCTTAGAGTCTGGATTCTCTGATTGGCGTTCTGCTTCATTTAGCTTGAAAAATGGGAAGATGCATCACGTACATTTCTCAATGTATTTATGATTGAGAAATTGACTAAGAACTTAGACATTTGGAAAACAATCTGAATGCAGAATCTGTCTAGATTTTTACATTTTTGAAAACCAATATTTTGGCCGGGCATGGTGGCTCACACCTATAATCCCAGCCCTTTGGGGGGCCGACGCGGGTGGATCACGAGGTCAGGAGATTGAGACCAGCCTGGCCAACATGGTGAAACCCTGTCTCTACTAAAAATACAAAAAATTAGCCGGGCGTGGTGGCATGCGCCTGTAATCCCAGTTACTCAGGGAGTTGAGGCAGGAGAATCATTTGAACCTGGTGGGAGGCGGAGGTTGCAGTGAGCTGAGATGGTGCCATTGCACTCCTGTCTGGGCAACAGAGTGAGACTCCATCTCAAAAACAAAAACAAACAAACAACAATATTTAACAGCTGTTGCACCTACCCTATTCAACAATAATTTTTAGCAAACTGATTGAGCCATTTTAAAGCATTCAAATGTTTTCTCTTTAGTTGTCTTCTAAAATACACATAGCCCTGGAAACTTTCTAAATTTTTTTTCAGTTATTAAAAATTTGTGAATTTGCTTATCATATCACTTCCTTGTATGACAAAAAGACTTGAAGAGATGTGAGAGCTGAATGGATTAGAAAAAGGAGAGGTGTGGTTGGTATGAGGCATATTGACAGGGAATTACCAAAGGCAGATTTGCACTGTCACACAATTTTGGCAAGTGTTAATTCTGTTGAATGGGAAAATCAATAATGTTTTTTTTTTTCTTTTTCTTTTTCTTTTTCTTTTTTTTTTTTTGAGACAGAGTCTCGCTTTGTCACCCAGGCTGGAGTGCAGTGGCACGATCTCAGCTCACTGCAACCTCTGCCTCCTGGGTTCAAGCAATTCTCCTGCCTTGGCCTCTGAAGTAGCTGTGACTACAGGCACGTGCCACCATGCCTGGCTAATTTTTGAATTTTTAGTAGAAATGGGGTTTCCCCATGTTGGCCAGGCTGGTCTTGAACTCCTGACATCAAGCTATCTGCCCGCCTCAGCCTCCCAAAGTGCTGGGGTTACAGGCTGAGCAACCATGCCTGGCCAATAATGGGGTTTTAAGAGAAATAAAGCATATTTGAAAGTATGCTCCTGATCTTAACGGGGCAAAATATCTTTTTTTTTCCCTTCACAAAATATCTTGAGGTGCTATTTTCTAGACAGAATTCTGAGATGCATGGATAGCCCATGGTTTTGGCTTAGTATAAGTGCTTTTATTCTCTTATGCTAGTTTGTGTGTTCTCTTGTTTCATTTTATTGAGGCTCTCTAATAGAAGTGCTATGTCCTGTTTTGTCTGCAAAGCATGGCAAAAAAACTGGCCAAGAGGATTCCAAGTCTGTCTGAAGGTAAACATGCTGTTAGTGGTTGGCCATGAGATCTCAGGCAGGAGGAGCAAAAGGCCTCAAAATATCAAGATGTTTTAGAGTTCTTCATTCAACAGATACTGAGTGTCTGCCCAGAGGGCTTATGTGCTCAATGCTAGGGATCAGCACTGAACATGGAGTGGTTGGAGTCTCAATTCCAATACCTTATACAAAGAGCTGTTTACTGCCTATGAACCTATCATGAGCTGTATTTTTCTCCTGTAAGTATTGTGTTTATTTGCTTCTACTTCCAGGCCAACACATATGAAAAGTACTGGCCATTTTACCAGAAGCAAGGAGGGCATTATTTTCCCAAAGATCATTTGAAAAAGGCTGTTGCTGAAATTGAAGAAATGTGCAATATTTTAAAAACGGAAGGAGTGACAGTAAGGAGGCCTGACCCCATTGACTGGTCATTGAAGTATAAAACTCCTGATTTTGAGTCTACGGGTAAGTGATGTCAGATAACTAAACTGCCAGTGTCTGAATTTTCAATTTCTTTCTTAATGTGTAAGGGGAAAGCTCCAAAAAATTTCTTGGAGAGTCCTTTGCTTTGCTAGTTCTTGAAAACTTTAAAGATTTATTTAGGAATGGTTTGGTCCATGTTGATATGATTAAGATGTATACATTCTAAACTCCATTCCATCTCGTGGAATCTCCTTGAAATGACAAGTTTTCCTAAACTTTATAGCCATTTCCTTACATAATAACAGTGGATTCGTTTAATTTTCCTCAAGAACAGAAATTAAAAGGGGAATAGAAACATTTCCATTTTATTTTTAACTGACATTGCTGCATGACTGTTCTTGTGCCTTAGGTCACTGTTCTAATTTCTAGTTTTAGATTGATCCTTGGCTCAATTTTTATCTTGTGATACCGATAGTCCTTTAAGAGCTGTGTTTCTGTATAGCAAGAAAGGAGCTTACAAATGGTGAAAGCTTGGTGGTTCAAGATCTCTTTGTACAAGGACTTTATTCCTTCACTTTTTTTTCTTTTCTTTTTTTTCTGGGCTTCCCCCCCACCACACAATTCATGTTAACAATCTAGTATGTGTTATTCGAATTTTTTGCTATTTTCATATATATATACACACATGTATTTCTAGCAATTTTTTTAACCAAAAAAAGAGGTAATATTATATAGACATTTTTTGTTTGTTTGTTTGAGACAGAGTCTCACTCTGTCGCCCAGGCTGGAGTGTGGTGGCACAATCTCGGCTCACTGCAGCCTTTGCCTCTTGGTTCAAGTGATTCTCCTGCCTCAGTCTCCCGAGTAGCTAGGATTACAGGCACGTGCCACCATGCCTGGCTAATTGTTTTCGTATTCTTTTAGTAGAGATGGGGCTTGACCATGTTGGCCAGGCTGCTCTTGAAGAGGATCAAGTGATCCGCCCGTCTTGGCCTCCCAAAGTGGTGGGATTACAGGCATGAGCCACTGTGCCTGGCCCTATATAGACCTTTTTTGTCTTGGAAATTAACACTACTGAAGTTGTCATGGAATTTTTTGGTCTGACAGGTTTATACAGTGCAATGCCTCGAGACATCCTGATAGTTGTGGGCAATGAGATTATCGAGGCTCCCATGGCATGGCGTTCACGCTTCTTTGAGTACCGAGCGTACAGGTCAATTATCAAAGACTACTTCCACCGTGGCGCCAAGTGGACAACAGCTCCTAAGCCCACAATGGCTGATGAGCTTTATAACCAGGTGAGTCCCTAATTATAGGCTAGCTTATTACTAACTTTTCTAAATGATCCACAAAGAGTAAGATAGAGATTCTCTGATACCTTGTATATATTATGCATTTTAGAAACCGAAAACATCATCTTATTTTTAAAAAGTGATTATTTTATGATGAATATGATAAGAGTAAATGATCCTATGATAATAATAATAATGGCTAACACTTTTTGGTGCTTACCTTGTTCTGGGTCCTGGGTTAAACCCTTTATTTACATCCTCAATCCTGTTTGTTTTTCACAACAACCCTAATCATACTGTAGTATCATTCCATTAGATGGGGAAAAACTTGCCTACAGGTGTACCACTGTTCATTAGTGGAACCAGAAAAGTCACTAGACTGAAGTTCACTTTCTTCTTCTAGAAAAAGAACCTGATCTACAGTTCAAATTCACAGTAAAATGAAATGTATGTCCCTTATTAAATCAGTTACCATTTGATCTTTTATAGAAAAAAATTTAAAAATCAAAATAGCTTCTGGGTTTAAAGACAGAAATAAATAATGAATTAGTTTTGCCACTCCCAATCAAATTTGGCAGGGGAAACATGGCATCTCGTTTTATGGTATGAGTTAAGCTCGGGACCAAATTCCTTTTCTAAAAGAACAGAATGACTTCATCCTGTTTACTTTCCGTACGGTTCATGGAATATTCTCAGAATCAGTTACTGCCTCTGTATCACTTTTTTTTTTTTTTTGAGATGGAGTCTTGCTCTGTCACCCAGACTGGAGTGCAGTGGCGTGATCTCGGCTCACTGCAGCCTCTGCCTCCCGGGTTCCAGCAATTCTCCTGCCTCAGCCTCCTGGGTAGCTGGGATTACAGGTGCATGCCACCATGCCTGACGAATTTTTGTATTTTTAGTAGAAACGGGGTTTCACCATGTTGGCCAGGCTGGTCTCGAACTCCTGACCTCAGGTGATCCACCTGCCTTGGCCTCCCAAAGTGCTGGGATTACAGGCATGAGCCATCTCACCTGGTGTGTACCATTTTTTTCTAAGTACATAGTGCCCCTTCATCCTCAGGGGATATGTTCCAGACTCTCAGTGGATGCTGATACTGAACTCTATATATTTTGTTTTTTCCTGTACATATATACATACCTATGATAAAGTTTAATTTACAAATTAGGCACAGTAAGAGCCTAACAACAATAATGAATAATAAAATGGAACAATTATATAAATATACTTTACTAAAAGTTAGGTGAATGTGGTCTCTCTGTTTCTCTCAAAATATCTTAATGTTTTGGGACGACAGTTGACTGAAGGTAACTGAAACCATGGAAAGTGAAATCATGGGTAAAGGAGGACTGTTGTATCAGGAAATTACTATAATGCTAGTTTCTTGTTTTATTGTTGTTTTGGTTTATTTATCATGGACCCGCTTCTTTCCCAGGCATGTTTTAGTCTAGAACTGAGTAGTAATATTTTGGGAAATGATGTTAAACTAATTTTCTTAGTACTGTATGCCTTATGAATAATTTTCTCATGATCCAGTGCATTGTGTGTGTTCATTCTTGTTCCAATTAGGATTATCCCATCCACTCTGTAGAAGACAGACACAAATTGGCTGCTCAGGGAAAATTTGTGACAACTGAGTTTGAGCCATGCTTTGATGCTGCTGACTTCATTCGAGCTGGAAGAGATATTTTTGCACAGAGAAGCCAGGTGAACGCAGGCTGCCTCTGAAATTTCACACTATATTATTGTATTCTTTACTTCCAAATTAAAATATTTTCATCCTAAATTTTTTTCACCTTGAATATTTTTAGTTTTCTAGACATAGAACCAAATATTTATCGATCGTATGTCTTTCTTTTGTTTTCAGGTTACAAACTACCTAGGCATTGAATGGATGCGTAGGCATCTTGCTCCAGACTACAGAGTGCATATCATCTCCTTTAAAGATCCCAATCCCATGCATATTGATGCTACCTTCAACATCATTGGACCTGGTATTGTGCTTTCCAACCCTGACCGACCATGTCACCAGGTAAGAGATTTCTTGGGACTCTGGAAAAGCAACAGAATCTAGTAACTAAAATAATTGCCACTTTTATTTTAAGCACTTCCATGGTTCCTAATGGTTCTAAATGACAGATTCAGCAGTACTCAACATTATTATGATCAAACATTGGATTCCTTATGGCTTATTACAAGATGTCCACCATGCAGAAATATACATAGTTGACACAATAATTAGTATGGGATCATCAGACTTTGGCCACTTGCTGTTGTCAGAGCCTCAAGTTTGTGCATATGTGTGTATTTTTATCAAACGATGGTGTTATAACTTGCAACAGTGGTTCCACAGCAGCGAATTTTGGACAAGATCATCCTTGCATGGCCAGGGCAATGCCACTGGGCAGTGGTTGTATTCCCTCTACAGTGGGGTAGCCTCCCTTTGGCCAACCCTGCTCTGTAGGGAAAAGTGAAGCCACTGCACTGCAGCTGGTCTATCCCCTTCACCTGCAGCCTCCTACTTTCTGTCCATAGCCTCCTACTTCCAGTTAGGTGATGAGTGATTTTCTGTTACTTGCAAGGCTGCAGTACAACTTTTAAAAACCACTGTTATACTGTGTCACTGTTCATTTCTGTTTTTTATTTTTAAACCCGATGACCATGACTACTTATTCATTTCATTTTATTATCATTTATTCGTATAGTAAGTGGGTATGTGAACACAGGGACGGCTAAGTTGTAAAAGGTCACTAAGGACAATATGGTTCTTTGAGAATGCATAGCTAACAACTGTCTTTATACCATGGTCCTAGATACAAAATGATGGGCAAGAAGTAGAAGGACTGTGGGTTTGATGTAGTCACATTTTTGTTTTCTTGTAACTAAATAGGAAATTTTTCAATTTTTAAAATGAGAATTTCTTAAGGACAGTATCTTTGGTTTTTTAAGTCTCTGAAACCTGAGAAAAGTTAAGACTATCTTTAAAAGCTGTAACATTTCTGTTACTTTTTAACTTTAATCTGGGGATTTTATGTACATTTTTAATTAGGATTCAGACAAAATCACCCAAATGTTTAGAAATTTTAATTTCTTTCTTTTGGAAGCTGAGAAGACAGCTTCTCAAAGAGAATTATTACTGATAAGGGCTATTAGAGACTAATAATAATAATAGTATATGTAGATTTAACGGTTTTGGGGGTTTTTTTTGGTCTTACAGATTGATCTTTTCAAGAAAGCAGGATGGACTATCATTACTCCTCCAACACCAATCATCCCAGACGGTATGTTTACTTTCATACACTGTTAGACTAAAATAATTACTTTAGTGACCAAGGATCTTTCTCCTATAGAGAGCAGCCCAAATGTTAGCAGCTTAGAGAATGTGTTTCCTCAGTAAGGTGTGAAGTGGTGCTTGGGACTGTGAGCATCAGAACAAGGCTGGGACTTGTGTTTGCAACTTTTTCATCCATAGAAAATGAAGTAAGGAGAAGACAGAATAAAACAACATCACGTAAAGCAAGATATGACTTTTTTTTTTTTTTTGAGACAGTGTCTTGCTTTGTCACCCAGGCTTGAGTGCAGTTGTGCAGTCACAGCTCACTGCAGCCTCAAGACTCCTGGGCTCAAGTGATCTTTCCACTCCAGCTTCCTAAGTAGCTGGGACTACAAATGCAGGCCACTATGCCCAGCAAGTTATTTTTTTTTATTTGTAGAGATGATGTCTTGCTGTGTTCCCCAGTGAGGCACCATCTCTGGGCAATAGTCTCAAACTCCTAGGCTCAAGGAATCCTCCTGCCTCAGCCTCCCAAAGTGCTAGGATTATACCATGCCCAGCCAAGATATGACTTTTAAAAGAAAACAGGGTGAAATTCAAATGTATAATGAGTACAGATTGATTCATACCATTTATAGATAAATTGTTTTAAGATTAAAATAAATGTTCACATGGAAAGTGAACTACTGAAAGAACTGAGCTGTCACTTTAATATTCTTCACTTGTAAATCCTTGCTTTAAACAAAAATGATAGCGGACATGGTTTAACAGTTGTTGCTGTTTTTAGATCATCCACTCTGGATGTCATCCAAATGGCTTTCCATGAATGTCTTAATGCTAGATGAAAAACGTGTTATGGTGGATGCCAATGAAGTTCCAATTCAAAAGATGTTTGAAAAGCTGGGTATGTACAACAAATGAAACATGTTGTCATACATGAAAACGTTAAATGAGAAGAACTAAAGAAATGACATGCTAGGTTTGATAAATGGTTTGTCTAATTCAATTTTGATTCCTTTTAGAGGCACCAAGTTATTATTTCACAGAAAGTCAGTATTTTTATTTTCAACACACGTAGCCCCAACAAGTTGGAGATGCATCCTGAGCTCCTGAGACATCCCCTTAACAATAAGTTTATAAATCTTATATGACTTAGCCAACGTTTTGGTGCCCATGTGCAGAAAACCACCCCTTTGCAGGTGAGCAGATAGCTTGTTCAGCCCTTCTTCAAATAAGAAATCATTGTGGGTCCTTTAAAAGTGTCCTGTCATCACATATTTCAAAGGACTCAAAAGGGTACGGATGCAGAAGTGACTTTTATGTGTGATAAGCATAGTTAACAAAGTAGCGAAATGCAAGAAAGTGTGTCAGTAAATCATTCAGTTTTGAACTGAAGAGCAGGACCAGGTTTTACTTAAGTAGTTTACTTATCCTGATATTCAAAATTTAGACCAATGATTCTAGTATTATTGAGAAAAATGTTGAAGGGAAAGGATTTTCATATGAGCTATTATAAAGGGGTGTGTGTGTGTATTTTGAGACAGAGCTGTGTCGCCCAGGCTGTAGTGTAGTGGCGTGACCTCGGCTCACTGCAACCTACACTTTCTGGGTTCAAGCGATTCTCCTGCCGCAGCCTCCTGAGTAGCTGGGATTACAAGCATACACCACCATGCCTGGCTAATTTTGTATTTTTAGTAGAGAGGGGCTTGGCCAGGCTGGTCTCGAACTCCTGACCTCAAGTGATCCATCCACCTATGCCTCCCATAGCATTGGGATTATGGGTGTGAGCTACCATGCGCGACTAGGAAAGTCTTTCTGAATGGCTCATGCCACCTTCCTCTCCCTGGCTATACCAATGGACCCTTTAGTGACTTTGTAGCCTATCCTCCTCTCAAAATAATTAGCTCCTTGAGGAAGAATAATAGATTTTCTTTTTAAAACCCCACTATATCTAACACAACAGATTCTTCCTAAATACCATTGGTTAAATAGGCCATGCACATCATAGCCTTGTCATTACAGATGGTACCAGATTAAACTGATTGTTGGATTTGCTTTGGTACCTGTATAACCATACAAACCCAGATATTAAAACACCAGCTCTGTTCCATTGTTTCCTTATGGTGGCCTGGTGAAGTTAATCTGTATCAGATAAACTCTCCTTATATGTGAATATGTAAAGTCAGCTTTTTAGGTCAGCTAAATTTTGCTTTGCCTACTAAATTAACATGGTAAAATTAGAAACAGTCTGACAAAGTAGTTAATGTATAATTCTAAAAGGCCTTGAGATTTTAGTACTTGACCATTTTGAACATTTGGTAGGTACATCTGCTCAGTCTATTGACTTGTGAATAGTCAATAGAACAAAACTTCAGAGTTCTCTGTTGACTTTTTGGAGAAGATTTTATATTAGCAGATGAAATATAGTTGGTGAAAATAAAATTGGAAGAGAAAATACTATTCTGGGTTGGGTATCCTTAAGGATTAGAACCACAGGACTCCTCCAAGTCTGTAGGCCTACTTTCTCTATGAGAATCGTCATGTTAGTCCATCTAACTGACCTCATCTCTCTTTCAATGCAGGTATCACTACCATTAAAGTTAACATTCGTAATGCCAATTCCCTGGGAGGAGGCTTCCATTGCTGGACCTGCGATGTCCGGCGCCGAGGCACCTTACAGTCCTACTTGGACTGAACAGGCCTGATGGAGCTTGTGGCTGGCCTCAGATACACCTAAGAAGCTTAGGGGCAAGGTTCATTCTCCTGCTTTAAAAAGTGCATGAACTGTAGTGCTTTAAACAATCATCTCCTTAACAGGGGTCGTAAGCCTGGTTTGCTTCTATTACTTTTCTTTGACATAAAGAAAATAACTTCTGCTAGGTATTACTCTCTACTCCTAAAGTTATTTACTATTTGGCTTCAAGTATAAAATTTTGGTGAATGTGTACCAAGAAAAAATTAGTCACCTGAGTAACTTGGCCACTAATAATTAACCATCTACCTCTGTTTTTAATTTTCTTTCCAAAAGGCAGCTTGAAATGTTGGTCCTAATCTTAATTTTTTTTCCTCTTCTATAGACTTGAGAATGTTTTTCTCTAAATGAGAGAAAGACTTAGAATGTACACAGATCCAAAATAGAATCAGATTATCTCTTTTTTTCTAAAGGAGAGAAAGACTTAGAACATACACAGATCCTAAGTAGAACCAGGTAATTGTCTCTTTTTCTAATAAGGAATTTGGGTAATTTTTAATTTTTTGTTTTTTAAAAAATAACCTAGACTATGCAAAACATCAAAGTGAATTTTCCATGAATGTTTTTAATATTCTCATCTCAACATTGTGATATATGCTACTAAAAACCTTTTCATATACATCTTACCTCATTTCAAGTGAATTATTTTAATCTTTTTCTCTCTTTCCAAAAATTTAGGAATGTTTAGTGTAATTGGATTTCGCTATCAGTTCCCATCCTTAAGTTTTGATATTCAATATCTGATAGATACACTGCATCTTTGGTCATCTAAGATTTGTTTACAAATGTGCAAATTATTTAGAGCATAGACTTTATAAGCATTAAAAAAAACTAATGGAGGTAAAACCTAAATGCGATGTGAAATAATTTTAGTGTTGATACCGTATGTGTATTTTTATTCTAATAAACTTTTGTGTTCCAGATTGAATTTGGCATTGGTCTAGTCATTTTAGTATAAGTAAATTATAGGAATGTGGCTCTTGGTACAGAATTCTAATTCTCTAAAATAATCAACATATTCATCACAAAAGTAAACCTAATACATTCAGAAATGTTTAGCAAAGTCAGATTTTTGTTTGTTAATTAATTCACTCATTCAAAAATATCTGAATATCTTCTGAGTATAAGGAGTAATCCTAGGCCCCGGAAGGGAAGAGTCTCTGTTCTTAAGTTGCTGCATGTTTTTTTCTTGAAAAATCTGCATAGAATGTGTACTTTGAAATGAATCACAGGTTTCAACTGTACCCTTACTAACGCCTTGAACTCCTTTGCATCCTGGTGTTCCTTTTACATCCATTACAGAAACACCTGTTAGTCCTACACGTGGACTGAATTCTGCTTGAGAAATCTATCCAGTTGTTTGGATTGGTGCACATTAGGGTATATATTTGCAGGCCTAAATACTACCCAACAATTCTGCTGCACAGTTCTTTGCGTCCTCCTCAGTAGCTATTCCAAACCTTCACTACATTTTCTTAGCTGATCATATTGTTTCATTTTTCACAAAGGAGAGAGAGACCATCAGGCATTAGTTCCTTCAGTTTACGATCCCCTATAGATTTATACACATTTGCATATTCTGGTTAAGTTTCTTTCTCCTTTCCTTTACAGTAAGTAGTTCTCCCTTATCCTCAGGGAATATGTTCCAAGACCCCCGGTGAATGCCTGAAACTATGGGTAGTACCAAACCCTATATATACTATGCCTTTTCTTATACATGCAGACCTATGATAAAGTTTAATGAAGTTAATCTGGTGCAACACATGGCTGTCAGTCGGGAACATGTTTTCTCTTCATGTCTTGCAAACAAAAATGTAATGCCTTTTCCACCTTAACTAAGCACTTATCAATGCTCTGTGACCATAACTTTTGCCATGTGTAGTGCGACAGCAAAACTAGCATGCATTTCTTTTTCCTTTATCACAACTTCACAGATAGGAGATTCGTTCTTACCATGGATCTCAGCAACCTCAACATACAACTTTTTCTTTTCTTGTTGAGAACTTCCACCTTTCCCTTAAAGAAAGCCACTTAGGCTTTACTTTGGTATGTCCGAATTGCCAGCATTAAGACTTGCACTTGAGTCATTATTAAGTAAAATAAGGTTACTTGAATACAAGGACTGTGGTCTGATAACGAGGTGGCTACTAAATGACTGAAGGGCGGGTGGTATATACAGTGTGATACGCTGGAAGCGGGAGGATTCATGTCCCAGGTGGAGGGAGTGGAGTGGGCCAGTGCAAGATTTCATCACGCAGCTCAGAACAGCGTGCAATTTAAAACTTACGAATTATTTATTTCTGCATTTTTCTATTTAATATTTTTGGACCATGGTTGACCACTGGTAACTGAAACTGCTGAAAGTGAAACTTTGGATGAAGGGACTACTGTGCTACCTAAGCTTCCAGAGAAAAAAATCAGGCCTTCATCTCATTGCATGCATTTGCTTCTCAACCATGTATAAAGGGTCTTCTCTCGCTGCTACAGAAAAAGAGGTGAAACTTCTCACCAACTCTAATCCACACAACCGTCCTTTGATCCTAATCTTTCTCTTTTTTCAGAATTTGCTACATCAATTATCATCTTTCTTGTAACTCCAGCACCACCACCGCTCTGTGTGTGTGGGAGGGAGCTTTCCCCCTCAGAAAATAGTCATGCTCAAAACAATCCACAGTGCGGTCTACATCCCTGATCCGTGATCAAGGCCTTATCATGACAAAATGATCACTCCTAGTTTGAGAGCTACCACTTGCTTTGCAATATCATATAATCAAATAGATAATCAAAATGTACATACAGATTCCACACATTTTTAATAACCAGTTGGTTTGGACTTATACAGATAGCTCAACCAACCAAAAATTCTATCATAAGCTTTCTCATATATTTGAACTAACTTTACAACAATTCATTTGCCTACCTGATCTGTAGCAGTGTGTAGTATGTATCTGTTGAGTGATTACAAACTATAATTATTGTTGCTGAAGTCAAAATATGCTTCAGGCCAATCCTGCTCCATAGGGATAATATGCTGAAGGGAATTTAGTTCAATATCCCAATATATTTGATTGTTAATATCAATATTATAAGTTTTATTAGCTTCTAAAATATTAATTTTACCTCATGTGGTCTACCCGCCCCAGCCTCCCAAAGTGCTGGGATTTACAGGCATGAGCACGTGGTTTTATTCCTTCCAATTTTCTATTAACCCATTACTTTGAGGATGAAAAGTAATCTGATAAGCCTACTAAATGTGATGTTTTGGCCCCTAATCCTGTGGAAGTCTTATAGTTAATTATAAATGGTATCATAAAGGAGGAGACCTTCATGGGATTTTATAGGAAGTTGGAGGGACCCACAACTGCTCTCTTCAAACTGCCCAGGGTGTACAAATCCCAAGGCAGATACCAAGGCTGGAAGTAGTGTGAGGCCAGTGAAGTACTCACCATGTCCACAAAATTTAGGGGGACCAAAAAAACCTCGGTAATCCAGATAATAATAATGCAGTATTTTTTAAGCATCAAAATTAATGAAAAAATCCATGATGAACAAAATATCAAAATGTTAAATGAAGACAAGATCAGTATTACTGATGTTTCTTTTGCCTCAGGTTCCAATGTGGCTTGACACGGCACTGACTGTACCCAGGAACTAGAGGTGAAGTGGAAGTAAACCGGCCCTTGTGGTCCGCTATCCAGCTGCCATTCAAATTTTTCAGGTAGCCCAGAAAACCTCTAGCCTAGGTTTGGATGATACCTGATTGCACTTGACCTCCAAGATGTCCACTTGGCCCTCTTCCAAGTGTACTTTACTTTCTTTTCATTCCTGCTCTAAAGCTTTTTAATAAACTTTCATTCCTGCTCAAAAAAGAAAAAAAGAAAAAAAAAAAGACGATACCTGAAAAAATGTAACATTCATCTAGGCTTCAAATTATTTCTAACTATAAAATCTCAAATACAGAGTTCTCCACACAGTCAAATACAGACAGATGCAGGAGGAGAAAATATCCCTCTAGCAAAACAACATTCAAAAGACACATCCACAGGGACTCCAGATACCAGATCGTCAGACACAGACTATAAAGCATCAGCCTACAGTGAAACCCCATACCTATTAGTATAGTAGTCACTCCATTTCTCGCCTGTACCCCCAAGTCCTAGGCAACCAATAACCTACTTTCTGTCCCTGTCATTTTGTCTATTCTGGACATTTCATGTAAATGGAATCATTCAGTAAGTGGTCTTTTGTGATGAACTTCTATCGCTTAGCAAAATATTTTCAAGTTTCCTTCGCTCTGTAGCTCATATCAGTACCTCCTGTATTCTTATGGCCAAATGAAATCCCACTGTATAGATATACACATTTTATTTATCTATTCATCAGTTGCTGAATATTTAGGTTATTTCCACTTTGGGGCTATTATGATAAGGCTGCTGGGAACACTTACATACAAGTTTCTGCGTAGGCATATGTTTTCACTTCTCTTGGGGTATATACCTAGGAGTGGAATTTCTGGGTTATGTGGTAACTCTGTATGCCCTACAGAAAAAAAGTTATATTAAAAAAGTAATAAGAATAAATATAAGCCCACTATTATGCCAACTTAGTGTATGATTTGTATGATTCGTTTATATAATTATTTGTATAATTTTAGTATGATTTTTAAAAGGCAATGAAAATGATCGAAAGGATGAAGTGGCTCCCATGTGAAGACAGACTAAAAAGATTACAATTCAGTCTAGCAGGAGGAAAGTTGAGGAAGTTACAAAATCCAAATTATTAAAATTGCAGTATAGTATCTTGATCGATCAGTTAACTTCTGATTTAATTAACAACTTTCAAAGCACCTCAGTAAGGGAATACAACCTTGATTAAAGAAAAAATAGTTCGAGAACTAAATAACAAAGCTACATGGGAAGCAATAAACTTGTTTTTCACAAAGCAAATAATAAGTATATATGAATATTTATTAATTAACTCTTGAGAACCTACTATATGCTAGGCATCATGCTGGTGCCTTTAAAACATTCTTTATCTCATTTGACTGTTCTAAGAAACATCAAGATAGGTATTATTTTCCTTATTATAAAAGAAAGAAGAAATGGAGATTAAGTGCTCATGATCAAGTCGCACCTATTTTAACCGAAAGTCTTCTCTTAAATTACATCATTTCTTTCCTCCTTTTTAGAGCCATATTTCGCAAAAAGATGGCTTATACTTTCCATATTTGTTCTCTCACCTTCAATTCACTACTTGATCCACTTATATCTGCAGTTTTTCTCACATTGTCCAACTGCTTCCTCTGAGTTCAACAAATAACTGATAGTTGCAGTGACTGTCTTTTTTTTTTTTTTGAAGCAGAGTCTCATTCTTACAGCCCAGGCTGGAGTGCAGTGTCTTGATCCCGGCTCACTGCCATCTCCTCCCCCTGGGTTCAAGCTTATTCTGCTGCCTCAGCCTCCTGAGTAGCTGGGATTACAGGCACATGCCATCATGCCCGGCTAATTTTTTGCATTTTTAGTGGAGTTGGGGTTTCACCATGTTGGCCAGGCTGGTCTCAAACTCCTGACCTCAGGTGATCCGCCCGCCTCAGCCTCCCTAAGTGCTGGGATTACAGGCGTGAGCCACCATGCCTGGCCCAGTGGCTGTTTTCTAGGCTTTATCTTGAAACAATCTTCCATTCACCAAATTATGGCCTGCAGTCAAATCTGGACTGCCATCTGTTTTTAACAGGTCCTTCAAGCTAAAAATGTTTTTTTTTTTTTTACATATTCTAATAGTTGAAACAAATGAAAAGAAAAATAATATTTCACGATGCATGAAAATGACATGAATTTCAAATTTCAGTGTCCATAAATAATGTTTTTTTGGAACACAGCCACATGTATTCATTTGCATATTGTCCATGTCTACTTTTGTGCTCCAATGGCAGATTGAGTAGTTGTGATAGAGACACTGTAGGGTGCTATCACTACTTTGCAATGTGGCTTGGCATGCCACAAATCACAGTGACACAGTTATCACTTGACAGGGTTTCAAGTGTCTCATGTGTCACTGTACCTATGATATTTTATTTTTTTATTACCAGTCTATACCCATCATGTCAAAACAGAAAAGAAAAGTAAATGTTACTGTCATACTTCTAAGGCACAGTGGAGTGTGGATTATTCTGATTAAATTAAACGGCAAAACATTGTACAATGACATTATACCTGCGCTGAAAGAATACATGTTGACAATACCAGAAGTACTCATCACAAGATTTCCAACTTACAGGAAGGCAACAGTCAGAAAAAAATAGAAAATTTAAAATGAAATATCTCATTACAGCAAAATGTCTTCACAAAAATAAAAAATGAAAAAAAAAGTCTTCAACCTTTTTGTAGGTAAGAATCCCAATGGCTCATTTGTTAGCTAATCAAGGAAAGCCATTTACTAATGGCTAGTTAATTAAATCATGTTTGGTTGCTGAAGAAATGTGTCCAGAAGAAACAAACTGCTTAAAATTAGTATTAGCCTTTGGCATGCAGGGTTGCTCTCTGAGTTGAGGACAATGGGAGCGACAATAATCAATTAACACAAATGATGTGGAGTGGTTTTCCTTCGATCTTGGTGAATCAACATGGGTTACTGATTCTGCTCAGTTGTGGATTGTTCAAGGAATCAATACTGAGTCTTTAGTGGGAACTGAGGAATTGTGTGAATATCCTGACTTGCCCCACCACCCCCACAGCAGTCAATGGTTCAGCAATGGTAAGGTTTTATTGCAATCTTTTGAGCTTGGGGCTAGGATTGAAGTTTTTTTCAAATAGAAGAGCTGCCTGCAATCACTGTTAATTACTTTAGAATTAGCTTTTGCTACAGACTTGATGTTTCTTAATAAATTCAATCTAAAATTATGAGGCAAAACAGTGCTTATATTCAAAACTTATGGTAAAGTCGTTTAGATGGCTCATGTCTCAATCACAAGTAATATGAAATTACTTTACCTACTTCCCATGCTGTCAAAACTGGAAACAAAAAGCAAGATCTCCAGTCTCCATTTGCAACAGATATATTTTCTGAACTCAAATGACCATTCCAGCAGAGTTTTTTTTAACTCAATGCAAGAGCAAAGGTAATTTCAAAGTATATTTAACTGTGTGGTTTAGGAAAGTGATTTATCAGTGCTTGCTTTGGCAGCACGTGTATTAAAATTGGAACGATACAGAGAAGATTAGCGTGGCTCCTGTGCAAGGATGACACGCAAATTCCTGAAGCCTCCCACATTTTTAATTTAAATTTTTTAAAATAATTTAAAAAATTGTTTTAAAATTAGAAAAAGAAAGTGTAGGCCAGGCGTGGTGGCTCACGCCTCTAATCCCAACACTTTGGGGGGGCCGAGGCAGGCAGATCATGAGGTCAGGAGTTTGAGACCATCCTGGCCAATATGGCGAAACCCCGTCTCTACTAAAAAATACAAAAATTAGCCGGACGTGGTGGCGCGTGTCTGTAGTTCCAGCTACTCGGGAGGCTGAGGCAGGAGAATCGCTAGAACCTGGGAGGCAGAGGTTGTAGTGAGCCGAGATCACACCACAGCACTCCAGCCTGGGCGACAGAGCGAGACTCTGGCTCAAAAAAAAAAAAAAAAGAAAAGAAAGAAAGTGATTTATTGGCAATGACATGCTAAAAACCAACTGTCAAAAGAAGAATCTAATACAATTCTATAAATACCTTTCCAAGCAATGAATATGTTCAATTTAAATTATATGTTCCTGGGCCAGGCGTGGTGGCTCAACGCCTGTAATCCCAGCACTTTGGAAGACCAAGGCAGGCGGATCACAAGGTCAGGAGATCAAAACCATCCTGGCTAACACGATGAAACTCCGTCTCTACTAAAAATACAAAAAAATTAGCCGGCTGTGGTGGCGGTCGCCTGTGGTCCCAGCTACTCGGGAGGCTGAGGCAGGAGAATGGCATGAACCCAAGAGGCGGAGCTTGCAGTGAGCCGAGATCGCGCCACTGCACTCTGGGAGATAGAGCGAGACTCCATCTCAAAAAAACAAAAAAGATTGTACGTTCCTGAATTGATATCAGCATTTGGCATTATGTGTCTGTGTGAAAAGACATTTGAAATATATAAAGATGTAAAATCTCATCACATTAATAGATGAACATTTACAATTTATTTTGATAATAGGGAACACTAACAGTGAACGCCAATTAAGCAAAACTATCATTCCCCCAAAAGAAAATTTCATTTTTCTCATTGGTAGAACTATATTATAAAAAGGTTGTCCTCAATTTTTATTATATTTTGAATTTTGTCGATAACAGCTTTATGGCTTCTTTTTCCTCTCTGTTATATAAGTACCCACATAATATCTTGATTCTGATTCTTGGCTACAAAGCCTAAAATATTTACTATCTGATCCTTTACAGGATAAGTTTACCAAGCCCTGGAGTCTAAAGGACTCGAAAGTCTTCGGCTTCCTTAGGACTCTTTTCAAGGCCCTATTTCTTTCTCATTCTTCACTAGATCCTTCCCTCACTTTACTACCCATGATTTCATTATGATCTATAGGAAATCTGCCAAATGTACACCTTCAGCTTAGAACAAATTAATCAACAACCTACTTATTTTTTTCATCCTCGCTGCCTCCATTCTAGTCCAAGCTACCAATATCTCTCACCTGAACCATTGCCACAGCTTCCTCAAGCCTCAGCAGCCAGACTGACCTCTCAGTACGGAAATCTGGTCCCCTCTTCTCCCCATCTCCGCAAAGTCTCTCAGTGGAATTCTCATTTTTCTCTAAAACAAAGTCCCAAATCCTTACAATGGACTACAGGGCCCCACATGGCCTTGCGTCCGCCCACCTCCAGCCTGTCTCACTGCCACTTTCCCTGGCTTCCCTCCACTCTGGCTACCCCAGAGCCATGCTCTCTTCTGCCCCAGGGATTTTACACATTTTCCCTTTGCCGGAAATGCCTCTGATCTTCCCTGTCTTCATCTCTCACCTCCCCTTTTTGCTTGGTTAGCTCTGATAAATGTGCTTCTCAGACAATCATGTCTCCCTAGAACTCTACTCCTTTGGTTTAAATGGACTCTTTTTACAGTTGAAGAACCCTTACTAACACTCTGGAATCTTATGCTTTTAACTGCCATTATTTGTTTTGAAGATATCCAGTTGTATTAATTGTGTTTTTTATTTTCTGTATTTCATGATGTTTTGACATCTTGCTGGCCAGAGAAAGACTGCCCCTTTCAGGTCTTGCTAATTCTTAGAGATAGCAAAGGGCTTGGCTAGGAGCACATTTTTCATATACAAACCAACCAATCCCAAGTCGATAGCCCTGCCATCTCCTTATCGATCTCTCAGACACCAAACCAATATTTCCCCTGCTCTAAATCAGGCAACTGCAGACCACTCCTATAGCCCAGAGCTGGTCAGAATTATTCAAACTAGTCAATCCCAAGCTGCTTTCTCTGCTCTGCCTTGCCTTTCCCAAGGAAACCTCAACAAAGACTCACGTCTAAGCTTCCCCCAGCTCCTGTCTTCCGCCACATGACCAAAACTTGACGATTCCCTTGTGGACCTGTGTGGTATGTGGTGACCCCTCTCTGGGCCTGTGAGTACAGTAAACTTCCATTCAAGCCTGGTTGTCATTTCCTTCTGTGGTCACACCCACTTTGCCACGCCATATTCAAATTTTCATTTTTAAAACATCAACCCTGAATAACCCCCACATGATTTGGGTTCCTTTTGGTTGCACGTAATGGAAGCTTTACTTAAAGTAGGTTAAACAAGAAAACTTATTGCACACAATAGGAAGTTTAGCAGTAAGGAAATTCAACTACCTTATGACCAAGTTTTTTTCCATCTTTCTGGATGGAAAGCCTCCCTCATTGTTGGCTTATCCTTAGGCTGACAGCAAGATGAAGGCAGCAGTTCCTGGGATCATAACCTAGTGTTACTTTTTTCTGTGTAGCTCTTTCATAGAAGCAGAAACTTTCCCTAGAATCCCCTTAACAGGACTCCTATCATATTTTGTTGGCCCCTTGGGTCATCTGCCCATTCCTGACCAGTCATTGGCATTTAGGATGGGATTTATCCGAACTACCTTTGGAATTGGGAGGGTGGCATTCACTTGGGGCACGTTGATGCAGGAAAGAGGGATGAAGAAAATGACATTCTTTTGGGAGGGAGAAGGGGGAAATGGATGCTGGGAAGGAAATTAACTTGTCCGCTACAACCCTCAGCAAGAACTTACTCTCTGCCTGATCAGATAATCATTGCTGGAGAAAGTCATAAAATTGTCCCAATTTTCTTCTCTATTGTTTCTTCTGATTCTTTTTACACTGAAATTGATTTCTTTCATTTTATGTTCTTCCAGAAAATGTTTAAACATGTAATGTGCACCAGAACAACCTGGAAGGCTTGCTAAAATGCAGATTCTAGTGCCCTGCACCCAGAAGTTCTGATTTAGTAAGTAGTCTCAGACCATTTTAAAAGAAGTGCTGACAAAAAAGATACCACATTCCAGCTCTTATGAATGTTCCTGAAACAGTGAGAGGGTAACCAGACTGGAGACCCCATCATATGAGGTAGGTTATTTTGCTTGTAAGTAGGATGATGCAACTATTGAAATTTTCTTTCACAGGAACCTGAAAATATTGCACCATAACTTTCTCTCCAGCAGCGTTCTAAGAATATTTCCTAGTTTTACCCTTTCATCGCACATAAAGCAGTGAAAAACTGTTGCAATTTTATCAATATGTTTTTGTAGGTCTGGGTTCTAGAGTCACTGAGTTCAAAACTTCTCCAAGACAGAGAAGACAGATTGCCTAAATGATGAATCTGGTGTTAGCTGCTTTCAGTTCAGCCCAGTTTTCTGACATGGACAGAATCGATGAAAAGCAGCTTCTTCATTGAACCAGTGAGACAAGTAGAACACTTTTCCCTCTGAATGATAATTTAAAACATATTTTAATGTGTATTTTACACTTTGCATTAGTATGGTATAAAATGAAAAATTCATATGAATTTTAATATTTAAAAAGGAGACTTCAAAGAAATTTTGTGATTTCCTTGGCCACTTTGGCCACACCCCATATTCTCCAGAGTATGTGTTTGCTGTCCTCTGCTATTAGGGGTAATTCAGTGGAAAATATTGAAAAGCTGATTGAATTGGTTTTCTTTTTTTAAGGAGTGCTTAGGAAGGTATCAACCATTTAAAATTTCTCCAAACCATACCTAAGGAGAGAAATTTTTCTCACTTATTTAAAAATCAGACTGATAGGATATTTTTATAGAAAAGGCAGTTTTATTATTTTCTAGTACTATGCTATAATAATTCAAAACATGCTAAGACAGCATTGCCTACTACAGAACCTCAGTGAAATGGAGAAAAAAATTTTTGATTTGGTATAAGAAAGCACAGGCTTACCCCAGGTATCTCCTTAAATTGGAATTTATTATTTGCAATCACACTGAAGATAATGTCTGAAGCCTTTTACAAAGCGAAGTAAAATTTCCCATGTAATTTTGTAAACAGCCTTAATTTTCTATGGAAACAATTGTCTCTGAGGTAAAAGGGGAAACTTTGATTTTTGTCTCTTCCAATAATCACAAATGGTAAAATCTGTTTTAGCGAGGTCTTATTATAAGCTATATTGTACAGAGAGGTTGCTTGGGTGGGATTCATGCAAATGCCCAGAAGAATTTATCTTCGAGTCAAAGCTGAGACCCTTGGGTTAGCACTTTTGTCCACACAAACCCTGCCCTCAGGCTCCAAGATACAGGGGTGTGACTTTCCAAAGGACCTCGGAAACTCTTTCCACTTCTGCCCCTGCAGAAACTATTTCCTTGACCAGAATTGCTGACATTTCACTGTGCATAGGATAGGAACAAACTTTGGCATAGGTTAGAATGTCTTCAGTTCTATGAGACGTGCTGAGAAAAGAATTTCTCCAGCTATTCTCTGCTTCTCTGATGCATCAACATTTTTTCTCTCTATTAGACATTTCCATTAGTGTGCAAATGCAGGATTATTTCACCCACTTTAAAAAAAGAAAAAAACCCTCTCTTCACCTCACTTTCACCTCTAGCTACTGCTCTATTCTTGCACTCTCTGCAGAAGAACTCTTCAAAATAGTCATCTATCCTCCCTGTCTGTAGTTCTTCTAATCCCGTTCCCTCCTGAGCCCACTCATTCAGGCTTCTACCCCCAGCTCTCTACATAAACTGCCCTTGTTACAATTACTAATGTTCCCCACATTGCAAAATCCCAGGCAAATATCCCTCATTCTTACTTGACTCATCGGCACTGTTCAACAGTGGATCCCCTTTTTCCCCCGTAAAACATTTTCTTCCTCTGGTTTTCTTTTTCCTTTCTTTTCTTTTCTTTTCTTTTCTTTTCTTTTCTTTTCTTTTCTTTTCTTTCTTTCTTTCTTTCTTTCTTTCTTTCTTTCTTTCTTTCTTTCTTTCTTTCTTTCTTTCTTTCTTTCCTTCCTTCCTTCTCTCTCTCTTTCTATTTTTTTTTTTTTGACGGAGTTTTACTCTTGTCACCCAGGCTGGAGTGCAATGGTGCGATCTCGGCTCACTGCAACCTCTGCCTCCCGGGTTCAAGTGATTCTCCTGCCTCAGCCTCCTGAGTAGCTGGGATTACAGACATGCACCACTGCGCCCGGTTAATTTTGTATCTTTGGTAGAGATGGGGTTTCTCCATGTTGGTCAGGCTGGTCTCAAACTCCTGACCTCAGGTGATCCGCCCGCCTCAGCCTCCCAAAGTGCTGGGATTACAGGTGAGAGCCACTGTGCCCGACCTTCCTCTGGTTTTCATAATACCCCTCTCACCTGGCTTTCCTCTTTCCTCAATGGCTGCTATTTCTCCATCTCCTTGGCTGGTTCCTACTGACTTTAACCATTGGAGTGCTCCAGGGCTCAGTCTTTGGCTCTTTCCCTTAGATTCTGTCTATATTTTCTTTCTTGGGAAACTCATTCAGTCTTGTGGCTTTCATTTCCATGTATATGACTCCCAAATTGATAACTGCAGTCCTGACTTGTTTACACTCATGTATTCAGCTGCCTATTCAATGTCTCTGTTAGGCACATCCCAAACTGAACTTCTGATGCTTCTCCCAAGACCTGCCTCTCCCTGAGTCTTCCTCTATTTAGTTAAGGTAATTCCATCCCTCCAATGGCTCAGGCTGACAACCTTGGACTCATCTGTGCCTCCTCTCTTTCTCTCACACTTCATATCTAATCCACCAGCAGATCCATCTACCTTTGAAATATATTCAGAATCGTACCACTTCTTGCCACCTCGGTTGCTCCCGTCCTGGTGCCAGCTACTGTCATCTCTCTCCTGGCTTACTGAAAACACCTCGTCCTGATCTCCTTGCTTCTATCCTTGTTCCCTTTTAGTCTGTTCTCATCAGCAGCTAGAATGATCCCGTTAAAACAAAAGTCAAGTCATGTCACTCCTCTCCCTCCCAACTCACTCAGGGGAAGCCTGTGTGCTTACAGAAGTTCCACACAACCTGGGCCCCACTGCCACCCCAGCTCCAGCTCCTCCACCTCCCTTCCTCACTTCACTCCAGCCTCACAGGCCTCCTCGCTGGCCCCAGAACACCCTAGACAAACTTTCACTGTCAGACCTTTGCTCTTACTTTTCTTCTGGAAGCCTTGTCCCCAGCTATCTCCATGAGTTGTTCCCTGCCTCCTTCAGGTCTTTGCTTAAATGCAAGTCCTTCCCTAACCATTTTATTTAAAATTGCAGTCTTCACCCACCACCTGACCACTGGACCTGACCACCACTAGAACTGAGGCAAATTAATTTTGAGTTTGCAGTTGTGTGACTAAAATGTGCCTAGGATTTGAAAGGGGCTTTTGTAAGAGAGAACACCTGCTTGTATGTATGGCCAAAGGTCAGCAAGGCTTTGAAGTTTCTCCCATACCTGGGTACATGTCACTGTCTTAGCCCATAAATACAATTCTAAGCTCTATTTCCAGTTACAGGTAAACTAAATTTCCTTTCTCCTAATAAAGACTCCCAGTCTCCTTGTAGTTTCTTCTTCTGTTTTGTTTGTTTGTTTATTGACATAGAGTCTCATTCTGTCACCCTAGGCTAGAGTACAGTGGCATGATTTTGGCTCACTGCAGCCTCCACCTCCTGGGTTCAAGCGATTCTTGTGCCTCAGCCTCCTGAGCAGCCAAGACTACAGGCACACGCCACCACACCCGGCTCATTTTTTGCATTTTTAGTGGAGACGAGGTTTCACCATGTTGGCCAGGCTGATCTCGAACTCCTGGCCTCGAACTCCTGATCCACCTGCTTCGGCCTCCCAAAGTGCTGGGATTACAGGTGTGAGCCTCTGCGCCCAGGTCCATGTTGTTTCTTCTGTTCCCCGGATTCATTTGTCCAAAGTATACCAGCATCAGTAATGTCTATCATGGTCTTTATTTCACTTAAGGATTTATTCAGATGGACCATCTCTCATGTTTTGGAGTCATTCTTTATAGGGAAACCCATCTTTAATATATTTCTTTTTTTTTTTTTTCATTATACTTTAAGTTCTAGGGTACATGTGCACAACGTGCAGGTTTGTTATGTATGTATACATGTGCCATGTTGGTGTGCTGCACCCATTAACTCGTCATTTTCATTAGGTATATCTCCTAATGCTATCCCTCCCCCCTCCCCCCACCGCACAACAGGCATCTTTAATATATTTCTAAAGCAAGTGATCTCTTTTCAGATGCTCACTTTTCACTTAGGAAAGGTAACTGCTCAAAGTCAGGTACTTGAGCGTGCAAGAGGTTGAGTCATTCTCATGGTATGTAGCAAAACGGTGCAATGCAGAGAAGCTGGAGACAAGCAAAGGATGCCCAATCTATGCTTCTATAGAAGATTTATCAATTCAGGTGTGTGGCTCAGGGACTTGGCCTGCTTGTGGTGGGCAGGAACTGTGATTGAAGATGCCACAGCATTTGGTAGGAGCTTTTGCATGGTAGTCCATGTTTTCCCAGGGACCAGAGAAGGAAAAGGGGTTAGTAATGTTGAGTAAAATGCTCAAACAAAAACGTCAAAGTCTGCTTAATATAATGCTTAAAGACAAAGGGCCAGAATTCTCATCGCTGTTTAAAAGTTGCAAAAGGGCTGCTGCCCCCTCTTTCTCTCTGGAAATGCACCCTCTCAACCACTAGTGGTAATGCTCTTTTGACAAACAAGAAAACTTCTACTCAGATCTACAGCTTCTACTAACTGGGTAACAAAGACTCAAACGGGTTCCAGTAGGAAGAAGGAAGGAAAAACACAAGGCTGAACATGACATTCCCCTTTACACACACCACTTATGCACTTCCAAATACTTTCACACGTGTTTCTTTTCTTCTCTACTTTCAAGTGTAGAGTAGAGAATAACTTCCCCTGTAAAGTACTGAGAGGGAACTCTGTGGCCCTGGAGACACCCACCTCTGGAAAAATTCTTTGCAGCACACATAGTTGTCATAGTTGCTGCTGGACACTGTACTGAATAAAAAAACAGAGTTGACTTCAATTCCTCTGGGGACATAGAAGATGCCTAAGAATGAGGGTAATGAGGAAAGCTGCTGCCACAGCGCGGATTTCAAGTTTAAGTCTTTCTGGGGCTTCTTTAAATAGTAGCATGTGTCTTCTCCTTTTTAAAATTAACCCATCTACCCATCCGTAATTTCTTCAAAGATAAGAAGCATATTGTCTACTTTTCTTTTCTTTTTTTTTTTCCCCGCTCCAAAAAGCCTGAGTAAGTTTTGCTTTGGGTACAAAAAAAAAAAAAAAAGTTTCTGATTGTTTTGAACTTTTTTCCCCCTTGAAAACTGGATGGGTTCCTTTTTATTCCTTAAAGGACTAAATCATATTTCTATGTGTTTCTGTCACCAAGACTCAAAGAAGCACCTACCTGCCACACAAGCATTGGGAAGCACAAGCCCCAGTGAGAAAGATACCCATGACAGTCTTGGAAAAGTCACTCTCCCGGTGGGACACTTTTGAAGCTACAGGCAACAAGAGAGATTAGGAGAAAGGAGCTTGAGGTAGTCATGTATTCTATATACTACCAGCCTATTATGAAAAAGTTCCAAAGGATTCTTAATTTATCACTATTAACATCTCTACCTTCTCTCCTGTAAATTGGCATTTGTTCTGTGTTGTCAGTCTTGGTATCAATCTTGTCTTTTGTGTCTTAAATATTCAAATATCCTTCTTCTCCACCCATAATCCACTAAATATAGTTAACTATATTTAAAAAAAAAAAAAGGAAATGAATATTATCCAGTAGATACACTCAAGGACTTAAAATGTTTTTAAGAGTTCCATCTGAAAAAAATTTTTAACAAAGTATGGAGATTTCACTTTGTATTTCTGCTATAACATTACTTTCTATTGAATGTAATTTTGAAATGTTCTCTTTTTATGAAGATAAATGGATGATAAGGTTCTCCAATAAAAATAAGAAGCAGCACAATAGAAATATATCAGAGCTTCATGAGCTCATGAAGTAATGCTTGTAAATAAATACAAGTATTTGATGCAAATTACAAATGCTAGTCCCAAATAGAAAAAATGCGGAAAGTAAAGATAGAGGAATAACTTTCTTATTAGAAAAGTTGTATTAGTCACAGTTCTCCAGAATAACAGAACCAATAGGAGATCTATGCATCTACCTACACATTGCATGTATGTGTGTGTGTATATACATATATATATATATATATATATATAGAGAGAGAGAGAGAGAGAGAGAGAGAGAGAGAGAGAGAGAGATTTTCAGGAAGTGGCTCATGTAATTCTGGGAGCTGGCAAGTCTAAAATTTGCAGAGCAGGTCAGCAGACTGAAAATTCAGGTAAGAGGTGAGGCTTGCAGGCTTGAGTCCAAAGTCTATAGAGCAGACTGGGCAGACCGGGCAGGCTAGGAACTCTGGCAGGGTTTCATTTTTTTTTTTTTTTTTTTTTTTTTGGTGGGGGTGGGGGAGACAGAGTCTCACTCTGTCACCCAGGCTGGAGTGCAGTGGCATGATCTTGGCTCACTGCAACCTCCACCACCCTAATTCAAGCAATTCTCCTGCCTCAGTCTCCCGAGTAGCTGGGATTACAGGGGCCTGCCACCACGCCTGGATAATTTTTTATTTTTAATACAGATGGGGTTTCACCATGTTGGCCAGGCTGGTCTCAAACTCCTGACCTCAGGTGATCCACCCACCTTGGCCTCCCAAAGTGCTGGGATTACAGGCCTGCGCCACTGTGCCCAGCAACTCTGGCAGGGTTTCTATGTTGCAGTCTTAAGAGAATTTCTTCTTCAGGAAACCTCAGTCTTTTCTCCTAAGGCCTTCAGTGGATTGGATGAGATCTGCTCACATTATGGAGGATGATCTGCTTCATTCAAAGTCTACTGATTTATTTTAAAAATACCTTCACAGCAACATCTAGACTGGTGTTTGACCAAACAACCATGCACCTTAGCCTAGCCAAGTTGACACATAAAATTAAACATCAAGGTAGTCAAGAAGGAGTGTTCCTCTATTTCTTCTTCAGCTCAGGAAGCAAAAAATCTCTGAGACTCAAGGACATAATCAGGTGCACTGAGAAGGTTCCCTAAAGCTTATTCAAGCTTAGCAGATACCAGCCTAGCACTGTTAAAGCCTCAGTGAAAGAAATGAGAGGTTTTGATACCTGACAAAGCTGGTGAAGATCCCAGAACTCTGGCTTGGGCCCTTAGAAGACCAAATTCATGAATAGTCCTTGGTAAATTTGAAAATTTTCCTCTCCTTAAGATTTGGATAAAATGGGCCAGGCACAGTGGCTCACGCCTGTAATCTCAGCACTTTGGGAGGCTTAGGCGGGTGAGTCATCTGAGGTCAGGAGTTTGAAACCAGTCTGGCCAATATGGCAAAACCCCATCTCTACTAAAAATACAAAAATTAGCTGGGCATGGTAGCATGCACCTGTAATCCCAGCTACTCGCGAGCCTGAGGTAAGAGAACCACTTGAACCTGGGAGGTGGAGGTTGCAGTGAGCCGGGATTGCACCACTGCACTCCAGCCTGGGAGACAGAGCAAGACTCCATCTAAAATAATTTTTAGATAAAATGAAGTAAGCAGGATAACAGTAGAATAAGCAATGATTATAGTATTTGAGAATAAGTATAGGATGTAATTAATTATAACCAAGTATATATTCTTTGAAAGCACTTCTAATGTGTATAATTCAATTTAGAGATAATTCTAGGAATTAATTATGTTTAGCTTCTTTAGCAGAATATTATTTGAAAAAGAAAATCAAAAGCATGCCAATCTTTGACCCAGTTAACCATTATCTGTGAGAATGGCATCTAGTGGTAGATTAAGTAATACCTAGGTGGAAATGAAACAACTTTTGGAATGCTAGCTTTGCAAATCTAAGCCAAAACCTATCATGAGATAGCAAAAGTCCAAACCTGTTGTATTCCTTCCGAACATCTAACTCCTATCTCTTCCTTACTTGTTTGTCTTCTGATTGTCAATCTTCCTTAACTTAAAGGGTACATAACTTAAAACTTTCAATCGGCTGGGTGCAGTGGTTCACCCCTGTAATCCCAGCACTTTGTGAGGCAGAGGCAGGCAGGTCACCTGAGGTCAGGAGTTTGAGACCAGTCTGGCCAACATGGTGAAACCCCTCTCTACTAAAAATACAAAAATGTTAGCTGGGCTTGGTGGCACATGCCTGTAGTCCCAGCTACTAAGGAGGCTGAGGTGGGAGAATTGCTTGAACCCAGGATGTGGAGGTTGCAGTGAGCTGAGATTGCACCACTGCACTCCAGCCTGGGTAACAGAGCGAGACCCTGTCTCAGAACAAAAACCAAAAACCAAAAAACAAACAAACAAAAACTTTCAATGAAGAATAACATGTATTCTTAAGAAACATCCTTTTGTTCCACCTTTCCATTACAAATCCTATACTCATCTGATTACGAAGTTTATAGGGAATTCACACTGTTCCTATTTCTATTTCCCTGGTTCCTACTAATTTTTTTTTTTTTTTTGAGACGGAGTTTTGTTCTCGTTGCCCAGGGTGGAGTGCACGGATGTGATCTTGCTCACCACAACCTCTGCCTCCTGGGTTCAAGCCATTCTCCTGCCTCAGCCTCCCAAGTAGCTGGTATTACAGGCATATGCCACCACGCCCAGCTAATTTTGTATTTTAAGTAGAGATGGGGTTTCTCCATGTTGGTCAGGCTGGTCTCGAGCTCCCGACCTCATGTGATCCACCCACCTCAGCTTCCCAAAGTGCTGGGATTACAGGCGTGAGCCACTGCGTCCAGCTCCGGTTCCTACTAATTTTTATAAATTTAGAATTCATGCTTTTCATTCTATAGAAACAAACTTCCCACCAAGGTCTTCACTTTTTCCATAACTAAATATTCTCATTTCTAAAATTGTTTGTATTCCTACAGAGGTTTAAAAGGAGAAAAGAGAAGTAGGGAGTTTGGTCATGTATTCACCGAGGTCTTCTAACATGATCCCAATGGAGTACAGATTGGCGAATCTACAGAGAACAAAGGTTGTGATGACTTCTGTTCTTACCTGAAAAAGAGAAAATATAAGTGAGAAGTTTTGTTCTTCTCACCCAAAGCCTCTCTATCATCTTAATTGTATGCAAAATACTTAAGAAAAACACAGATCAAGGGATGGGAAACGACCAGAGATAAGAATAGCAACTCTGTCCTTTATTGGCAGTCTAGGGAAACTGATCTTTTCTTACCCTATAAATTTGAAAATTATCATGTGATGCTTTTGAAGCCAATAGAATCCCCAATTCTCTGGGAAGGAATGGATTGACTAGGAAAGGAATGTATTATCAGTTCTAAAGAGCTGGCTATCAGGGCTGTGGCAATTTCCTTTTTTCTTTCTCTTTGCCCTCTACTTACTTGTGAAAATTTTGGCGCTCATTATCACCTTCAGCAGGCCTGAAACAAGGAAAAGAATTAAAATTCAAATTAGTAAGCCTTTTTATAGAAGCTTTGCTAAAATACGGAAGAATAAAATTACTCACTATAATTAAAGTTTAACTTCCCAGTTGCCATCAATCTTGTCTGTGAAATCAAACAGTTGGTTTGGCATTTGTGAGATTCCATCTTCTCGAATCCCATAAATCCTTCGTTACTAATAATTACTTACAGCTTAAGAAATTACAATACACTAGGTAGTTTTCTAGATTTTACTATAACTTCTATATTTATTTGTGCTACAGCAATTTTAGGCTTTTTGTGGACTCTGCAAGACTCTTACAAACAAGCTACTTTAATGAGACAATAGCAATAGTGAAAAAGAGACTAAGAAAGCTAATTTTAACAACATAGGCTTCAGAAATATCAAGGCAGAAAGAAACCCTGAGATCTGTCTTCACATCGAAACAATCCTGTGTGGCTTCTATGCCACATTGGAGGGGATTATGTTGTTCTCTTCCATATTTTACTCTTAACACAGGCTGGTATAGATGCACCTTTGTATGCTTCTGCAGGTAGACTACTTATAGAAGAGTACTGTTATTCATTTCCTGCCCATTCTTCTACTCCAGAGAGATGTTTATTCTTATAATGAGACAGATGCTGATGGATGACAAGCTTATTCAGAGAAATTCAGTCCCCAGTATCTCAGCTGCTGGAGGACAGGATTGATGCTGCATTGGTTGCAGCTTCGAGGAGATTCTGTGCCTTGCTATTGTTAGTGTTAGAAATTATTTTTATTGCACATTTTCTGAAAACTGTTAAGAGTCAATGGGCTTACAAACAACTCAGCTAGAAAACCCTGCAATACCCTATACATTAAAGTTGGGAAAAAGTAGTAGAATTGCTGAGCGCGGTGGCTCACGCTGTAATCCTAGCACTTTGGGAGGCCGAGGCGGGTGGATCACAAGGTCAGGAGATCGAGACCATCCTGGCTAATGTGGTGAAACCCTGTCTCTACTAAAATTACAAAAAAATTAGCTGGGAGTAATTGCAGGCACCTGTAGTCCCAGCTACTCGGGAGGCTCAGGCAGGAGAATGGCCTGAACCCAGGAGGCGGAGCTTGCAGTAAGCCGAGATCGTGCCACTGCACTCCAGCCTGGGCGACAGAGTGAGACTCCGTCTCAAAAAAAAAAAAAATGTAGTAAAATTCAGGGCCCATTATCTGACAAAAATGAAGATTATTCTAGGAATAATAGAAAGAGAGGACTCTACCCAAAGAAGAATACGTCAAAATGTCAGAGGGGCTGTGTCAAAAAAGAACCATTTTATTATAATGGGATGCAAATGTGAAGTGGGATGTGGAAGCTACTATATTCCTTTACCATTGGCTGACTTTTTATCCTTAATTTGGACTCTTCCACTTCTAGGTAAATCCGTTTTGATAAGGTAAGGGCTCAAAGTACAGTCAGTTTAAAGGCTGAAGTCAATCTACAAGGACAGTGTGATAAAGATCGGTTTATTATGCTGAAATTCTTGGTTGGTTCTAAGGTACAGTGGGTAAGGGAGGAGATAAATACATCCATATATACATGGAATTCCTGGTTGGTGGGAATGCTCTGGCACCCACTACTATGTCTGAGATGACTTCTGAAAATAAACTGGGATTGAGCTCAATAAATATAAGAACAGAAAAAAATGGACAAGCTTTATTTTATTTTATAAAATTTAAAAGACATTATTTCAATACGTTTTCTTGAAGTATCCCCTACCAGTATATCTGAGCCTTGTCATATCCCTCCTAGTATCAGCATATCAAGCAAGAGTGAAGTTTTATTTTAGGCAATGGGAATATTGACCTCACAAATGGTGCACAGTGATGCTTGTTTATTCTGTTTATTTGGGTAGAGTAAAAATTTTTTTTTTTTTTTTTTGAGATACAGTTTCACTCTTGTTGCCCAGGCTGGAGTGCAATGGCGCGATCTGGGCTCACTGCAACCCCTGCCTCCCAGGTTCAAGCAATACTCCTGCCTCAGCCTCCCCAGTAGCTGGGATTACAGGCGAGTGCCACCGTGCCCGGCTAATTTTTTGTATTTTTAGTAGAGACGGGGTTTCACCACGTTAGCCAGACTAGTCTTGAACTCCTGACCTCAGGTGATCCACCCACCTTGGCTTCCCAAAGTGCTGGGATGACAGGCATGAGCCACGGCGTGCGTAAAATTTAACTAGTGGCATTAAAGATAAGCACTGCTACAGCTGGCTCTGCATCTTTCGTCATCCTTGGAACGTACATAAGTCCTTGGGTAACCCACATTGAACCTCAGTGAATCTTCAGGAGACTGCAGGATGACAGAGGTGGAGATGGGGTAAACTATTCTAGCCCACGGCTACCCCAGGAAAGGTCTGCTTTTGCTTTAATTAAGCTCCAAATATTCTGAGTCAAACTGAATGCTCTGGAATTCTTTAAAGGAAAAAAATGCTCGGGTAACCTAGAGTACCCGATATACTGTCACCCTGGAATTCTCTTTAATAGCTAACACAAGACCAAACAGAACCTCTTAACCAAAGGCCAATCCTCTGGGTCTACTCTGAAGGTTTAAGAGATCCCTGAGCCAACCTCAAGCTTGCGGACAGACTAGCACTCCCCAGCCTCCCCCTAAAATTCGGACTGAATGGCGGGCCAAGGATACTGAAGGGGTTCTCTAACATCCTTATGATGGTGGCTTCTGGAATACACTGCACTAGAAAGTCAGGCTTCCTTAAGAATAGCTGGTCATACTCAGGCAACGTTCCCAGGGATAAATTAGATTAGATGAAAATTACACCATAATTAGGGTACTTATTTCTAGAAATTCAATAGGAAATTCTCCTGGGGTTCTCATGCTTTTACCTTGGTCTTCCCCAAAGGGTCAAAGTGCTTATTAAGGCTGGGCACAATGGCTCATACCTGTAATCCCAATACTTGGGGAAGCAGAAGCTGAAGGAATGCTTGAGGCCAGGAGTTAGAGACCAGCCGAGGTAACATATCAAGTCTCTACAAGAAAAGAAAAGAAAAGAAAAAAGCCAGATGTGGTGACATATGCCTGCAGTCCTAGCTACTTGGGAGGCTGAAGTGGAAGGATCACCTGAGCCCAGGAATTTGAGGCTGCAGTGAGCCATGATTACAATGCTGCACTCCAGCCTGGACAACAAAGTAAGACCCTACCTCTAAAAAAAAAAAAAAAAAAAAAAGTGCTTGTTAAAACTAAAACTGGTAAGGAAATTCCTACATACATGTTCCAGATTCAATACTCTGGAAAAGACAGGTAAATAACCATATCACATGCCTGATATGTTATATTAGAAGTCTCAAGTTTTCTCAGTGGAACGGTGTCTGAGGCTCTGGCTTTCACTCAAAGCTTAACAAGTCGTTCTTATCACAAAATACACAAAGCACCCATCACACTTCCTGCAATGATAGCAAAGTCACCAGCCATCATGGGTTGATTTCAGAGAGTATCAGTCTGCAATGTATGCACAGGTCAGTAGAGGCATCTCTGTCTGCTAACAAGAAAGATTATCAGGGTCAGGATGTGGGCAACCACAGATTGAAGAACACTGGCTGCTCTGCTCATGAAACAACCCCAGAGATAGAAGGAGCAAGTTATTTGAGTGTGGAACCTGAATTTGGAAAATCAGGTAGTGGATCACCGGCCTCAGGTGAACTGAACAGTAGGGATGAATTTCTGCCATTGTGGAAATTTCTTACAAGAAACTTATCAAAAAAGTTTCTATATTCATCCAGAACAGAGTCTGGGGGACTCTGAAACGTGTTTATGAAAATATCTGAGGTTAACTAATAAAAAAAAATTAGCGGCCGGGCGCGGTGGCTCACGCCTGTAATCCCAGCACTTTGGGAGGCCGAGGCGGGCGGATCACGAGGTCAGGAGATCGAGACCATCCTGGCTAACACGGTGAAACCCCGTCTCTACTAAAAATACAAAAAAAAATTTAGCCGGGCGTGGTGGCGGGCGCCTGTAGTCCCAGCTACTCGGAGTCTAAGGCAGGAGAATGGCGTGAACCCGGGAGGCGGAGCTTGCAGTGAGCTGAGATCGCGCCACTGCACTCCAGCCTGGGCGACGGAGCGAGACTCTGTCTCAAAAAATAAATAAATAAATTTTAAAAAGCTATTTGCCATACCCACAAGAAAGTTAACTCAATTTCCCACTTGCAGACTACCACCCTGAGATGATTTATGGACTCACTAGCTATCTCATCATGTAGACTTTTTATCCAACCACAAAAGCTAAATCAGTTTTTTTCTTTCCTTTTGTTTTTCTGAGACAGTGTCTCACTCTGTCACCCAGGCTGAAGTACAGCGGCGCGATCACAGCTCACTGCAGCCTTAACCTCCTAGGCTCAAGTGATCCTCCCGCGTTAGCCTCCCGAGTAGCTGGAACTACAGGCACGCACCGCCATGCCCAGCTAATTTTTTGTATATTTTGTAAAGGCAGGGTTTCCCCATGTTGCCCAGGTTGGTTTCCAACTCCTGGGCTTAAGTGATCCTCCCACCTCAGACTCCCAAAGTAGTAGAATTACAGGCATAAGTCACTGCTCCTGGCCAAATATGTTTCTTTCCACACCAGTATTTTTCTTCCTCTATTGTAATGAAAGCCAAGCCTCTTTGTTTGCTCAATAACCATGATAGTAAATTACCAGTCTACAGCAAGCATTCTACAGAGTGAAGGAAAGACATGGTATTAACTATTCCTCTACACTGAGTTATGTGAACGGATCAGAGAAACCTGGTTTTTTCTTCTGTTTTTTTTTTTTAATTCAAAATTGGCTTTTATTCACAAGCAGTTGCATAGACCTTCCCATCAACATCACTGGTGTTTTCCAATGCCAGACAAGGAATTGGAAAGGAAACAATGGTCAAGTATATAATACACATGAATAAGGAAATTTGAATTAACCATTTCTCCCCAGGATTCTTTTTTTTTTTTTTTTTTTTTTTTGAGACAGTCTTGCTCTGTCACCCACGCTGGAGTGCAGTGGTGCAATCTCGGCTCACTGTAACTTCCACCTCCTGGGTTTAAGCGATTCTTATGCTTCAGCCTCCTGAGTAGCTGGGACTACAGGTTCATGCCACCATGTCCAGTTCATTTTTTTGTATTTTTAGTAGAGACAGGGTTTCGCCATGTTGGCCAGGCTGGTCTCGAACTCCTGACCTCAGATGATCTGCCTGCCTCAGCCTCTTCAAAGTGCTGGGATTACAGGCATAAGCCACCAAGCCCTGCCTTTCTCTGACTCTTAAGACTCCATCTTTTCATTCTTTGATTCTTTCATTCTTTGAACCCAGACAGAGAAAGATTCCATGTGGCTTATTCATCATCTAATTCTTGCTAAACCTCCTTCTACTGATAAAGGAAGTTGAGGGTTAACAGCATCAAGAGCCAATGTGTTTTTACACGTAGGCCTTCAGTCAGTACCACATGGACAATAATGATAATAACTTACACGTCTAAGTAACTTTGTAATTTACAAAGCACTTTCACAGCTATCTTATTTGCTCTTCTTAATACTTTGTATGGTAGACAGGGATTACTAGCCTAGCTTTAAAGACAAGACTGAGGCTCAATGAGATTAAGTGACCTGCCCAAGGTCACACAATCAAAAAGTGATAAAGACAAGAACTCAGGTCTTCTAAAATCCAGTCCAGTGCATTTTCCCACTATATCATACTAATGAAATGGGCTCTCAGCTGCTAAATCTGCCTTTAGAAATATCCAGTGCATGAGCCTATACTGTAGACGACAGGTGTCACACGGCTGAAGAAAATAATTGATGAAACCTATGGAAAGAACCAGTGACAAAGTTCTATAGTTTTCTCAATGGGTTATTTCTTTTAAAAAATAAAAAAAGAGGTGCCATTATGCAAAGCATAAAAATTTTTAATGACTCTAGCACCCCTTCTTTTTCCTGTGACCCTATTCTTTTCCTCAATTAATGCTGAGGCTGACTTGCAGTTCTGAGTTACATCAGTCTGGATGGATCTGTTAATGCCTTGCTGCGCAAGCTGTAGTGCATGGATGGTAGACAGATAGCATCAACATAATTTAGGAGCTTGTTAGAAATGCAGATCCTCTGTAGGTAACGATAAGGGAAAAAAAATGCAGATTCTTAGGCCAGATTCTCACCCTAGATCTACTGAATAAGAATTTTAATTTTAACAAGATTCCCCAAGTGATGTAAGGGCACACTTGTTCGAGAAACACAATGTTAATACGTATTTACAGACACATGTCAATGTCATACCGAAAATGATGCCATAGTAGCAGTTCATTAACGAACAAATAAAACACAGGGTCTATTTCAGAGTAAACGTATAGTATAGAATGACAGAAATAATTAGTAGATCAAAAGATATGTGAAAATTGAAACATTTGACTTAGGTTCTGGCTAACTCAGGTAGTTCAAATGACCATGAGATGTTGAAGTCATGCTGGTTACTGTATTAAAACATACAAACAGTCATTCCAAATAATGTTCTTAGTAGTATAAGCAGCAAATATGGGAAAATTTCCCATTTTCACATCGCCCTTACGTTCACAGAATTTCACCCTCTGGAAAGAGCCTACAGTCACCTAGCCACATATTTCTCTGCCCCGGCTGTATATTAAAATCATTTGAGGAGGTTTTAAAATCTGTAGTGGCCCCATCTCCAGAGGTCTTATTTGATTATCTAGGATGGGGTCTCGGCTCCCATGATTTAAATATGTAACCAGAGTTAAAAACCACTGCCTACTCAACTCCTTCACTGTACAGATGAGGAAATTGGGGATTTAATTAAAATAGTACCAATATAGCATGTTTAAATAAAAATGTTCATCAATAGGGAATGATTTATATAACCTGAAACTTGTTGACCAGGTGAGAGGCTTAACTGTTTCAACAAGTGTTTACCATTTACCATTTACTTTTTTTTTTTTTTTTTTTTTTGAGACAGAGTCTTGCTCTGTCACCCAGGCTGAAGTTCAGTGGATTGATTTCAGCTCACTGCAACCTCTGCCTCCTGGATTTAAGTGATTCTTCTGCCTCAGCCTCCCGAGTAGCTGGGATTACAGGAGCGTGCCACCTTGACCAGCTAATTTTTCTATTTTTAGTAGAGACGGGGTTTCACCATGTCTGTCAGGCTGGTCTCAAACTCCTGACCTCGTGATCTGCCCACCTCAGCCTCCCAAAGTGCTGGGATTACAGGCGTGAGCCACCGTGCCCAGCCCTTTTTTCTTTCTTTTCTTTTTTTTAAGGAACTATTTTTTTTTAAGGAACTAAAATAAAGGTCTTCTTTGTCCTTTAACTCTGAACAAAAGTTAACCTTTCTAACCTTTCTTTGGAAGAATTATTAACCAAATATTTACCTAAAGGGGCTGACATTGGGAAGTTTCAAAAGACTACAACTTGAAATAACATAATTGACTTCCATTTTTTAACTTTCTCTTAACCGAAATGACTTTAGCGTACATTCAAATAGTTAGAAGAGCTCTTATAAGTAGCTTACAAAGTTAAAAAACCAAACAAGAATAAAAATATGAGGCAAACAGGAAGTGTGGTGATTCTTTTTTTTTTTAATGACTGCACATTTTTTGACACACCTCCCACCAAGGGTGGGGTCTATTCCTTCCCCTTGGCACTGAGCAGGCTTGTGATTGCTTTAACCAATAGAGCAGGGCTCTGCAAACTATTTCTGTAAAGAGCCAGACAGCAAACATTTTAGACTGCAAACTATATGATTTCTACTGCAACTAATTCGTTCTGCCATTGTAGTGTGAAAGTACATAAATGATTAAACATGCTATGTTCCCATAAAACTTTATTTTTTTATTTTATTGTTATTTCTTGTTTTTGAGATGGAGTCTCACTCTGTTGCCCAGGCTAAAGTGCAGTGGTGCGATCTCGGCTCACTGCAACCTCTGCCTCCCAGGTTCAAGTGATTCTCCTGCCTCAGCCTCCTGAGTAGCTGGGATTACAGGCACACGCCACCATGCCCAGCTAATTTTTGTATTTTTAGTAGAGGCAGGGTTTCACCATGTTGGCCAGGCTGGTCTTGAACTCCTAACCTCATAATCTGCCCACCTCAGCCTCCCAAAGTGCTGGGATTACAGGCGTGAGCCATCACACCCAGACAAAACTTTATTTTAAAAAAAGACATCGCAGATGGATTTGGCATTGGGCCATAGTTTGCTGATCCCTGCAACAGAGTGTGGAAGAAGAGATGCTTTGTGATTTCTGAGACTAGGCTATAAAAGGCCATGCAGCTTTTGCCTGGATCTCTGGGAACCTTCTCTCTTGGGAAGCTCCCTCTTGGAGCCTGGCCAACATTCTGCAGGAAGCTCAAGCCATAGAGAGAGGCCATATGCAAGTTCTGTGGTCAGCAGCCACAGCTAAGCCTAGCCTTCATGTCATCCCAGCCCAGGCACCGGATCTGTGAGTGAAGAAGGCTCCAGATGGTTCCATTTCCAGCCTTTCAAGCCACCCCTCAGCATTTGAGTCGTCCCAGCTGAGGCCCTGGAAATCATGGAGCAGAGACAAAACATCCACACCATGCCCTATCTGAATTCCATAAGGATAATAAAATTGTTGTGTTCATGTTGCTAGGTATAGAAGTGTGGTTTGTTTTGCAGCAATAGATAACTAGAACAGGGACTCACTAAAAATCTAAGAGCACACAAAGAAGGCTAAAAATCTCAGAAAAGAAAGTTGGAGTCAAATAATTCAATTGAAAATATTTATGCCTTTTTTTCAAAAACAAGTTATGCTTTTTGTTTTTTATTTTTATTTTTTGGTGGACTTTATTAACTAATTAAATGGTTTATAGAAATCTTGTCTCTGAAGGTGAAAAACAGCAGTTTGTTCCTTTTTTCCTGTTTGTCTATTTTGTATTTTTTGAATCAAATCTATTAAGAATTTGTACTCAATTGGGGGAGAATTGCTTCAGTGATTTTTGTATTTCTGCTTGGATGAAATATAACTGGTTAAAATTTTAAAATTAAAACTGTAAGCTTTCTATCTGGGTCTGGATATACTTTTATGCGTCTGTGAATGTGTAATATTTTCTTACCTCCAGATGATATTGACACAATATTTTTTTCTTGGTCACTTTGCCAGCCGGGATCTCCGGCCAGCGACGTACCACTCCCCAGCCTGGACCTCCGTTGGCCATGCTACCTGCTGCTGGAGGCACCCCACCCACTTGGTCTGCCCCAGCCAAGTCTGGCTTGCATACCGGCTCAGCCTGAGGAGGCTGGACCGGGTGCGCCCCAGCAGACAGCCCACCTGTATTATAACTCGTACCCGAACTCTTGTCCTGCATCCAAGAAGAATGAGGATACGCTGACAGTTGAAGGGTGAGGGTGGGCAGAGAAGCCAATTTATGCTTTTCAAATGTCATCTATTTAAAGGAACTTGTAATATCTTGTTCAGATGAATAAAAAAACACTCCAGTGTAGTAGTCAATCAAAAAGAATTAAGTGAAGATGAAATCAGGACACTGAAACAAAATTAAAACAAAAAATATTGATAAAACTTCTGAACAGGAACAAAAACATAAAGAAACACACGACAGCAAGACTCAGAAGCTCAATGTAGTAAAAGAGAGTGAGGAACAAGGTGAAAACATTTTACTTTTAATCCCTGAAGAGAAGAAAAACAAATAATACCAAAAATCTTTATTTAAATGTTTATTCTTTTGAGAAAACAAAACCTACCTCTGGATGCACATGAGTTTGATTAAATCTGGGAATATCTCTTTACTCCTGATATCTTTCAAACACCGCTAAGGTACCAGATAAATTCTGGTGACAAGGTCCTGAGAAAACCCTTTGAGGCAACAGCGTCTTTCCAGCTGTTCTGTTGGAAAACAGCAGGAACAGCTGCTAGAGATCTGTGAGAGCTGCTTTTGGGAAGAAAGCCCCAGGAAGTGAGGGATCATACTTCTTTTCTGTGATCACTGATGCTGTGGTGGACATAGCAGAGAAAGAACACCAGCCCGGAGTGGAGAGGTTTATTGATGAGTCTCTTACCCGACAGAGAAATATGTGAGTGTCTTCCTTGTGAAGCTGAAGCAGACATTTTGGTTGTGTGATCTCACACTACAAAAATCGGGAAGTGGGGCTAAATGTGGAGTGCTGTTGTGGCCAGATGTACAATATGGCCAATAGATTTTCTTCAAAAATGGAGGTTGCTGCTTCAAGATTTTTAACTGAAATATCCCCAAACTATCTACACATTCTGCTCTTCCTGTGCCTTAAATATGTGGTTGGCAGGCCAGGCATGGTGGCTTACGCTTGTAATCCCACACTTTGGGGGACCGAGGCGGGAGGATCACTTAAGGTCAGAAGTTCGAGACCAACCTGGTGAACATGGTGAAACCCCGCTGGGCGTGAAAATATAAAAATTAGCTGGGTGTGTGGCAATCGCCTGTAATCCCAGCTACTGGGGAGGCTGAGACAGGAGAACCACTTGAACTCGGGAGGCGGAGGTTGCCATAAGCCAAGATTGTGCCACTGCACTCTAGCCTGGGCAACAGATCGAGACTGTCTCAACAAATAAAAAATTAAAATTAAAAAATTAAAAATTAAATATGTGGTTGGCAAAATCAGTGCCTATTATGGGGATATCTGTTGTATTATGAAGGACTGAGGAAGTTTGTTCTTTTATTCATTCTTCACCACAACTACTTTTAGGACTTGACTATGTAATTTCTGTCCTTTCTCAGAACAACAAAGAAAGGAATAATGAACTGAAGGCAATTTTTCATTCTCAATGGACAGATAGACATGATGCTTTTGAAATTTTACTGGATCTCCTGCCAGCATTTGTTTTATGTTTAGAGATATAAATATATAAATAGTGAGACAAGTCTCAGATGACATAACTGTGTAGCTGGCTGAGCATTTGTATTCTGCAGTGCATTAATGTATTTTAATTTCTTTCTTTTTTTTTTTTAATTAATAGAGACAGAGTCTCACTATGATTGGCCAGGCTGCTCTCAAACCCCTGGGCTCAAGTGATCCTCCCACATTGGCCTCGCAAAGTGCTAGGACTACAGGTGAGCGCCATCACTCCCGGCCTTGATTTCATTTTTATAAATGTTCTTAAAAATGTCTTATCTTACAAGAGGCTTTGGGAAAAAAATCTCTAGGGGAAAATCTCTGATGTTTTCTTTGCAGCCAGCAGCTTCATGGTGGTATCGTATCACTAATGAAGTATTGGAAAATATTAAAACTTATCATGAATTTGGGGAAGGCATGAATTTGATAACCAATCTTGATATTCAAATAAAAGTCTCTGGGAAATTCTGCAGAGCTCAGCAAGGTAACCTAGAATCTCAACTAACCTCTGAGAGTTACTATAAGGAATCTCTGTGTGTTCCAACAGTGCAGCGCATTACTCTGGAACTTGAAGATTTATTCTCAGAACAGGGTCTCATAGCTCGCAAATGCTGATCTCTGGCACCTTCTGTCATGGGACAGCTCAAATTTGACACATCGGAGAAACACTAAGCTGACTTTTACTGAAGTGACTGAGCCAATCTGAACATGCTCTCAGCCAATTTCATTGTTGGAGAATCAAGTAGAAACACAGACAGAAAGAGGCAGAGCTTCTATTGGCATTTTTGAAGCCCTCTGTCTGCCTGACATCAGTAAAACTCCCTAATGTGTACACATTGTTGAAAGTCCTGTGTATTCTTCCTATAATGAAGATTGAGAATGAGCACTATGAAAATAAATGAAAGCATCTCAAATTATAGCTGAGGAAAACTTTGACAGACCAAAGGTTAAATAACTTGGTTTTACTTAACATAAATTTTGATATAAAACATGATCTGGATTTAACTGTAGGTGCACATATCAAACTATACAGCAAGTAAGAACTTCCTACAAGTGATTCAGAAATCAGTAAGAATACCTCAAAGGATGCTTATTTAATTTTATTTTTTGTTTGTTTGTTTTGAGACAGAGTCTCTGTTGGGCAGCCTGGAGTGCAGTGGCGTAATCTCGGCTCACTGCAGCCTCCGCCTCCCAGGTTCAAGTGATTCTCCTGCCTCAGTGTCCCCAGAAGCTGGGATTACAGGCCCGCACCACCACGCCCAGCTAGTTTTTTGTAGTTTTAGTAGAGATGCAGTTTCACTATGTTGGACAGGCTGGTCCTGAACTCTTGACCTCAAGTGATCCGCCCACCTCAGCCTCCCAAAGTGCTAGGATTGTAGATGTGAGCCACCACCCCCGACCCTAAAAGGATGTTTTAAGTAAGTTTCCTTCTATGGGAAAAAATGGAAGACGTACAAGTGCCGAATTCCATTTCTGCATACTCTCTGGTGCTGGCACTCTGGAATTGTTATTTATTTATTTTATTTTTTTATTTTTTGACAGGGTCTTGCTCTGTCACCCAGGCTGGAGTGCAATGGCACAGTCAGGGCTCACTGCAGCCTCAATCTCCCAGGCTCAAGCGATTCTCCCACCTCAGCCTCCTGAGTAGCTGGGACTACAGGCATGCGCTAGCATTCCTGGCTAACTTTTGTATATTTTGTAGACATGGGTTTTTGCCCTGTTGCTCAGGCTGGTAGAATTGTTTTAAAATCATTTCAGACACAGCATTTAGTATCACTGTGGATCCAGTACTTTGAAGTTAAGTTAGTTATCAGTACTTTGAAGGAATAAATTTTGGGTAGGTGTAGGAGGAAAGAATACATTTCATAAAATGTCACAGTGAATCTTACAACTCACCTTTCACTGGTAGGACTTTTAAGTATACTGTTAAAAACCTTTAACGCGGCCAGGCACAGTGGCTCACGCCTGTAATCCCAGCACTTTGGGAGGCCGAGGCGGGCCGATCACAAGGTCAAGAGATTGAGACCATCCTGGCCAACATGGTGAAACCCCATCTCTGCTAAAAATACAAAAATTAGCTGGGCGTGGTGGCACATGCCTGTAGTCCCAGCTACTAGGGAGGCTGAGGCAGGAGAATCGCTTGAACCCAGGAGGCAGAGGTTGCAGTGAGCCGAGATCACACCACTGCACTCCAGCCTGGCGACAGAGTCTCAAAAACAAAAGAAAACAAAAACAAAAACAAAAACAAAAAAAACCCTTTAATGCACAGTTATGGGAATTACCAGAGAGTGAGAGAAGCAGTGAGCTCACCCAACAAGGGTGGCATTGTAGGTCTGATCTTTATCAAGTGATCCTAGAAGAACAAGTTTGAATGGAAGAGTCTGGCATCATTGTTCTCCTTCTGCTTGTTGCTATTTGCATTCCTTTGTTGAGCTGATGTCTTCCTGTGTCGTAAGCTTTTCATCAGGTGTATGTGGAACACTTTAGTTTCATGGTCAAGACAGAATCAGAAGCCCTGGATACAGACAGCTGATGTGTCTGTTCTCTTCTTTTTTCATAACTATGTCTACTTCCTTATCTAGATTAAAATCAAAACCTGAAAAACTGACTACAATAAGTGTTTTGTGGTTTATCTATAAATATGATAGAAAATATGGCTGTTATTTTTGGTCAGAAATACCAATTTTGTACAGCTTATTTCAACCTAAATAAAATGTGAACTTAAAAACATTTTTGTTTTAAAAAACATTTCTTTATTGACTTCTACTACCAGAGTCGCTGTTGAGAAGTCAGATACCATTCCGATTCTTTATCCTTTCCAGTGATTTTATTTTCCTCTCTGTTAGGTCCTTTCTGTCTCCAATGTTCTGAAATTTAATAATAATGTGCTTTGGTGTGTATCTTTATTTTGCCTGTTATGCTGGGTTCTCAATGGGTCCCTTGAAATTGGGAATTCATGCCCTTCATTTCTTTGTAATATTGTTGAATTATTTCTTTTGTCTTTTATTTCTCTGAAAGAGTTTAGTTATTGTCTAAAGACTTAGAATCAATAGAAAGAAATATCTGGGTTAAGATAAGGGGTTGTGGAGACCAAGGCTTTATCATGTAGGTGAAGCCTCCAGGTAGCAGGCTTCAGAGAGAATAGATTGTAAATGTTTCTTATCAGACTTAAAGAGTCCATTCTATCAGTAATTCCAAAAGGGAGGAGGGTAGGATGAGGCATGTTCAACACCCATTTCCCATTATGGCCGGAATAGTTTCTCAGGTCAACTTTGGAATGCCCTTGGCCAAGAAGAGGGGTCCATTCAGATGGTTGAGGGGGCTTAGAGTTTTATTTTTGGTTTACAGTAGGTTGCCAGGCACATCCATTTAAACTGCTCTGGTACGGAAGTGATTTCTCGGCCAGGCATGGTGGCTCACGCCTGTAATCCCTGCACTTTGGGAGGCCAAGGCAGGCGGATCACAAGGTCAGGAGTTCAAGATCAGCCTGGCCAACATGGCCATCTCTGCTAAAAATACAAAACTTAGCCGGGCGTGGTGGTGCATGCCTGTAATCAGCTACTTGGGAGGCTGAGGCAGGAGAATTGCTTGAACCCAGGAGGCGGAGGTTGCAGTGAGCCGAGATTGCACCACTGCACCCCAGCCTGGGCAACAGAGTGAGACTCCATCTCAAAAAAAAAAAAAAAAAAAAAAGAAGTGAAGAAATGATTTCTTTTTTTGTTGCTATCCCTACTTTTATACCTAAATTTTGGCCAACTAATGTATACTGAAAATATAAATAGAGCATACAGGTTCCAATGATGAGTTACTTTGTTGATAAAGAAGCTTGTGGGTGAAGTGTTAGCAAAACCTTTTCTCTCCTACATGAAAATTTGACTTTTGGTTAACTTTCTACATCTTTTCCACTGGCAACCTAATAAGGACTGTGATACTGTGATATAGTAAGAAATACATATTGGGTCTTCAGGCCCCCAGTTTCTGGTACAGAGATTCTAAAATTCTGGTAACTTCCCGAGTGATAGGAGTGACAGGAGCGTCTTTTGTTAAAATCGCTGGTTTTTATCCCTGGTTCCAGGCGCAGAGCTTCTAAAAACTCTTTGAATTTTCTGAGCAATCGAGGTGACAGGAGCATCTTTTGTTATTTTCAACAAGCTCTTTTCGAGTGTACATGAATTATGTTAATTAGATGACTGGTGGCTGGAAGCCCATAGATAGCTTCAGGATGGGCACTGGTTGCCAGAGGAACCAAACATGTGATTATAGAGGATTGGAACTTTCAGCCCTACTCACCCCGAGGGAGGGAGAGAAAAGCTGGATTGAGTAAATCACCAATGGCCCATGATTTAAGCAATCACGCCTATGTAATAGAACCTCCATAAAAACCCTAAACAAAGGGCTTCAGAGAGCTTCTGAGTTGGAAAACACATCGAGCGGCTGATGAAGCCATCCCCACAGGGTTGACAAGGATTTCATGCTGAGTTCTGGGCAGAAATTTCGTTATAATTAAGCCTTAATCAGGCTGCACTTTGGCTCATTTCCTTGTTGCTGAAAGTCAATAGCACTAGATACTGCCCATTTGCACCCCCATTATTCCTATAGACAGGATCACCGCCGTTAGAATCATATGGCTTTTGTTTGAAGGTTGCCTAAGATGTTTTCAGATCCCAAACTCCAGTGAAACAGCTGAAACCAACCAGTTTGAAGACCCCCACAGAGAAATGGAATCAGCATGAGAATACAGCTTCTTCATCTTTCTGTCCCATGACTTTACCCTGCACTCTTCAACCAATCAATGATCTTCACACTTCAGCCCACTCCAAAACCCTTAAAATCTCTAGCCCCAGGCCGGGCACGGTGGCTCACGCCTGTAAACTTTGGGAGGTCCAGGTGAGTGGATCACCTGAAGTTAGGAGTTCAAGACCAGCCTGGCCAACATGGTGAAACCCCTGTCTCTACTAAAAATACAAAAATTAGCTGGGCATGGTGGCAGGAGTCTGTAATCCCAGCTACTCTGGAGGCTGAGGCGGGAGAATTGCTTGAACCTGGGAGGCAGAGGTGGCAATGAGCCGAGATGGCACCATTGCACTCCAGCCTGGGCGACACAAGCAAAACTCCATCGCAAAAAAAAAAAAAAAGCCCACAAAATCTCTAGCCCCAGATTGCTTGGGAGATGGAGTTGAGGTTTCCTCCCATCTCCTAGTTCGGAGACCCTACAATTAAACCTCTTTCTCTGCTGCACCCTGGTGTCTCTGCCTACTGACTTGCTGTGCACATGGGACAATGGATCTGCTACAGTTACACCGAGAGGGTGGGGTGCCCAGGGAGGGCACTGGAGCTCTGCACATCTCCCGTTTCACACCTTGTCCTCTGCCTGTTCATCTGTAGCCTTTATAATATCATTTATAAATAAACTGCTAAATGTCAGTATAATGATTTCCTGAGTTTTACAAGCCATTCTAGCAAATTATTGAACCTGAGGAGAGGGTTGTGGAAACCCCTAGTTTATAGCCATTAAGACAGAAGTATGGGAGGCTCAGCTTGTGATTGGCATCTGAAGTCTTGTGGGCAGTCTTGTGGGACTGGGCCCTTTCAACTGTGCCATCTGATACTAACACCAGGTAACTAGTGTCAGAATTGAATTCAATTGAATTATTGGATACCCAGTTGGTTTCTGGAGAGAAGGAGAATTTGAGGTTGGCATGGGAAAAAAAAAACACCACATATTTGGTGTCAGACATGTTCTATGGGTAAAAAATAGATCATAGTAATACAGTTCCCCCTTGAACAAGCTGGGGGTTAGAGGTGCTGACCTCCCAACACAGTTGAAAATCTAAGTATAATGTTTTACTTCCCAGGAACTTAACTACTTGATGAGAAGCTTTACCAATAACATAAACCGTTGATTAGCATATTTTATATGTTATATGTATTATATACTATATTTATACAATGAGGAAAGCTAGAAAAAAGAAAAACATTATTAAAATCATAAGGAAGAGAAAATATATCTTTATTAAGCGGAAGTAGATCATTATAAAGGTCTTCACCTCATCATCTTCGTGTTCAGTAGACTGAGGAAGAAGAGGGAGAGAAGGGGTTAGTCTTGCTGTCTCAGGGGTGGCAAAGGCAGAAAAAAGTTCATATATAAGTGGACCCATGCAGTTCAAACCTGTGTTGTTCAAGGGTCAGTTGTAGTAGGAGAAGGAGAAGGAGAAAGGAAACTATGTCACTTTTGTTGCTTGACAACCTACTTATGGTAAAATGACCCTGATTGGTAAACTGTATCTGAACTAGTTAAACTATAAATTTCTGTTAAGAGGTTTTAGTTTGAGATTCCCTGAGTACTGTGTCTCTTGTAACAAATATGTCCCTTGGAAGGACTCTAAAACTGTCTGTGAAGTTCTTATAAGACATAGTTGCTGGCCGGGCATGGTGGCTCACCCCTGTAATCCCAGCACTTTGGGAGGCTGAGATGGGAGCATCGCTTGAGGCCAGGTGTTTGAGACCAGCCTGGGCAGCATGGTGAAGCCCCATCTCTACATAAAATACAAAAATTAGCTGGGTGTGGTGGCGTATGCCTGTAGTCCCAGCTACTCGGGAGGCTGGGGTGGGAGGATCACTTGAGCCCGGGAGGTTGAGGCTGCAGGGAGCCATGATCACACCCCTACACTCCAGCCTGGGTGACAGAGCTAGACCCTGTCTTAAAAAAAAAAAAAAGAAAAAAGAAAAAAAAAAGAGAGAGAGACATAGTAGCTAATGTGAGGCATTATTATTATTATTTTTTTTTTTGAGACTGAATCTCCCTGTCACCCAGGCTGGAGTGCAGTGGCGTGATCTAGGCTTACTGCAAGCTCCGCCTCCCGGGTTTACTTACGCCATTCTCCTGCCTCAGCCTCCCGAGTAGCTGGGACTACAGGCACCTGCCACCACGCCTAGCTAAGGTTTTGTATTTTTAGTAGAGATGGGGTTTCACCGTGTTAGCCAGGATGGTCTCTATCTCCTGACCTCGTGATCCACCTGCCTGGGCCTCCCAAAGTGCTGGGATTACAGGTGTGAGCCATCGTGCCTGGCCGAGGCATTAGATTTTTAAATGGGTAGTCCCACACCCATTCAATGTGGATCTTGTCTTCTTGCATCTGAGATGTCACTTGGAAGCCAAAGAAAGTATCTTCTGGTTTAGAAATGCCAGATTTAGTGAATAAAGATACAGGTCCAGCCAGATGGGGTGACGCGTGCCTGTAGTCTATCAGTCTAGGAAAATGACAAGACAAGTCTCAATCATTTTAGGAGATTTATTTGCCAAAGTTAAGGACAGGCCCGGGAGACAGGTCTATGCCTTTTTCTGAAGATGATTTTGACGGCTCTAAATTTAAAGGGGAAAGGGCGGGATATTGAGAAGCACACAGTTTTCACATAAACGAAAGGGGCAGAGGAAAAATGTGGGGAATCTGCATTTTACATAAGATAACACAGACAAAACGGGGTAGGGGAATAATCAGATATGCATTTGTGTCTGACGGGCTGGGTGACTGCACCTGTAAAGATAAGCTATCAATTTGCATTGCCATGGTGAAGTTTTAACAGCTCACCAGAAATTTCCTTGTGGACAAAATGTAGGGGAGGCGTGTAGCTTTTCATCTTGTAGCCATCTTATTTAGGAACAAAAAGAGGCAAGCAGGTTTGTGTGACCCAGTTCCCAGCTTCGCTTTTCCCTTTGGCTAAATGAGTTTGGGGTCCCCAAATTTAATTTCCCTTCACAAGTTCCAGCTAGTCTGGAGGCTGAGATAGGAGGATCACTTGCGCCCAGGAGTTTGAAGTTGCAGTGAGCTATGTTCAAACCTGTGAATAGCCACTGCACTCCAGCCTGGGCAACATAGTCACTGTCTCTCAATAAATAAATAAATAACACAGGTCCCATGCAATACCTGGAACATACACTGAAAAAAATATTTGGCTAAGTGCTGTGGCTCAAATTGTAATCCCAATACTTCGAGGGGCCAAGGTGGGAAGATTGTTTGAGGCCAGGAATTCAAGACCAGCCAACATAGCAAGATCCCATCTCCAAAAAATTTTTAAAAAATTAACTGGGTGTGGTGGTGCACACCTGTATTACAAGTTACTCGGAAGGCTGAAGTGGGAGAATTGCTTGAACCCAGCAGTTCGAGGCAGCAGTGAGCCATGATCCTGCCACTGCATTCCAGCCTGAGCAATTGAGCAAGACCCTGTCTCTCTTTCTCTGTCTCTCTCCCACCCCATATAACACACACACACACACACACACACACACACACACACACACACTATAAATATGTATATGGCATTCATATACCTGTAGCCCCAGCTACTTGAGAGGGAGTGTGTAGTGTGTGTGTGTGTGTGTGTGTGTGTGTGTGTGTATATGTACTCCCTATAGTTCTATATATATAGGGAGCATATATATAGGAAGTATAGATATTATAGGGAGTGTATATATATACTATATACTCCCTCCCAAGTAGCTGGGATTACATGTATATAAATATTATATACATATATATAGTGTGTATATGTATGTTATATGGGGTGGGGGAGAGAGAGAGAAAGAGATACAGAGAGAAAGAGAGTATATATATACATATGTACACTGTATAGTATATATATATAGTCTATATATTTTATTTAAAATTCAAACTGAACTGGACATCCGTATTGTACTTGACAACTCTGCTGGATGGCTATGTGGACAGCTACACGGAAAGCTGCTAGGACTACTGTCTTGGCTGAGCCACAGCTGACACTGCCTTCTGGCAAGCTGTGGTTCCTATTCTATATCCTTCTAAGAGAACCTGATGCCAAGTGAAGCCTATGGTAGTGAAGAAGTTAAGAATATGCCAGCCCCAAATATGCCATTTTGGCATATTGATTATTCTGAGCTAAAGGCAACTGAGAACCCACTGACTCCAGGAAAGCTCTTTACCTCCGCCTCAACTATCCAAAATAAAGTCTAAATTTCCCCTTTTGTAAAGGAAATTTACATTTATAAAGGAAATTTTCATTAGTAAAAATGTCTATACAAGAAAGAGAGCTACTCTCTGTACCTGAGAGACTTATCTGCATAAGGCAAACTTTATTTACCACACATTTCCTCCTCTCCCTTTCCCATGATTTGCCTCACTCTCAACAGAAGTCTCTAAACCCCTATTTCTTTCTGTAGCTCAGGATGATATGTAAGTCTCAATCATCTGGCTGCTTCCTTGAGTTTCATATTTTTGTGAAACTCCGATGAATATGTATGTAATTAAAACTGTTTTTCTCCTGTTAATCTGCCTCTCAATTTAATTCTCAGGCAGTCACAGAGTCTGGAAGGGTAGAAGGAAGCATTTTTTCTCCCTTACAATTGTCTTGTGAATATAATTGTTTAGTCGAAATTAAGAAGACCGTCAGGCCAGGCCCAGTGGCTTACGCCTGTAATCTCAACACTTTAGGAGGCTGAGGTGGGCGGATTACATGAGGTCAGAAGTTCAAAACCAGCCTGGCCAACATGGTAAAATCCCATTTCTACTAAAAAAATACAAATTAGCTGAGCATGGTGGTGCATGCCTGTAGTCCCAGCTACTGGGGAGGCTGAGGCAGGAGAATCGCTCAAACCCAGGAGGCGGAGGTTGCAGTGAGCTGAGATCACACCACTATACTCCAGCCTGGGCAACAAAGTGAGACTCCATCTCAAAAGCAAAAAGCATTAATTATAGGAGCACTGTGAAGAAGAAGAGGTGAGAACGACCCCCTAGGCTGACCAAAGCCCGTGTGCCACCGTATCCCCATGCATTGCTGCATCCCTGCAGCCAGCACCTGTGTGCAGCCACCATTGCCACCATGCCCAAGAGAAAGGCTGAAGGGGATGCTAAAGAAGATAAGGCCAAGATAAAGGACAAACTACAGGGAAGATCCACAAAGTTGTCTGGAAAGCCTGCTCTGCCAAAGCCACAGCTGAAGCCTAAAAAGGCCCCTACAAAAAAGGGAGAGAAAGTATCCAAAGGGGAAAAAGGAAGAGCCAACTCTGACAAAGAGGTGAATAAACCTGCAGAAAATGGAGATGCCAGAACGGAGAAGGCACAGAAAGCTGAAGGTGCTGGAGATGCCAAGTGAAGTGTATGCATTTTTGATAAATCTGTACTTCTGGTGACTGTACAGTTTGAAATACTGTTACATCCCAATGGATTATTCTTGCCTGCTGCACAGAAAAGCCCATATGCTGAAACAGCAGTGTTGCAGTAGGGAAAGAGTTCAATTATTGCAAGGCAGCTGAGTGGGCAGACAGGAAACATTTCTCAAATCCATCTCCCTGAAAGCTTGGAAGCTAGGGTTTTTAAGGATAATTTGGCAGGCAGGGGTTAGGGAATGAGTGCTGCTGATTAGTTGAAGATGTAATCACAGGTGTGTCCAAAACAGTCTTTATTTGTTGAGTCAGTCTCTGAGTGGGGAGTCACAGGACTGGTTCAGTTAGTTCCTTGGTATGAGTCATGGGTCCAGGTGGACTCAGTTAGTTGCCAGAATGCAAAAGTCTGAAAAACATCTCAAAGACCAATTTCGGGTTCCACGATAGTAAATTATCTATAGGAGTAACTGAGGAAGTTACAGATCTTGTGATCTCTAGCTTCATCACCTCTGAACTGGAAAGAATTATAGAAAAACCAAGCTAGGGAACAACAGCTGGTTATTGTTTAACTATGCCCACATTTTAGCAGAATTCAGGTCCTCCCCATAATCTTAACCTTGTGGCCTTTCATTAGCCTTACAAAGGCAGTTTAACTCCCCAGATGGGGTCAGTTTGGAGAGGGACTATTATTATCCTTGCTTCAAAGTTAAACTATAGGCTGGCTGGGTGGAGTAGTTCATGTCTGTAATCCCAGAACTTTGGGAGATCGAGGTGGGTAGATCACTTAAGCCCAGGAGTTCAAGACCAGCCTAGACAACATAGTGAGACCCCATCTCTACAAAAAATTTAAAAATTAGCTGGGTGTGTTGGCACATGCCTGAGTCTCAGCTACTTGGGAGACTGAGGTGGGAGGATCACTTGAGCCCAGGAACTTGAGGCTGCAGTGAGCTGTGATGGCGCCACTGCACTCCAGACTGGGTGACAGAATGAGACTCTGTTTAAACAACAACAACAACAACAAAGCAAAACAAAACTATAAACTAAATTCCTCCCATAGTTAGCTTGGCCTATGTCCAGGAATGAGCAAAGGCAGTTAGCATGTGAGGTTAGAAGCAAGTTGGAGTCAGGTGAGATTTCTCTCACTGTTACAATTTTTGCAAAGGAAGTTTCAATGCTATTTTTTTATTGTTTTATAAAAATGCAGAATCCTATTTTACTTTTTTTAAAGTTATGTTGTTAGTACACAGAACGCTTTTTTTTTGTGGGTGGGAGGGGCATATGTCACTAATAGAATGTCTCTGAATCTGGATTGATTGACGTTGGGAAAACACCTTTCCCTTCTAGTTTTGAGAGACTTCCTCTCAGCTCCTAGGAGAAGGGATTTATTGATGTTGACACACATAGCCACCGTAGCACAAACACCCTGGAGGTGTGGTAAAACCAAAATTAACTTTTATGTCCTTTTCTCTCTTTCTGCCTTCAGCATTGACTTAACTCCTTTAAACGCAGACACCTGTTGGGACCTGACCTCCAATAGTTGGTTACCAGTGTGTCAGGCAATCTGGACTTTCCAGCGATGCCACTGAGATGGTCTCCGTTGAAAAAGTGGCAGTTCCATTTGTAGATTGTGAATCTTCAGATAAATTCTGCCATTGTAATTTCATTTCCTGAAAGTCAGGGTCTCCTTGTAAAAATGTGTTAAACAACATGCTAAACGTGGAGTGCCAACCGTCGCTTGAAACTTTCCCTACTCAGAACATCAGATAAAGATTTCAATAGGTTTTTTTTATACGTATATACTTTAAGTTCTAGGGTTCATGTGCACAACATGCAGGTTTGTTACCTAGGTATACATGTGCCATGTTGGTTTGCTGCACCCATCAACTCATCGTTCACATTAGGTATTTCTCCTAATGCTATCCCTCCCCCAGCCCCCCAGCCCCCAACAGGCCCCGGTGTCTGATGTTCTCTGCCCTGTGTCCAAGTGTTCTCATTGTTCAATTCCCACCTATGAGTGAGAACATGCGGTATTTGGTTTTCTGTCCTTGTGATAGTTTGCTGAGAATGATGGTTTCCAGCTTCATCCATGTCCCCACAAAGGACATGAACTCATCTTTTTTTATGGCAGTATAGTATTCCATGGTATATATGTGCCACATTTCCTTAATCCAGTCTATCATTGATGGACATTTGGGTTGGTGCCAAGTATTTGCTATGGTGAATAATGCTGTAATAAACATATGTGTGCATGTGTCTTTATAGTGGAATGATTTATAATCCTTTGGGTATATACCCAGTAATGGGATGGCTGGGTCAAACGGTGTTTCTAGTTCTAGATCCTTGAGGAATCGCCACACTGTCTTCCACAATGGTTGACCTAATTTACACTCCCACCAACAGTGTAAAAATATTCCTATTTCTCCACATCCCTCTCCAGCATCTGTTGTTTCCTGACTTTTTAGTGATTGCCATTCTAACTGGCATGAGATGGTATCTCATTTTGGTTTTGATTTGCATTTCTCTGATGACCAGTGATGATGAGTATTTTTTCATGTGTGTGTTGGCTGCATAAATGTCTTCTTTTGAGAAGTGTCTGTTCATATCCCTTGCCCACTTTTTGATGGGGTTGTTTGTATTTTTCTTGTAAATTTGATTAAGTTCTTTGTAGATTCTTGATATTAGCCCTTTGTCAGATGGGTAGATTGCAAAAATTTTCTCCCATTCTGTAGGTTGCCTGTTCACTCTGATGGTAGTTTCTTTTGCCCCGCAGAAGCTCTTTAGTTTAATTAGATCCCATTTGTCTATTTTGGCTTTTGTTGCCATTGCTTTTGGTGTTTTAGTCAGATTTCATTGGTTTTTATACTGGCTTTCTGATTTTGATGGTCCACGGAAGGAGGAAGTTTGAACGTTGTTGTATACTGTTAACAACTGTCTGCCCATGTCCTGCCTGGACTATCATAATTGTTTATGAAGAGTATCTTTAATAAAGCTGGATGCAGTTTGACTTAGGAAAAAATATTAATTATAAGAGCAAACACTGGAAACAACTAAAGGAAAATGGCTAAGCTAATTACAATGTAATATTTAAATATTATTTAATTAAATAAGTTACATTAAAAAGATAATCATTAATTTTAAAAAGCACTAATGTAATGTTTATATAATATTAAGTGAAAAAGGGCAGAAACAGTATATACATTTTACATATGTATATATCAACTACATTAAAAATACACAAAGAAAAAAGTCTGGAAAGAAATAACATAATTCATCAATTCTAAAGATGCATTTTCCACCATCACACACATTCTCTAAAATTGGGTCACATCGTACACCAATGCATTAAATGTAGTGTCCTTTTTTTCTAAAAAGCTATTGGAATATTTGAATTTCCATTAATGTATTACTTTATTTTTTTTAATGTCAATGAGCTTATCTGGGTAGTGAGATTATGGGTCATTTTGTGTTCTTCTTTGTTCTTTACTATATATTTTTTAAAACTGTATTTTAAATTTTTTAGGAGATTGTCATGGGAAACCCTAGGCAAATTTCTGTTATTAACATGTAATGATTTGTTTTCATTTTCTTTTAGTAGGACAAGGGAGCTAACAAATAATGATTATTAAGAAATTTTTGATAGGATTTGTGTGATCCTTCCCAGACTCCGTGTGTTTGTACTACAATATGGAAAGAGTATGTGCAATGTTTGCAGAACACATGTAAGAAGTCACACTCTTCTTCGTTAATGCTTACTTGCTATTTAATGATTCCGTTAGAAAACTGAGATGGAGGTCAGGTGCAGTGGCTCACACCTGTAATCCCAGCACTTTGGGAGGCCAAGGTGGGCGGATCACTTGAGGTCAGGAATTTGAGACCAGCTTGGCCAACATGGCAAAACCCCACCTCTACTTTCCATTTCATTTCATTTGAAAGCCTAGTCCAGAGACAGGAGATTCTCTTTATTTTTGGCAAGGTTCTAAATGGCTAAGTGATGAAAGGAAAAGGGAATCCTAGTACACTGTTGGTAGAAATGTACATTGGTACAGCCATTATGAAAAACAGTATGGAGGTTCCTAAAGAAATTAAAAATAAGGCCAGGCATGGTGGCTCATGCCTGCAATCCCAGCACCTTGGGAAGCTAAAGCTGGCTGATTGCTTGAGTCCAGGAGTTTGAGACCAGCCTAGGCAACATGCAAAACCCCGTCTCTACTAAAAATACAAAAAATTAGCCAAGCATGGTGGTGCGTGCCTGTACTCACAGCTACTCAGGAGGCTGAGGTAGGAGAATCACCTGAGCCCCAGAGGTTGAGGCTGCAGTGAGCCAAGATTGCGCCACTGCACTCCATCCTGGGCAGCCAAAGTGAGACCCTGTCTCAAAAAACAAAACTACCATACAACCTAGCAATCCCTCTTCTGGGTTACATTCCCAAAGAAGATGAATTCACCATCTCATAAAGATATCCGCACTCGCATGCTCATTCACAATAGCCAAGATATGGAAACATCTAACTGTCATCAAGAGATAAATGGAAAAAGAAACTGTATATATATAAAATGCAATACTATTCAGCCACTGAAAAGGAGATCCTGTCATTTGCCACAACATGGACGGACTTCAGAGGACATTATGTAAGTGAAATAAGCCAGATACAGAAAGAAAAATATTGCCTGATCTCATTTATATGTAGAATCTTTTTTCTTAAAGTCAAATATATAGAGATAGAGAGTAAAACAGTGGTTACAAGGCGTTGCGGCGGAGGAGAAGAAATGGGAACACATAAGTCAAAGGTTACAAAGTAGCAGGTGTGTAGGATGAACAAGTCTAGTGATCTAATGTGCAGCATAAGGACTAAATAAAATTGTATTCTATTAGGAATTTTTGTTAAATAAGCAGATTTTAGCTGCACTTATTGCACACAAAAAAGTAACTATGTGAGATTATAGACACGTTGATCTGCTTCACAATAGTAACCATTTTCCTATCCATGTGTATCCCATAATATTGTTATAAACCTCAAAATACACAATAAAATTTTTATGGCTAGGGCCAGGTGTGGTGGCTCACAACTGTAATCCCAGCACTTTGGGAGGCCAAGGCGGGTGGATCACCTGAGGTCAGGAGTTCAAGACCTGCCTGGCCAACATGGTGAAACCCTGTCTCTACTAAAAATACAAAATTAGCCAGCCATAGTGGCAGGCAACTGTAACCCCAGCTACTTTGGACGCAGAGGCAGGAGAAGTCCTTGAACCTGGGAGGTGGAGGTTGCAGTGAGCTGAGATGCACCACTGCACTCCAGCCTGGGTGACAGAGGGAGACTCCGTCTAAAAATAAAATAAAATAAAATAAAAAATAAAATAAAATTAAATAAAATAAATGGCTAGGTGATTATAATACCACTTATTTATTAATCTTTTCCATATTGATTTAAAATGATGCCTGAGTAATATACAAATCTCTCATATATACATTCTTAGACGCTCAATACTGCTCCCTTGAAGTATAGGTTTCTGCATAATATACCAAACTGTTTTAATCATTGTAACTTTGTGATTAAATATCTAATTAGGTCAGTGTATTGGTTATCTATTGCTGCATAACAAATTACCCCCCAAATTCAGCATCTTAAATCAACATTTATTATCTCACACAATTTTTGAGGGCCAGGAATCTAGGAGCAGCTTAGCTGGGTGGTCCTGATTCAGGGTTTCTTATGGAGTTGCAGTTAACGTGTTGGTAGGGGCTGCAGGCACTTCAAAGCTTGACTGGGGCTGAAAGATTCACTCCTAACTCATTCCTGTTGCTGTTGGCAGGCATCAGTTCCTCATCTGATGTTGGCCAGAGGTTTTGATTCCTTGCCTTGTAGACCTCTCCATAAGGGCTGCTCACATCATGGCAGCTTGCTTCCTCCAGACCGAGAGTGTGTCCGGAATTGGCAAGTTCTTGGTCTCACTGACTTTAAGAATGAAAGTGCGGACCCTAGCGGTGAGTGTTACAGTTCTTAAAGGCGGCGTGTCCAGAGTTTGTTCCTTCTGATGTTCGGATGTGTTCGGGCTTCTGGTGGGTTCCCGGTTTCGCTGGCTCAGGAGTGAAGCTGCAGACCTTCGCGGTGAGTGTTACAGCTCATAAACGCAGTGTGGACCCAAAAAGTGAGCAGCAGCAAGATTTATTGCAAAGAGCGAAAGAACAAAGCTTCCACAGAGTGGAAGAGGACCCTACCCAATTGCCACTGGGGCTCGGGCAGCCTGCTTTTATTCTCTTATCTGGCCCCACCCACATCCTGCTGATTGCTAGAGCCCAGTGGTCTGTTTTGACAGGGCGCTGATTGGTGCCTTTACAATCCCTGAGCTAGACAGAAAGGTTCTCCACATCCCCACCAGAGTAGCTAGATACGGAGTGTCCATTGGTGCATTCACAAACCCTGAGCTAGACACACGGTGCTGATTGGTGTGTTTACAAACCTTGAGCTGGATACAGAGTGCCGATTGGTGTATTTACAATCCCTGAGCTAGACATAAAGGTTCTCCATGTCCCCACCAGACTCAGGAGCCCAGCTGGCTTCACCCAGTGGATCCCGCATGGGGGCTGCAGGTGGAGCTGGCTGCCAGTCCCGCGCCGCGCCATGCCCCTGCACTCCTCAGCCCTTGGGTGGTTGATGGGACTGGGCGCCGTGGAGCAGGGGGCGGCGCTCATTGGGGAGGCTCGGGGGGCACAGGAGCCCATGGAGGGGGTGGGAGGCTCAGGCATGGCGGGCTGCAGGTCCCTAGCCCTGCCCGGCAGGAAGGCAGCTAAGGCCCGGCGAGAAATCGAGCGCAGCGCTGGTGGGCTAGCACTGCTGGGGGACCCAGCACACCCTCCGCAGCCGCTGGCCCGGGTGCTAAGCCCCTCATTGCCCGGGGCCGGCAGGGCCGGCCGGCGGCTCCGAGTGCAGGGCCGGCTAAGCCCATGCCCACCCGGAACTCCAGCTGGCCCGCAAGCGCCGCTCGCAGCCCCGGTTCCTGCTCGCGCCTCTCCCAGCACACCTCCCTGCAAGCTGAGGGAGCCGGCTCCGGCCTTGGCCAGCCCAGAAAGGGGCTCCCACAGTGCAGCGGTGGGCTGAAGGGCTCTTCAAGTGCCGCCAAAGTGGGAGCCCAGGCAGAGGAGGCGCCGAGAGTGAGGGAGGGCTGTGAGGACTGCCAGCACGCTGTCACCTCTCAAGAGGACAAAGAGAGACACAGATTGGGAGAGAGAGAGAATGCACATGTCCAAGACAAAAACCACAGTCTTTTTTAACTTAACCCACAGTCTTTTTTAACTTAACCCCAGAAGTGATGTTCCATTACTTCTATCTTATGCTGTTGGTCACACAGACCAACCCTGGTTTAATAGAGTTGCCAGATTTAACAAATAACAGAGTATTCCCAGTTAAATTTGATTTTCAAATAAGCCATAAATTATTTAGTACAAGTATATTTCATGCATATAAACATATTTGGGACATACTTATACCAAAATACTATAAATTGTTTAACTGAAATTTAAATTTAACTGGGCATCTTATATTTTATCTGGCAACCCTACTACCCTGGTACAATATAGGAGGGGATACTCCAGGGTGTAAAAACCAGGAGGCAGAGATCATTTAGGGCCATGCTGGAGGCTGGCTCTATTTAAGGGTTAGTCATCCCTTACCACTATTTAAATTTTTTTTGCAGTCAATTTCATGTAACTACTCTTCCAGTTGGACTAAAAATCAAGTCAAGTTACAAAAAAAATTTAATTATAGTTTTTGTTGGGATTTCATTGAATCCATAGATTAATATAGAAAAAAATGGATATAAAATGCAATTTTCTGATCAATCCTTTTATTTTATTTATAAAGAAAAGAGGTTTAATTAGCTCTTGGTTCTGCAGGCTGTACAGGAAGCATAGCTGGGGAAGCCTCAGGAAACTTACACTCATGGTAGAAGGTGAAAGGGAAGCAAGGCACAACTTACATGGCTGGAGCATGAAGAAGAGAGTAAAGGGAGAGCTGCTACACACTTTTATTTTATTTTTTACTTCTTTATTTTTAAATTTTACTTTAAGTTCTGGGATACATGTGCAGAACGTGCAGGTTTGTTGCATAGGCACACATGTCCCATGGTGGTTTGCTGTACCTATCAACTTGTCATCTAGGTTTTAAGCCTCGTATGCATCAGGTATTTGTCTTAATGCTCTCTCTCCCCTTGCTCCCCACACCCCAACAGGCTGCAGTGTGTGATGTTCCCCTCCCTGTGTCCATGTGGTCTCATTCTTCAGCTCTCACTTATGAGTGAGAACATACAGTGTTTTGTTTTGTTTTCTGTTCCTGTGTTCATTTGCTGAGAATGATGGCTTCCAGCTTCATCCATGTCCCTGCAAAGGACATGAACCCATTCTTTTTTATGGTTGCATAGTATTCCATGGTGTATATGTGCCATATTTTCTGTAGGCAGTCTATTACTGATGGGCATTTGGGTTGGTTCCAAGATTTTGCCATTGTAAATAGTGCTGCAGTAAACATATGTGTGCATGTGTCTTTATAGTAGAATGATTTATAATCCTTTGGGTATATACCCAGTAATGGGATTGCTGGGTCAAATGGTATTTCTGGTTCTAGATCCTTGAGGAATCGCCACACTGTCTTCCACAATGGTTGAACTAATTTACACTCCCACCAACACTGTAAAAGTGTTCCATTTCTCCACATCCCTCTCCAGCATCTGTTGTTTCCTGACTTTTTAGTGATCACCATTCTAACTGGCGTGAGATGGTATCTCGTTGTGATTTTGATTTGTAGTTCTCTAATGACTAGTGATGATGAGCTTTTTTTCATATGTTTGTTGGCCGCATAAATGTCTTCTTTTGAGAAGTGTCTGTTCATATCCTTTGCCTACTTTTTGATGGGTTGTTTTTTTCTTGTGTAGATTCTGGATATTAGACCTTTGTCAGATGAGTAGATTGCAAATATTTTCTCCCATTCTGTAAGTTGCCTGTTCACTCTGATGATAGTTTCTTTTGCTGTGCAGAAGTGCTTTAGCTTAATTAGACCTCATTTGTCAATTTTGGCTTTTGTTGCAATTGATTTTGGTGCTACACACTTTTAAACAACCAGATCTCATGAGAACTCACTCACTATCACAAGAACAGCAAGGGTGATGCCCATCCCCATGATCCAGTCACCTCCCACCAGGTCCCCCCTCCAACACTGGGGATTACAATTTGACATGAGATCAATCCTTTTATGTCCTCTATTAAGTTTTATATTTTTATTCATCTAGGTCCTGCTTACTTCCTGTTAGGGTTTGTTGTTGTTGTTTTGATTTGTGATCAAAAAAATTTTACTTGTGATATTTTTGAACTGGTTGTGGTTGAAATATAAGAATACTATTAATTTTTATGTATTGTTTGCAATGACTGCCTTAGTGAATGCTCCTATTACTTCTTTTTTTTTTTTTAATAGAGATAGAGTCTTGCTCTGTCACCCAGGCTGGAGTGCAGTGGTGTGATCTCAGCTCACTGTAACCTCCACCTCCTGGGTTTGAGCGATTCTTCTGCCTCAGCCTCCCGAGTAGCTGGGATTACAGGTGCCTGCCACCACACCCGGCTCTTTTTTTTTTTTTTTTTTTTTTGTATTTTTAGTAGAGACGGGGTTTCACCGTGTTAGCTAGGATGGTCTCAATCTCCTGACCTTGTGATCCACCTGCCTCGGCCTCCCAAAGGGCTGGGATTACAGGCGTGAGCCACTGCGCCTGGCCTATTTCTAATAACTTTTAAGTTGATGCCCTTAGGCTTCCCAGGTATATATGATAATGTCATTTGCAAATAATGACAATTTTACCACGTCCTTTTCAATGTTTAAACCTCATATTTTGGTTTTTTAACTGACTATACTATCAAACAATTATAATTTTTATGAAAAAAGCTTGGACTAAGACAAAATCTTTTGAACTGGGGAAAATAGTATATAGGAAAACTATTTTACACATTTTATTATTTAGATTGAGGCTTAAATGTGGTATGATATTTCCAAACTACACCTCCAAAAGCTAAGAACCAAAACTTTCACTTAAAAAGCTTTCCAGAATTGTAGTTTGTTTAAATATTCCATATCTGCATTGCTTTGAAAGAACTTGAAACAAAGTCTGAATTCCAGGTGCAGCCTGACTTTTTTCTTATCATTTCAGATAAAAGTTCAAAGGGAACTTTTCAGAGGGCTTCAGACATATCATTATCCCAAAGAGTTTATTAAATAAAGAGCTTTGGATCAGGAAAACAAGAACCCCAAGTTATATAAGGGTGAGTCTTCTGCGAATCTAGAGGACAGGCCACCAGCACAAAAACAACATTACCCCAGCTTTCAGAGGAATGCTGCAGCCTTCGCCAGGCATTGGCTCCTGTCCTTTAACAACAGTTTGTTAACACTTTCTTGAGCAGTGGGAGTGGCAGGTTTTTCACAAGGGAGACTGGGGTAGCAATCTGGAGGGAAGGGGAAGCTAGAGGACTTGTCTCAAGGCTACTTCTGCGTAGTAAATAATGTGTGTTCTAAATATGCTTTTTTTTTTTTTTTTTGAAACAGGGTCTCACTCTGTTGCCCAGGCTGGAGTGCAGTGGTGCATTCTTAGTTCACTGCAGCTTCCTCCTCCCAGGTTCAAGCAATTTTTCTGCCTCAGCTTCCAGAGTAGCTGGGCCCACAGATGCATGCCACCACACCCGTGGGGCTTTTTGTTTGTTCGTTTGTTGTATTTTTCGTAGAGACAGGGTTTTGCCATGTTGGCCAGGCTGGTCTCAAACTCCTGGCCTCAAGTCATCCGCCCACCTCTGCCTCTCAAAGTGCTGAGATTACAGGCGTGAGCCACTGCGCCCGACCAAAAATATGCTTCTGTCTATAATTACAAACTTTTGTTTATGTATTAATTATGATTCTGGAGGGGGGTTGCGGAGTTTATGAAAATTGGTGGCCGGCGGGGGGGAGATAAGGCTCTCCCAGGCCATTCCTTCCCCTTGCCAGTGCTGTAAAGAACTGTTCTAAATTGATGGAGAGAAGATTTCGAGTGCTATCACAATACACACATGCAAACACACACACACACAAAGGTAACATGAGGAGATGGATATGTTAATTTGCTTGACTGTAGTAATCGTTTCACTGTGTTTATGTATATACTACTTAAAATATACACTTTTTATTACAAAAAAAAGAGACAAAAATAAGTCGTATGGAAATATAAAGTTTAAAAAGATACAATTCTTGCCCTCAAAATAGCATATAGTCGAAACAAAAGGGTAGGGCACAAAGAGAGGGCAAAGCATGAATCAAAGAAAAAGACTGAGGTAACTGCTGATTATGGGCACAGTACATAACCAACTGTTCCACCTTGAGGTTACAAATGAAAACATCAATGTTGAGGGCTAAGTTGGTTTTAAATTCTGACTTAACACGGTGTTGATGGTGGCAAAAGACCTCCATGGAAGGGGGTGTAGGAAGAAGGAAGGAGAAGTGTCTTTTTCCTAGCACCCCCGGAAATGAGGTCCTAAGCCCTGTTGAGTCCAGAGAGGCACCTCGTCCCATCACACAGCTAATTATGTAGCAGCTCTTCGGGAAGAGGGGTTTCAAATCCTCCAGAGAGTTCAACACAGGTCTGGAGACTGAAAACAACCCAGGTGGAGCAGCTTCATTCAGCACTTACTGTGTAAATATGTTATTAAGCACTATATTGGGGATAAAATAGGACAAATATGTTCTCTATCTTCAGAGATATTGTTTGCAATGGAAGAAGTTTTCCTCTCTGCCACCTCACAATCACACTCAGGATCTTACCTGTGCATAATCATTCAGAAGGATCCACCAAAACAACTGGGCTTGCATTTTCCAGAAGCTTCTTGTCCTCGAGACTGTGTGCTCCTTATGAATAGAGTGCAAACAAATGCGACAAAAAATGTAGAAGATGCTCAGCCCATTATTATTATTATTATTTTTTCTAAAGATAGGGCATCACTGCAGCCCAGGCTGGAGTGTAGTGGTGCAAACATGGCTCACTGCAGCCTCGACCTCTAGGGCTCAAGCAATCCTCCCACCTCCCAGCCTCCTGAGTAGCTGAGACCACAGGTGTGTGCCACCATGCCTGGCTAATTTTATAATTTTCTGTAGAGATGGGGTCTCCCTGTGATGCTCAGGCTGGTCTCAAACTCCTGGCCTCAAGCAATCCCTCCACCTTGGCCTCCCAAAGTGGTAAGATTACAGGCATGAGCCTGGACAGTTCTCTTTAACTCTCAAATGCCCACATCAGAAAAGACAGTACAAATGTAAGCTGATTTTCCTATTTCTCTTTAGGGGCACTGTGTTAACAACAGTTTCTAACTTAATGAATGCCAATTGTGAGCCAATTTAAACCAAATAAACCAGGCCAAGTCATTCTATTACACAGTAGATCAGAGCAAAACCCATTCTAGCCTGGACCAGTGGCATCCAAACAATAACCTAAATGCCTGGGGAGAAAGGCCAATTTAATTAACATTCCACCCTGAACTCTTTTTTTTTTTTTTTTTGAGACGGAGTCTCACTGTATCAGCCAGGATGGAGTGCAGTGGTGTAACCTCAGCTTACTGCAACCTCTGCCTCCTGGGTTCAAGCAATTCTCCTACCTCAGCCTCCTGAGTAGCTGGGGCTACAGGTGAGTGCCACCATGCCTGGCTACTTTTTTGTATATTTAGTAGAGACAGGGTTTCACCATGTTGGCCAGGCTGGGTCTTGAACTCCTGACCTCAGGTGATCCGCCCGCCTCGGCCTCCCAAAGTGCTGGGATTACAGGTGTGAGCCATAGCGTCAGGCCCCTGAACTCTTGATTCTATCCACCATCCCCTCCTCCAAAACCTCTTCCTCCCCAAGCCTTCTCCACCTCAGAAAATGGCAACCCCATCATCCAGCCAGTTGCTTCATCCAGAGACTGGGGAGTCATCTTTAATGCATCTACTTTCTAACTTCCCAGATCTAGTGACCACATCCTGTCAATTCTACCTCCAATTTCTCTTGAATTCATCTACTTCTCTTTCCTCTGGCATCACCCTGATCCAAGTCATCTTCATCTCCCTCTAAGAAAACTGCAATGGCTTCCTAGCTGATCTGCTTACTTCCACTCTTACAGGAATCCATCAGATTCTTCAGAGACCTAATAGGTCTCTTTTTCTCCACATACCTAGCTCATCATAGCACTCATCGCAATTTATTTAAATATATATGTATGTATGTATGTATGTATGTATATAGCTACATATATTTGTTTATATATGTGTGTGTGTATACGTTTATGGAATGTTGCTCTCCTCAGAATTTAATCTCCATGAAGACAAAGTCCATGTCTGATTTTCTTTCACTGAAGTATTATTCCTAGTGCCTAACACAGTACCCAGCATATAGTCAGCATCAATAAAACTTGTTGGAAGAATGAAAGAATGAATGAACGAATGCTTTGTGGAATCCCTGCATGACAGAAGTCCTTCTGTTCACAATAGACAACTGCAGTCCAGAGCCCATTCTCTTAAAAGTCTTTCTTTTAACCTCAAAGCCACATGAGTCAATTCCTCAAAGAGAATGCACTTACTCCTCCAGGCTGATTATACAGTGACCTTCCAGCAGAGCCATTTAGGAAGAAAAGAGTCAGATCTCTGATGGAGCCAGACTAGATGGAGAGAAGCCAAATGAGAATTCCCTTTCTAATGCGTTGGAAAGATCTGAAGAAGAAAATGAAACAAAAATCTTAGACTTAGAGCCTTTGAGGAATTCTTGCCATCTGGTGGCAATAATATTAATCTGCAGGCAACCAAGCACTTTTCCTCGGCTTTCTATAGTATCTCAACATTTCTGAAATTGTACAATGATTTTAACCTTGGTGTGGGTCTCCTTTGATTTCATCATGCCCTGTATTCTAGAAATTTATGGCCTTCAGTTCTGGGAAATTTTCTCAAATTATTTCTTTTAGTATTTTTCTTCCCAATATTTTTTCTTTCTCTTGTTGAAATTTCTATTATATTATTCAGATGTTAGATCTCTGATCTTTTAACTTGCTTTTCTCTTTTCTTCTGTCTCATTATGTCTTTTTGTACTAATTTTTGAAAGGTAATAATTTTGGCTCCACCAAAATATCACTAAAACAGGCCATTGATTAAACAAAGACAACTTTATTCCTATGGCAGTAAGGAAGAACACTAACTTGACAGAGTCTTAGTAGCCTCTCAGAAGGGGCAGGGAAAAGTTGACATATTTATGAAGTTTTGAAGTCTGGTTTAAGGCAGGTCTTTCAATGCTAGGGCTTGATCAGAATTGGATAAGGATAATAGTTTAGAGTTGGTGGACACAGCAAGATTTTGAGGTGACGGATTCAAAGAGTGTTGGTGCCAGTCTTGGTGGCTCATGCCTGTAATCCCAGCACTTTGAGAGGCTGCTGAGGGAGGATCACTTGAGCCCAGGAGTTTGAGACCAGCCTGGGTTACATAGTGAGACCCCTGTCTCTACCAAAAAATAAAAAAATTAGCTGAGTGTGGTGATGCATGCCTGTAGTCCCAGCTACTCAGGAGACTAAGGAGGGAGGATCACTTGAGTCAAGGAGCTGGAGGCTGCAGTGAACTATGATCATGCCACTGCACTCCAGCTTGGGCAATAGAGCGTGACCCTGTCTCAAAAAAAAAAAAAAAAAAAAAAAAAAGAGAGCGAGAGAAAGAAAAAGAAAAAAACAATTCTTGGGGAGTAAACTGTCACTTGATGATATCTATTGGTAAATCGGACAGTTTGATGTTTATTTTAACAGTTTCTGGGGGAAATAAATCCCAGAATAAACAAAGTTATTTGCTTCTTTTATTGCCTCATGAAAGAGGTCCCTTTTATAATAAAGTTTTATTTGTGAAGAGACTGAAAGAGTAATGTCTTGTAAATTTAAACAGTAAACTATGTGGTTTCAGTCCTCAGAAACCACTTTATTTTCCTCGTCTTATTTTCCTTCCCTTCTGTTGAATTTTTTTTTTCTACTATAGCATTTTCCACTTACAGGAGTCTCTTTTCTTCTCAATTCTCCTTTTTAAAGCCTCCTTTCTTTGGGGAAAGGGGAGATATGATATCTTTTCCTAGCAACAGGAACAGACAGTAGGTATTTTTTAAACACATTTTCCTGCCAACTCCATTGCTTTGATTTCCTCTGAGTTCCATTTTGTTCATTCTGTCCTTCATGCTGGAGAAATTCCTTTATTGTCTGAAGGTGATCCTTTATAGGACAGTGACTAATCATAGGCATAAAGTATCAGTTAAACAAGATGAATAAGCTCTAGAGATCTGCAGCATGACAATGTGCCTATAGACAACAAAAACATATTGCACACCTAACAATGTGTTAATAGGGTAGATTTCATGTTCAGTGTTCTTACCACGATAAATTAAACTAAAAGAAAGAACAGTGAGACCAATACCAGAGGTGAGGCAGAGTAGGAGGTTGGGCTGATCAGTGTAGAATGATCTTATTAAGCTTGGAAGGTTTTCCCTGCTCTTGGGGTGGAACATTTTCCCAAAGAGGAATTTTCCAGTTTCCTGTGGGTTGAAGAGGGTAAGCTGGTTGCAGAATTCTCAGAACCGAGTTGGAGAAGGGAGCTAGGTTGTCACTGTCTAATATTGGCTTTCGTTTAAGTCCCATTTTCTGTAAAGTATCCCTACCCTCAACTATGGCTTTTTTTTCAGTCATTTTTCCCCTTTCAGAGATACCTACCACCTCTAATACCCAAGCTTTTCTGGAGTTCTGGGAATTGGCTTGCTCTGAGTTTTTTTCATTAATAGTTTAATGGGTTATCACTCTGCTAGGTCAGTTTCCACCTTTCCATCGGCTTTACAACTCTTGAAGTGTAGTCACTGTCATCTTCTTACCCAGTTTTTTTGTCCTTGTTGGTTTATGCATTTTGAATATATTGACATTTTAGAAGGCTTTGGCTAGGCATCAGCGACAAGTGAATGTGCTCATTCGACCACATTTAACCAGGAGTCTGCATTATATTCCTAAGATCCCCTCCAACTTCTAATTCTGTGATTTTAAATACATTTTAATTAAGGCAAGAGTGAGTACATAATTAGATACAAAGCTGGAGAGATTACGATTTCACGCAAATGAGATGGAAAAAGAGAGGTAATTAGCTTTAGCTTTTCAATAATCAGTCTAGGGGAAACTTCATGGAAGAGGTATTTTAATAACTGAACCTGAACCCTTTCTCTCTTTCTCCCTTAAGAGCAGCATGGATGAACCAAAGACAAGTTGAGGTAGCCTGCAGCAATTTTGATCTTGATCCAGACTGCAAAAACAAATTACCATCAAGATTTAGGAAGGAAGAAGAGACAATATTTAAAAAAACCTGAAAATTCCACAGGGAGAAACTGCATGTGCCTGACTAAGGCAATGCTAATAGGAATAGAAAGAAAGCATGGATAGATATTTACATGACATGATTTTGCATTTTTTAAAGTAATGAATCAAGGGCTGGGCGTGGTAGCTCACACCTGTAATCCCAGAACTTTGGGAGGCCGAGGCAGAGGATCACTTGAGGCCCAGAGTTCAAGACCAGCCTGGGTGACATACAGAGACTCCATCTCTACAAAAAACTTAAAAATTCGCTGGACATGGTGGTGCACGCCTGTAGTCCTAGCTACTTGGGAGGTTGAGGGGGAAGGCTTGCTTGAGCCCAGGAGTTTGAGTCTGCTATGAGCTATGACTGTGCTGCTGCCCTCTCGCCTAGGCAACAGAGCAAGACCCTGACTCTAAAATTTAAAAATACATAAAAATAAATAATGAATAAAAATTGGTAAATTAATAAGTTTACTGAATACCTATATTATAAGTAAAGAGGACACTGTACTAGATGTAATAAGAAAGAGAAAAAAGAATTGTGCTCAGAAGTTGGTGATATTCTTAAATAATAAATATTTTTGATATTGTTGGGTAATTTATGACTTGAGAACGATTACAAAGTGACAAGTTAATGAAAAGCTTAGAAGATTTCAGTACAAATTAATAGTGGACATGCAAGAATGATTCAAAAAGGAACTTAAGAAAACAGTCTCATTTATAATAGCATCCAAAAGAATAAAATATCTAGGAATAAATTTAACTAAGGAGGTGAAAGCCTTGTGCATTGAAAACTACAATACATTGCTGGAAGAAAGTTAAGAAGACATCAATAAATGAAAAGATATCTCATATTCATCTATTGGAAATTGGAATATTTAATATTGTTAAGACAGCAATGCTACCCAAAGTGATCTACATATTCAATGCAATTCCTATAAAAATTCCAATGCCTTTTTTTTTCTTGCAGAAATGGAAAAGTAGATCCTCTCAAATTCATAGGGAATTGCAAGGGGCCCTGATTATCTAAAATAATATCAAAAAAATAACAAAGTTGGAAGACTCATAGTTTCCAATTTCAAAACTTACTACATAGCTACAGTGATCAAAACAGTGTGAGGTATTGGCATAAGGACAGAGATAAACATCAATGGAATAGAATTGAGAGACCAGAAGTAAACCCATACATCTATGGACAATTGATTTTCAACAAGGGTGACAAGACCATTTGATGGGGAAGAAGTAATCTTTTCAACAAATGGTTCTGGGAAAACTGGATATCCACATCCAAAAGAATGACACTTTTTGGACCCCTACCTCACACCATATACAAAAAGTAACTCAAAATGGATCAAAAGTAACTCAAAATGGATCAAAAAAAAAAAAAAAAAAGACTGGATGTGGTGGCTCACATCTGTAAATCCCAGCACTTTGGGAGGCTGAGGCAGGTGGATCACCTGAGGTCAGGAGTTCAAGACCAGCCTGGCCAACATGGTGAAACCCTGTCTCTACTAAAAATACAAAAATTAGCCGGCATGCTGGTGAATGCCTGTAATCCCAGCTACTTGGGAGGCTGAGGCAGGAGAATAGCTTGAACCCAGGAAGCAGAGAGGCTGCAGTGAGCTGAGATCACGCCATCATGCTCTATCCTGGGCAACAGAGCCAGAGCGAGACTCTGCCTCAAAAAAAAAAAAAAAAAACCTAAATGTAGAAACAAAAACTACTAAACTCTTAGAAAAAAGGATCAAGGTAAATTTTTATCAGTTTGGATTTGGCAATGAATTCTTAGATATGGCACCAAAAGCACAAGCAATAAGAGAAAAAAATAGGTAAAATGGACTGTGTCCAAATTTAAAACTTTTATGTCAGGACATTACCAAGAAAGTGAAAAGACAACCTAAAGAATGGGACATTTGCAACTCATATATTTGCTAAGTGCCTGGTATCAAAAATATATTTTTTAAAACTCTTACAGCTCAACAGAAAAAAACAAGCAACTCAGTTTAAAAATGGGCAGAGTGCTTAAGTAGATATTTCTTCAAAGAAGATATACCAGTGAGCAACAACCACATAAAAAGATGCTCAATGTCATTCGTCATTAGGGAAATGTAAATCAAAACCACAATGAGATACCACTTCAAACCCACTAGGATTGCTATAATTAGAAAACCAAAACCAAACAACAACAACAACAACAACAAAAAGAAAACAGTAAGTATTGCTAAGGAATTAGAGAAATTGGAACTCTTGTACATTGCTGATGGAATATAAAATGGTGCAACCATTGTTAAAAACCGTTTGGTGGTTTCTCAAAAAATCAAACAGGGAATTACCCTATGACCCAGCAATTGTACTTCAAGGTATATACTGCAAAGAATTGACAACAGATACTTAAACAAATACGTGTACATGAATGTTCACAGCAACACTATTCACAATAGCCAAAAGATGGGAACAAACCACATGTCCATAAAAGAATGAATGAATAAATAAAATGTGACATATGCATATAATAGAATATTATTCAGCCATAAAAAGGAACAAAGGACTGATACATGCTACAACATGCAGGTACCTTGAAAACATTATGCTAAGTAGAATAAATCAGACACAAAGGTCATATGTGGGTTTCATTTATATGTAATATTCAGAATAGAAAAATCTGTACAGATAGAAAGCAGATTAGTTGTTCCAGGGGCTAAAAGAGGGTAGAATGAGGAGTGACTGCTTAATGGGTAAAGCGTTGTCCTTTGGGCTAATGAAAATGTTTTGAAACTATATAGAGGTGGTACACATTGTGAGTGTTCTAAACGCCACTGAATTGTATACTTTAAAATGATTAATATGGCCGGGTGCGGTGGCTCATGTCTACAATCCCAGCACTTTGGGAAGCCAAGATGGGAGGATCCCTTGAGCTCAGGAGTCCAAGACCAGCCTGGGCAATGTGGCGAAACCCTGTCTCTACAGAAAATACAAAAGTTAGCACATAGTGGCACACAACTGTGGTACCAGCTACTCTAGGGCTGAGGCAGGAGGATTGCTTGAGCCTGGGATGTTGAGGCTATAATGAGCTATGGCCCCACTACACTCCAGCCTGAGTGACAGAGAGAGACCTTGCCTCAAAAAATAAAATGATTAATATTATGCTACGAATGTCATGTCAATTAAAAAAAAAAGAGTGAAGAAAATGCCGAAGGACCTATTTTTTTAAAGCCTTAAAAGTAGAGAAAAATAGAGTGAAGCAAATTCAAATACAAAGCCAAAACAAAACAAGGGTGTATAACACTGAGAATTTCACCCTGAAAATAAAAATGGATATGGACACTAACAAGTAAAAAAGATAGAGTATACACAATCACAAAAAAAGCAAATCAAAAAATTTTTTGTGAGCAGTACTCTGGGAATGCTGACTGAATAGATGAAACTCGTAACTGTTATTTTAAAAATTTCACTGCGATGCTAAAGGGCAGGAAACCTAGACAAAATAGAGATAGGGAAGAAGCCTGCTTTCCTGAGAACCTAGAAAGTTAAAAGTGATATCTTGGCTTGAAATGGATACAGCATAGACTAGAAGAGAAAAATCATCCTAAGGATCAGGACCTACAGGAAAGACATTATATTAAGAGATAGGAAGGAAGACAGTGAATGCCTAACATAGACTGAAGATTGGGGGCCTTGAGTAGTAGGGAATACAAGACATAAAACCCAGAAGTGCCAGCCATTGATATCCCAGTAATTTCCAGCTTTACATCCCAAATTCTTCCCATCCCTGCCTAGTAGCCTATTCCACAACAGTCATGGCAAAATCTACTGCTACAGCCAAGGCTTTAAGGTCAGCATTCTTTAACTCCTAGTTTAGCAGGGAAGCTCAAAATATAAATTTTTCTTGAAACTAAAGTACTCTATTGGACCAGCCAGAGGGGATGAGCTTAAGATGGGGAAGTAGATTTATGTGCTATTCATAAGGAGTATAGATATTTGAATTTCCAAAAAATATAAAGAGGCTTAGACTTAAGAAATAGGAACAGTGGTGTGTTTCATTTTAAAAAAAAATCCCTGCCACTCTTGGTTAAACAGGTGGGTTTTAAAGCCAGAGCTCCTGGGATCAAATGCCAGCTCCACCATTTATTAGCAAGCTCATCACTCTTCGCTTGTTTCCTCCGTAAGAAGTAGATAATAACAGTATGTAAAGCTTAGGTTTTTGAAGACTGTATGTAAGATATGCATGGCACCTGGTGCTTGCTAAGGTCTCAACACACGTTACTTTCACTTTTCTGATCATTCTGTTTCCCGTTGAGGAGAGCTGCTCCCAGATTTGCTTTAAATAGGAGACTGAGCTGGACATGGTGGTTCACATCTGTAATCTCAGCACTTTGGGAGGCTGAGAGGGGAGGATAACTTGAGTCCAGGAGTTGGAAGCCAGCCTGGGCAACATAGTGAGTCCCCATGTCTAAAACATATTTTCAAACAATTAGCTGGAGGTCGTGGTGCATGCCTGTAGTCTATCCCAGCTACTCAGGAGGCCAAGGTGGGAGGATCATTTGAGCCCAGGAAGTCGAGGCTGCAGTGAGCAATGATCATGCCACTCCACTCCAGCCTGGGTGACAGAGCAAGATCTATCTCTACAAAAATAAAAAATTAACCAGGCATGGTGGCACAGGCCTGTAATCTCAGCTACTCAGGAGACTGAGACAGGAGGTTGCTTGAGCCCAGGAGGTTGAGGCTGCAATGAGCTGAGATCATTCCACTGTACTCCAGCCTTGGCTACAGAGCAAGACCCTGTCTCAAAAAAAAAAAATTAAATTAAATTAAAATAAATAAATAGGAGACTAAGGCAGAATTAGAAATTCAGCCCTTCCTCTCCAAATTTCCTCTTTGTTCATGTGTTTGGGCCAAACTTTTAAATAAGCCCAACAAATTAATTTGTAGCCAAAGACTGAGCTCCATGGTAATAATGGCAGTGGCTAACACTCCAAACTAACTGTGCGACAGCCACTATTATAGACTGATTTTTTATGATGACCCTGTGGGGTGGGTACATATTATCCCTGTTTTACAGGTGAGAAAACTGAGTTACAGAGAGGCTAAGTATCTTGCCTAATATCAGCTATTGATAATGGCTATTAAATGGCAGTTAGGGTTAGAATCCAGGTAGTCTGCGTATTAGTCCATTTTCATGCTGCTTATAAAGACTTACCCAAGACTGGGAAGAAAAAGAGGTTTAAATGGACTTTAAGTTCCACATGGCTGGGGAGGCCTCAGAATCATGGTGAGTGGTGAAAGGCACTTCTTACATGGCAGCAGCAAGACAAGATGAGAAAGATGCAAAAGCAGAAACCCCTGATAAAATCATTAGATCTCATGAGACTTATTCACTACCATGAGAACAGTATGGGGAAAACTGCCCGCATGATTCCAATTATCTCCCACTGGGTCCCTCCCATAACACATGAGAATTATGGGAGCATAGTTCAAGTTGACATTTGTGTGAGAACACAGAGCAAAACCACATCATTCTGCCCCTGGCCCCTCCAAATCTCATGTCCTCACTTTTCAAAACCAATCATGCCTTCCCAACAGTCCCCCAAGGTCTTAACGCATTTCAGCACTAACCCAAAAGTCCACAGTCCAAAGTTTCATCTGAAACAAGGCAAGTCCCTTCTGTCTGTGAGTTTGTAAAATCAAAAGCAAGCTAGTTACTTCCTGGATACAATGGGGGTACAGGTATTGGGTAAATACAGCCATTCCAAATGGGATAAATTGGCCAAAACAAAGGAGTTACAGGGCCCATGCAAGTTCAAAATCCAGCGGGGCAGTCAAATTTTAAAGCTCCAAAATAGCCAGGCACAGTGGATCATGCCTGTAATTTCAGCACTTTGGAAGGCCAAGGCAGGTGGATCATCTGAGGTCAGGAGTTCAAGACCAGCCTGGCCAACATGGTGAAACCCTGTCTCTACTAAAAATTCAAAAATTAGCCAGGCATGGTGGTGGGTGCCTGTAATCTCAGCTACTCAGGAGGCTGAGGCAGGAGAATTGCTTGAACCTAGGAGGCAGAGGTTGCAGTGAGCTGAGATCGCACCACTGTACTCCAGCCTGGGCAACAAGAGTGAAACTTCATCTCAAAAATTAAATAAATAAATAAATTAATTAATTAATTAAAAATAAAGCTCCAAAATGATCTCCTTTGACTCCAGGTCTCACATCCAGGTCACACTGATGTAAGAGGTGGGTTCCCATGGTTTTGGGCTGCTTCATCCCTGTGATTTTGCAGGGTACAGCCTCCCTCCTGGCTGATTTCATGGGCCAGCATTGAGTGTCTGTGGTTTTTCCAGGAGCACAGTGCAAGTTGTCAGTGGATCTACTATTCTGGGGTCTGGAGGATGGTGGACGTCTTCTCACAGCTCCACTATGTGGTGACCCAGTAGGGACTCTGTGGGGGCTCCAACCCCACATTTCCCTTCTGTGCTGCCCTAGCAGAGGTTCTCCATGAGGGCCCCACCCCTGCAGCAGACTTCTGCCTGGGCATCCAGTCATTTCCATACATCTTCTGAAATCTAGTCAGAGGTTCCCAAACCCCAATTCTTCACTTCTGTGCACCTGCAGGCTCAACACCACATGGAAGCTGCCAAGGCTTGGGGCTTGCACCCTCTGAAGCCACGGCCTGAGCTCTATGTTGGCCCTTTTCAGCCATGGCTGGAGCAGCTGGGATGCAGGGCACCAAGTCCATAGACTGCACACAGCACAGGGACCCTGGGCCCTGCCCATAAAACCATTTTTTCCTCCTAGACCTCTGGGTCTTTGATGGGAGAGGCTGCTGCAAAGGTCTCTGACATGCTCTGGAGACATTTTCCCCATCATCTTGGGGATTAACATTTGACTCCTCATTACTTATGCAAATATCTGCTTGAATTTACAAATATCTGCTTGAATTCCTCCTCAGAAAATGGGATTTTCTTTCTTTTTTTTTTTTTTTTTGATGGAGTCTCACTCTGTTGCCCAGCCTGGAGTGCAATGGTGCAATCTTGGCTTACTGCCACCTCCATCTCCTGGGTTCAAGTGATTCTCTTGCCTCAGCCTCCTGAGTAGCTGGGATTACAGGTGTGAGCCACCATGCCTGGCTAATTTTTGTATTTTTAGTAGAGACGGGGTTTCACCATGTTGGCCAGGGTAGTCTAGAATTCCTGACCTCAAGGGATCTGCCCACCTCAGCCTCCCAAAGTGCTGGGATTACAGGTGTGAGTTGCCGCGCCCAGCTAGGATTCTTTTCTATCGCACTGTCAGGCTGCAAATTTCCTGAACTTTTATGCTCTGCTTCCCTTTTAAAACTGAATGCCTTTAACAGCACCCAAGTCACATCTTGAATGCTTTGCTGCTTAGAAATTTCTTCCACTAGATGCCCTAAATCATCTCTCTCAAGTTCAAAGTTCCACATATCCCTAGGGCAGAGGCAAAATGCCACCAGTCCCTTTGCTAAAACATAACAAGAGTCACATTTGCTCCAGTTCCCAACGAGTTCCTCATCTCTATCTGAGACCACCTTAGCCTGGACCTTATTGTTCATATCACTATCAGCATTTTTGTCAAAGTCATTCAACACATCTCTAGGACGTTCCAAACTTTCTCACATTTTTCCTGTCTTCTTTGAGCCCTCCAAACTGTTCCAACCTCTGGCTATTACCCAGTTCCAAAGTCGCTTCCACATTTTTGGGTATCTTTTCAACAACACCCCACTCAACTGGTACCAATTTACTGTATTAGTCCATTTTCACGCTGCTGATAAAGACATACCCAAGACTGGGAAGAAAAAGAGGTTTAATTGGACTTACATTTCCACAAGGCTGGCAAGGCCTCAGAATCATGGTGGGAGGCAAAAGGCACTTCTTACATGGTGGTGGCAAGAGAAAATGAGGAAGATGCAAAAGCGGAAACCCCTGATAAAACCATCAGATCTCATGAGACTTATTCACTACCATGAGAACATTATGGGAGAAACTGCTCCCATGATTCCACTTATCTCCCACTGGGTCCCTCCCACAACATGTGGGAATTATGGGAATACAATTCAAGATGAGATCTGGGTGGGGAACAGATCCAAACCATATCAGTCTGGCTCCAGTGAGTGTGCTGCAAACCCACTATAACCACTGTCTCCGGAAGCCTAGGATGAACATGGCTATAATTCAAGAAGCAAATTACTGAGGCTTCCCTCTTTCTTTGAGTCAGGTTTCAAAGACATGGGAGATGGGGGAGAAGGATGAGGAAGAGGATCAAAGGGTTTTTTTTTGTTTTGGTGCTGTGTTCTCTGAGCTTGGTGGGTTGAATGATGAAGTGGTGATATAGTTTGGATATTTGTTCTCTCCAAATCTCATATTGAAATTGATCTCCAGTGTTAGAGTTGGGGCCTGGTGGGAGACGTTTGAGTCAGGAAGGTGGATTCCTCATGACCAAATTGGCGTCATCCTCACTGTAATGAGTGAGTTCTCTATTAGCTCACAGGAGAGCTGATTGTTTAAAAGAGCATGGCACTCCTGTCCCCTCTCTTGTTCCCTCCCTCACCATGTGACACGCCTGCTCCCCTTTCACCTCCAGCATGGTTGGAAGCCTCCTGAGGTCCTGGCCGGAAGTAGATGCTGGTACCATGCTTCTTGTACAGCCTGCAGAACAGTGGGCCAAATAAACCTCTTCTCCTTATAAATTACCTCAGGTATTCCTTTACAATAATGCAAAACAGACTGAGTAAACATAGAGGATGTGAGTATTCTTTTGAAATCATTTTTAAAATTTATTTGCTAAAATATTAATAGAAAAATTATTAATAGAAAAATTATTAAATGATCTCTTATTAAAATGGAAAAAGATGGCTTGGTGCAGTGGCTCACACCTGTAATCCCAGCACTTTGGGAGGCCAAGGCAGGTGGATCACCTGTGGTCGGGAGTTCAAGACCAGCCTGACTAACAAGGAGAAACACCATCTCTACTAAAAATACAAAATTAGCCAGGCATGGTGGCACATACCTGTAATCCCAGCTACTCAGGAGGCTGAAGCAGGAGAATCGCTTGAACCTGGGAGGCAGAGGTTGTGGTGAGCCAAGATCGTGCCATTGCACTCCAGCTTGGGTAACAAGAGCAAAACTCCATCTCAAAAAAATAAAAAATAAATAAGGAAAAAGACATGACTATTTAATACTAAACCATAGTGAAGAATTTTAAAGAGCAGGATACCCCAGAAGTTTGTAAATAGAAAGTATTTTTGTTTCAATATTAATAGTTAAAGAGATATGTAACAGCTGTGTAAATGTGGGAGTGGGGGGACTGTCCATTAAGTTTATACACTCCTTTCAAATGATTCTGTAGTTGCAAGAATTTCAGCTCACCCTCAAAATGTCTAGAAATAGAGTTTTTCTCCACAAGTGCTATTCTTTGCTATACCACATTACGTCATACAATTTATAGAATGACTATGAGGAATTAAAATGTTAAGATTTTATTTGACATGGTAATGTTTATTATTTCAAACCTAATTCAGGTAGGATCCACAGACAATTTTAAATATTGTTGAGGAAGTTTTCATTGTTAGGATACAGCGAACCAAAACCAAACATTAACATTTTCTATTAGAGATATTGGTGAATTGATTGTAGAATGGGAAGTCACTAGCTTTGCCAACAAAAAGGTAGCCTGAATGAGGAATGCTGAGGAAATGGACCAGTCTTACGCATGGTGGTATGCTTAAACTCCAAAGTCTTTTCCACCTAGGGACTGGCAAAAGATGGTGCCCTCTAGAGAAGTGCTACAATGAAAAGGGAATGGAATGCATGGTGGTTCAGAATGATACAAAGCAATGAGACCGTATTAGTAAGCTAAGCAGCTAGGGAAAGCCTTCAGCAATGACTTCATGAACAAAAATTTATTTTCCCTTTCATACCCCACATTACACCAATAAGAAGTTCTGTAAAGTGTGCAGTAAAAACCACTTCCTTCAATTCTACCCCTGTCAGGGAATCACTCCCCAGGCTTTGTCAAAATCAAGTTTATGCTTTGCAGTTTTATTTATTTCATGGGCTTTCATCTTAAAAATTGAGTTAGCTACTCAGAAGGTACTTCTTGTGGTGGGCCTCTCAGCAGGCCCCTCAACACACCTCACCCTCCTCTCTGCCAGAGTAACACTGTCCTTGCCTCTCTGAGTTAGAGAGTGGCAGTGGGGTCGGCCAGGGAGTTTTGCCACTTACTTTCTAGATAAGTTGTCCTTGCTCAAGAAGGAGGGTGGTACGCGCCCTCACTGGCTCTTTTCAATCCTGGCCCATCATTACTGCTGGAAGAAATCCCCCCAGATTTCTAGTTTATATATGATTTCAACCTTGGTTTTCTGTAGCAATAAATTATTTTCCTCTGTATGTGTACTTTATTCATTATTTCAATGGACTTTTGAGCAAGAGGAGCTAGGCTTCCACACTCTACGACCATCCTGCTCAGGAGAGTCATATGGAAGGGGCAGCCAGAAGACACTTAAAAGAGCAGTCGGAGAAGTAGGAGGAGAACCAGAAGAGGACAATGCCATAAGGTTTACATATGAAGACGAGCGGGAGGTTGCAGTGAGCAAAGACCATGCCACTGCACTCCAGCCTTGGTGACAGAGCGAGACTTTGTCTCAAAAAAATAAAAAAATAGCTCTGCCTCTGCCTCTGCCTCTGCCTCTCTGCCTCTCTGCCTCTCTGCCTCTCTGCCTCTCCCTCTGCCTCTCCCTCTCCCTCTGCCTCTCCCTCTCCCCACGGTCTCCCTCTCCCTCTCTTTCCACGGTCTCCCTCTGATGCCGAGCCGAAGCTGGACTGTACTGCTGCCATCTCGGCTCACTGCAACCTCCCTGCCTGATTCTCCTGCCTCAGCCTGCCGAGTGCCTGCGATTGCAGGCGCGCGCCGCCACGCCTGACTGGTTTTCGTATTTTTTTGGTGGAGACGGGGTTTCGCTGTGTTGGCCGGGCTGGTCTCCAGCTCCTAACCGCGAGTGATCCGCCAGCCTCGGCCTCCAGAGGTGCCGGGATTGCAGACGGAGTCTCGTTCACTCAGTGCTCAATGGTGCCCAGGCTGGAGTGCAGTGGCGTGATCTCGGCTCGCTACAACGTCCACCTCCCAGCTGCCTGCCTTGGCCTCCCAAAATGCCGAGAGTGCAGCCTCTGCCCGGCCGCCACCCCGTCTTGGAAGTGAGGAGCGTCTCTGCCCGGCCGCCCATCGTCTGGGACGTGAGGAGCCCCTCTGCCTGGCTGCCCAGTCTGGAAAGTGAGGAGCATCTCTGCCCGGCCGCCATCCCATCTAGGAAGTGAGGCGCGCCTCTTCCCGGCTGCCATCCCATCTAGGAAGTGAGGAGCGTCTCTGCCCGGCCGCCCATCGTCTGAGATGTGGGGAGTGCCTCTGCCCCGCCGCTCCGTCTGGGATGTGAGGAGCGCCTCTGCCCGGCCGCGACCCCATCTGGGAGGTGAGGAGCGTCTCTGCTCAGCCGCCCCATCTGAGAAGTGAGGAGACCCTCCGCCTGGCAACCGCCCCGTCTGAGAAGTGAGGAGCCCCTCCGCCTGGCAGCCACCCCGTCTGGGAAGTGAGGAGCGTCTCCGCCCGGCAGCCACCTCATCCGGGAGGGAGGTGGGGGGGGTCAGCCCCCCGCCCGGCCAGCCGCCCCATCCGGGAGGGAGGTGGGGGGATCAGCCCCCCACCCGGCCAGCCGCCCCGTCCGGGAGGTGAGGGGCGCCTCTGCCCAGCCGCCCCTACTGGGAAGTGAGGAGCCCCTGTGCCCGGCCACCACCCCGTCTGGGAGGTGTATCCAACAGCTCATTGAGAACGGGCCATGATGACAATGGCGGTTTTGCGGAATAGAAAGGGGGGAATGGTGGGGAAAAGATTGAGAAATCGGATGGTTGCCGTGTCTGTGTAGAAAGAAGTAGACATGGGAGACTTTTCATTTTGTTCTGTACTAAGAAAAATTCTTCTGCCTTGGGATCCTGTTGATCTGTGACCTTACCCCCAACCCTGTGCTCTCTGAAACATGTGCTGTGTCCACTCAGGGTTAAATGGATTAAGGGCGGTGCAAGATGTGCTTTGCTAAACAGATGCTTGAAGGCAGCATGCTGGTTAAGAGTCATCACCACTCCCTAATCTCAAGTACCCAGGGACACAAACACTGCGGAAGGCCGCAGGGTCTTCTGCCTAGGAAAACCAGAGACCTTTGTTCACTTGTTTATCTGCTGACCTTCCCTCCACTATTGTCCTATGACCCTGCCAAATCCCTCTCTGCGAGAAACACCCAAGAATGATCAATAAAAAAAAAAAAAAAAAGACGAGCGGTCAGCATTTCCAACATCAATAAAGAATACACTGAATCCAACAACCAGGAGGTAACTAAAGAGGGTTGAAAGCACGGTTTCAAAGAGTTACTGGGGTGTAAACTGAGCTTCACATGTAGAAATGGAAACAGCAAGGGTGTGACCACTTTCTAAAGACATTTGGTCTTAAGCAAACAAAGAGAGTGATGGGCTATGGCTTGAGAGGAGTTAGGTAAAGAGAAAAGATTTTGTAGGATAGAGGAACCTTGGCCAGTGGAGGCAGGATGGCTCCCAGTGTTGGGAGACCCCCTCGGCTCCTTGTCCCTGGATCCTCCCCGCTGCACAGCTTGTTTCACTCCTGCTGCCAGAAAGCTTGACCTGGTAAGGCAAGCACACCCAGGAGAGATGACCTCCATTCCAGCCTTCATGACTTCTAAATTTAACCCAGACCACATTGCTTCTTGGCAAATCATGGTCAACTGTATCACCAAGGACTGAAAGAGGTGACATAGGTCTGCTTTTCAAAAATGCTAGCAATGATGACAATGAACTCACGTGTTGAATACATACACTAGGCCTCAACAGTCCTAGGTTTTGAATAGCTCATCTGATCCTCACAACCACTTTCTTTTATGTCAGTTATGTCATATGTCTTATGTCTCTTATGTCAGTTATGTCAGGGTTCATATTTTACAGAAGAGAAAACTGAGATTAGAAGAGTTAAATTACTTGCCCAAGTCATAGAGTTAGTAAGCTAGAGAGCTGAGATTCAAACTCAGATCTTTCTGATCCCAGAGGCTGTGCTTTTTCTTCTTGGGCACCCACAGCAAAAATACATGCAACAAGAAACATGAGACCTGAGGATAGACCAAGAGTAGCTGAGGTCCATGGAGAGTATTGAGTTATAGGACCAGAAAGAGAGGTTAAGGTCAAATGGGTTTGCCAGATGAAATACAGGATGCCCAGTTAAATTTGAATTTCAGATAAACAGCAAATAATGTATTAGTTTAAGTATGTCCCAAATGTTGCATGTAACATACTAAAAACTATGTATTTCTTTATCTAAAATTCAAAATTAACTGGAAATTCTGTATTTTTATTTGCTAAATCTGGCTACTGTAGGTTGTGGATTGTGGAGGTTTTTAATATATGCTAAGGAGTTTAGACTTTATTCCACGGTTAGTAAGGACTCATTGAGGATTTTGGCACAAGGGAGTGACATTAATAAAATGGTGTTTCAGACTAGCCAGAAGACACTGGCAATTGTCCTGTATAAAATTCTGAAAAGGCTGGGCGCAGTGGCTCACACCTGTAATCCCAGCGCTTTGGGAGGCCGAGGCGAGCAGATCACCTGAGGTTGGGAGTTTGAGACCAGCCCGACCAACATGGAGAAACCCCGTCTCTACTAAAAATACAAAAAGTTAGCTGGGTGTGGTGGTGCATGCCTGTAATCCCAACTACTTGGGAGGCTGAGGCAGGAGAATTGCTTGAACCAGGGAGGAAGAGGTTGCAGCGAGCCGAGATAGTGCCATTGCACTCCAGCCTGGGCAATAAGAGCAAAACTCCATCACACACACACACACACACACACACACACACACACACACACACACACTCTGAAAAATAAGACTAGAGTGGTGAGCCAGGCATGGTGGCTCACATCTGTAATCCCAGCACTTTGGGAGGCCGAGGTGGGCAGATCACCTGAAGTCAGGAGTTCAAGACCAGCCTGGCCAACATGGTGAAACCCCATCTCTACTAAAAATGCAAAAATTAGCCAGGCAGGGTGGTGCATGCCTGTTGTTCCAGCTACTCAGGAGGCTGAGGCAGGAGAATTGCTTGAACCCAGGAGGTGGAGATTGCAGTGAGCCGAGATAGCAGCATTGCACGCCAGGCTGGGCAAAAAGAGAGAAAGTCCGTCTCAAAAAAAAAAAAAAAAATGATTAGAGTGGTGGCAAAAGGAAAGAAAAAGGAAAGGATCTAGCTGGTTAAAAAAAGAATCCAATACGGCAGGTTTTCAGCAGGGATGGCTAAAAGAATGACAGAGCTACTGATGGAAAGAGACATGTCTAGAGGAGGAATTGCTTTGGGAAGAAAGAAAAATTGACTTTGAGATGATGCTCATAAGTCTAAGTGAATTTCACAACTGAAAAAAAAAGTTACTTTTTCTGCAGCACCTTCTACCAGGAGCTTCACCATAGGATGCTACTCATCCTCACAGCCTCCCTCCCAGGCAAGTGTTACCACCACAGTTTTCTTTTCTTTTCTTTTCTTTTTTTTTTTTTTTTTTGAGATGGAGTCTTGCTCTATTGCCAGGCTGAAGTGCAGTGGCATGATCTCGGCTCACTGCAACCTCCTCCTACCAGGTAGCTGGGACTACAGGTGTGCGCCACCACACCCAGCTAATTTTTGTATTTTTAGTAGAGATGGGGTTTCACCATGTTGGCCAGGATGGTCTGCATCTCTTGACCTCGTCATCCACCCACCTCGGCCTCCCAGAGTGCTGGGATTACAGGTGTGAGCCACCACACCAGGCCATTAGCACAGTTTTCTAATGGAGAAAAGAGTAAGGCCACCAGAAGGTGGGAGAGTGAGGATTTTAAGTCCCATGCCACCAGATTAAAGTCAGGGCTTCTTTCCACTATTCCACACTGTCTCCTAGTAAAGAACTAGAACCAGAATTCCAGAGAAGTTGTGGCTGGAGCTGTGACTCCTGTGAGCTGAAATGAGGGAGCTGAAAAGAAGGAAAAGTTTGCTAAGAAGACATGTGAGAGAAGAATGGCAGAGAGCTTCAGAGCATCTCTGGCAGAGGAAACAGCCTAGCATTTTGAACACAGTAGCATAATACAATGTTTTTAGAAAGCAGGGAGAATATAGGGATGGTAAAAGGAAGTCCTGGAAAGATCTACAGATGCCACGTCTTAAAGAACCTTATCTGACAAGCCTAAGAGATTAGAATTACCCTATAGGCAATGGGATGTCATTGAAGAGTTTTAAGCAAGGCATTGAGATAACCAGATTTGTTCTTAGAAGGGTCAAGCTGGTGGCAGTGGTGTGAGACATGGACTGAAGGCCAATTAGGAAGCACCTGTGATGATCCAGGGGCAAAAGGATGAGGAGAGGAGGCAGAGGGAATAGATGTTAAGAGAAAGAATCAATAGGATTCCGGGGGAAAAGAGAGGTGGGATGATCAAAAGTACTTTTCCAGGGTCACTGGGAATGCTGATACTATTTACAAAACATAGGGTATGCTGGGACAGTGGCCCACGCCCACACTGGGAGGCCAAGTTGGAAGGATTGTGTAAGGCCAATCCTAGGCAGCGTAGTAGGACCCCGTCTCTACACATAATAAAGAAAAAATTGGCCAGCGTGGTGGGAAGCAGCATCAGGAGGATTGCTTGAGTTTGAGGCTGCAGTGATCTATGATCATTCCACTGCACTCCAGCCTGGGCGACAGAAGGAGACCTGTCTCTGAAAATAAAGAAAAAAAAACACAGGGTATGCAGAAGGAGGAACACGTCTGGGGAAGAAGTGTGAAGTTATTTGTCTTTGTATTCCTCCAACTTAACTTAGAGCTGACAGCATAGGCTAGTGCTCAGTGTATGTTTATTTGAATTTGATTATGGACACACTTAGTTTGAAATATCATTGGAACACGCAGGTGGAAATGTTTAGTAAACTATTGGAACTATGGGTCAGGAGCTTAAGAGAACAATGTAAGCCTTCTGAGTTGCTTTGTGAATCAAGACCAGCTAAGTTTTGTATTTTTAGTAGAGATGGGGTTTCTCTACCATGAGAAAAGGCCATGGACAAAATACCTGTAAATACTCAGCATGTAAGGAGCAAGTGGAGAAAAACGAGCTAATGAAGCAAGCAGAAAACAGGCAGCCAGAGAGGTGGGAGGTAAGAAAGTGTATGTAAAGGAAACAGACATACATTTCAAGAAGGAAGGGGTTGCAGGAAGGGTTGCGCTGCAGAGATGCCAGATGAAATGAGGACTGGTAAGTGTGTGTACACGGGATCTAACACTTTTTGTTTTCCCTGCTTCCTTGCCATACTTCTATTTTCCCTTGCTTCTCTGGCATGGTACTCCACATAAAGTATTAGCATATAATCATTTGCTGCAGGCCTTGTTTTCTAAGGAATTTTGGCTGAGACTTAAAGCTAAAGCAGTAATTGGCTATAAAAGTTGTAACTTCTAATTCCTATCCCTGTCAGTATAAAATTGTCATTTTTAGCAACTGAAAGCAGAGAAGAGTCTGGGCACAGAGGCTCACACCTGTAATCTCAGCACTTTGGGAGGCCGAGACAGGTGGATCACTTGAGATCAAGAGTTCGAGACCAGCCTGGCCAACATGGTGAAACCCATCTCTACTAAAAATACAAAAATTAGCCAGGCATTGTGGCACGCGCCTGTAATCCCAGCTACTCGGGAGGCTGAGGCAGGAGAATCGTTTAACTCAGGAGGTGGAGGTTGCAGTGAGCTGAGAATGCACCACTGCACTCCAGCCTGGGCAACAGAGCGAGATTATGTCTCAAAAAAAAAAAAGCAGAGAAGAAAACATAACCACAATCTCAGAAGCAAATGTGTCAAAAGCATGTAAAGTGCTTGATGCATCCTGCTTCTCAGACCCAATTAGCATAATGTAATCAGAATGATGAAACTACCATACTGTGCTGTGAGCTACCAAGACGGTCAAAATTCCCATTGACTATACTTTGACAGAGATCAGGAGAGTTAACATAGGCCAGAGGCAAGACAGTCAAGTGTACTGCTCTTCTTGTCAAGTAATGCTTTTGCCTCTCCCAATTGATGGGGCTCTCTAACAGGGACTGGCAAACTACAACCTCCAGGCCAAATATGACACTCCAACTGTTTCTGTAAATAAAATTTTATTGGAACACAGCCATGCTCATTCATTTACATGTTGTATTTTGCTGCTTTGACACAAAATCAAGCTAAATGGAGCAGGTGCAACAGAGATCAGATGGCATGCAAAGCCTAAAATATTTACTGTCTTGCCTTTTATAGGAAAAGTTAGCCAACCCATGATTGAAAATAAAGCATTTATCAAATCAACAGCCACGTATCAAATACCAGAAGGTGTGTTGATTTGCTCTAATAAAGATATTATAGGAACTGCAACTGAGGCAATGACTCAGTTAAGTTTATGGTAGTCTGTTACCATCCTCCATTATTTATCTGTGCTTTTGAAAATAATTGAATTGAATGGGAATCTGTGCCCAGCACACTTCCGCTGCACTGTCTATCTAACTGAATGGGAATGTGACTGGAAGACGAACTCTGGACACTTTTACGTCTTTTTTTTTTTTTGACAGGGTCTCATTCTGTTGTCCAGGCTGGGGTTCAGTGGCATAATCATGGCTTACTGCAGCCTCAACCTCCTGGGCTCAAGTGATCCTTCCACCTCAGCCTCCCAAGTAGCTGGGACCACAGGTGCGTGCCATCACTCCTGATTAATTTTTTAATTTTTGTAGAGATGAGGTCTCCTTATGTTGTCCAAGTTGGTCTTGAACCCCTGGGATCAAGCAGTCCTCCCACCTTGGCCTCCCAAAGTGCTAGGATTACAGCCATGAGCCCACTTTGAGTCTTTGATGTTGGTGCTAATCTCTGCAATTCCTCTTGGGATATGGTAATACTTCTGATTTAGTATCTTAACCAGAGGCAGGAGGTGGCTTGGGGGCTTCTATTTGGCCTTTCCTACCATAAAGAAGTTTATTTCACAGGTCAGAAAACCAAAGTGACAGTTTTCCCAGATTCTAAGTGTATCTGTCTCAATTATACTTTCAGAAACCAGGGACAAAAACTTAAGGCCAGTTCGCAAAACCTCTGGATACATTGTGATATAATCTTGAGCCAGGGGGTCTATTCATCACCTGGACTTAGGAAACCACCAATCTAACTACAGGGCATGATAACATTTCAGGTCCCCAATACCAGCTCTCAGAACATCTAGGTATTCTTCTTTACCCAGTGTAGTTGTCTTTGAAAAATGTCACTTGTCCTTTTAGAGAGGGATTCTAAAAATACTGATGTATATACTTATGGTTGTCTTTGAAAAATGTCACTTGTCCTTTTAGAGAGGGATTCTAAAAATACTGATGTATATACTTATGGTAGTTTTGGAGTTTCCTTCTCAAGTGGACTCAGCCTCCCCTTCAATCAATGGGCTATGGGTTTCTAAACTGACTTAGACTTGGAAACTAGCTGAGGGAAACCAATGTTCCATTGTGATGGCTGATGTCAGCCTTCTGCTTACCAATTCATGCATTTATTTTATAAATTAAGTAATATCCTACATGGCTGTCCATCTGTCTCAACCCTAGGAATACTCAAATCTACTAATTGTTGCCAAAAATATTTATGGGTCAAGGCACCTTGATTGTCGTACTGGCATTGCTGCCCATTATGGTAATTGTATTTACCTTTGCTCTGTTAGTTGAGTGTTATTTGGCTTCTGGTATTCTGGAATTCCATCAACCCTTTTGATACTAGAGATCCGTGTTCCATGGCAGTATCCCCCACTCTTGGCCTTGACAGGGCTCCTTTCACCAATGTATTTCTTATTCCTTAGTATAAGGAAGTTCCCTGGGCTCTTGGAGTATATAGACAGGTGGCGGGTTAGCAGGTCTTAATACATAGTAAATATATTCTAACGTTCTCATTTTCCTATGACTTTTGATCCCTTCTCCAGTACAATGCCAAGATTATTTCTGGTGTGTCCAAGCTTCAAGGAAACAGCACAACAAACTATTTATAGTGACCTCAAGTGCTCTTGCCAAAACACTGGATAACCACTCATGAATGTATGCCCTCAGGTAATGAATTCTCTCTTATAAAACCTTATTTTATGCACTCACTCTCTCTCTCTCCCCAGTCTTACATTTTCAAGATCTACTCCCACCTACATTACCCTGATTCTGTTGACAAAGAGTCAAACTCTGTAAAATATTTTAAGAGGTTTATTCTGAGCCAAATATGAGTGATCATGGCCTGTGACACAGCCCTCAGGAGGTCCTAAGAACACGTACCCAAGGTGGTTGGGGTACAGCTTGGTTTTATATATTTTTAGGGGGGCATGATACATCAATCAAATACATTTAAGAAATATATTGGGCTGGGCATGGTGGCTCATGCCTGTAATCCCAACACTATGGGAGGCTGAGGCGGGCAGAACACCTGAGGTCAGGAGTTTGAGACCAGCCTGACCAACATGGCAAAACCCCAGCTCTACTAAATATACAAAAATTAGCCAGGCTTGGTGGCGTGCACCTGTAATCCCAGCTACTTGGGAGGCTGAGGCAGGAGAATCGCTTGAACCCAGGAGGCTGAGGCTGCAGTGAGCTGTGATCACGCCACTGCACTCCAGCCTGGGTGACAGAGCAAAACTCCATCTCAAAAAAAAAAAAAAAAGAAAGAAAGAAAATAAAATAAAATACATTGGTTTGGTTCAGAATGGTGGGACAACTCAAACCGGGGGCTTCAGGGTATAGGTAGATTTAAACATTTTCTGGTTGACAATTGGTTGAGTTTATCTGAAGACCTGGGATTAATGGAAAGGAATGTTCAGGTTAAGAAAGAGGATTATGGAGAGACCAAGTTTTATTGTGCAGATAGCAGACTTCAGAGAGAGAGCAGGTTATAAAATGTTTCTTATCAGACCTAAAAGGGTGTCTGGCTCTTAGTTGATTATCTCCTGGATCTGGAAAGAAAGGAAAGAAAACAAAGGGGGAAGGGGATTCTCTACAGGATATGTATTTTTCCCACAAGAGACTTTGTAGGGCAATTTCAAGGTATAGCAAGGAAATATATTTTGGGGTTAAATATTTCTTCCTTGTCTCAATGTTATGCCAGAGTGATTGAAAAGTAAGTCACGATATATAGGGTCAAACAAAACCCATCTGATGAGAATTTATGGTTTGTAGGACATGACTCCCTAGACCCCTTAGGTAGGAATTTGGGCAGATAAAAAAATTAGAGTTTAGTCCTCAGTTCTTACATATTCTCCAGGTCCTACAGTTCCTTTGGAATGGAGGCTAACTCCTTCTGGAGCAGGACCTGTACTTCCCTGCTCAGGCTGTGCTGAGCTCTGGCACAGATTACCAGACTGGAGGCAAAAAAGGCAGAGAATGGAGGCTTATCTTGGGAAGAACGAAAGTTATTCTGCAATGACCTATTTTGGATGGGCAAGGGGAGGCTGTTTTCCTTAGTCAAGAGAAAAGGGTTTTGCTGACAGCATTATAAATAAATAAATAAGAAAGAAAAGGGACTGCTTCTGCTGGCCAGGAAGATTTAGGGACAATTAGGAGCTCCAGATTTTGAGGCTCATCCACTCACATATTTTATTTATTTATTTATTTATTTTTGAGATAGCGTCTTGCTCTGTCACCCAGGCTGGAATGCAGTGGCATGATCATGGCTCACTGCAGCCCCAACCTCCCGGCTTCAAGCGATCCTCCTGCCTCAGCCTCCCAAGCAGCTGGGACCACACCTGGCTATTTTTTTTTTTAATTTTTTTGTACAGACGGGGTCCACTATGTTGCCCAGGCTGGCCCTGAACTTGTAGGCTCAAGCAATCCTCCTGCCTCTGCCTCCCAAAGTGCTGAGATTACAGGCGTGAGCCACGGTGCCCGGCCAGGGAATCTTGTTAACATGCATATTCTGATTCAGTGGGTCTGGGGCGAGGCCTGAGACTCTGCATGTCTAGCAGGTGATGCTGATGCCTTGGGTTCACTGGTCACTCTGCCACTCACATATTTCTTATTCAGGTCTTAACGCCTCACATTTTTCTTTTCTGGAAAATACCTCCACATGGGAAAGCTGTTGAAGCTATGCATTCAATACCTTTAGCAGCTTTGCCATTCTGGATCCTGAACCTAATTTCTTTTCTTTTCTTTTTATTTATTGTTTTTTTTTTTGAGTCAGAGTTTCCCTCCTGTAGCCCAGGCTGGGGTGCAATGGCACAATCTTGGCTCACTGCAATCTCTGTCTCCCGGTTCAGGTGATTCTCCTGCCTCAGCCTCCCCAACAGCTGGGATTACAGGTGTGCACCATCATGTTCAGCTAGTTTTGTATTTTTAGTAGAGACAGGGTTTTGCCATGTTGGCCAGGTTGCTCTTAAACTCCTGACCTCAGGTGATCCACCCACCTCGACCTCCCAAAGTGCTGGGATTACAGGTGTGAGCCACTGCACCCAGCCCTGAACCTAATTTTTTTAAATTTTTTAAAATTATACTTTAAGTTCTAGGGTACATGTGCACAATGTGCAGGTTTGTTACATATGCTTACATGTGCCATGTTGGTGTGCTGAACCCATTAACTCATCATTTACATTAGGTATATCTCCTAATGCTATCCCTCCCCCCTCCCCCAACCCCACTACAGGCCCCGGTGTGTGATGTTCCCCACCCTGTGTCCAAGTGTTCTCATTGTTTTCAACAGTGTCTAACCTACTGCTGCAAGAGATGAGTCTCCTTTATGGCTGCCACAGAACTCCTCTGGCTTTCATATTGTTACTTAGTTGGCAATATGCTGCTTTAAACTATCATTTTCTTTTTCCAAGACTTCCAATGCTCTCAAGAGCAGCCAGTCTATTCTCCACTCTGTGCCGTTATTATTGCTCCCATACTGATCAAATACAGCAGCCACATAATATCCTAATTCCTTATCTTCTATCTGCACCTCATCCCAGTCAACTGGAGGTGAAAGCCTTAGTAATTGTCATGCATGCCCCTGCATGGCAGGGTTATACTATCCTGTTTACCACTGGGGAAACAGTTCTGATTGCCTTTAGATAGGTGGGCTAGTCTCTAAAATCACACTTTTAAAGGTCTGCTTTTAAAGACTACTCCTGGTACTAGCATTTTTGAGCCTACAGTCTCAAGAAAAGCTTAGAGCAAAAATATGCACATTTTTGTGATGGATGCTTTATTGATTGGTGAAATTGCAGGGAAGAAAGTATGACGAGAAAAAAGAAGTGAGGTAGGGGAGATGTAAAAACAAAGAGATGTGCTACCAAGATGGCCATAGCTTCACTGCGAACAGAGATGTTTGCCTGGCCTTCCAGGGCATCTCCACGGAGTACATATGAAGCCACTGCCTCTCACGGGAGGAAGGGTGAACAATGCTGGCTTCTTTTTGTCTCCTGTCTCTCAGTGGTCAAGGTTTACCCTACCCTAGACATGAACTCTCTCACACTTCTGGGTGGTAGTACCCACTCCTCCAGCCAGCTTCTCAGGAAGAAAGAGCCTCTGCAGCCCATTTTGGCCAATGTGCTTCAGTCTTTCCTCCTGAGTCAGTACTCAGTGTATGGGGGTGTATGGGGGCATGTTAGCACCAGGGGCTGTGGCTGTGGCTTTATGACTGTGAGATACCTCATAGAGTTTTTGTGAGAATTTGGTCAAGTAATATCCAACGCCTGGCAGTTAGTAGGCACTCAGTAAATGTTAGCTATTATTATGAATAGTAATTGAGTGAATTTTTTGTGTGTGATTCTTACACGATATGGCTGGTAGGAGCATGTTCCCCACCCCTTCTAAGCCTTTGTTAAGTGCCACTGTGCTCAGTCGCACACGCTGACACAGTCAGCCAAATCTAAGCAGCTCAACAGTGCCGTGAGCTGTGGTCTGCAGTAGCATGGGGCAGCCAGGCAGCAAATGGCTTTCAGTTAGTCCACAAGAATGGCGACCACCATCTAGGCAGCAAAGAGTTATGCAATGGAGTGTTTTGCTTTTATAAACATATGACTAGTGATAATGTCTTCCATTCTCTAGCCATCCTAAAACATTCTTTTAAATATTTAGCTTGTCTCTGAAATCTACCAAGGAAATAAATTGATACTGGTTTTTGTTCTATAAATTATAGTCACATAGTTCAAAGACAGTTTGCCCATTCACAGAGTCATACATTTGCTTCCAAAACCATGAATACAGGAGCCCTCAACTGTCAAGTGTCTGAAGAATATCTTTTCTGTGGGAAATTTGTGACACTGTCCTCTGAGTTTGGTTAATCATAAAGAAATATTCTTCATTTAATGAATAATTCAAATCTGAGTCTTGTCGCCATGGAAAACAGGGCTCTCTCCTCCCATTTTTCTTAATGAGGCACTCAATCTCACAGTCGTAATGTTTACCTCCCTTCATGGAACAACAGCTCTTGACAAGTGGAAATATGATTTCAGCAAAAAAAGTTCCCACTCTATATTTGTTAAACTGCTTCAATATTATGTTTTGATTCCTGCTTCGAATTTATGGAAAGGATTTTTATAGTCAAGGGAAATCTACTGATGAATGTGAGAGGCATGAACCTTGAGACAGTGACAAAGTAAATTTGGGGCTTGAAAGAAATACACCATTTGCTTGTCTGGAAGCAAGAGCTGAGTTTTTAAAAACAGAAACTGATCAAAGTTAATCAGTCTAATGAAAATATAAGTGGTAACATATTTTATTTAGGTAATTTTGAATCAATTTCCTGAACTATGCTTTCCTGTTGATGACAGATATTTATCATGAGTGTCTGGCAATTGTGTTGAAACTATTTGATGACATGGCCGGACGCGGTGGCCTTGGAAGGCCAAGGCAGATGGATCGCTTGAGCTCAGGAGTTCAAGACCAGCCTGGGCAACATGGCGAAATTCCGTCTCTACCAAAAATACAAAAATTAGCCAGGCATGGTGGCATGCACCTGTGGTCCCAGCTACTCAGGAGGCTGAGGTGGGAGGACCACTTGAGCCTGGAAGGTGGAGGTTACAGTGAGCTGAGATGGCACCACTGCACTCCAGCCTGGGTAACAGAGTGAGTCCCCATCTCAAAAACAAAAACAAAAACAACATGATTTGATTACCTAGTTCCCCCCGTTCCTGGATTTACCTCACTTCCATTACCTGAGAACAGATTTGGCTCCATCAGTTCTGATCTTTGGCCTTATACCAGAAACATGGCATGGAGCTTCCTGTCTGGATCCCTCAGGCCACCCTCATCAACTACCAGCTGGACCTAACCCATCCCCTAACCCCACCCTTCTGAGCCTACCTCTGGCCTCTGGGAGTCAGACATACACAGGACATGGAGCCAGGTGCCACTGAAAAGAAATATAAGAAATTTATGGTAGAGATATGGAGAAACTATTTGTCTTAGTCTGTGCAGGCTACTGTGATAAAATACCTTTGACTAGGCGTCTTTTAAACAAAAGAAATTCATTTCTCACAGTTGTGGAAATAGGAAGTCCAAGATCAAGGCACTAGAAGATCTGGTGTTTGATGAGGGCCAGTTCCTCATCATCATCTCACAGCCATCATCTCACTGTAACCTCACATGGCAGAAGGGACAAGGGACCTCTCTCAGGCCTTTTGAATAAGAGCACTAATTCCACTCATGAGGGTTTCACCCTAATAACCTAATCCCTCCTATAAGAGCTTTACCCTCTTGTTCAGCCTCCTGGGGGAGTAGAATTTCAACATATGAACTTCAGGAGACACAAACGTTCATAGCGAGACCCTGTCTCTACAAAACATAAAAAAATTAGCACATGTCTGTGGTCCCAGCAACTCGGGAGGCTAAGGCAGGGGGATTGCTTGAACCTGGGATGTGGAGGCTGCAGTGAGCCCAGATCGTGCTACTGCACTCCAGCCTAGGCAACAGAGCCAGACCCTGTCTCAAACAAACAAATAAATAAATAAAATGAATGAGGTAGCTCTATAAGTACTGGCCTAGAAAGATGTCCATACACATTAAGCAAAAAGGGCAGGCTCTAAACAACAGGCACAAGAGAGGCTTTACGGTGTACTTTAAGACAAACAGTGTACTTTAAGACATGCTGCCCATTCGGTGATGCAGCCTGCCTCTCTCCTCTCCTCATCCCCGCGGTCTCCTTTCCACACTACTCCTTTCCACAGCGCCTTTCCACGATTTTCCGTCTTTTTCTCTCAGGACTCTTCTGCTCCAACAGCTCTTCATCTCAGAGTCCCGGATCAGGACCCGGATAGACTAGCTGTGGGAGGAATGCGCGTGCGCCGTGGCACCGCCCACAACGCGTGGTGGGCGTGTTTTCCCCGCCTCCAGGGCGGAGCCCAAGAGCGATTGGTCCCCGTTTTGGGCCTCCCAGGATTGACTGGCCCTTCCACCCAACCAGGGCGGTCTACACCCTCTCACATCACTTCCGCCCTCGCCTGGGAGCGCCTCTCGCCCCGTCGCGTTTATCGAGGAGACAGTGAGTTCCTGTTTTTCCTGTTCCCTCCTGCATTTGACAGTGTTCTGCAGACACTGGTGTTGAGATTGGCATGCTTCCCGCATTTACAGCGAAGCCCTCTAAGAGGGAGAGTTTAGGCCAGGTTTACTTTAAGTAGGAACCTGAGAATTTAAAAACCGAATTAAAAAGTTGGCCCCCGCCCTGGAGGGAGATAGAGTCCCCTTCTCTCATGCTTCCTTGTGTGAACTGAATTTCATACATTACTCAACAAATCGATAGCCATGAACTCAGGTTCCTAAATGATAGTAATGGTATTATTACTACTATAATCTATAATACTATTAACTATGGTATTATAGTAAGTATAGTAATGCTATTAGTAACAGCTAATAGTAATAGCTAACCTTACATTAGACTTGGAGCGAGCAGTCACTGTTTTGTTCCCTGCTGTGATTTGAATGCCTCCTCGGAAACTCATGTTGAAACCTGTTCCCCAGTGTGGCAATATTGAGAATGGGGTCTTGAAGAGGTGATTGGGTCATGAGGGCTCTGCCGTCCGGAATGGACCAATCCATTCATGAGTTAATGGGTTATCACGGAGAGGGACTGGTGGCTTTATAAGAGGAGACCTGAGCTAGCACACTGAGCCCCCTCACCATGCGATGCCTTACACTGCCCCTGCACTCCGCAGAGTCCCCACTGGCAAGAAGCTCTCACCGGGTGTGGCCTCTTGACCTTGGACTTCTCAGCCTCCTAAGACATAAACTCCTTTTCTTTATAAATTACCCAGTTTCACGTATTCCGTTATGAGCAACAGAAAACAGATAATCCCCTTACAGCAGTGTCACTGTCTTTACCTATAAGGTGGGTCTCACTATCTTTATTTTATAGATGAGGATGCCAAGGCACAGAGAAGTTAAGGAACTTGTCCAAAATCACCTTAGTGATAACTGGCAGAGCTTGAATCAGAATTCAAGTAATCTGGCGTCATGTCCAATACCAGTAACCATTGCATTCTGCTGCCTCTCAGAAATAAACCAGGCATAGAGTAAAATTCATCTGTAGTTCAAGAAACAATTTATTGAAGCTTCCTTTTTCTGTCAAGTTTGGAAAACGGGAGAGAAGATAGGAATCGAGACTGAGAAGACGACCAAGTGGTTCTGAGCTGAGAGAATTGGGAAATTGAAGGAGGTAGATTAGCTAAGGGAAGATACAAGTACCTGAATCCTTCTTTTTTTTTTTTTTTTTTTTTTTTTTGAGACGGAGTCTCGCTCTGTCGCCCAGGCTGGAGTGCAGTGGCGGGATCTCGGCTCACTGCAAGCTCCGCCTCCCGGGTTCACGCCATTCTCCTGCCTCAGCCAAGTACCTGAATCCTTCTAAAAATTTTTTTTATTGAGGTGAAATTCACATAACATAAACAGCCATTTTAAAGTGAACAATTCAGTGACATAATATTCACAATGTTGCACAACCACCACCTCTATCTCGTTCCAAAACATTCCCATCACCCCAAAGGAAAACCCCAAACTCGTTAAGGAGTCACTCTCTAATCCCTCCTTCCCCAGGCCCTGGCAACCACCATCTCCCTTCTGTCTCTATGGATTTATATATTCTGAATATTTCATCTAAATGGAATCATGCAATAATAAGACTTTTGTGTCTAGCTTCTTTCGTTTAGCATGTTTTCGGGGTGCCTCTACATAGCATAAATCAGTACTTCTTTTTTTAATGGGTGAATAAAATTCCATTGTGTGTATGTAACACAATTTATCCATTGATGGACATTTAGACTGTTTCCAATTTTTGGCTATTTTGAATAGTGCTACTGTGAACATGCATGTACATGTACTTGTTTGAGAACTTAGTTTTGATTCTTTTGAATGTGTATGTAGGAGTGGAATTGTGGGGCTCTATGGTAATTCTGTGTTTAACTTTTTGAGGAACTCCTGTATCCTTTTGAAACCCTTCCTTAAGGCTATAATATTAATATAATAAATAATATTAAATATAATAAATATCTAAAATATTTTGAATCAGAGTTTCTGAGTCTCAGCACAATTGACGTTTGGGACCAGGTAATTCTTCGTTGTGGGAGAGCTGACCTTTGGTTATAGGAATTTTAGTAGCAATATTGGCCTCTACTCACTAGATGTCAGTAGCATCCTCCCACTTTAATCACCAATAATGTCTGGAGACACACTGTCAGATGTCCTCTGAAAAGCAAAATTGGCCCCTTCCCACTGAAAATTACTGTTTTAAAGGCTTCCCCATAAACTTGGAGCAAATGTGGCTAGCACTAAAGCAGAATACTACAACAAAGTAATGGCCTTTAAGAAATGGATATTCCTTAGAAGTCTTCCTTAGTATACAGGAAGTATTTTTTGTTTACTGTGTAATGTTGTTAAGAAGTTTGCAGATTTACAAATGTTTGACAACCAGAAAAATCTTATCATTAAATATTCATATACCTTTCAAAGGTAACATCAGTAATATAAATCCAGCTCATCCACAATGCCAATAAATGTAGCTTCTCCCCCGTCCCAGGCAAATTACATACTAAATCACATTTATAGCACACTGCATCACATAATTTTTAAGATGGCAACTAGAAGCATGATTTGTAAGACTTTTTTGACATAGTAATACTTATTTTTTCTTTTATTTATTTATTTTATTTATTTTATTTTTTGGTGGGTGCTTCACTTTATTTTATGAAGTTTTTTCTTTTATTATTATTATTATACTTTAAGTTTTAGGGTACATGTGCACAATATGCAGGTTAGTTACATATGTATACATGTGCCATGCTAGTGTGCTGCACCCATTAACTCGTCATTTAGCATTAGGTATATCTCCTAATGCTATCCCTCCCCCTTCCCCTCACCCCACAACAGTCCCCAGAGTGTGATGTTCCCCTTCCTGTGTCCATGTGTTCTCATTGTTCAATTCCCATCTATGAGTGAGAACATGTGGTGTTTGGTTTTTTGTCCTTGCGATAGTTTACTGAGAATGATGATTTCCAATTTCATCCATGTCCCTGCAAAGGACATGAGCTCATCATTTTTTATGGCTGCATAGTATTCCATGGTGTATATGTGCCACATTTTCTTAATCCAGTCTATCATTGTTGGACAGTAATACTTATTTTTTCAAATGAAAGTTCAGGCAGGGCCCATGAGGAATGCCATTTTTTGGTTCAGCCAAATAATGGAAAAACAAAAGCTATTTTTCGTTATTGGGATACAGCGAACCAAAATGAATCTTTTTTTTTTTTTTTTTTTTTGAGACAGAGTCTCGCTCTGTCACCCAGGCTGGAGTGCAGTGGCGCGATCTTGGCTCGCTGCAAGCTCCGCCTCCCGGATTCACGCCATTCTCCTGCCTCAGCCTCGCGAGTAGCTGGGACTACAGTCGCCCGACACCACTCCCGGCTAATTTTTTGTATTTTTAGTAGAGACGGGGTTTCACTGTGTTAGCCAGGATGGTCTCGATCTCCTGACCTTGTGATCCGCCCGCCTCGGCCTCCCAAAGTGCTGGGATTACAGGCATGAGCCACTGAGCCCGGCCCAAAATGAATCTTTTACATTTACTGTTACTTACTGTTAAACATCTTGGTGAGTGAGTTGTGGGCACCCTGAGTACATAAACACCTTTGCAATCACAAAGCTTTTAAGATCAAAACTGTTATAGAAATAGATCAAGCAGCCTTAGGCACAGACGGTATTGTTGTAGAATCCACAGCAGTTAGTAAGGGCCATAGCACTGAACTCCTTATCTTCCCAGGGACCAGAAAAAGAAGGAGGGTTGGTGCCATTCAGAGAAGTACTGCAGTGAAAAACCAGAGAGGTACATAAGGGGTCAGACAGGAACAAAGCAACAAAACATATCAATAAGTTATACTAAGCAGCTGAAAACAAAAACAAAAACCTGTAAATTGACCCATCAGCCATGACCAAATAGAACCCAATTATGTTTCTTTTCTCATTCATTCCCAAGATAATACTAGCAAGAAACCATAAACCATGTGTGTCTGTTCCTTTGCGCAACTCCTAACCATAGTCCATTTGGAAATTTCCAGATATCCCTGAGGCAAATGTATGGCTTATAATGATTTAGTATTGAATTGATTCTGAAAAGTAAGGTGGTATTCCAAGGCCACCTTCCTCTTGAAAACAGCTTACACTTAATTAGTATAAATTAATTGGACAAAAACGTTGTCTTTCAATGATCTTCAGTATGTGGCTTTAGAAAATCCACCAAAATGCCACAAGAACATAAGAATCAGGCAACATGATGAACGCCCATGTCTACAAAAAGTAAAAATTAACCAGGCATGGTGACACATGCCTGGCCTGTGGTCCCAGCTACTCAGGAGGCTGAGGTAAGAGGATTGCTTGAGCCTGGGCCAAGATTGTGCCACTGCACCCCAGCCGGGGCAACAGAGTGAGCCTGTGTCTCAAAAAAAAAAAAAAAGAAGAATCAAAACGATGCCAGAGCAATGATGAATCCAGCTCATACCTCATCTTTAATAGTGCATCAAAAGAATTTTTAAAAAAATATGTTAGTTGCCTTCTCTGATGATAACCTCCAAACACAGGAGGGGCAACATTCATTCACTTGGCCCAGTAACCTTTTAAGCAGCCAGCACCTGAATATCTAGCTATGTAGTGAACAGACCACTTAATAACTTCCAAATCTTTATTTGTTTGTTTGTTTGTTTGCACCCTGTCACCCAGACTGGACTGCAGTGATACGGATCACGGCTCACTACAGTCTCTAATTCCTGGGCTGAAGTGATCCTGCCACCTCAGCCTCCCCAGGTAGCTGGGACTACAGGCACACACCACCATGCCTGGCTAGTTTTGTTTTGTTTTGTTTTGTTTTAGTAGAGATGGGGTTTCGCCATGTTGCCCAGGCTGGTCTTGAACTCCTGAGCTTAAGTGATCCTCCTGCCTTGGCCTCCCAAAGTGCTGGGATTATAGGTGTGAGCCACTGTGTCTAGCCCATAACTTTTAAATCTATCTCCAGCTCTGATTTCTCTCTTGAAGCCCGACCTGAGGTGGCTTTTGAGTACCTTCACAGGGTGGTCCTGCAACTACCTCCAAGTTAACACATCAAAAACTGAATTAAGGCTGGGCATGATGGCTCAGGCCTATAATCCCAGCATTTTGGGAAGCCAAGATGGGAGGATCCCTTGAGTCCAGGAGTTCAAGACAAGCCTGAGCAACATAGTGAGACCCCATCTCAATACAATAAATCAATAAATATAAAAAACAAAAACTGAATTAAGCCATAATCTCTCCCTTTTACTCCCATTCCTGAAACTAGTCCTCCTCTTCTGTGAATGAATGGCACTCCTTAGACCCACTTGCTTATGCCGGAAAAGAGATAGTCACTTGAGACTCCTTCCTCTTCTTCACCCCACCTCTTCCTCCTATCTAGCCAATGATCAATCCTATTGATTCTACTGGATCTAGTGTATCTCCAACCTCACAACCACTTAGTATCAATTCTTACCATCTCTCACTAGGACTATTACAGCAGGGTGTTTGTTGGTCTCCTTGCCATTCAAATGGCTACCAAAATGATATTTTGAAACAGCATAGTTGATCATGCCAGTGTTCAGAATTCAGCAGGTCAAAACCTAAATTCTTTAGTATTTCATACAAGGCTTCTTATGATCTCTCAGCCTTTTTTCCCACAACTCCCTTCACTCACGCATATATCACCACCAATACACACACACCTTTTGATTTGAAGGCACCAAACATTCTAGTTCCTCAAATCTTTCCTTTTGTGTGTTCCAAAACTAGTTCTTTTAGCTTAATGACATATCCTCTTCTTTTCATATTCTAGATTTTGGTAAACAAGTTCATTTTTACACTACCTGAACTCATCATGATTTTATAAATTCAACTTTATCCTCTCTCAGTTTTCTTCATTTCTGTCTGAAGAAGCCTATAATATTTTAGCCACTTATAACCATTGCTAAGTCTACGTATAACCTACCTGTATTCCAATCACAATAAGTAATTTCTTTTTTTTAATTAATATAAAATAGAGACAGGGTCTCGCTATGTTGCCCAGGCTTGTCTCGAACTCCTGGGCTCAAACCATCCTCCCACTTTGGCCTCCCAAAGTGTGGGATTGTGGGTGTGAGCCACCGTGCCCAGCCAGTAGAGTAATTTCTTATCAGGGAAACCATTTTTCTTCTTCCTTTGCTGCTCTACTTCTCAGTAGCCCACTAACACAGGTAGACCCTGTCGCTGGAGCATACTAAGCTAATAATGAAGATGCACCCAATAAGAGAAAAGAACACTGATCTAGGCCATTACCAATACTCACAGCCCTTATACACTCTATGCAACCTCAACAGCATTACCGTGGAGACCTGAGGGCCGTGTGTGAGAGAAAGGAATGGGGTCCTGGTGCTCACCTCTGAAAGAGCCCTCTGCAGCACATGTAGGTCTCATAGGTTCTATTGGTGAAACTTGTGTTTGGGAAGGAGACACAGTCAGCTTCAGCTCCCCTGGGGACATAGAGGATTCCTGGATAAAGGAGACAGAGGTACTAAGGGGAAGATCTGACACGTGCTTCTCAAGGCTCTTTATTCTTTTGGCACGAATTGTGGACACTCTTGATTAGGTGCCTTTGCCATGTATCTGTGGAATGCATGGGTAAATCAATATTCTGAAAGACAGCCTGTCATGATCTAGGGAAGTAATCTTTGTTGCCCCTGTACTCAAGGACAATTCTACCTTCCTCATATTATTCCTCCAACCATCACCCTCATGCAGCAGTATCTCCATCAGAGCTGAGGCACCTACCTGCCATACAGGCACTGATAAGGGATACACAGGCCCCTGTGAAGAGGGCCCTGACCACAACCTTGGACAAGTCACTCTTCCGGTGAGGTACTATTGATGCTGCAGACAATAAAATAAAATAACTTCAGCTTTTCCCCACCAAGGCAATCAGGTATATCCCATGGGCCCCCACTTAGAAGAACGCAGAGAAACAAAACACAGCCGATGAAGAGCATCCTTATTACCATCCACCTGAGACTGGCCAGTGTTGCCCTAAGAAGTGTGTGTATACATTAGTCCTGAGGGATCACTAACTTAGACTTTCCTCAGATCAAGTATTGAGTGTCTGACCCTCACTTTAATGGTTCTGTGAACATACCCAAGATGTATCTGGATAAAGCAAGGCTCTGGGTTTCTCCAGACAGGTACAAATGCCTGGCGTTCACTGCTTGAGATACGCACTCTTAAGCCTGGACCAGAATTAGATGGACTATTTTGAGACAGAGGGCTAAGGAAAGCAACACTCATTGTGTGGCCTAAGACTTAGCCACACAATGCATATCCCACTACTAGATGGCAGTCTCATAATCGGACAGTAATCAGGCATCAAGACTAGAACAATACAGTCAGGTGTTTGACAGAAGGGGAAAAGGTAAACTGAAAGGGAATTATTTCACCTTTCAATTAAATTGGCTACCAAGTACATGAATTAAATGACTCTACCCCAGAATATAATTGCCTTTAAAAAGGGACACACTGAGCTATATTTCTTATTATAATCTACTCCTTCTAAGATTCCTTCCTTCCTTCCTTCCTTCCTTCCTTCCTTCCTTCCTTTTCTTCTTTTTTTCTTTCTACAGGACCTCCCCATGTCACCCATGCCGGAGTGCAGTGGTGCAATCACAGCTTACTGGAGGCTCGATCTGAGTTCAAGCAATCCTCCCACCTCAGCCTCCCGAGTAGATAGGACTACAGGCATATGTGCAAATATGCCCAGCTAACTTTCAAATTCTTCGTAGAGACAGAATCTCACCATGTTGCCCCAGGCTGCTCTCAAACTCCTATAGCAAGCAATCTTCCTGCCTTGGCCCAAAGTGTTGGGATTACAGGCATGAGCCACCACATCCAGCCTAAGATCCATTTCTAACTTGGATCTTCCAAACTTGGGATCTGCTAGTCACCCCTGTGCCCCTGCACTCAAGGACAATTCCACTTTCCTCATATTATTCCTCCAACAATCACCCCCATGCAGCAGTATCTCCAACAGTCTAAATATATCTGTGTCTGCTTCAAAGACCCACTCCTTTAACATTTGGTACTTGCATATTTAAATCCAACACTTTACACCACTCTCTCTTACTGTCTATCTGCCTTATGTGCCTGCTGCTTTTATTTGTTTTAATTCTTTGTGTTTCCATGAGGATGACTAGTGAGCAGCCTAATTTCAAAAAGTGTCTTCACTACTGAATAAAATACAAGACCAGGTGTGGTGGCTCACGCCTGTTATCCCAACATTTTGGGAGGCCAAGGCAGCAGATCACTTGAGGCCAGGAATTCAAGACCAGCTTGGCCAACATGGTGAAACCCCGTCTCTTCTAAAAATACAAAAAAAATAATAATAATAATAATGGGCATAGTGGCACACACTTGTAATCCCAGCTCGGGAGGCTGAGGCATGAGAATCACTTAAACCCAGGAGGTGGAGGTTTAAGTGAGCTGAGATCACACCACTGCACTCCAGCCTGCGCAACAGAGTGAGACTCTGTTTCAAAAAAAATTAAATAAATAAATAAATAAATATCTTTATTTATATATGCACTATTCCAATTTAATGGCAAAATTGAAATAATATCATTATATTTTCTTCCTCATAGAGAAAATTAAAATAAAATTAGTTTTTGGGGCCTCCAATCCAAAGGAAAAAGAAGTAACTGAAGTTGAGATTATAAAGGGCTGTATGCATTAGCCAGGTGGGCATGACTGCCTTAGGTCCAAGTTAACTGCAGCCTAAGAAATGGGCCCATTTCACAATGGCTTCTCTATCTGATCCCAGCTTGTACTGAAGCACCAGGACTGCCCACTACAGAAGCTGGGATCTGGCTGTCTTACTGGGGAGCTGGGAAAATGGATGAACTCACTCAAGCCTCCAAGTGTGATTCCTATGGAACTAAGATTGGCAAATCCACAGAGTGAAAATGTTGTAATGATTTCAGCTCTCACCTAGGGAAAACAAAAATAAATAAGCAAATAAATTCAGTCCCATGCGTGCGGTCTTATAATCACAATAGAAGTTCCAGAGTACTGACAGCCCCCAGTCTTTTCCATGGTTTCCCAAGGAACATGAAAGGATGCTCAGAAAACAACTGTTCCCTGAGTTACTATAGGGATAATGACATGGAAACCACCATGGGCCTCATTGCCCAACGCTGTTCCTGTTGAAGGCTATGAATAACGAGAAGGCCTGGGAATGAGAAGGATTGCGAAGGAGGAGGAGAGAGGCAAAGGGAAAGAAAAAGAATATTAATTTGGAGCAATTTAAACTTATAAGTGAAGAAGGGGACCTTAGACCATCAAAAGATAGTGTCTGCCCTGGACTGCCCCAGCTGTAAAGACCCAGCAATTACATTATAGAGAGAAGTTGGGTCACAGTTGGGGCAGTGGTGGGGGTGGCAGGGGGAAAATAGCATGCAGACCCATAATAGCTCAGGCGCTGCAGATGAGGCTGCTAGGTAGGCTGTTCTGCTGGCTTTGTAGTTAGGCCTGCGACCCCAGAAAGGCATCTGCAGGTCTGCAACAAACCTGTTTGGCACTTTCTGTCTACCCTCAGATAACCATGGCTGAGACCTCACGGTGTTTATGCTTTTTGGATTGTCACTTACAGAAATCCACTGTTTCTCTCCCTCAATCCACTCCTCCATTCCAGAGAGACGTTTGTTCTTGTATTGAGACAGTTGCTGATAAGCCACAAACTCATTTATGAAGAACTTGATTCCCACCATCTCAGCCACCATTGGACAGTCTGTCCACTCTACACCCATCATGAAAACCATGGGCCTTAGGAGATAGGAGCAGATGACCTGAGTGAAAGAGAGATATCACAGGAAAAGGAAGGACTAATATAACAAAGGTCAGGTGCCAAGGACCTTCTCTGGAGCCTTGGCCCAATCTCTTCCACCCTTCTATTCATGCTCTCTCTTGGCTTACTGTGGGTCAGAAGGACATGCATGGTTGTTTTTTTTTTATTATTATTATACTTTAAGTCTTAGGGTACATGTGCACAATGTGCAGGTTAGTTACATATGTATACATGTGGCATGCTGGTGTGCTGCACCCATCAACTCGTCATTTAGCATTAGGTATATCTCCTAATGCCATCCCTCCCCCCTCCCCCCACCCCACAACAGTCCCCAGAGTGTGATGTTCCCTTTCCTGTGTCCATGTGTTCCCATTGTTCAATTCCCACCTATGAGTGAGAACATGTGGTGTTTGGTTTTTTGTCCTTGCAATAGTTTACTGAGAATGATGATTTCCAATTTCATCCATGTCCCTACAAAGGACGTGAACTCATCATTTTTTATGGCTGCATAGTATTCCATGGTGTATATATGCCACATTTTCTTAATCCAGTCTATCATTGTTGGACATTTGGATTGGTTCCAAGTCTTTGCTAATGTGAATAGTGCCGCAATAAACATACGTGTGCATGTGTCTTTATAGCAGCATGATTTATAGTCCTTTGGGTATATACCCAGTAATGGGATGGCTGGGTCAAATGGTATTTCTAGTTCTAGATCCCTGAGGAGTCACCACACTGACTTCCACAATAGTTGAACTAGTTTACAGTCCTACCAACAGTGTAAAAGTGTTCCTATTTCTCCACATCCTCTCCAGCACCTGTTGTTTCCTGACTTTTTAATGATTGCCATTCTAACTGGTGTGAGATGGTATCTCATTGTGGTTTTGATTTGGACATGCATGTTTGAAGGGCTACCTAACCACATCCCAGAGGGACAGCCCAACAAATGTAATCCTTTACCTGGAAAGTGAGCCCCTGTATGTCCACCAATTCCCCCAGCCAGGAGAGGGCAGCATTGATGAAGGCCAACACAGCCAAAAAGGCAATCAGGTTGGCTGCTACATTAGTAGCAAGGCCTATGGCATCTACGGCTCCGTTGCTGGCAGCTTCCAGGACATTCCTCTCCTTCCTGTGGTTATTGGGCAGAGGGCAAGAGTAGGGTGTCTACAGCAGTCTCAGCCCCTCAGAGAAGAGAAATCCCACTGTCCCTATCGTGCAGGAGGAGGGTGCAAGGCCAATGTAGAAGGTGACAGGGGTTCCTCAGTGACCCTATTAGTGGAAATTACTCTGAAGCAATATCAGATATAATTGTCATGTAATTGCATGGATGGCAAGGACAGAGGGTACTGGCATGCAGAAGCTAGTGCCAGGTGGGAGGGTTAAATGAAGAAAACCAGCATGATTAGCAAGCACCAGAGATAGGCAAGAAGGAATATGGAATCACATTATTCCCCCTCAGGGAGACTTGAAGTCTCTGCCACCACAGTGCCACTCTTAACTACAGCTCACCATCTCCCAAAGTATATGCCTCCTTGGACTCACCCACGGGGCAGCTTTACCCCCTCCTCACTCTTGAACTTGGACTCCTCCACTTCCGGATACGCTAGCTTTGATGAGGCGAGAGCACAAGGGGCGGCCATCACAGAGGCAGAAATCAGGGATGATGCATCAACCTGTGAGGCGCCAGACTTAGGCATCAGTGTTTCTATCAAACCCAACTCGAGTTCACCCAGGAGTGATCAAGCAGACTATGCCTACCCCAAAGGCTATGAAGGCTCCCAGCACAGTGCCAGAAATGGTGGCAAACCCTCCAGTCATCACCGCATGGATTTCAGAGAGTGTCATGTCCCCAAGGTAGGGACGGATGAGCAGAGGTGCCTCTGTCTACAAACACGGAGAAAACAGTCAGATTCCAAGAAGGTGTAACTCCCCATGCCAGTGTGCCCACCCCAGCCCCAGGGGCTGGACCCACTAGATACACATCCATCCAGTGTGAGCACTGTTAAGTGAGCCACAGCTTCACTTAGTGAGCACGGAGCCCGGCTGTCAGGCCCATCCAGCTTCTGCCTTACTTCCTCTGGCACCCAATCATGTCCTGGCTGGCATAGTTCTCACCTGTTTCTATACATGCTTGTTTCATCTATTGACATGTTAAAATGTTATAGAAGAGAAATGGTATATTTTGTTTGTATATTCTCAATGTCTAAAGCCACACACTTACTGAACTTACGGAATGCAGTGCACTTAATGAGAACATATTAGATGCTTAAACAGTACTCATTAAATGAAATACAAATAGATGATCCAAACCCCCTGCTTATGGATCAAAAGAAATAATGTTTGTGAAAATGTTATGAAATTATGAAGGGCCATCTATGTAAGCCATATCCAGCACTGACCTAAGATAATGGTATCTATTATTTAACAAGTACCAACTATGTGCCTAGCACTGCACTAGATGCTAAGGACATTGATATAGGTAAGGCAAAGTCCTTACTCTTAGAAGCTTATAGTCTCACATAGGAAACTAGGCTGATTATGGATAATTTCAGCAAAATGTGGAGTGCTATGGTAAAGTATCCAGAAGTACTCTGAGAACATTTCAGAAGCAGCCTAGAGCCTTGGGAGAGAAAGACCTCAGTACTAACTCCCTGCGAATGTGACAAGTCATTGTCCCCAACATTGAGCTGATCAGTCAGTAGCACATATGGAGCACCTACTCCATACAGACGAATGTACCAAGCAAGTATTATGGGGAAGAGCCTGGGCGTTAGCGATGAGCAAGATAAGTGATTTCCTCCTTAGAGACCCTGGAAACCAAGTACTGCAGGGAGTCACAGGGAGAAACCAGAATGAGGATCAAACACCCTTCATAGCCTCCGAAAGGGGATATGAATTGGACGAGGACATTCCCTACATTCCTACGTAGGAAGTGTTCATTAGAAGTGGTGAAGGCTATCCCTCCAGATTAAGTATTACCAGGGAAGTATTATTAGGCGCAAAGGGTGAACGCAATGAGCAGAGTCTTCTTTGAGCTGCTGAGTTATCTCTCATCCAAGATTGGCTGCCCCACAGTCTTCATTTATTTGACTTTTCAGAAGGAAAGCATACTCTTGTTTTGTGCCAAATTCTCAGTTCCTCAGAGGGAAGAAGACCAAAAGTCCTCAAGGTGCTTACCATACCCACAAAGATGTTTCCTGCCACAGCCAGGGTCTCTGTAGCAGTGGTGCCCATAGTGATTTGTAAAAACCAGGCGACCTAGAAGAATACAGAAACCTAAACCATTAATGTTAGCAGGAATCTTGGAGAACATCTCGCAAAACTCCTCCTCCTCCACTTTACTGATAAGGAAACTGAGGCCTAGAGAAGTAGAGCAGCAAGCCTAGGGCCAAAAACCAACTTAGAAACAGAGCCTTGACCAGAACTCAGGACTCGTTGCCTTTAGAACAAGTACATTAAAACTCAGTATCAAAGGCAGTCCAGCTCATCTTCTCTCTGCTCTGCCCTCAGCCTACCTAGGGCCTCGGCTGACAGTTTGCTATCAGGCATGCTTGAGAGGGCCTGCCTTTTCCCATTGTTTCTAACACTCTAGACCTTAGCTATGGGCATTTTTCCAAAGCTGACTGATGACAGGATGAAGGCCTGTCTCCTGACTGGTGTAAGAGAACGACTCACCTTCTGAACTACCCATTGCACAAGGCCCAGGTAGTAGAGAATGGACACCACACATCCAAAGAAAATGATGATTGGTAAGGCCTGTAATGAGAATGGTAGCAGGTGGTGAGATGTTACATTGCATACTCTGTGTTTTAGGCTTCTAAGTTAAGCTCTTAGCATTCCAAGGGTATCTCATACAGTGTAGGTATTCAGTACCTACACAAACTAGTTTAGGGATACATTTAAAATGTATTAAACCCATTGTCCCACCAGTACTAAACCACAAGCTGTTTTCTGACCCTTTTCCCCCAATTCTCATTTCATCTAATTTTATGATGGCAATGACCACAGGGAAGAAGATAGATGCCATTTCCTTTACTGATGGGGTTAAACCCTCTTGTTAGGGTCAAATTGGTATACAGGGGCGCTGATCTCTTGGACACACACTTTCATCCTCTGCTTTATTCCTCTACCCCTCCATAGACCATCATTCCTGCCCATAAAATAGGTATCACCTGAAAAGCAAAGACATCCTTGACCAGTGTATCCCCAAAGACAAAACTGGAGCCGGCCACAGTGTAGTTCAGGAAAATCTGAAGGGAAAAAAAGAAAAAGACAGAGAATAAGAATGAAACCCAAAAGGACACACAGGAAGACGAGACCAGCCCCATGCGTCCTGAGGACCTACTGTTGCTACTGAGGTTGGCCTCCCTTTGACAGCCCAGGGGCAGGCTATGTCCCCATGAGCTCTTTATTCATATTCTTAGCTGTATCCTAGTACACTCTCTCCTTTCCCAACCAGATCTTCCACCACATCATTAACAAGATACAGCCTAATCTTCTCATGCTCCTCTCAAATCTCCTTTCTCTAGGGTTCTAAAAGAGAAAAGCCCTCGCATTTAATTTCTCATACCTGGACCTGCTCTCCCAGCCACTGAAATACAGTATATCCAAGATCAGTTCTGATGACCAAGATCCCAAAGACAAATTGAAGACCTAGGCCCGAAAACACTGTCCTCCAGGACACCTAGGATCAATAAGAATATTATTTCAATGTGAGTTCTGCTAGTCCATTACCTGGTTGGAGTTTTAAACATGTACTCTGGGTGGAACCAACCTAGAATATTAACAGTAAGTCTAGGGTCTGATGGCATAGGGAGCAGGGGCAATGGTAGGGAGAAACAGGGCAGTAATATACAAAAAGCCACATATGTTCATAAGGTTTTTAAAAAATGTGTCTAGAGGTTAGATGACACTTATACACACATATATGCATGCATACATACAAATAAAAGTTTTATAAATCAATATTTTAACAGTACTATCTGCACTGCGTGTTGATTTTCTACTGTATTCTATTTTTCTCTCCTTCCTTATTTTTTTTCTTTTGTTCTTTCTTTAACACTGGCCTAGATTCGCAAAATTGGTATCAAGATTCATTAATGGATCACAATCTACAGTTTGAAAATAAGTGGTCTAGGGCCTTTGAGAATTTTTTAAACTTATCTTAGAAACAAAATTATCAAAGAGGCAAATTCTAGGGGTTGTTATGAACTAGTTCTATGCCCTTGTAATTAACACTTGATGCATACGCTTTATGATTAGCACTTGGCCCTTGGCCATGTGTTGCTATACCCAACCCAAATACCCAAAACTCACTGCGCTGTGGTGTTTGGAGCAGGCAAAGAGGATAAGGATGAACATGCAGATTCCTGCAAAGGGGATCAGCTGCTCTGGCCTTTGGGCTGTGTCTAAAGCCAACCACAGTATAAGGCCAACCAAGGAGACTCCTGCAAACACCCTGAAGAAGGAATGCCAAGACCATGTCATCAACCCAGTGAATGAAAAACAAATAACTTACAGAGAGTCTGAAAGTTATTCTCTCACTCCTGGCCTGTGATCAAAGGCCATGCATGTGCCATTGTTAGAGCTGTGGCTGCTGTAGACGCCAGTTCAGAATATACACGACTGTAAGTTTTCTCTTTAAACTCTAAGGAATTTTAAAAGGCACCAGTGGGTGCAGGAAGTCTAGGAGACTAGAGAGAAAAAAAGCATAAAAAGTATCAGGGAACTAAGGGAGACACCAATGACCACCAAATCAATTTGATAGCTTAATGTAGCTGCAAGGCTCTGTTCTGATTACTTCACTGAAGAGGAGTATGATTTTTCTCATTTCTGACACTGGCTCTGATGACAATCAGACTAAAACTCTTCTCTGAAACTAAACTCCTCCTGCCCCCCAGCAATGTTGAGACCCAAGGCTACAAGAATCTGGACTGAGGTCCTGTGCTCAGAGGCCTATTGTTATTTTTCTCTGCGCTTTGGTTCTGAAAAGCCTATGTGCAGGTCTGAGAGCCTGCTCAGCAACTATCAAAAGAGAAAAAAGGAGGTGGGCTGGGATAAGCTGTGAGGCCAGGTATTGAGATTCTTATCTTACCATTTCGTCCAAAGCCTCAGGCGGGAGTTTTCAAAGGGCTTCAGACATCTTGTTAATTTTTTGCCCAGGAGCTTTTTCAAAAACGAGTGAACCAGGACAAAGATCACCAAGCAGGTGATGACAAACAAGGCCAGTGCCCTCTGGAAATTCAAGATGCAAGCTGCCAGGAGATAGGCAGCATAGGCTAAAAAGAGAAGAAGCAGAGTAAAGATCAGCAAGGCAGTGCTTCCAATGGGCAAATGAAACTCCAGTCATGAATGCCTGGGACTTAGAGCAAGAAAAACCCTCCAGAGACCTTGCCACCCAGCCCTACTGTCAGACAGAACTGCACTTCTTGAGGCCAGGATAGATGTCTAACTGTCCTCTTCTTGAGGATCCCCAAGGACAGTCTGACTTAATGCAAAGACTGCATATTTTCACTGGTCCCTAATGAAATCTCATTCCCTTCTATTTTATCTAATATCCTCTCTCTGTCCCTTGGAGTAGATTTGATCAGTGTTCACCATTAGACTCTTCAAAAGTCAGTCATCTCCCCTTGAAACTTTATTACCCCAGTCACTTTAACCTTGCCTCTGGAACAAACCATGTAAACAAAGCTACCACTGGGAAGTGCAGCCATGTGGACCTCATCCCATGGCTCTCTTACTCATCCCAAAATATAATTTTTGCTCCCACCATCCCAGGTGCCTCCTATTTTGACATTAAAGCCCCATATACCACTGACAGTATGTTTTAAACAGAGATCTGCTGTCTTTTAAGAATATTTTATATCCAATGATATAGTAGTAAACCAGCAAATAAGTAAGGTATAATACAGGCTTCTGTCATCAAGGCTGTAAGAATCATGCACTCCACCAAATCAAGCCACTAAAAAAAGGATAAGCCCCCATTCTCTGAAATATTTTAAATCCATCAAATAGTACACTTTTGAAAAATAGTTTATTCTCAGATTTCACTTGTTCCTACAAGTGCAATTCAATACATTATGGTGCACCTACAAGTAGTTAAGATTGATACATCAAATAGCTTTTTAGATCAGTTTTGAATAAAAATGCCTTCCACCTGGTAATCACCTTGACACAAGGCAAATTTCTAAAATAACTGTGTTTCTCACTTTCATGAATTCTCAATATCTCACCCAAACACAACAGGCCCAACAGGATCTTCTTGAACAAGCTGGCGTGTGTTTTGCAGAAACTTCTTGCTTTGCTGAAAGGCCACCGACTCCTCCTAATAAGAACCCAAAAGTTAAGATACAAGAATTACTCCATCCCATTTCTATTAATTCAACTCTCAGAATTCAGATTACCTAACACAAGGCAGAATTAGCTCTTAGTCAATGAAGAATATTCTTCAGCCAGGAGGAAGTTAGGTAGTGTCCTGCAATGCCAAAAAGGGCAAATCAAACCTTGCTGGTGGGCAGCAGGTCAGAATACCCTACTCAGCCCGAACTAGCAATATCCTTGGTAGTCTCCTACCATAGAAGTGGGTACTGCTCATGTCAGGGGTCTACTACTTTCCTTTCCCATTCTGAAAGGACAGAGGATTGCTAAGCTTCCATATTCACAAGAGGGCCTGTTCTTCTTAGAGGCAATTTGGCCATCCCTCCCTAAAAACCAAACAAACCTATGGCCTTGAACAGTCAGCCAAATGTGCATTGACAGACAGGAAGGAAAATGCTACCAACCTCAAGAATTGCTCTGGATGTGCAGGCCTGAGAGAAGAGGCCCAGCAAGTAGGGATATTCAAGTTTGATTTAACAAACATGTATATAGTGCTTTCTCTATGCTGAGCTCTTTCTAAGAACTTAGCAAATACTAACTCATTGACTCCTCTTAAGACCCCTGGAGCTGTTACTATTAGCATTCCCATTTTACAGTATGGAAACTGAAAAACAGAAGTTAAATAACTTTCCCAAAGTCATACAGGCTGTAAGGAGCGAACACAGAATATACACTCTGGCTTCAGCATCTGAGCTCTTAACCATCATTCTATGCCACATCTTCCCTAGATTCCAGGGTTGCCTGTCTTTTCCACTCCTAAGTATGCTCAGCATGCTGCAGCCATCTGAGCCAAAAGCTCTAATTTCCAAAATCTTGGGAGCTCCAGAGAAGGTGATCCCAGCAAGAAGGTCCCAGTCTGGCAGTCATGCTGAGGCAGGGCAGCTTAGCCAGGGTTAGGACCAGCCATTAACTCCTAATGCCCTGGGGCTTTGGCCCATGGAGTTCCATGGCTGCCCCTCCCATCTAACACACTCCCAGTTCCTAGTCTTCCTTTTCATTCCTGCCCCCATCCCCTCCTGTCCCTTCTGCAGGAAGCCCAACCCTGTGTTAGCTGAGCAGAGTGTGTACTATGAGATACAGGTAAGCTGAGAAAGGAGGAAACAATGCTTATCACCATCTGACTGGATCAACTCAAGATGATTCTTTAGGATCTCAAGAACTCTGCTTTGCTTTGCTTTGCTTTTCTTCTCTTTAAGAGACAAGGTCTCACTTTGTTGCCCAGGCTAGAGTGCAGTGGTATGGCATGATCATGGCTCACTGCAACCTTGAACTCCCAGGCTCAAGTGACCCTCCTGCCTCAGCCTTCTGAGTAGCTAGGACTACAGGTGTGCACCACCACGCCCAGCTAATTTTCTTTTTTAAATTTTTGTAGAGATGAGGTCTTGCTATGTTCCCCAGGCTGGTCTCAAACTCCTGGGCTCAAGTGATCCTTCCTCATTTTTCCATGCTTAATAGAGAAAGTAGTGAGTAAAAGGGCCAGCATACCTGAGGACATCATTATCTTTGGAACATCATTTGCAAAGTATATCAAGGAATGAATTTAATTTCAATCCTGGCCTTCCCATGTGTGCCAGATATCTTTGGTGTGCTCCTCCAGCACCACTCTCCACTCCACTCTGTGCCCTGGGAATTTAACTCATGTAAACTACATCAATGTACTCCCATGTCCTCTGGCTTATCAGGTTGGGTTCTGCTACTGGGACCTCCACAGATGATCAGAGTGTATGAAAAGACAGGTCAGTGTGTTGAGGAGGTCTTTTTATCTGACTCTCCTGCCAGGTGCTCTTACATCTTATTCCTTCAGGCCTACGAATAGTAACTGTTCACTGCTTCAAGACTTTTGCTTCTTGCATTATCCTTTCTTATGGTGTCACCATACCTCATACATATCTTTGTAATGGTCTCTTTGTAAATAAATTCTCCTATAATTATCTTAATTTAAGTATGCCATCTGTTTCCTGTTGGGACCTAAACCGATGTACTAGATAAAGCTAGTTTAAAATTATATGCAGTCAAATGCCAGTTGAGTAAGCCTCCTGCAAAGTAAGAGGCAGGCTGGACTAGTCCAAGAGTAGATACAAATTGCATGCCTAGAAAAGATTTCTTCCATCACCTCCTGACCACAACTCACTTACCATATAGCACTTACCATATAGCATGATATTGTCATTTTTCTGTTTACCTGTCTTTATTAGGTTTTGAGCATATCAGGGAAAGGAGCATTTCTGTTTTTATCTTTGTATTCTTGGTGCCTAAATTAGTACCTAGCACATACTATTATTGCTTTAGGTCGCTAACAAGTGCCCGGCCCATAATAGATGTTCAATAAGTGTTTGCTGAATAAAAGAATAGGTAGATAGATAAACTCATAAAAATGATTTGCCTATATACTTGTGACAGATAGCTAGAAAGTATGAAAGTATCATTTACAGTGGTAGCAACATCATTCAGGGTATTAATTTTGTACTTCTTTTTAAAATTGACAAAAATTGGCTGGGTGCAGTGGCTCACACCTGTAATCCTAGCACTTTGGGAGGCCAAGGAGGGAGGATCACTTGAGCCCAATAGTTCAAGATTAGCATGGGCAATATTGTGAGACCCCATCTCTAAAAAAAATTTAAAATAAAATTGACAAAAATTGTATATGTTTATGGTATACAACATGATGGCTTAAAATATATATAAATTGTGGAATGGCTACATCAAGCTAATTAACACATGTATTACCTTACATACTAGTTTTTTTAATGGCAAGTGCTTAAAATGTACTCTTGTTTGTATTTCATCATTTATAAAATGTACTACTATTTTTATACACTAAGAAAGAAAAACACTGCCAATTAAAGACCTGAACAGGCACTTCACAAAAGAGAATATTCAGTGGCCAGAAAAAGCCGAAAAGATGCACAAGTTCCTTAGCCATTAGGGAAATACAAACCAAAGCTACAATGTGATAATACTACACACATACAATGGAGACAATGAAAAAAGACATGCTCTCATAACACTGCCAGGGGAGTGAAATTTGCTAAAAATATGTTTAGCATCTGTTAAAGCTACATAAACCTACACATACCCTATAGCATGGCAATTCCACTCCAAAGTATATACCCAGTAGAAAGGTGTATTTATCTTTACTAAAAGACATGCACAAAAATGTTCATAGCTGCACTATGATAGCAAAAGCATAGAAACTACTAAAATTCAGACCCACAGTAAAATGAGCAGATAAACTGTGGTAGATTCTTACAATGAAATACTATACAGCAATTAAAAATGTACAAAGTACAATATATGCAATAATATGGAAGAATCTCCAAAGCACAATGTAAAGCAAAAGAAGCAAAAGTATATATATGGTATATTTTCATTTAAAGTATAAATTAGACTTCCCATATAAAGTCCAAACACAGGCAAAATTAATCTATGATGCTAAAAGTCAGGATAATGATTACCCTTAGGGAGGCTGACTGAAAGGAAACATAAAATGGTTCTTGGGTACAGATAATGTTTTGGTTCTTCATCTGGTCGATGGTCATATGGTTGTATTCACTTTGTGAAAATTCATTAAGGCTTATGTTTATTTTTCTGTATGCATGCTATGCTTTATTAAACATTACACTAAAAAGGCAAAAAAAACTGTACCAGTTAAACTATGGCATGCAGTCCCAAAAACATAAATTAAGAATAATAATAATAAAATAAAATTTGACAAAAAAAATATATAGTATATATATTTTTGAGACGGAGTCTCACTGTTGCCCAGGCTGGAGTGCAATGACATGATCTTGGCTCATTGCAACCTCCGCCTCCCAGGTTCAAGAAATTCTCCTGCCTCAGCCTCCCGAGTAGCTAGGAGAACAGGTGCCCACCACCATGCCCACATATTTTTGTATTTTTAGTAGAGACTAGGTTTCACCATGTTGGCCAGGCTGGTCTCAAACTTCTGACCTCAAGTGATCTGCCTGCCTTGGCCTCCCAAAATGCTGGGATTACAGGCATGAGCCACCATGCCCAGCCCCAAGGAATATTTTTTAAAGGAAAAACTAATGCAAATACATGAGCCATCAAGTTTTAATGTACATTGTAAACAATGATATCGTGTTAAGTACTCAGAACTGTGTCAGTGAAACAAAAGATTTAAAAATAAATCCAAATCATCACATTAACTTAATAAAGTCGAAGCAACATCAGAATAGAGAAAGAACTCACAATTTAATAACTTGCTAGAAAAGTGGGTATCAGTATGGAAAAGCATCAGCTTAAAGCTACATGTCAGATTACTCCCTACAAAGCACCCCAGATCATCAGAGTTAATCAAACAAAAGAACAAGAAGAAAAAGAAATAAATACTTAAAAATCAATACAGAAACAAAACAGAATTGAAAAATGTACACATGAAGAAATTACAAAGTCTGTTATCTAGATTATATACATAACTTATTAACATGTATTTATTGAATTTTGAATGTTATGGCATTTTAAGTATAAACTATGGGTAAAGCATTGTTTCCAGTGTTATAGGAGACAAAAGGATGAAATAGACATTGATCTTGCCCTCAATGTATTTACAGTCCAGTATAGGGGATATAATATACATGTAAGTCTATAACAAAATGTCAAAAGCTTAAAGTGTTATAAGAGAGGGTCAGATAGAATGTTATGGAAGTTTGGAGAAAGAAGGGACCTTTTAGTACTGGGGCCAGTGAGGTTGAGGGGAGGAGAGGCAGCATCAGGGAAAGTTTCATGGACATGATTGCTCTTGAGTTGAGCCTTAAAATATGTGTTGTATTTGGGCACAAAGACAAAAAATGAAGACAGTACACTCATAAGCAATGATGTAATGACATGCATGACATGGAGGCAGGAAACTGGGGATTACATATAAGGAACAGTTGATAGTTGACTTTCACTAGAGCATAGGGTGGCATTAGAAAGGGAATTGCAAGAGTTAATGTTGGAAAGTCAAGTTGGATACAGATCCTGGTTGTGGGGAAGAGGTTTTGGGGAGAATTGAATACCAGGCTGTGGAGTTTGGCTTTGTTCAGGAGCAACTGGAGAGCTACAGAGGTTTGTGATATAAGGGAGTTCAGACATACTTTAGGTAGTTTTGGTAGAAGCTATATAGGATAGATTGGCAGGAGGTGGGGAGAACTGGAAACAAGAAATCTATGTGGGTTCTATTAGAGTTGGTCAGGAGAAAGGAAATGAGGTTCAAAATCCAGAACTTACTTTAGTTGATAAAGAAAAGTAGGCCGGCCACAGTGGTTCACGCCTATAATCCCAGCACTTTGGGAGGCTGAGGTGGGCAGATCACCTGAGGTCAGGAGTTCAAGACCAGCCTGGCCAAGATGGTGAAACACCATCTCTACTAAAAATACAAAAAAAAAATTAGCTGGGTGTGGTAGCACGTGTAATCCCAGCTACTCGGGAGGCTGAGACAGGAGAATCGCTTGAACCCGGGAGGTGGAGGTTGCAGTGATCACACCACTGCACTCCAGCCTGGATGACAGAGTGAGACTCCGTTTCCAAAAAAAAAGAAAAGAAAATCACACGTAGAAATATGGAAAGTAAGGCAAATGGAGGAAAATGTGTAGCTTTACAAAAATTTAAAGAAATGCAAGTTAAGGTCAGGCACATGGCTCACACCTGTAATCTCAGCACTTTGGGAGGCTGAGACATGAGGATTGTTTGGGCCCAGCAATTCAAGACCAGCCTGGGTAATGAAGTAAGACCTCATTTCTCAAAAAATAAAAATAAATGCAAGTTAGAACTTTAAGGCATGATTTTATATCTATGTAACTAGTTAACATGGTTTATATGAGAAAATATAAGGTCGATAAGACTTGAAGGGAACTGGACATGTTATATATCAGAGCAGTTTAAGGTGCCAACAACAGTCTGGCAAAAAAAAATTACCAAGATCCTTTCAGCTAAGTACTAATATTATTCTTGTTTTACAGGGTGAAAACTGAGGTTTAGAGAGGGTAAATAACTTGCCCAAAATCTGGTAAGTGCTAGAGTCAGTGGTGCAGGGGAAGCTGGCCTGCGCTGGCTTGAGAGAAGTGATTGTTACATTTTCAGGAATTGTGCAAGCCATTACTAAAAATTAAAACTATATAAACGTATAATTAAATTACATTAAAGACAAAGGTAATAAATACTAAAAACTCATCATTTTCTAATTATTTTGCTACATTTTTCTGTCATGTGAGCTCATGAAGTTATTCATGTCTGCTGTATGTGTATGGTGGAAATTTTATATAATGATACATCTCTTCCCAACTCCTTGTTCAAGTAACCCTTTGGTTACTTGAAATCAGCCATGTTGAGAGTTTTTACGTTACAGGCGAATACTGTAAATAAGGTCTTAATTTATTATTTCATCTAGACTAAAGATTAGCAAGCTGTGGTCTGTGGGCCAAGTTCATCTCACCTTCTTTTTAAAAATTAAGTTTTATCAAAACACAGCCATGCTCATTTGTTTAGTATCACCTGTGGCTGCTTTCCTACGAAAATGGTAGAGTTTAATAATTGCAACAGAGACCACATCAACCACAAAACCAATAATATTTACTACCTTATCTTTTACAGGAAAAGTTTGCCAACCCCTGGTCTTACTCCTCATTAAGGTGAGCAAAAATATTAACCAACATTCATTGCAAAACTACATGTGGACAGCCGGTTCTTTCTTCTTTTTTTTTTTTCAAGACGGTCTCACTCTGTCCCCTAGGCTGGAGTACAGTGGCACGATCATGGCTCACTGCAGCCTTAACCTCCTGGGCTCAAGTGATCCTCCCACCTCGGCCTCCTGGAATAGCTGGGACTACAGGCACGCACCACCATGCCCTGCTAATTTTTAAAAATTTTTGTAGAGGCAGGTCTCACTATGTTGCTCAGGCTGGTCTTGAATTCCTGGGCTCAAGTGATCCTCTCACCTCAGCCTCACGAAGTGCTGGGATTACAGGCATGAGCCACTAGCCCGGTGGAGAGTCAATTCTTAAACATTTACTAGCATACCACTGTTCAAATATAGACACAAGCAATGTGACTCACATGATTAACGGCCACACTGCTAAGTAAAATATGAAATATCATGTAAGCATGAAAAACTTACAAAGAATTTACTGTCAATTCAGTATATATAAAACATGATAATATAAAAATTTTTAGAGAGAAGCAAATTGTGAATAAAACAATTAAAAATTTTAAGAAGTCACTGAGGTAACTTTCAAAAATAAAGAGAAGAAAATATAAAAATAACCTTTTGTTTGGAAGCTGCTCTGAATCATCTCCATATATAGTCATGTGTTACTTAACAACAGGGATACATTCTGATAAATTCAACATTAGTCAATTTCATAATTATGCTAACATCTTACAGTGTACTTATGCAAACCTAGATGGTATAGCTTACGACACATCCAAGCTATATGGTGGATCCTATTATTCTTAGGCTGCAAATCTGTTCAGCATGTTTCTGTACTTAATACTGTAGGCAACTATAGCACAATGGTAAGTATTTGTGTATCTAAACATATCTAAACATAGAAAAGGCACAGTAAAAATACAGTATTATAATTTTATGGGACCACCGTTGTGTAATGATATACACCGTTGATATACATGATTATACACCATTGTATAATGCGGTCCATCATTGACTGAAACATCATTATGTAGCTCATGACCGTATTCCCTTTAGAAGCTATCCAATGTCCTCTTCTCAGCTTTTAGTGTATGACTTCTGCACTCTTTTATAAATACCCACTGTTTTCCAGACCATGGAACATTGCTTCTTTCCATATGATCTATTTTACTCAAACAATTTTCTTTGACATTACTTCTGGGACCAGATCCACAAACAAATTCAAAGATTTTTCTCACTCCTCCTTCCTAGACCCCTGTTCACATAGCACTGTGGACTGTACCTTCTTCATTCTTGAGACTCTTCTCTTTTGACTTCTAAGATCTTTTTTACTGTCTTTATTATCCTTATAATAAGTCCTTCTGTGTTTTCTCCCCAGGTTTCCCTTCCTCTCCACCATTCCCAAATCTGAGTATTCCAGAAGAGCTACTGTTTTTTTAATGATATGGTAAATTAATTTCTAAAGGGATTAAAATGAATACCTACCTGTTGTAATGAAAATAAATGTATAACATAAAGCAATCTGCAAAATAGTAAGTATACACTCAAAATCTGTTAGCCATTATTACCATTGTTATTATTTTTATTTTCAGTCCAACCAACACTGATACTGCTGAACTCCTTTTTTTTTATGGAGTTTATGGCACATGTTTAAGTTAATTAATTATGTAAGATACATATATATATGTACACATGGTAAGGTGGAGCGGTTGTGATAATACCACAAGCTGCCTGAAGGGGCAGCCCACCCTAGATCCTTTCCTAACTGAACAAGATTCCAAAACACCAGTACCTCTGGTAAGTGGAAGGGCCCAGTCCATCCCCCAGGCTGTGTCCTTGTGCGTCAGTCCTCTTGCTTCCCTCAGGCTCTACTTCTTTTTCCTACAAGCACAGAGAGCATTGGGATCAGTCATGGAGCCCTGCCAGGGATGATGGGGATTGAGAGCAGCCAAATACCCTACAGGAGCCCATGCAGCAGCCCACAGCTCTGCAGAGAGAAACTAAACTGGTGATTACCATGAGCTCCAGCCCCGGGTTCACTGTGCCAGTCTCCACTGTGGACAGAGCAATGGACTGTCTTCCACTTGCTTTCTCCATCTCCTGTTCTCCTCAACTGAAAAACAAATTCAGGGCCAAGCCTGAAAGATTGGTCATTCTGTTCTGTGGGGATGGGGAGAATTTTTAGGACCAGTTACCCATGGAAAACGCAAAACTAAAAGTCTTTGAAGGCTTAGTTGATTTCTTTAAGAACTGAGAATTGAGAAGATTGGATGTGTAATTTTTATATAATAAATAATGAAAAATAAAATCCTATTTCCTCTTGTGAATAGCTAAAGAAGAGGCAGTAAGATAGGAGAAGAGAAATGAAAGGCAGTGGAATTGAAATGAATCAGTGGGCCGCCCAGGGCCCCAGGATCTGGGCTATAAAGGTTCCTACTTGGACCCTCAAAGAAAGAGTCACAGGGTAACTACTCCTTTTAGCCCCAGGGAGGCCCCACTGAGCTTGCTGAGTAAGAAGGAAACAGGGAGGAAGGCAGTTGGGAAGACCCGGACCCTAAAGTATTGCTGAACAGATAACAATTTACAGGCCTTCAAATTCCTGACTATAATGTAGCATAAGAATTGGTTTTTTATGCCCCAGAGAGAACTCATCAGTGAAATTAACAAAACTTACATTTAAAATAATTAGTATGAATGTTAATGATCCCAAGTAAAGTTTTTAAACAAAATAAGCAAACATTTGGGCCTCAGAATAAGCAAATTTAATACATGGACATTCACAATTAGAATATAAGTTCATTCTGAGATATTTATTTACTTTGCAGAAAATTCCCTTCCCCATGGAATTGCTTTTGAAAATGTGATCTCTTCAAGCATTTGAAGTATAATTTCATTAAACACACATAACCAACTTATATTGTGTAAATTAGGGCCTTCCTGACTAGGCACAAAACTACCTGCATTTAGTTTAAATATGATCTCTTTAAAAATTTGTAAATTAGGCACCTGCCCTCCCCCAAACACCTTTACTTACCCCAGCTTGTGGAATTGATTCCCTCTGGCTCCTCAGTGAAGGACTGAAAGAAAAGCTCAGCTGCGAGGGAGGAGGGGCAGCTTGGGTGGGGCATGGGGGCTTTCCTGCCATTGGTTAGTTTTATGTCTTGGGCCCTCCTTCGCTGAGCCTGCCCTCAATGTAGAGGAGGACTGCACCTCTCAAGTTAAATATTATATGTTTTTAAGACTGTTTTGCAGGCCTAAGACTTATGCAGAGGTGGCGCCCGCCCGTAATCCCAGCACTTCGGGAGGCCGAGACGGGCGGATCGCTTGAGACCAGCCAGGATAACATGGCGAAACCACATCTCTACAACAAATACAAAAATTAGCTGGGCGCGGTGGCACACGACTGTGGTTCCAGTTACTCGGCAGGCGGAGGTGGAAGGATCCCTTGAGCCTCTGGAGGTGGAGGTTGCAGTGAGCTGTGATTGCGCCACTGCACTCCAGCCTGGGCGACAGAGTGAGACCCTGTCAGAAAACAAAACAAAACAAAAGAATTCTGTAAGAACTTCTAACAGGTACATTCCTGTAAGCATTACCCACCACTGGACTAGGCACTGGGTAGCCTGTAAAATACAGTAAGAGCCGTCTCTGCACCCAGAAAATTTACCATCATTTTGTGCTGGAAAGACATGCCCTAGAAAACAATAAACAGCACGACTGTACATGATTCCATGCCAAATGACTGCTAGGAATTATTTTATTAATCCATTCAACAAATACTTATTGAGTAACCACTATTAGCCAGCCACCGTTTTCCGTGTGAGGACATAAAAATGAGTGAGACAAGGTCTCTGCCATCAAAAAACGAACAGATCAGTGAGGAAAGACGGATGTGTCAAGAAAGGCTTTGCAGGTCGAGCGCGGTGAATCACGCTTGTAATCCCAGCACACTGGGAGGCAGAGGCAGGCGGATCATTTGAGGTCAGGCGCTCGAGACCACCCTGGCCAACATGGCGAAACTCCATCTCTACTAAAAATACAAAAATTATCCGGGCATGGTGGTGCAGGCTTGTAATCTCAGCTACTCAGGAGGCTGAGGCAGGAGAATCATTTGAACCCAGGAGGCAGAGGTTGCAGTGAGCCATGATCATGCCACTGCACTCCAGCCTGGGTGAGCGAGACTCCATCTCAAAAAAAAAAAAAAAAAAAAAAAAGAGGGAGAGAAAGACTTTACAGAGCTGGTAACACTTATCCTGGCCTGGAAAGAAAGAAAGAAAGCTTCCTATGACGCCCTCTGGATAAAACTTAGGACCCCTCCCTGCACTCTGATTGCACCATGTTGTTGCTGAACCCTATAGAGCACATACCATCGCCTACTAGACAGTGATCTCCTCAAGCACAAGCTCTCTGTCTTTTTTTTTTTTTTTTCCTTAGACAAGGTCTTGCTCTGTCACCCAGACTAGAGTGCAATGGCACTATCATGGCTCATTGCAGCCTCTAACTTCTGGGCTCAGGTGATCCTCCCATCTCAGCCTCTGGAGTAGCTGGGACCACAGGCGTGTACCACCACACCTGGCTAAGTCTTTTTTTAATTTTCTGTGGGGATAGGGGTCTCAATATGTTGCCCAGTCTGGTCTCAAACTCCTGGGCTCAAGCCATCCTCCTGCCTTGGCCTCTCAAAGTACTGGGATTATGGGTGTGAGCCACTGCTCCTGGCCAGGTTCTCTATCTTGTTCTTCACTGTATCCCTAGGCTCAAGGCCCACCACAATATTATTAGGCAATCAATAAATATTTGTAAAATATGTGAAAACAACATCACCACCACAGATTCTGGCTTAGATTATTTGGTATGTAGATGCGGATTCCAAACACCAAAGTAAGGACATATTTCTGTTTCCCCAGTTCTGCATGTGTATGTGCGCAGACGTACACAGAATCCCTCACAGAGTAGATGTGTGTTGTATTCTGGATCGAGAGCAACTCACTTTACCTTTCTGGGCCTCTTCCATCTTTCCCACCCTGCCTAATCCTATCTCATAAGATTATCATGAAAATTAAGTAATTTAATACAGAAGAAAGAACTTGGAAAAATATTACATGACTTTGCAATTGTGGAGCACTGTTGTAAGATCTTATATTAATTCAGGAAAATAAGACACCAGTGTTGAAAGTGAACCTGCTTACAGATATTTTCAAGCTGTTGTCCTATATGTCAATATGACTGTGAAGTGTCTCTTGCTCATTCTATCTTATACATGTATCTTATATCTTTTTGTATATTTTTAAATACATATATACCTGTAAATCTTATATATATATAAGATATATGTATAAGATAGAATGTATACAAAAATATATAAGATTACAAAAGGATATATATCTTATATCTTTTTTTTATTTTTACCTTATTTGTGTACATATGTATGTATTTATTTTAGAGACAGGGTCTTGCTTTGTCATCCAAGCTGGAGTTCAGTGGTGAGATCATAGCTTACTGCAGCCTGAAACTCCTGGGCTCAAGTGGTCCTCCTGCCTCAGCCTCCTGAGGAGCTAGGACTATAGGTGTGTGCCACCACATCCAGCTAATTTTTAAATTTTTATTCGGTAGACCCAGGATTCTCACTATATTGCCCAGGCTGGTTTCGAACTCCTGGCCTCAAGCAATCTTCCCACCTAGGCCTCCCAAAGTGTTGGGATACAGGCTCCAGTCACCACGCCCCAACAGTTTTTACCTTAAATAATTGCCACTTCCGGGGCTAAGTCCAAGCATAATGATAGGCACAGATCCTAGTATTCTGTTCAGGTGAAATGATGCCAGTGATCACACCTCTGTCTTCTCTCACCCTCCCACTTCCCTTTTTCTTTCCTTATAGAAGATGTAAAAACCCATATCTTCATCTTCTAAGTGCAGGCCATAGTACTCCTCTCACTTTCCCAAGGGATCCAGATTTTTTTTAAACACAAATATTGACATAACCCAACTGCCAAGAGGAAAAGATTTAACCTAGCAGGTACCTCCCCTTGATTAACTGACTTGGGCCCCATTGTTTGTTTTTTGCCTTATCACATATAGTTTGATGGATGAACTTTCTCATATTACAGATCAGGAAGAATAAAGTGATTTACCCAGAGTCAAAACCTTAGTTAGTGACTAAGCCAATTCTATATCCTGAGTCCCTTACTCCCAGTTCTAAGCTATTTCTGGGCTGCAAGGTTAAACATAAATAAGAGATCCTCTGTTTCTACAGCATTTTATAGTCTTTCAAAAGATTTTTCTATACTTTCACTATCCTTGTAATATTCCTGTAAGGTAAGCAAGTTAGCTACTAATCCTATTTTAGATCAAAAGAAAAAAAAATAGACTCAAAGAAGATGAGGAATTTGCCTAAAGTCATACAGTTAGTTAGGGGAGAGCCAGGATGAGAGGCTAGCTCTGGTCATTTCTGTGGAAGTTGAAACTTACAACTGTCCTAAAGGTTGTTAACTCTCCTAAAGCCTAGAGGTTACTCCTGGAAAATGAGGTGGCCTGCCAAAACCCATCTGGGAAATAAATACGATGTAAGTAATAGATGGTTTTATCCTTTCTGCTTTTATATCTCCTTCAATTACTGTAGAAGCAGGCAGAACTAGGGAGAGTATAGGGACTTAAAATTTTGGTCTTAATAGAGTAGCTGGCATTTAACTCACCCTCCTGTTGAAAACAACTAAAAAGACTGGACAAAATATATAAAATAAGTTTGAAGGCATTGCAGAGCAACCAGTAGCAGCAGGACTTGAGAAGTCTACAATCCTTGAGAGAAGCCCAAGAGAGTTGAGCTCTGGCAGGGCTGGCTCAGGCCTGTAACCCCAGCATTTTGGGAGGCCGAGGCACAAGGATCTCTTGAGTCCAGGAATTTGAGACCAGCCTGGGAAACATGGCTGGGGGTGGCGGTGCATGCCTGTAGTCCCAGCTACTCAGGAGGCTGAGGCAGGAGGCTCGCTTGAGCCCAGGAGTTCAAGGCTGCAGTGAGTTGTGATCATGCCACTGCACTCCAACCTTGGCAACAGAGGGAGACCCGGTCAAAAAAAAAAAGGATTTGTGCTCCAGCTCCACATTCATCCTAGCTCCTATTTTGAGGACACTTTATTTTTCAAATCAGAATGCAGACAAACAATATTTGGGACAGCCAAAATGGCTGCACTTTTTGGGAGAATAATAAAAAGAAAAGAACCACGGGCCGGGTGTGGTGGCTCATGCCTGTACTCCCAGAACTTTGAGAGGCCGAGGTGGGTGAATCACCTGAGGTCAGGAGTTTGAGACCAGCCTAGCCAACATGGTGAAACCCCACCTCTACTAAAAATTCAAAAAATTAGCCAGCTGTGGTGATGCACACCTGTAGTCCCAACTACTTGGGAGGCTGGGGTGGGAGGATCACTTGAACCTGGGAGGCAGAGGTTGCAGTGAGCTGAGATCATGCCACTGCACTCCAGCCTGAGCAACAGAGCGAGACTCTGTCTCCAAAAAAAAAAAAGAATTAAAAAACAACACCAAAAAAAGACGGGCCGGGCACAGTGGCTCACGCCTGTAATCCCAGCACTTTGGGAGGGTGAGGCAGGTGGATCACCTGAGGTCAGGGGTTAAAGACCAGCCTGGCCAACATGGCAAAACCTTGTCTCTACTAAAAATACAAAATAAGCTGGGCGCAGTGGTGCATGCTTGTAATCCCAGCTACTCGGGAGGCTGAGGCAGGAGAATCACTTGAACCCAGGAGGTGGAGGTTGCAGTGAGCCGAAACTGTGCCACTGCACGCCAGCCTGGGTGACAGAGTGAGACCCTGTCTCAAAAAAAAAAGCCAGAATACAGAAATACACACCTCTCAAATCCCTCTACCTTGTTCTTTTTTTTTTTTTTTTTTTTGAGACAGGGTCTCACTCTGTTGCCCAGGCTGGAGTACGGTGCACAATCTTGGCTCACTGCAGCCTCGATCTTCTGGGCTCAAGCAATCCTCCCACCTCAGCCTCTCAAGTAGCTGAGGCTACAGGTGTGAGCCACCATGCCTGGCTAATTTTTTAGTTTTTTTTTTTTTTTTTTTTTTTTTTTTTTTTAGCAGAGATGGGGTCTCACTATGTTTGTTGCCCAGGCTAAAATTCTTTCCACATTAAAGCATAATTTTTTTACTTGGATAGGTATTAACCATTAAAACCATCACATTCATAGGAGTGTGTTGCCTAAAATTTGTGTTGTAAATACAATGGAAATGTTTAAAAATCTTTATAAGTAATAAAGGTTGCTACTGACTTGGGTCAGAGGCAATGCAAGTTGAAAAAAAAAAAAAGAAGAAAGACCATGGGCAAAACAGGAGACTTGGGAAAGTTCCCCTCATGGTGCAGGCCTAGGAAAGGTGAGCAGCTATCACTGCAGGAAAGACACAAAGCTCTACCTGGATTGTTCTCATCTATCTCCCCTGCAAAACTGCCTTGGATCACTGGGAGAGGGGAAAAAAATTTGCCACCCTTGGGCCACAGGTGAAGACTCATTGCTGAGAGAAGTGAACAGAAAAAAAAATTTCTACCTCTGAAAGAGAGGCAGAAAACTGCCCTGGACCAAGGCCATTAGAGATTTCCTATTGCTGATGGAGGGACGATTGCTGATAATGCCCCACCTTTAAGACCCAGGGACATAACACCTGTGTAAGATTGAGGATGAGCCTGTAAAACAGAGGGCACTCTCCTTTTCCACACCAGGATAGCAAGAGTTGAGTAGAAAGTAACAGGCATTTACTTCTGTAAAGCGGGCGGGGGAATGTGTGGAGAGGGCCTTCTCTAAGGCATAGGTGCAAAGAAAAGACTTAAAGCTGAAGCTCAAGCAGTTATTGAGAAAAATCTTCATACAAGCCACCAACTCAATTCAACAAATCCAGCTCAACTTTTCACTAGATCGACTCAACCCCAAACACTAAGGATTTAGCTAAAGAAAGCACACGCCTAGCTGAGCATGGTAGCTCAAACCTGTAATCTTAGTGCTTTGGGAAACTGAGGCAGTAGTATCACTCGAGGGCAGGAGTTTGAGACCAACCTGGGCAATATAGTGAGACCCTGTTTCTACAAAAAGAAAAAAAAGGCTAACATTTGCCAGGCATGGTGCCATATGCCTGTAGTACTAGCTACTCAGGAGGTTGAAGTGGGAAAATCCTTTGAGCCCAGGAATTCCAGGCTGCAGTGAGCCAGGTTTGTATCACTGCACTCCAGACTGGGTGATAGAGCAAGACCCTGTCTTAAAAAAAAAAAAAAAAAAAAAAACTAGTATGATTTGGATCTGTGTCCCCACCCAAATCTCATGTTGAAATGTTATCCCCAGGCCAGGCTCAGTGGCTCACACCTGTAATCCCAACACTTTGGGAGGCTGAGGCGGGAGGATCACTTGAGGTCAGGAGTTCGAGACCAGTCTGGCCAACATAGCAAAACCTGTCTCTACTAAAAATACAAACATTAGCTGGGCATGGTGGCTGAGGCAGGAGAATTGCTTGAACCCAGGAGGCGGAGGTTGCAGTAGGCCAAGATCGAGCCACTGAACTCCAGCCTGGGTGACACAGTGAAACTCTGTCTCAAAAAATATATATATAATCCTCAAAGCTAGAGGTGGGGCATGGTTGGGGGTGATTGGCTCGTGAGGACAGAGTTCTCATGAATGGTTTAGCACCATCTTCCCTTGGTACTGTATGTGAGTGAATTCTCATGAGATCTGGTGTGCAGCACCTCCCCCTCTCTCTCTTTCTCCTGCTCTGGCCATGTAAGATGAGCCTGCTTCCCCTTTGCCTTCTGCCATGATTGTAAGTTTCCTGAGGCCTCCTTAGAAGCTGAACAGATGACTAACATCATGCTTCCTGTACAAGCTTCGGAACCATGAGCCAATTAAACCTCTTCTCTTTATAAATTACCCACTCTCAGGTATTTCTCCATAGCAATGCAAGAATGGACTAACACAAAAGCATATGCCCATTTTCTGGCATAAAAGCAATTTGTCCCAGTCTCTACTGTTCTACACAAGATGTCTGGCCTACAACCAAAATACTTATGACAAAAAAGGAAAAACAAACAAAAACCACACTATCAAGAGATAATGCAATGACCAACCGGAATCAGATATAATCCATATGTTATGACTGTTACGTGGGAAGATTTATTTATTTTTAACTGAAAAAGTAGGTGATTTTTATTTTTATAAACTGTTAAAGCAACTTTATTTATTTATTTTTATTTATTTGAGATGGCATCTTGCTCTCTCATCCAGGCTGGAATGCAGTGGCACAGCCTTGGCTCACTGCAACCTCCACCTCCCAGGTTCAAGCGATTCTCCTGCCTCAGCCCCCCAGTAGCTGGGATTACAGGCACCCACCACCACACCCAGCTAATTTTTGTATTTTTAGTAGAGTTGGGGTTTCGCCATATTGGCCAGGCTGATCTTGAACTCCTGACCTCAAGGCTGGTCTTGAACTCCTGAACACCCACCTTGGCCTCCCAAAGTGCTGGGATTGCAGGTGTAAGCCACCTTGCCCTGCCTGTTAAAGCAACTTTAAAACTAAGGAGATAGTTTTCCTTATCATTTTTAAGTTTAAAGACTCATAAATGCAGTTAATTATACAAAATTAACTACATCATTCTACTAAAAGTATACACTAAAACCATCATCATAGCTTCCAACTACAGTTGACCCTTGAACAGCACGGATTTGAATTGTGTGGGTCTGCTTACATGCAGATTTTCTTCTGCCTCTGCCGCTCCTCAGATAGCAAGACCAACCCCTCCCCTTCCTTCTCCTCCTCAGCCTATTTGATGTGAAGACAATGAGGATGAAGACCTTTAAAATAATCCACTTATTATATGGAGAATTTAAAATAATTAAGATTAACATGTTAAAGGCTGTAGTGGAAAAGGAGGAAAACATGCATAAAGAGATGAGGACTGACTGGGCGACATGGCTCATGCCTGCAATCCCAATACTTTAGGAGGCCGAGGCAGGCAGATCACTAGAGGTCAGGAGTTTGAGATCAGCCTGGCCAACATGGTGAAAGCTCACCTCTACTAAAACTACACAAAAATTAGCCAGGCATGGTGGCACGTACCTATAGCCTCAGCTACTTAAGAGACTGAGGCAGGAGAATCACTTGAACCTGGGAGGTGGAGGTTGCAGTGAGTCAGGATTGTGCCACTGCACTCCAGCCTGGGCAACACAGTGAGACTCCATCTCAAAAAAAAAAAAAAAAAAAAAAAAAAAAAAAAAAAAAAAAGACTGTCAGGAGAGAAGAAAACTATAAGAAAGGACCAAATGAAAGTGCTAAAAATAAAAAAACATGGTAACAAATATGAAGAATAGCTCTGACAGGCTTATTGGCAGACTCAGCTTAACTAAGAAGAGAATCAGTGAACTTAAAAACAAGTCAAATCCCAGTGTCATGGTGCACATCTATATTCTCAGCTACTTTGGAGGCTGAGGTGGGAGGATTGTTTGACCCTAGGAGTTCTATCTTCCCCTTTTATCTCTTCTTTCTGGGACTCAAATTAAATGTACACCAGGCCACTTAATGATATTTCATGAATCTCTAATATGGTGTTCTCGCTGTTTCTTCCAGTCTTTTTTTCTCTGTATCTTTCAGTTTGATTTTTCTTCTATGATGTCTAAGCTGCTATTAATCCTATCCAGTGTACTTTTCATTTCAGATGTTGTATTTTTCATATTCAGAGGTTCTATTTCTTTTTTTCTTTCTTTTTTTTTTTTGAGGTGGAGTCTCACTCTGTCGGCCAAGCTAGAGTGTAATGGCATGATCTCGGCTCACTGCAACCTTTGCCTCTGGATTCAAGTGATTCTCTTGTCTCAGCCTCCCAAGTAGCTGGGATTACAGGCACACACTGCCATGCCCAGCTAATTTTTTGTATTTTTAGGGATGGGGTTTCACTATGTTGCCCAGGCTGGACTCGGACTCCTGAGCTGAGACAATCCACCCACCTCAGCCTCCCAAAGTGCTAGAATTATAGGCATGAGCCACCACACCTGGCCCAGAGTTCTATTTCAAATCTCTTTTTATGTCTTTCATTTATATCTCCATCAAGCTCATTACTTCCTCTACCTTCTTTAACATAAGTTAATGTATAAGGGATGTATTAAAATACCTGTTTTAGCTGGGTGCAGTGGCTCACACCTGTAATCCCAACACTTTGGGAGGCCTAGGAAGGTGGATCACCTGAGGTCAAGAGTTCGAGACCTGTGAGAAAGAGAGTTTCTGAGGTGCCAGTTGAGTTGGACTCCCCTGTGTGAGACACACATGGGAAGCCATGGGCGGCCTCTGAGGAGAAAAGTCTCCTTATTGCCTTCATGTCTTTATGCCCGAAGAGCATAACTGCTCAGTGGCATTCCACAGGTTGCTCAGGGAGATAACACTCCCTTGAAGCAGTGGAGTATAATCAAACATCTTGGCTCCTCCTGAAACCTGCTCCAACCCATTTCAGTCCCGATAAGTTCAAGATCTTAAGTAGTTTAGACACACGCCTTTGTTCAAGGAAATTCACAGAAACCGCCACTGCTATACATCTTATCGAATGACTCATGAGTTCTCCTTCACTGATTAATCCTTTTCCTCATCCCTTCCTCCCCCTCCCATCTGCCCTAAGAACAAAGAGCTTGTAAACCGATAAATTGGGGCAGAGCCTGAGAGCTCTGGGCTGTGAGCAAGCCTCCGATGCTCCAGTCCCCTGGACCCGCCTTTTAAACGCTATTCTGTCTCTTTCTAACTCCTTTGTTTCCTCTAGACTCAGTGTACCCGCTGGGTGATGTGGGGCTGGTTTCCCCAACATCTGGCGCCCAACATGGGGCTCCCCATAATCTCTACAAATAATCCAGTGAAGAAACGCCAGAGTGTGGAAAGTGGAGGACGACTGATGAAGGATGCCTGAGTACGTTTTTACTTCAGGCTCTATGGGTAAGTAGGGCACTTGGAGAATTCCAGGGTAACCTCAGGAAAATATGGGTCAGGCTGAAAGTAAGTTTGTTAATTACTTAAGCCTGGTGCGGCAGTTATTGTGCCGTGGTGGGGGGTAATTGTGAGTACCCAAAATCTCACATCTTTGTTCCATCTCGTAGAAAAGTATTCTCCTTGGTTCCTGGAATATGGAACCATGAATGTAAAAGATTGGGACAAGGTTGGATCAGACTTAAAACGAGCACAACAAGAGGGCCACGATATTCCTTTCTCCGCTTGGTCTGTGTGGTCAGCAATTAAAACAGCACTAGAGCCCTTCCACGCTGAGGAGGAGAAGGAGTTTCAGGATGACATAGAAAAGTTTAATAATCAGGATTCTGATGATCAGCAAAGTGAACCATCACAGTCTAATTTTAAAAAGGGGAAGAAACAGGAAGCTATATATGCTAACCTCCAAAAACTTATGAAAGAAACAGTTCCACCTACTGCAGAAATAGTGCCACCTACTGTGCCTTTAGGGGAAGGTCCGGAATGGCCACCCCCACCTCAGCCTTATGAATTTTTGAAATGAGAGCCTGAGATGCAGCTTGTCACTCCCATTGTTGCACGCCCCACCATTAACTGTGGCAAAGGGAAGCTTCAGGCTGGCCCAACAGCCAATTACAGTGAGGGAATGATCCAGGCTTGTCCACCTGTTAATTATAGTAAAGGAATGCTGCAAGCCGGCCCAAATACAAATTATGGCACAGGGACAATCCAGGCATCCATTCGCCAGGGATGAGAAATCAGGGATTTGGATGCTTGGCAGTTTCTGGTAATTATTTCGCCAGCTGAGGAGCCCAGAGAACATGCCCAAGCACGCTAGGAGCCATTTCCTTTTAAAATATTAAAAGACTTAAAGCAAGCAATAGGACAATATGGGCCGAATTCTCCTTATGTTCATTCCTTGTTACAATCTGTGGCTTATAACAGGTGTTTAATACCTATGGATTGGGAGTCATTAGCCCAATCCACCCTATCCCCCTCTCCATTTCTGCAATTTAAAGCCTGGTGTACAGATGAAGCAACAAATCAGGCATGCAGAAATGCTCAAGCTCAACCTCCCATTAATATCACATCTGATCAATTGCTTGGAATCGGACAGGCATGAGGTACTATAAATCAACAGATGGTAATGGGTGATGAGGCTGTTGATCAGCTCAGAAGTATATGCCTAAGAGCCTGGGAAAAAATTCATGACCCTGGTACTACTTATCCTTCTTTTAACTCAGTTCGACAGGGTCCAAGGGAGCCTCATCCAGATTTTATCGCCCGTTTGCAAGACACAGCTCAAAGGCTATTTTGGATTCTCATGCCAGGAAAGTTCAACTGCTTGCTTATGAAAATGCTAATACAGAATGTCAGGCAGCAATTAGACCTATTAAGGGAAAGGCAGATCTAAATGAGGAAAAAACTTTAAGTGAATACATTAAAGCCTGCAGTGGCATTAGGGATCACTTATATAAGGCCATCCTCCTTGCTCAGGCAATGGCTGGACTAAGGGTAACAAAAAACACACGAGTGTTCCCTGGATCTTGATATAATTGTGGACAGATAGGACATACAAAAAGAGAATGTAGAAAGAGCCAAAAAAGGCAAAACTCAGGAGGAAAAAGCAGGGAACCAGGGACCTGTCCTAGATGTAAAAAAGGAAAACACTGGTCTAATCAATGTCATTCAAAGTTTGATAACAGAGGACAGCCCTTGCCAGGAAGCAGACAGAGGGGCCAGCCCTGGGCCCCGATTCAAAATGGGGCATTCCCAATTCAGGATGGGACATCCCTGACTCCAAACAGAGTGTTCCTGGCCCAGCCTATCCCTGTACAAATGTACAGCAATTGTCCCCCTCCACAGCTAAAAGCAGGGCAGTAGATTTATGCTGTACGGAAGCTGTATCCCTCCTTCCTGAGGAGCCTCCTAGGAAGGTCTCAATGGGAGTTTATGGCCCATTGCCAAATGTCACAGTGGGACTTATACTGGGAAGGTCCAGCTTAAACTTAAAAGGAATTCAAGTACATACTGGAGTAGTGGACTCTGATTGCCAGGGAGAAATTCAAATTGTTATCTCCTCCACTGTTCCCTGGAGTGCTAATCCAGGTGACAGAATAGCTCAAATGTTGCTTTTACCATATGTTAAGTTAGGAGAAAGCTCAGAAAAAAGAACAGGAGGATTTGGAAGCACGAATTCAGCAGGCAAGGCTGCCTATTGGGTAAATCAAGTCTCTGACAATAGTCCTATTTGTATGGTCACTATTCAAGGAAAACAATTTGAGGGTCTGGTCGACACAGGAGCAGATGTGTCGATCATAGCTCTTTATCAATGGCCAAAAAACTGGCCCAAACAAAAGGCCCCAGTGGGTCTTGTTGGGGTCAGAACTGCTTCAGAAGTTTTCCAAAGTACTTTTATCTTACCGTGTCTTGGTCCAGAAGAACAGGAAGGCACAATACAACCTCTAATTACATCCATTCCTGTTAACTTATGGGGGAGAGATCTGCTTCACAAATGGGGCAGAGAAATTTCAATCCCTTCTCCCTGGTATGGTCAAGCCAGTCAAAAAATAATGTCAAACATGGGCTATGTTCCTGGAAAAGGCCTAGGAAAACAGGAGATGGGCATTACTGAACCCATACAGGTTACTGTAAAAAATGACTGAACAGGATTAGGTTACCATTTTTAGGGGCAGTCACCGTTGAGCCTCCAAATCCTATTCCCTTAAAATGGAAGACCCAAAATCCTGTTTGGGTCAAGCAGTGGCTGCTTTCTCAGGAAAAATTGGGGGCCTTACAGGAATTAGTCAAAGAGCAATTAAACAAAGGAAACATTGAGCCCACATTTTCTCCATGGAATTAGCCAGTGTTTGTAATAAATAAAAAAATGCAGCAGATGCCACATGCTAACCGACTTACAAGTGGTCAGTGCAGTCATCCAGCCAATGGGGTCCCTGCAGCCAGGGCTTCCATCCTTCACCATGATTCCTAGAGACTGGCCATTAATAATTATAGATTTGAAGTATTGCTTTTGTAATATTCCTCTAGCAGAGTCTAATTTTGAGAAATTTGCTTTTACTATTCCTGCTATGAACAAACAACAGGGAACCAGCAGCCAGATATCATTGGAAAGTCCTGCTGCAGGGTAGGTTGAATAGTCCTACTATTTGTCAAACTTTTGTGGGGAAGGCTACTCAACCTGTGAGAGATCAGTTTCCCGATTCGTATATCATTCATTATATGGATGACATATTGTGTGCAGCCGAAAATCAAGACCAACTTATCCAGTGTTATTCATATTTACAGGAGGTGGTAGCCAGTGCTGGATTGTTCATAGCACCAGATAAAATTCAAACGGTCACTCCTTTCCAATATTTGGGAATGCAGGTTCAGGAAAGGGCAATTAAACCCCAAAAGGTTCAAATTCGAAAAGACTCTCTGAAAACTTTAAAGGATTTTCAAAAATTACTAGGGGATATCAATTGGATTTGACCTACTTTGGGAATCCCTACCTATGCTATGTCTAATCTGTTCTCTATTTTAAGAGGAGACCCTGCTCTCAATAGTAAACAAGAACTGACTCCTGAGGCTGCCAAAGAATTACAAATGATTGAAGAAAAAATACAACAGGCCCAGGTTAATAGAATAGACTCAAGTTTACCATTATAGTTCATTGTGTTCCCTACTTTCCATTCTCCTACAGGGGTTATAGTTCAGAGTGAGGACTTAGTTGAATGTTCTTTTCTGCCTCACAATACTGTTAGAACACTCACAGTATACTTGGACCAGATCGTAATCTTGATTGGACAAGCTCGCCTTAGAGTTGTTAAACTTTGTGGCTCAGATCCAGATAAGATTATAGTTTCAATGAATAAAAATCAGATTCAGCAAGCCTTTCTTAATTCAGTCAATTGGCAAATAAATTTAGCTGGCTTCACTGAAGTTCTTGACAATCATTATCCAAAAAACAAAATTTTTCAGTTTTTAAAGCTAACAACATGGGTCCTTCCAAAAATTACCCATAGTACTCCATTGGAAGGAGCAGTGACTGTGTTTACAGATGGCTCTAGCAATGGAAAAGCAGCTTATGTTGGACCTAAAAACAGAATTATTCAAACTGACTTTGAATCAGCACAGAGGACTGAATTACAGGCAGTTATAGCTGTGTTAGAAGACTTTAAGCAACCTGTAAATATTGTCTCTGATTCAGCTTATGTTGTTCAAACCACTCAATACATATAAACTGCACTCACTAAATATCTTGCAGATGAACAACTCTATCAGCTGTTTTCTTCTTTACAAAAGGCAGTGCATGATCGCTGTTTTCCTTTCTATATTATGCACATTTGAGGACACATTAATCTCCCAGGGCCACTTGTAAGGGCTAACTATCAAGCTGATTTGCTAGTTTCCACTGTGCTTACTAATGCCCAAGATTTTCACTCCCTAACACATGTTAGCAGCAGGACTTAAACAAAAATGTCAGATTACTTGGAGACAGGCAAAGGACATTGTGCAACATTGCCCTCAGTGCCAGGTACTACAACTGCCACGTGAAGGGACTGGTGTTAATCCGTGGGGATTAACCCACAATATGTTGTGGCAAATGGACGTAACCCATGTACCTTCATTCAGGAAACTTTCATACGTCCATGTTACTATAGATACCTTTTCTCATTTTGTATGGGCAGCTTGCCAAACAGGTGAGGCAGCTGCTCATATTAAAAGACATTTACTTTTTTGTTTTGCTGCCATGGACATCCCACAAAAGATTAAAACAGACAGTGGCCCAGGCTACTATAGTAAATCTTCACAAGCGTTTCTTCAACAATGGCACATTGAGCACAGTAGTGGAATACCCTGTAATTCTCAAGGCCAAGACATTGTTGAACAGGCTAATCGAACCTTAAAATCTCAATTACAAAAACAAAAGACAGAGGGGGGAACCAGAGAACACTCTACTCTCCATATGCAGCTATAATTGGCTCTTATCACTTTAAATTTTTTGAATTTGTCTAGAGATCAGGTTACAACGGCAGCAGAGCAGCATTTGACAGGACAAAAAATAAATCCTCATGAAGGAAAACATGTAGTGGAAGGACGTCAGAACCAAACTTGGGAAAAGGGCAAAATCATTACATGGGGTCGAGGGTTTTGCTTGTATCTTGCCAGGAGAGAATCAGCTTCCTGTCTGGGTACCCACAAGACATCTTAAGCTGTGCCATGAGCCAGAATCCAAGGAAGAGGAAAAGACCTCGGAATGTCCCTGCACCCCTGGTTCATCAGATGGCTCAGATGAACATCTCTGTTGAGCAGATGGAAACCAGTAAAACTTGCCAAGCAACTCCACCGACCTGTGGGCAGATGAGGAGACTAGCTCACATTGCAGACGAGAACCTGAGGTCTCAGAACAAGCTGCTGACCACCAGTAATCTAATGATAGCTATGATGGCAGTAATCTCCTTGGCGGTGAGTCTCCCCGTAGCTGGGGCAGATCAAAATTACATTTATTGGGCCTACATTCCATTCCCCCACTGATTAGGTCTGTTACATGGTTAGACCCCCTGGTGGAGGTTTATATTAATGATAGTGTCTGGATGCCTGGACCAACAGATAACCGAGGTCCTACTCATCCAGAGGAGGAAGGAATGTTAATGAATGTTTCCATTGGTTATCGCTTTCCTCCCATCTGCCTGGGGCCAGCAGCAGGATTTTTAAATTATGATAAACAAATTTGGATGGTTTATGTCCCTGCACATAATGGACCAAAAGCCTCTATTCATGCAATCAGTGGAAGAACATTTCAATCTTTGGACACTATTAAATACCCTGAGCATGGCTATGTTATGACACATCGCCAGATTAATAAATTTAAACCCAATAAGAAGCCCTGCCCTAGGCAGGCCACTAAATGGTCTGGAAAGCTAAAGGTGCTAACCTGGGAAGATTGTATTGCAAACAGTGCTGCTGTACTGCAGAATAATTCCTATGGAATCATTGATTGGGCCCCTAGGGGACACTTTGCAGTAAATTGTACTGGACAGTGCAAAGATTGTAGAGAGACTCCTTTTGCAAACGACTACCAAGATAATGCACCAAAATTATATAGAAAAATTGAAACAAATTACCCTATTAAGTGGGAGGAAAATGGTATGGCTCCTCCAAGCCCAAAAATGATTGATCCAATTATAAGTCCAGAACATCTAGAATTGTAGAAATTAATGATGGCTCAAACCCCAATTTGGATTTGGAAAGGAGAATATAAAACAGAGACCCGTAGTAAAAAACTTCGATTTGTTGTAGCCATGACCTCTAATCAGTTGGTCCCATTGCAGAGTTGTGTTAGACCTCCTTTTATGTTGGCAGTGGGAAAAATTAATATCCTACCTGACTCTCAAACCATATCATGCCTCAACTGTCATCTTTTTACCTGCATTAATTCTACCTTTAATAAAGATAATAGCGTTTTACTGGTTAGGGCCCAAGAAGGAGTTTGGATACCTGTTTCCCTCAGTAGACCCTGGGAGGCCTCTACTTCCATACGTATTATCACTGAAGTACTAAAAGGAATACTTAATAGATCAAAGAGATTCATACTTACTTTAATAGCTGTGATCATGGGCCTTATAGCTGTCACAGCTACTGCTGCTCCTGCTGCTCCTGCTGGTGATGCTTTGTACTCTTCTATTCAAACTGTGGGCTTTGTGGATAGTTGGCAGAAAAATTCTTCTAAGCTTTGGAATTCCCAAAGCCAAATAGATCAAAAACTGGCAAATCAAATTAATGATCTCCATCAAACAGTAATTTGGATGGGAGATCAGATTATGAGCTTGGAGCATAGAATTCATATGCAACGTGATTGAAATACTTCTGATTTTTGTATTACTCCTAGCTCTTATAATACCACTGAACACCATTGGGTGATGATTAGTTGTCACCCACAAGGAAAAGAAGATAATTTAATATTAAATTAAATTGAAAAAACAAGTTTTTGAGGCATCTCAGGCTCATCTCACCATGTTGCCTGGAGCTGATATTCTTGCTGGAGCCACTGATGGCCTTTCTAATACCAATCCTTTAAAGTGGATTAAAACCATAGGTGGATCAACAATTGCAAATTTTATTTTGGTTTGTGTCTGTTTATGCTGTTTGTTTTTAGTCTACAGATGCAGACAGCACCTTGGGAGAGACGTCAGACACCGTAAATGAGCCATGATAGCAATGGCGGTTATTAGTCAAAAAAAATTAATAAAGACAAAAAAGGGGGACATGTGAGAAAGAGAGTTAGTGGGGTGCCAGTTGAGTTGGTCTCCCCTGTGTGAGACACACATGGGAAGCCATGAGCGGCCTCTGAGGAGAAAAGTCTCCTTATTGCCTTTATGTCTTTATGCCCTGAGAGTATAATCGCTCAGCGGCATTCCACGGGTTGCTCAGGGAGGTAACACTCCCTTGAAGCAGTGGAGTATAATCAAACATCTTGGCTCCTCCTGAAACCTGCTACCACCTGTTTCAGTCCCAATAAGTTCAAGATCTTAAGTAGTTTAGACACACACCTTTGTTCAAGGGCATTCACGGAAACCACCACTGCTGTACATCTTATCGAATGACTCATGAGTTCTCCTTCACTGATTAATCCTTTTCCTCATCCCTTCCTCCCCCTCCCATCTGCCCTAAGAACAAAGGGCTTGTAAACCAATAAATTGGGTGAAGCCTGAGAGCTCTGGGCCGTGAGCAAGCCTCCGATGCTCCAGTTCCCTGGACCCACCTTTTAAATGCTTATTCTGTCTCTTTCTAACTCCTTTGTCTCTGCTGGACTCGGGGTACCCACTGGATGGTGTGGGCTAGTTTCCCCAACAGAGACCAGCCTGACCAATATGGTGAAACCCCCATCTCTACTAAAAATACAAAAATTAGCCAGGCATGGTGGCAGGTGCTTGTAATCCCAGCTACTCAGGAGGCTGAGGCAGGAGGATTGCTTGAACCTGGGAGGCGGAAATTGCAGTGAGCCGAGATCACACTACTGCACTCCAGCCTGGGTGACAGAGCAAGACTCCATCTCAAAAAGCAAACAACAACAACAACAACAAAGTGAGACTTTGTGTCTAAAAAAAAAAAAAAAACTTTCTAAAAACAACAAACCAACCAACTAAAAAACTCATCACCAACAGCTCAAGTGTATAGTCCTTCCTAGGCTGCTTCAAAGCAGGCATAGCAACTATTAATAAATACTTGTTGGATAATAAATAATAAAACAGAAGGAATAATGCTGTAACCTAAGGAAAGGAGCTAGATAGATAGCTTTGAACATCAGGACCTTCCTAGTACCCCTGAGATTGTCCCACATGGGTGACCCCTTCTTTATCTCTAAGTTTAGGTTAGTCCATGTTAATGCAGTGCTATACTGTCATTCAGTGACCTTTGGAGAAAATCCAGAAATTTTATTTAAAATGGAGAAATTATATTTGGAGGAATTATATTTAGAGGAAAAGGAGAGAACCAACAAATGGAAAATTCCAAGTTTCTTTTCGTTGAGCTAATGTTAAGAGGATAAATTATCTTGTTATCGGCTAAGAAAGAGAATAGACTTGGAAATTGTCCTGCTTCCAAGAGGATGGTTGAAGAAATCAAAGAATGAAGGAGTTACTTGGAGGTCCACCTGCCCCTTCCTTGTTCAGTTCCATCTGGCCTTGGAGCCAGGTAAAAAATAGCTGTTATCTAGGGGTGTGGAGAAGGTTACCTCTTCAAATCATTTAGATTCTTAGAGCACAATGGACCTTAAGATCTCCCCACTAACCCCAACTGCATTGGCTGCATGAAGCTGCAGGAGCTGCCTGGGGGGCATGTCATAATAGGGACCCTCTGCTTTGCTTGTCATGCACTCAGGCTTCAGTGAAGATGACAGCCCATCACACACTTCCCACTTCATGGAGAGGACACCCAGTCCCTCTCTCCAATCCTAACCTCTCACCCACACTCCTGTCTGCAAAAACCTGAAGGTTATTTCTGCCTGGAGGATCCACTGATATCTGAGTCAATTTGTCCTAAACTCAAACTACTATTATCTTCTCAGAGGCCATCTCAGAGGTCACCTCTGCCCAAATCCCCTTCCTTCCCCTCCAGGCAGAGTAAAGCATTCCGTATACTTCTGTTTCCTATTAACCCTTTCCTTCTCTGTTCTTGTGTTAGCTAGGTATTGAGCCTTTGTGCCCTCTCACCAGAGGGGAGGATCCTTCAGGGAGGAGCTTGTGAAGGAAAGAAAGAAGCATGGAGTAGAGTGTGACGGGTAGCATTTTCAGACACATTTCTGCCCCCTGCAGTGGGTCATACCTGTAATCCTTCTAGCACTTTGGGAGGCCAAGGCAAGAGGATCACTTGAGTCCAGGAGTTCGAGACTCAACTGTGTAGGCTGGGCAACATAGTGAGACCCTGTCTCTACAAAAAATAAAAAATTACCTGGACATAGTGGCACACACCTGTGGTCCCAGCTACTACAGAGGCTGAGGTGGAAGGATTGTTTGAGCCCAGGAGGTCAAGGCTGCAGTGAGCTCTGATCGTGCCACTAGGCTCCAGCCTGGGCAACAGAGCGAGACCCTGTCAAAAAAAAAAAAAAAAAAGAAAGAAAGACACATTTCTTCAACTTCACAATTTTGGATAGAGGTGGACTTGAATACCAGGCCATCTGAATTACTGGGGGCAGTTAAAACAGTAGGTTTAAAGGGATGGTGATAACAAATGTTTTCCAAGGGACCCTATTATTTATTTTTATATTAATGTCTTATATATCCAATTATAGTTTATTTTTTTGAAATGCTTTTCATTTCTCATGGAATTCTGTGCTTTTTGACATTTGCCTGTGAAAAGTAAGATATTTTTTTCTCTAGCTTTGTCTCCCATAGCAGGCTCCTTTCTGAGAGATGACACTGAATGAAGGGTCTGGAAACAGAGGACGGAAGTTATAAATAGCCCGCAGCACTGCAGCACTGGTCTTGGCCAATTCCACTATCAGGTGCTAAAGAGCCTGCTTTTTCAGTAAAGCATTTCTAGACACCTCACTGAAAGATCAACTAAATATGATTTATCTAGCCACAGAAAGCAAAGTGAGAGAGAATATGGCAAATCCTAAGGAGCTACAAGTGCTCTGTCCTGGTATTAGGGATTCCATTTTCTTTCCTGCCCTCTGTTTACTTTTTTATTGTTATTTATTTATTTATTTATTTGAGATAGGATCTTGTTCTGTTGCTCAGGCCAGAGTGCAGCGGTGGAACCATAGCTCACAGCAGCCTTAAACTCCCAGGCTCAAGCCATCCTCCATATCCTCCCACTTCAGCCTCCTGATTCGCTGGGATTACAGGGGCATGCTACCACATCAGCTCTGTCCTTTGCTTTTGTATCCTGTTTCTAATTTCTTTCTGTTTCTGATTCTCCTTTTCTCCACCTCCTTCCTTCCCTCTCTCCTCTCTGTCTCTCCCTCACACTACTTCTCTCTTTTCTTTTTTTTTTTTTTTTTTTTTGAGTCTGAGTTTTGCTCTTGTTGCCCAGGCTGGAGTGGAATGGTGTGATCTCGACTCACTGCAACCTCTGCCTCCCAGGTTCAAGTGATTCTCCTGCCTTAGCCTCCCAAGTAGCTGGCATTACAGGCGCCTGCCACCATGCCCAGCTAATTTTTGTATTTTTAGTAGAGATGAGGTTTCATCATGTTGGCCAGGCTGGTGTCAAACTCCTGACCACAGGTGATCCACCTGCCTCGGCCTCCCAAAGTGCCGGGATTACAGGTGTGAGCCACTGCATCTGGCCTTCCTTCATCTCTTTCTACTTACCATCTCTCCTTCTTATACCTTGCAGAACCCTCCCTGACAAGCTGTGCCACAGGGATCTCTGGGAGGAAAGACCACCTCCAGAACACCTGTGAGGCCACCTCAGTCCTCGCTGAGCTGAACTGGTGACCCAGACAGCACTAAGGGCAGAGAGCACTGGTCATGTGCTCAGTTCTAGGGCTTCAGTATCAACAACAACCTCCTACATTTATAGCCTTACCAGTCTGTGGAGCTGAATCTTCATTCTTTATTTGCTGACCTTCCTCGGAGACTTTTGGGTTGGGTTCTGATTAGAAAAGTCTGGCATCTAGTATTCTTTATTGATTTATAGTTGGCTAATTATTTCCATGGCTAAATGTGAAGTGGACGAAGTCTAAGAAAGCTGATGTTGGCCTCCCACTCCTGATCCTCCCTCTAGACACTCTCATTCTATCCCATTGGTGAAAGTCTACCCTTGTTTGGAAAACAAGTTGTAAGGAAGTAACCCACCACCAAACTATTTGTTATTAAGCATTTCAGGGTTTAATCCCTCTTGGAGTTTTTTGTTTTGTTTTGTTTTGTTTTACTTTTACAGAAGGAGTGGAAAAACTTGGAGTCAGAGTTTCTATGGGCAAAGGGACCTAGAGACTTTGGGGAAAGTATTTAGCTCCCTTGAGCCTTGATTTTCACTTCTGCAAAAGGAGTTGTCATCTGCCTTTCTCAGAAGCCTCCCAGAAAGTTCAGCAAATAGAGAATGAAGATTCAGCTCCACAGACTGGTAAGGCTATAATTGTAGGAGGTTGTTGTTGATACTGAAGCTCTAGAACTGAGCACATGACCAGTGCTCTCTGCCCATAGTGCTGTCTGGGTCACCAGTTTAGCTCAGCGAGGACTGAGGTGGCCTCACAGGTGTTCTGGAGACAGTCTTTCATGTAACAAGCATGCACAGGTACCCCCTGAATCTAAAATAAAATTAAATTAATAAAAACAAATAGTACTCTGAGGAGTCATATTTTTGTAAATATGTGCATGGCCAGCTGGATGCTACCTGCCTGAGAGGCCAGCACAGGAACATGGCACCATGGAGCCCAGCCAAGAATGCTGATGCATCAGTGAGAAGGTGTCAAGCTCTGTGTCAGAGCACTGAATATGGTCAGTGGAATTTGACAAAGGTTTACAGGGGAGAGAGAAAATGCTCATCTCATAGAAACTATGCTCTAATATGCTCTATGCTCTAATATCAGAAAACTCAATTATTATTATTATTATTTTTTGAGACAAGGTCTTGCTCTGTCACCCAGGCTGGAGTGCAGTGGTGCAATCATAGCTCACTGCAGCCTCAAACTCCTGGGCTCAAGCGATCCTCCCACCTCAGCCTCCTGAGTAGCTAGGAATACAGGTGCATACCACTATGCCCAGGTAATTTTTTTTTTCTTTTAATAGAGATGGGGTCAGCTGGGAGTGGTGGCTCACACCTGTAATCCCCGCACTTTGGGTGGCTGAGGCAGGAGGGTTGCTTGAGCTCAGGAGCTCGAGACCAGCCTGGCCAACATGGCGAAACCCCACCCCTACTGAAAATACAAACATTAGCCACGGTGATGCACACTTATAGTTCCAGCTACTCAAGAGACTGAAGTGGGAGAATTGTTTGAACCCAGGAGGCAGAGGTTGCAGTGAGCTGAGATGATGCCACTGCACTCCAGCCTAGGTGACAGAGTGAGACCCCATCTCAAAAAAAAAATGTTAATAAATAAACAAATAGAGACAGGGTCTCACTATGTTGACCAGGCTGGTCTCGAACTCCTGGCCTCAAGGGTCCTCCTTGCCTCAATCTCCCAAAGTGCTGAGATTACAGGCATGAGCTACTATGCCTGGCCTCAGTTTTTATTGATAATATCAGTTAACCTTTATTGAGAGTTTACTAAGTGCCAATCTCTGAGCCAAGGGCCTTCCATGCATTATCTCACTGAATCCTCTCAAACCTCTATGAAGTAGTTACTGCTTTTTAAAAACCCTATTTACAAAAATGGGGCCTTAGAGAGATAAAGCAACTTGCCCAACTGCTGTTGAGTAGAAATCTTAGATGTGAATCCAGACAGTTAGGTATTTTCTCAATTAGGGTCACAATAAAGTAGGTAGGTTCTAGACTTGCCCCAGGCACTCCTAAAACCCCAGAGGACACTGATAGAAGCATTGCAACTGTGGGACTGAGTCAGTCCCAAAGTCACATCTCAAGAGGCTGTTCCAGTTCCTGAAAATGTCTTCCATTAACAGTGCTGCAATGAAGATAAGTGTATTGTAATTCGAAGTTCTCCTGAAATAAGATAACTCTAATAGCAGGGAAGGGCCGCCAGGCTGGCACCAGCTTTGAAGTTACCAAATCCGCCCATGATTCAGTCCACAGGCTGAGTTCTCAAGAACCTTTCCAAGTGGCAGATCTGCTGACTGTGGCATTAAAAACTGGAAGGCGGCCTGCGAGAAGATAGAATGCAATAGTACAGTCACCTCCTTGCTTCACTCTTTTCCCCTCCACCTCAGCAAGCAGTTCCAACCCAATCCTTTCCATGAGAAATCACTGTCCAGAGTGAAGGAGGGAATGGTGCCCAACCTGGTGAAATGGGGGCATGGGAAGGTGGGGCCGTGATAGAGGCAGGCTCTGTCCTGAGGGAGAACAGCACACAGATGAATAGGAAGCCAGCAGAGAGCGTCTTCAGAGCCAAATCCCCACCTCTTTTCCCTTGGCTCTCTCCTCCAGTTTTCCTCCCTCCAGCCTGATCAAAACCTATCCTTAAGAAATCTAATTCAAGCCTCACCTGGAGCACCAAAAAATAAAAAAATAAGAATTGAATCGGCTGCCTCACTGTAAACCAAAGTCAGAAAGTAGCCCACGTCAGGGCCAGATGCAGTGGCTCTCACCTGTAATCCCAGTACTTTGGGAGGCCAAGGCAGGCGAATCTCCTGAGGTCAGGAGTTCGAGACCAGCCTGGCCAACGTGGTGAAATCCCGTCTCTACTAAAAATACAAAAATTAGCCGGGCATAGTGGTGTGCACCTATAGTCTCAGCTACTCAGGAGGCTGAGATAGGAGAATTGCTTGAACCTGGGAGGCGGAGGTTGCAGTGAGCAGAGATCGTGCCACTGCACTCCAGACTGGGCAACAGAGCAAGACTCCTCCATTTAAAAAACAAAAAAAAAAAAAAAACAAGAAAAACAAACAAAAAAAAACCCAGAAAGTAGCCCATGTGGGTCCTGTACTCTGTTAAAAGCAGCAGTCCCCACCCTTTTTGGCACCAGGGATTGGTTTTGTGGAAGACAATTTTTTCCATGGTTTTGGGATGATTCAAGCACATTATATTTATTGTGCACTTTATTTCTATTATTACATTGTCATATATAATGAAATAATTACACAATTCACCATAATGTGGAATCACTGGGGAGCCGTGAGCTTGTTTTCCTGCAACTAAACAATCCCATCTAGGGGTGATGGGAGACAGTGACAGATCATCAGGCATCAGATTCTCATGAGGAGCACGCGATCTAGATCCCTCTCATGTGCGGTTCACAATAGGGTTCATGCTCCTGAGAAAATCTAATGCTGCTGCTGATCTGACCAGAGGCTCAGCTCAGGCGGTAAAGCAAGCGAAAAGGAGTGGCTGTAAATACAGATGTAGCTTCACTCACTCGCCTGCCACTCACCACCTGCTGTGTGGCCAGTTCCTAACCAGTACTGGTCCATGGCCTGGGATTTGGGGACCCCTGTGTTAAAGAACTTTTAAGAATCAGTGAGCAAGTGAAGGGAAATAGAGCATCTTGTTTAGAATTGTTTCCTGACTTCTTAAAATGTGTAAAATAAATAAATTTTGGAGGCCGGCAAGTCATCCTCAGGACTCTAAAACTGCACCCTCTGTTGGCCCAGACTGTGGGCCAATGGGCCACAGTGAGTTAGACAGAACTTCTGAGCAAAGGGTCTTCATGCGCTGAAAGATTTCAGGCCTGGCCTAGCATGGTGGCTCATGCCTATAATCCCAGCACTTTGGGAGGCCAAGGCAGGAGGATTGCTCGAGGCCAGAAGTTCAAGACCAGCTTGGGCAACATAGGGAGACCCTGTCTCTACCAAAAATTTTAAAAACAGGGCATGGTGGTGCACATCTGTGGTCCCAGCTACTTGGAAGCTGAGGTGAGAGGATCACTTGAGTCTGGGAGTTTGAGGCTGGAGTGAGCTGTGATTGTGCCACTGCGCTCCAGCCTGGGCAATGCAGTGAGACCCTGTCTCAAAAAAAAAAAAAATTCAGGCCTGTGAGGACTAAGCCCTGATTTTTTATCTTGCCCAAATTCCTACCTAAGGGGTCTAGGGAGTCATGCCCTACAAACCATAAAATATCATCAGATGGGTTTTATTTGACCCTATATATTGTGACTTACTTCTCAGTCTGACTCTGGCATAACATTATGAAACAAGGAAAAGATATTTAACCCCAAAATGTATTTCCTTGCCATACCTTGAAATTGCCCTACAAGGTCTCCTGTGGGAAAAATACACATCCTATGGAGATCCCCTTTCCCCTTTGTTTTTCTTCCTTTCTTTCCAGATCCAGGAGATAATCAGCTAAGAGCCAGGTGCCCTTTTAGGTCTGATAAGAAACATTTTACAAGATACTCTCTCTGTCTCTCTGAAGTCTGCTATCTGACGTATTCTTCTGTGCAATGAAACTTGGTCTCCACAATTCTTTATGTTAACCTGAAAAATCGTTTCCATTGATCCCAGGTCTTCAGATAAACTCAACCAATTATCAACCAGAAAGTGTTTAAATTTACCTATAGCCTGGAAGCCACCCCCCTTGAGTTGTACTGCCTTTCTGAACCAAACCATTGTATTCTGAAATGTATTTGATTGATGTCTCATGCCTCCCTAAAATATATAAAACCAACCTGTACCCGACCACCTTGAGCACATGTTCTCAGGACCTCCTGAGGGTTGTGTCATGGGCCATGGTCTCCATTTTTGGCTCAGAATAAATATCTTCAAATATTTTACAGAGTTTCACTCTTTTCATCGACACCTGCATGGGCCCTAGGCTGTAGAATGTGTGAAGCTAACACTAAACACTGTACCATGTTCCCAGGGGCTCCCTCTCTGCCCCTACCAGTGATTTTTTTTTTTTTTTTTTTTTTTTGAGATGGAGTCTTGCTCTGTCGCCAGGCTGGAGTGCAGTGGTATGATCTTAGCTCACTGCAACCTCCACCTCCCAGGTTCAAGAGATTCTCCTGCCTCAGCCTCCTGAGTAGCTGGGATTACAGGCGCACACCACCATGCCCGGCTAATTTTTGTATTTTTAGTAGAGATGAGGTTTCACCATGTTGGTCAGGCTGATCTCGAACTCCTGACCTCATGATCAGCACGCCTCAGCCTCCCAAAGTGCTGAGATTACAGATGTGAGACACCGCACCCGGCCCCTAGCAGTGATTTATAAGCCTAACTTATAAACCTCCAACCCAGGTCCCAGAACAGTAGATTACTGGCTCCACCAATTGGAAGGCATGATGTACCTTTCTGGGCCACAGAGCAAGAGGTCTAGATTAAGCCTTCCCTGCTGCTGTGGACTGATATGTGCCCCTTTCTCCCAAAAAATTCATATGTTGAAGTCCTAACCCCCTGTGTGACTTTATTTGGAGTAAGAAAGTAATTAATGTTACATGAGGTCATAGGATAGAACCCTAATCAGATAGGATTAGTCTCCTTATAAGAAGAAACACCAGAGAGCTTGCTCACTCTAGCGCCCTCTGCCCTTTGAGGACACAGGGAGAAGGTGACAGTCTGCAAGCCAAGATGAGAGCCCTCACCAGAAACTGAACTGGTTGGACCCTTTATCTCGGACTTCCAGCGTCCAGAACTGTGAGAAAACAAATGTCTGTTATTTAACTCACCAGGTCTGTGGTATCTTGTTACAGCAGCCCAAGCCGACTAAGTCATCTGCCTACTCTCTAATGCCTCAACATTTATATATGGAGGGTTCAACTGAACGGATACACCTCTAGGCCCACTCGTACTCACACCACATTTCTTCCTATTATATATCTTTTATTCTACAGAAATGTACACAACACTGCTTTTTTCCGTATGCCATTGCTCCTTTGCCATGATTTGGATATTGTATCACAAATGAGACAGATTCTGTGTGACAAGAATACTTGGAAGATCCAGGTACACCATGGGGCCCTGGAAGCAGCAGACAATCTTCTTTTGTGACCTGTCTTGGTCTCAGGGTCTCATCATAAAGGAGGTTAGCTTGAGGGAGCTCCATTAAAATGATCATGTTATTTTGGGGTGGAAGGATAATATTTTTTAACACCCTTCTACAAATTAGCAGGTTAGCTGGCTCCCTCTGAGGAGATTTAGATAAAGAGATTATATTTAATGAGGGGAAAGAAGATTCACAAACCCCAGGTAGGAAAGTTTAGGGACCAGAGTTGACCTCAACCCGTGGACTGTGAAGCTGAGATCAACAAACCAGAATGGCTGACTTGACAGTTTTTTCTTTTCGTATCTTCCAGAAGATAGAAAACGACAATGAAATACTTGATGCTGATACAGCACAAGCCTTGGCAAAGGTTAATAATCAATTGTAAAGCAGTTAAGATAAAACCTTAAATTATTAACTGGTTATCTTGGAATTTAAGGAGCAAGGCCCCAGGGATATGACACCTGATTAGTTATGTATGTGTGAGCTGGGGCCAGGGTGGGGAGAGTCGCAGAAAGAAGTGGTCACAGGAGGGTGCCCTATTAGAAATGGTTGGGCAGAAGAGGGTGGGGGTGGGGGGAGTGAGCAGACAAAAGAGGCTGGAGAACTCTGTTGATTGACAAAGGTACCTATATCAGTGTTGTGCCTTGGGGTAGCCATGGTGCTGGACGTTAATCACAAAGATTACTGTCCTTTCCGAACTGGTATATAACCAACTGCTTAGGAGAGGGGGCTACAAAGAGACCACTGGAAACAAAGGGTCTTTCTTTGAAATTGTTATGAAGTGTTATCAGATTTGTGTTCAGTGTATTATCCAATCTTAACCTTCTGCCTCATTAAAATGTTAAGCCTTTGGAAATGTTTTAGGGTCACCGTATGTTCTGTAGAATTACAAGATGGCTCTGTTGTCTAGTGGCTCCACCTTTATCACCTTGGTGATTTTCAGGAAGGCAGGCCCCCAAATCACTCAGCGTAGTCTCAATGGCTTTTTCTTTAGAGCCCATTGAAAATTGCTGGGGTTTCCTCTGCCAAAAATAGCTATTCATATATATCTGAATAACTTATGACTGTGGTTTATATTTAAAGAAAGCATTTCAATACTTTTTTTTATTATTTTCTAAGAGTCACGAAATCTGCCTTGTGGCTTTCTGAGCCACAGGGCAGCAAGCTAAAGGTAATAGAAGATGACACTGGCAATATGTGCAAGGACAGAGGTTGCAGAAGCCTGTTAAAGAATCAGAAATCCCTCCTTGTTTTTGGGCATGTGACTGTGAGCTGTTGAAGCAGAAATGAGATGCTTGATAGTTAGAGCCGATTTCACCTTCTTGAGCATGGAGCAAAGGCTGGGGCCAGGTTTACAAACACAACACAAAAGAAGAACCTCTTGCCTATGTTGTGGTGCTATGCTGTGAAGAATTTTTCAGTGGTCAGTTGTTGGTTGTCTCTTGTAGCCACATTGTTTAGGGTGACATTATTTATATGACCTTGATTACATGAAGTAAAGATTAAGAGAACTATAAAATGTTTAGAGATTCATCCAATCCAACCCTTTTAATTTACAGATGGGGAAACTGAGGTCCAGAGAAGGATGTGATTTGATGTGCCTGTAGTGGGTTGAATAATGTCCCCCTAAAAGAGATGTCCAAGTTCTAATCCCTGGAACTTTAAACATTATCTTATTTGGAAAAAGCGTCTTAGCAGATATAATTAAGCTAAGGGTTCATGATAAGATTATCCTTGATTTAGGGCAAACTACATCCAATGGCAGGTGTTCTTGTAAGAGAAAGGCAGAGGGATATTGAACACACAGAGACGCAGAAGAGAAAAAGTGATGTGAAGATGGAAGTAGAGATGGAATTAGGTAAGCCACAAGGCAAGGAATGCCTGGAGCCACCAGAAGCTGAAAGAGTCAAAAAGGAGGGAATATTTGGAGAGAGTGTGACTCTACCAACACCTTGATATCAGACTTCTAGCTTCCAGAACGATGAGAGAACAAATTTCTTTTGTCTTAAGCTACATGTTTATGGCAATTTGTTACAGCCGCCCTAGGAAACTAACACAATGCACAAAAGATAGAACCAGGCTAGAACCCAAATCTCTGGACTCCCTCAGTCTTGTGTTTCCCTTCCTCCATTTCACATGCTCTGAGTTCTGATCTCGTCAAAGATGTAAAAAGCATTCACACTCCTTGCTGTTAAGAACACAACTTCTGAAATGAAGGCAATGAAGAACACTGCAGATGCTGCTGTTTCCGTGAGTCGAGGCTTAGCCCATCCAACAACTAAGCTTTCTGAGCTTGGAAGTAATAGATTTGACTGTGGTATTAAGCTTTAGGGAATCATGCCGAGATCTGGAAGAGGGAAACTGATAAAAAATAGCCAGAAAGGTTAGCCAATTGACTCCAACAAAATACACAGAAAGCAGATAATAATATCTACCTCACAAAGTGTTTATGCAATAAACAAGTATTTATTGAGCACACACTATAGATGCCAGACATTAATCTAGGCTCCTTGATCTCAGTGGGAATAATGGAATCTCATTTATATGCATTTAGCCTCTGCCACTGGCAGCATATAAATGCCAGACAGTATGGTTATGGTTATGGAAATGGGACACAAGGCCTGTTTGGTAATCAATGGTTTGAGCTGCAGGCATCCTTGTCATTGCCTAATTGCTCATGGTCTCCCCAGAATTGAAACAATGAGCGCCTACAAAGTCCTAACTGAAAAAAAGTCTAGGTCTGGTGAGCAGAAATCTTACTTGAGGCACCACAACAGAGAGTACACTGTGTAACTTTTGTGTCTTTCTCCAGATCCTTTCTCCCTTGTTCTCCATCTTGCTCTGACCTGTGTGGACTGTGTCACTAGGCTGCCTTGCCCTCTCGCTTCTGCTTGGGTTTAGCCAATGGGAAGCACTGGCAGGAGGTTGAATGCCTTTCAACCTATTTCCCCAGCTACCCCAGGGCTTGCTCAATGGACTCATAAATAATGTGGCCATGTAGCAGGGTTAGAAGTTATGCATCGGCTCTGCCATAGGGATTTCTCACCAAGGCTGATCTGGCTACTCCCATTGGTGATTGCTGAATCTACCTATAGCAAAGGTCAACGATGAGTCCCTAGTATGGCACGCTTTCTCAGCAGCACCAGACAGTCACCTGATGGCAGGTTGATTTCACGGCCCCCTAATGGAGGAAGGAGGCAGCAATTCCTCAGTGGACTTGACTCATTCTGGATATGATGCCTATTAATACTTCAATGTCCCATATCAAAAAGTAAAGGAAGACTATAGCAACACAGTTTAATCAGAACCATTAATAGTTCACAAACTTAAGAGTGAAGGTGTAAGTCATGCTGTAAGATAAAAACCAATTAGTTGAAGGGCTGACTGAGGGAATAGGGAATGTGAAATGGATAGGGGAAGAAGGAAATTATTAACACCAACTACTGCCTCATCACCAATTAAGAAATGAGATTTTGGCCAGGCAAAGTGGCTCATGCCTATAATCCCAGCACTTTGGGAGCCCAAGGCAGGCGGATCACGAGGTCAGGAGTTCGAGACCACCCTGGCCAACATGGCAAAACCCCGTCTCTACTAAAAATACAAAAATCAGCCGGGCGTGGTGGCAGGCCCCTGTAATCCCAGCTACTCAGGAAGCTGAGGCAGGAGAATTGCTTGAACCCAGGAGGCAGAGGTTGCAGTGAGCTGAGCTGAGATTGTGCTATTGCACTCCAGTCTGGGTGACAAGAGCAGGAGTCCATCTCAAAAAAAAAAAAGAGATTTTAGTAGCTAAACATATTTTTCCCTTGGTTTGTTTTATATATGTACAACTAATATATAGACTTTCTTCCCCTTCTCTGTCCTCTACTCTTTCATTTAGGGTGAGTTGATGGTAGCTAACCTCATAATTTAGTTTTTAGGTTACAGGATACCAAAGGAAGATTGTGACTGAAAAGGAAAAAGAAGGACCATCATAAAGAGAAGAGAAATGACTGGTAGGACTTTGGGTCTCCCCTTCCAAGGAAGATAGTGAGGGCATCTTCATTTGCATGAGAGATAGTCACAGAACTGAGGTGAAAGCATTATGCTGTCATTCTCATTGTTTGAAAATAAATGTGGGTAAAAGGCTATGTATGGATGCTGAGCACCTGAGGCAGTGAACTGCACCGGACTATCCACTAGCAACGCAGGATCTCTCTTCTGTGATCCCCCAAGAGTTAGATACTAAGAGCATTTCTTAGTATCTTTTGCTAACCATTTTCCATGCTAGATGCCATAAATGAGAGGTACTTCTGTGGGATTTGGAGAATGGAAGAGAGACAGAGTATTATTATATTCCCCCCTGTAGCAGTGGACAGATATATACACTTCAGCAGATACAAACGAAACTAGGGGCACAGCTATAAATAAGACAGAGGTTTAAAAGTTAATAAGATAATTCTATCAACAGCATTTAAAAACTTGAAGAAAAAGACCAATTTCTAGGAAAGTAACTTACTACATCTGGCTCAAGAAGAAATTGAAAGTCCCCCAAATCCTATTACTGTTAATTAAATTGAAGAAGTCATGAAAAATCTGTCAACAGACTTAACATTTTCACCTGTCAAAAATTAACTTACAATAATTCTCTTTCTGGAAAATTAGAAAACTGGATAAAATATATGAAACAGTGGCTTTCAGACATTGGACAACAGGCAACATATAACTATGATCTCTGAGAGAAAGAGAACAAATGAGGTGAGCCCTGGGATTGGCCAGTTTACAAAGACAGAGAACACCAGAAATCTGCAGAGGAATCTTTTTGAGTCTTTGGCTGAGAAGTAACTTATGTATACATCCAGTGAATCACCATGAAGCCGGGTAAAGGACCACCAGAATGTAGTAAACTAAACAATTTCTGGAGCTCACACAGGGCTGTGAGTAGTTTGTGTTACTACTAGCCAGAAGGATCATGCTTTGGTTAGTAAGCCCTGAAAGTTTGAAACTAACCCCAAGTAATTTTTTTTTTTGAACCAGAGTCTCACTCTGTCACCCCGGTTGGAGTGCAGTGGCATGTCTTGGCTCACTGCAACCTCTGCCTCCGGGTTCAAGCGAGTCTCCTGCCTCAGCCTCCCTAGTGACTGAGATTACAGATGTGCACCACCATGCCACGCTAATTTTTGTATTTTTAGTAGAGACAGGGTTTCACCATGTTGGCCAGGCTGGTCTCGAACTTCTGACCTCGTGATCCACCTGCCTCAGCCTCCCAAAATGCTGGGATTACAGGCATGAGCCACCATGCCCAGCAACATCAAGTAATTTTAACCACATGCCAGAATAATGTCAACACTCTAAAGAAATACCACAATATCAACACCTAATGATGTAAAACTCATGGAGTCTGGCATACAAGAAAATAATTACCAAATATGCAAAGAAGTAGAAAAATATAACCCATAATCAAAAGGAAAATCAATCAGTATAAATCTCAAAACTATAAGAAGATGGAATTAGCAGACAAGAACCTTAAGACAGCTAACATAAATATTATAAATATTCTTAAGAATGTAAAAGGCGGCCAGACACGGTGGCTTATGCCTGTAATCTCAGCACTTTTGGAGGTCAAGGTGGGAGGAATGCTTGAGCCCAGGAGTTTGAGACTAGCCTGGGCAACTTAATGAGACTCCATTTCTACCAAAAATTTTTAAATTAGCTGGGCACAGTGACATGTGCCTGTAGTCCCAGCTACTTGGGAGACTGAGTGGGGAGGATCAGTTGAGCCCAGGAGGTTGAGGCTGTAGTGAGCCCTGAACACACCACTACTCCCAGCCTGGGTAACAGAGTAAGCCCTTGTGTCAAAAAGAAAAAAAAATGTAAAAGAAAACATAAACATAATGAGAGAAACACAATATAAAAAGATATAAATGGAACTTCTAGAGATTAAAAATATAATATCCGATATAAAAAAATTAGACTGGGTGGGATTAACTGTGAACTTGAAGATATAGCAATATAAACTATCCAAAACGCAGTGTAGAGAGAAAAAGGAAAATGAATCAAACCTCAACAACCAGCTGGGCACAGCGGCTCATGCCTATAATCCCAGCACTTTGGGAGGCCAAGGTGGGCAGATCGCTTGAGCCCAGGAATTTGAGACCAGCCTGGACAACATAGTGAGACCTTTTCTCTTATTTTTTAAAAGAAAAAATATTTTAAAACTTAAAAAATTAAAAATTAAAAATAAAAACGAATCTTAACAAGCTGCAGGACAGCCGGGCATGGTGGCTTATGCCTGTAATCCCAGCACTTTGGGAGGCCGAGGCGGGCGGATCACCTGAGGTCAGGAGTTCAAGACCACCCTGGCCAACATGGCAAAACTCCGTCTCTACTAAAAATACAAAAATTAGCTGGGCATGGTGGTGCAAGCCTGTAGTCCCAGCTACTCTGGAGGCTGAAGCAGGAGAATCGCTTAAACCTGGGAGGCTGAGGTTGCAGTGAGCCAAGATCACACCACTGCACTCCAGCCTGGATGACAGAGCAAGACTTCATCTAAAAAAAAAAAAATTACTTGAACAAATAACAGTATACAATTTCCCCCCCACACACAAAGAAAGTCACAGAGGAGGTATATGATCTTGCTTTAGCAAGATCTGCTTTGCGTTTAGCTTCCCTGGGCCTCAGTTTTCTGATCTTTAATATAATGCCTATCTGATAAGTGCTTGGAGGATTAGCTTGTGATAGATGTAAAGCTCTTGGTCCAATGCTGAGTACTCAGTTGTTGCACATGAATGGAAGTAATGAATGTAAAATCCCCAACACCAGGCTTGGCAAAAAGTAAACACCTCAAAATGTAAATTATTGTTATCATTTCATCCCTTGTTTTCTTTCTTTGGTCTATATAGACTTAATTTCATTATAAAGATAAAATAGACCTTGAATGATTAAAAAAAAAATTATAGCCTGGGCAACATAGCAAAACCCCATTTCTACACACACACACAAAATATATATATATATATATACACACACACACACACACAAATATATATATGTATACACAAAATTTATATATACACAAAAATTAGCTGGGTGTGGTGTCAAGCGCCTGTAGTCCCAGCTACTGGGGAGTTAGGGGGCTGAGGCAGGAGGATCACATGAGCCCAGGAGGTTGAGGCTGCAGCGAGCACCACTGCACTCCAGACTGGGTGACAAAGCCAGAACTCGTATCAAAAACAAACAAAACTCAGCTAACCTCAAGCAGAATAAACATAATGAAAACACACAGAAAGGCAATCATAATCAAACTGCAGGAAATAAGTGATTAAAAAGAAAATGTTCAAAACAGCCAGAGGAAAAAAGGTAACTACAGCAGACTTCTCATCAGAAACAATGCAAGCAGAAGACAGCAGAGCAACATCTTTTAAAGTATTGAAAGGAAAACCTATCAACCTGGAATTCTAGTGTGTGAGTGTGTGTGTGTGTGTGTGTGAGTGACAGAGTTTTGCTCTTGTCACCCAGGCTAGAGTGCAGTGGTGCGATCTCAGCTCACTGCAACCCCCACCTCCCGAGTTTAAGTGATTCTCCTGCCTCAGCCTCTCGAGTAGCTGGAATTACAGCCACGTGTCACCACGCCCAGCTAATTTTTGTATTTTTAGTAGAGACGGGGTTTTGCCATGTTGGCCAGGCAGGTCTCAAACTCCTGACCTCGTGATCCACCCACCTCGGCCTCCCAAAGTGCTGGGATTACAGACGTGAGCCACCATGCCCAGCCTGGAATTCTATTTACAGGAGAAATATTTTTCAAAAACAAAGGCAAGGCCGGGTGTGGTGGCTCATGTCTGTAATCTCAGCACTTTTAAGAGGCCAAGGCAGGCGGATCGCTTGAGCCCAGGAGGTCAAGACACACTGGGACCCCTTCTCCACGAAAACTACAAAAATTAGCTGGGCATGGTGGTGCCTACTTGTAGTTGCAGCCACTCAGGAGGCTGAGATGGGAGGATCACTTGAGCCCAGGAGATTGAGGCTGTAGTGAGCCATGATGGAGCCACTTCACTCCAGCCTGGGTGACAGACCGAGACCCTGTCTCAAAAAAAAAAAAAAAAAAAAAAAAGTACAGATAAAGAAAAAGGACGGAAAAATACATGCCATAAAAACACTAATCAAAAGAAAGCTGGAATGGCTATAAAAATATCAAGCAGACTAGGCACAGTGGCCCACACTGGTAATCCCAGCACTTTGGGAGCCTGAGGCAGGTAGATCGCTTGAGCTCAGGAGTTCAAGACCAGCCTGGGCAACATAGCAAGACCTCGTCTTTACAAAAAATACAAAAATTAGGATGTGCCTATAGTCCCAGCTACTTGGGAGGCTGAGGTGGGAGGATCGCTCGAGCCCAGGAAGTCAAGGCTATAATAGGCCAAGATCGCATCATTGCACTTCAGCCTGGGTGACAAAGCGAGACCTTGTCTTAAAAAAAATGCCGGGTGCAGTGGCTCACCCCTGTAATCCCAGCACTTTGGGAGGCTGAGACAAGTAGATCACCTGAGGTCAGGAGTTCTAGACCAGCCTGGCCAACATGGTGAAACCCCGTCTCTACTAAAAATAAAAAAATTAGCCAGGTGTGGTGGTATGCACCACCACAGGTGCATGCACACCAGCTACTCAGGTGGCCGAGGCAGGAGAATCGCTTGAACCTGGGAGGTGGAGGTTGCAGTGAGCCGAGATCGTGCCATCGCACTCCAGCCTGGGGGACAATAGTGAGACTTCGCTCCCCCACCGCAAAAAAAAGAAAAAAAGACTATCAAACAAAGTAGATTTCAGAGCAAGAAATATTTCCAGGGATAAAAATGATAATTTCTTTTTTTATAATTTAATGTATTTTAATAGCAAACTTACAGGAACAGCACGGAAGACAGACAACATTAAACACATGTGCTTGCATGTAGGACAACTCAGAAAAATATAGTGAATGGATAGAATCTACTATATGATAAAAATGCTACCAACACTATTTAGTTGCTGTCAATAAGAAATTTACTTGTTTAAAAAAAAATCCAAATGCTGGCATTGTCCAGAAAAATTTAACAGGTTTATTTATAATTATTATAAAGTTGAACCGCTGAAACTTGTTCACGGAAACATTTTAACTTGCATTAATGCTTTACCTCCCTGCATTTATATTAAAAATTCACACACAAACGAAAATGGAAAAACTGCCAATACCTGATTTCTGTCCCCTATTTTTGCACTCGTAATCATATACTTAGGTACCTTTTGACCCCATGGGGGAAAAAAAATCTAATGTTCAGAACTACCAATAACAGGAATAAGATAATTTTTTTTTTTGAGAATGAAATGTTTCCCATCATAGTGGATTCTTAAGCACGTTCTCCACGTGTGCGGAGTGCTAGCTGGATATCTTTTGGCATAACTGTTACATGCTTGGCATGGATAGCACACAGGTTGGTGTTTTCAAAAAGGCCAACAAGATAGGCCTTACTTGACTCCTGCAAAGCACCGATAGCTCTGGAAGCACAAATCTGTTTTAAAGTCCTGAGCAATTTCTCTCACCAGACGCCGGAAGGGGAGTTTGCGAATTAGTTCAGTGGACTTCTGATAACGCCTAATTTCACGGAGTGCCACAGTACCAGGCCTATTACGATGAGGTTTCTTCACCCCTCCAGTAGAGGGCGCAGTCTTGCGAGCGGCTTTTGTAGCCAGTTGCTTCCTGGTGCTTTACCACCGTCCAGTTTGCGGGCACTTGGCTTTGTACGAGCCAAGGTATAGAGACTTCCTTACTTACTCCCTTCTCCTTCGACTGGAGCTCGGCGAGGAAGAGGCGGGAGAGGCGGCGCTGGCGTTGGAGAGCGACGGCGGCGCGGCAGCGACGGCGGCTGCAAACACAACTCGATAATTTCTGTTTTCCTTTTTGAGACGGTGTCTCGCCAGCACAACTCGATAATTTCTTTTTTCTTTTCTGAGACGGTGTCTCGCCCTGTCACCAGGCTGGAGTGCAGTGGCGCGATCGCGGCTCACTGCAACCTCTGCCTCCACCTCCCAGGTTCAAGCGATTCTCCTGCCTCAGCCTCCCAAGTAGCTGGGACTACAGGCGCTCGCCACTACACCCAGGTAATTTTTTTTTGTAGTAGAGACGGGGTTTTACCATGTGGGCCAGGATGGTCTCGATCTCCTGACCTCATGATCCGCCCGCCTCGGCCTCCTGAAGTGCTGGGATTACAGGCGTGAGCCACCGCGCCTGGCCTCGATAATTTCTTAATAGTAAAGAGGTCCGGGATGTGCTCAGAGCAGGGGGCCTGAGGAATGGCTCCTCTGTTTACAACACACCCAACAGGAATCTGGGATCATTGTGACGAGAGGTACCAAAACTTGTAGGCTTCCTACGAACAAACTGTACATGTGAAGGGAAAGAATAATAATAAAATAGTAATAATAACGTCAATTCATTAGATAATGCGACAGTTTTAAATTGTATACATCTAACATCAGAGCTCCAAAATACATGGAAGCAAAAACTGACAAAGTTGAGAGATAGACAAAACCACCACAATTAGATTTGTCAACATCTCAATCATTGATAGATCAACTAGAAAGAAAATCAGTCAGGATTTAGAAAACTTGAATAACACTATAAAACATCTTGACCTAATTGACATTTATAGACATTTCATCCAACAACAGCAGAATACATATGTTTTTCAAGTCCCCTCAGAACATTTCCCAAGATAACCTGTATTCTGAGTCATAAAACAAGTCTGGATAAAAGATTGAGATTATACAATGTTCTCTAATAGCAACAGAATTAATTTAGAAATCAAGAACGAAAGATATCTGGAAATTATCTAAAACGCCATTTATAGTAGCATAAAAATATTGAACACTTAGGGATAAATTTGGAAAAAGATGTCAAATTAAAGAAGATTCAAGTAAATAGAAAGATGTGCTATTTGCATGGATTGCCAGACTCAATATTGTTGCATGTCAATTCCTCCACTCATTGATTTAGTCATGCAATGCCATTCCAATCAAAATCTCAGCAAGTTTTCTTGTAAAAATAGACAAGCTGATTCTAAAATGTGTGTGGAGATTTTTTAAAAGGCCAAATAATTTTTAAAATAAAAAATAAAGTTGGAGAAATAATACTACCTAATTTGATTACCAATATAAATCTACAGAAACTAAGACAATGTTGTTTTGGCTTAAAAATAAACATTTAGATCAATGGAACAAAAAGAGAGTCCAGAAATAGACTCACACATACATAGTCAATTGATTTTTTTTATTTTTTATTTTTATTTTTTTAAGATGGGGTCTCACTCTGTCACCCAGGGCAGAGTACAGTGGGGTGATCTCGGCTCACTGCAAACTCCACCTCCCCGGCTCAAGCGAACCTCCCACCTCAGCCTCCTGAGTAGCTGGGACGCAGGTACCCACCACCATGCCCCACTAATTTTTTGTACTTTTGGTACAGACAGGGTTTCACCATGTTGCCCAGGCTGGTCTCAAACTCCTGAGATCAAAGGATCCTTTCGCCTCGGCCTCTTTTCACCTCAGCCTCTTTTCGCCTCAGCCTCCCAAAGTGCTGAGATTACAGGTGTGAGCCACCGCACCCAGCCATCAATTGATATTTGACAAAGGTCCCAAGACAATAAAATGGGGAATGAATAATCTTTTCAACAAAGAGTGCTTGAACAATTGAATAGCAGTGTATTTTTTAAAAACTAAAAGAAAAAAACTTACCTCTTAACTTACAGAATATACAAAAATTAACTCAAAATGCATCATAGGAGGGTCGGGCATGGTGGCTTATGCCTGTAATCCCAGCACTTTGGGAAGCTGAGGTGGGTGGATCACCTGAGGTTGAGAGTTCAAGATCAGCCTGACTAACATGGAGAAACCCCTTCTCTACTAAAAATACAAAATTAGCTAGGCGTGGTGGCACATGCCTGTAATCCCAGCTACTTGGGAGGCTGAAGCAGGAGAATCGCTTGAACCTGGGAGGTGGAAGTTGCAGTGAGCCGAGATCACGCCATTGCACTCCAGCATGAGCAACAAGAGCGAAACGCCGTCTCAAAAAAAAAAAAAGTCATAGGCTTAAATGAAAGTTATCAAACTCAGACATTTGTTGCCAAAAAGCCTCAGCTCTCTCCATGGGGCTGCTTGAGTGTCCTCACATCATGGCATCTGGCTTTAATGACCCAACAGAGACAGCAAGAAGAAAGGTGCAATGCTTTGTATGACCTCACTTGGAAAGTGACACACTGTCACATCTGCCATATTCTATTTGTTAGAAAGGTCACTAAATCCAAATTTCTCTCTAATGGGGAGAAATTAAGCTCTACATCTTGAAGAAGATACTTGGAAGAGTATCAAGGAATTTGTGGATATATTTTTAAGCCACCATCAGGCCACAAATCACTTATTTGCAATTCCCTACACAAAATATATTCACCCCTTTCCTAAGGGCCCCAAAAGTCTCTTCTTATTTCAGTATCAGTTCAAAATCCAGAGTCACAGTATATAAATCAGGTCCAGGTGCAGACAATGCTTTTCAGGTGTATTTCCTTAAAGACAGCTTCTTGCAATCTGAACACCTGTGAACTGGAGATAAATTATCTTCCCCAACATACACACCCACACACCCACACACACCACACAGTGGTGGGATGGGCATACGATAAACACTGTAAACAGTCCTGTGCAAAAAGGGGAAAAATAGGACTGGTCCATAGTGGTTCTGAGACCCAGCTAGGCAAAGTTTGGAGATTCTTTTATTAGGATTCATTCCTACTGAATGAATGGGATTCATCCCATGACTTTTGGCCCCTACCTTGGAGCTCTTGGTTCTGCTAAGTCATCCTTCCTTTTCCATGAGAGATAACTCATGTTTTTCAGCTGTAGAGTTTTCTCAGTCTGATTACAGCAGGTGAAATTTTGGGAATTCAAAAGTCTCTTCATTCATGTACTATCTTTGTCCCTTTCATTCCAAGCTGTTTCTGCCAATATGATTCTTAAATGTTGTGGGTCTTCTGTGAATCTTACTGTGGTTCATTCCGTAAGTCTGAGATCGCAGCCATAAACCTTTTTGCAATAAGCCCTTCTCAATATTGGGCATCTGCTGAGGTGCAATGCTGTTTAGCTTTTGAAAAGCCCCACTGTTTAAAGGAGAGTATCTATAAAGCATACCCTTAAAATCTTTAGAGGGCCATTTGTCTTACTGAATGGTACTCTGAGGCTGTACCTTGGATCATTATGACAAAGAATTTTACTTTGTCTTTAGACCATGTTTTCCCAGTAGTGCCCTAGATTTGATCTTTGCTCAGAATTCACTTCTTGGCCAGGCATGATGGCTCATGCCTATAACCCCAGAGCTTCAGGAAGCCAAGGCAGGAGGATTGCTTCAGCCCAGGAGTTTGAGGCTACAGTGAGCTATGATCATTCCACTGCACTCCAGCCTGGACCTCAGAGCGACACCCTGTCTCTAAAAAAACAAAAACAAAAACAAAACCCCCAAAACCTAATCTATCTTTTACATTTAGCCAGTTAGAGAGGCTGAAAATTTTCAAAACCCTCAAATTCTGGTTCCTTCGTGTCCTTCATGTTTAATAGTTCTTGGCTTATCTATCTCCTCTTGCATTTTCCTATGAACAATAAGAAGAAACCAGGAGATGCTTTCAACAGGTTTCCTGGAAAGCTTTTTGCTAGATCATGTGGTTCATCTGGTATATTTTTACTTTCTACATTACCCCAGGTAACAGTGTTGCTAAACTTTTTGCTGCTATATAATAATGACCCCTTTCCTCCAATTGACAACAAGATTTTCCTCACTTTCCTCTTTATGCTCTCACTTACAACCTCCTCAAGGGCCCTGAGGCTTCTTCAAGGTATTCAGACTTTTCACTAACACTTTCCTCCAAGGCTGCCCAATTCCAAAGCCACTTTCACATTTTAGGGTTTTGTTATGGCAGTGCCCCCACTTCTAGGTAACAAAATCTGTATTAGTTACTTATCACAGTGTAACAAATTACCTGAAAACTTAGCAGCTTTAAAAGCAGACATTGATTATCTCACAATTTTTTTTTTTTTTTTAGACAGAGTTTTGCTCTGTCACCCAGGCTGGAGTGCAGTGGTGCGATCTCAGCTCACTGCAACCTCCAATTCCCGGGTTCAAGCAATTCTCCTGCCTCAGCCTCCTGAGTAGCTGGGACTACAGGCATGGACCACAACACCCAGCTAAATTTTTTTGTATTTTTGTAGAGACAGGGTTTCACCATGTTGGCCAGGCTGGTCTTGAACTCCTGACCTGAAGTGATCCACTCACCTCGCCTCAGCCTCCCAAAGTGCTGGGATTACAGTCGTAAGCCACCGTGCCCAGCTAATTATCTCACAATTCCTTTTTTTTTTTTTTTCCAAAACGGAGTCTTGCTCTGTTACCCAAGCTGGAGTGCAGTGGTGTGATCTCGGCTCACCACAACCTCCACTTCTTGGTTCAAGCGATTCTCCTGCCTCAGCCTCCTAAGTAGCTGGGATTACAGGCATACGCCATGACACCTGGCTAATTTTTTTTGTATTTTTAGTAGAGACGGGGTTTCGCCATGTTGGTCAAGCTGGTCTCGAACTCCTGATCTCAAGTGATCCGCCCACCTGGGCCTCCCAAAGTGCTGGGATTACAGGCATGAGCCACCACACCTGGCCATGATTATCTCACAATTTAACTCAGGAATTTGGAAGTGACTTAGCTGAGTGATTCTTGTTCAGGGTCTCCCATGAGGTCGTTGTCAAGATGTTGGCTAAGGCCACAGTCACCTGAAGGTTTGATTTGAGGCCAGACAATCTGCTTCAAAGATGGCTTGCTCACATAACTATTGGCCAAATATCTCATTTCCTTGATGACCATTGGCAGGAGGGCTCAGTTTCTCACCACATGGATCTCAACCCCGTGAGGTCACTTGAGTCTCCTCGTGACCTTGCAGCTGGCTTCCTTCAGAGCTAGTGATCCAAGAGAGAACAAAGAAGAAGCTACAATGCCATTTATAATGTCCTATCAGACCTGTCAGATGTGACACACCATAACTTCCAAATTATTCTATTCATTCAAAGAATAATTCATTCAGCCCACCTTCACTTCAGGAAGAGAAATTAAGCTCTACTTCTTTTTTATTTTACTTTGAGACTGGAGTCTCGCTCTTATCGCCCAGGCTGGAAAGCAATGGCGTGATCTCAGCTCACTGCAACCTCTGCCTCCTGGGTTCAAGCAATTCTCCTGCCTCAGCCTCTGGAGTAGCTAGGATTACAGGTGCTCACCACCAAGCCCAGCTAATTTTTGTATTTTTAGTGGAGACAGAGTTTCACCATGGTGGCCAGGCTTGTCTTGAACTCCTGACCTCTGGTGACCCGACTGCCTCGGCCTCCCAAAGTGCTGGGATTACAGGTGTGAGCCACCGTGCACGGCCTCTACTTCTTTTTAAAAAAATTTTTTTAGAGATGGGGTCTAGCTATGTTGTCCAGGCTGGAGTGCAGTGGCTATTCATAGCCACAATCATAGTGCACTGTAGCTTCAAACTCCTGGGCTCAGGTGATCCTCCCACTTCAGCCTTCCAAGTGGCTGGACTATAGGCTTGTGCCATCAAGCCTGGCTAAGCTCTACTTCTTGAAGGGAGGAGTATCAGAGAATTTGTGAACATATGAACTTGTGAATCACCTGAGTTTTCTTGAAGCATTTGGCCAAAGAGAATTGAAGAAAAAGAAGTTATTTGCAGCTTTGATTATATGGTTAAAAATATTTTATCTAGACTCAGGACGAGGCCAGTGAACCAGAGTAGTCATGACACAGAAATAGTTTGACTTTTTGAAATTTTTTTATTTTTGATATGGAGTCTCGCTCTGTAGCCCAGGCTGGAGTGCAATGGTGCAATCTCGGCTCACTGCAACCTCCACCCCCTGGGTTCAAGTGATTCTCCTGCCTCAGCTTCCCGAGTAGCTGGGATTACAGGTGCGCACCACCACACCTGGCTAATTTTTGGGGTTTGTTTGTTTGTTTTTTGGTTTTTTTTTTGAGACAGAGTCTCACTCTGTCACCCAGGCTGGAGTGCAGTGGCACGATCTCGGCTCACTGCAAGCTCCGCCTCCCGGGTTCACACCATTCTACTGCCTCAGCCTCCCGAGTAGCTGGGACTACAGGCGCCCGCCACCACGCCTGGCTAATTTTTTTGTATTTTTAGTAGAGATGGGGTTTCACCACATTAGCCAGGATGGTCTCGATCTCCTGACCTTATGATCCACCCGCCTCAGCTGGGATTACAGGCATGAAACACCGTGGCCAGTATGACTGAAATTTAGAAGAAAGTTTGGAAATAAAAGAAATTCAAGTCAGATTGTTGCAATTTTTGTATGTATCTTTCCCTTTTAACTTAAAATTACATTTGAAATTTGCACATTGTACCATCATGTCAAATGCTCAATGCTAACAATATCAGTATAACATGGATACGTCTCTTTTCATGCTGTTTTGGCTACCCTGACTCTAGAAAACATTATACACTTGATATTAGATCTTCCTCTTTTGATCTGAGAGACCAAAATGGATGCACCATTATCAAGTAAGACAGACTCAAAGCTTAAGGAAAGTAACTTACCTATGGGTCCAAGGTGCCGGCTGGCATAGCAAATTGCTAAATTCCTATGGCTAAGGTCTCTAATAATAGGAGCTATGAGCTCTGATTTACAACCCAGACCCCAAGTCTGATTAGACAGAGGACCAGCCTTACAAATATTCTTTTCTCAGAAGCTATTGCAGACCTTAAGCCAGTTTCAGACAGCTTATAGAGGCTGTGCACAAATTGCCTTGGTGTCCTATAGTTCATCTTTTGATGTGGAGCCAATTCCACCTCATTTCAATGCCAAAATCCTACCCCAAAGTGAACGTGGCATGTATGTTACATACATGTTTACCCATTGCCCATACATAGAGTTCCCTCATAAATATGTATAGCTTTTCCCCAAATCTGCTGAATGTGTATGACACAAGCTCTGTGAAGCATAAAACCCAACGTGTCCTTCCCCTCCTTGAAGAAAGAGCAGGCCAGGTGAGGTGGCTCACACCTGTAATCCCAGCCCACTGGGAGGCCGAGGTGGGTGGATCACTTGAGCACAGGAGTTCAAGACCAGACTGGGCAACATGGTGAAACCCTGTCTCTACAAAAAATACAAAAATTAGTTGAGTGTGGTGGTGTGTGCATGTGGTCCCAGCTACTTGGGAGGCTGTGATGGGAGGATGGCTTGAGACCAGGAATTCAAGGCTGCAGTGAGCTATGATCACACCACTGCACTCCAGCCTGGGTGACAGAATGAAATACTGTCTCAAAAAAAAAAAAAAAAAAAAAGAAGAAGAAGAAGAAAGAGCACCATTGGTCCACGTTGGAGACTTTCTCTTCCCAGCTGCAAACTGATATCACCAATATAGCTCTCCTTTCTACCATCTAGCCATCTTGGTGATCTTCTGGATGACACACTCAAGCCTCATATCCATTTTTTTTTATCCAACATGTTCATCCCCTCTACCTCCATGCTAAAGAGAAAACATCTATAGGTGTGATTTGAGGGAAGAGTCCCTCGTTCATCCCTAGATGAGTATTAGTCCCCGAGCTCCAACATCAACTACTAGTCCAGGGAGCAGAAATTCTCTTCTGTCTCTCCTGAATGAAGACTTTTATCAGGATATAATTATCCATTTACACCTAACCTTTCTAAAACACAGATATGACTATGTCTCTCTTCTGCTTAAAAATGGGAACTTAAATGCCCCTCTCCCCTCAATGCCTGACACAAAGCCTATGGACAGCCTTCAGGAAATTTGTGAATTCCTGATATTTTATCATAGGTGTATTACTTTGGAGAACAAGGCTGTGGCTGTCAATGGATCCCCAAAGCAATGTTACCACAAAATGTGAAGAAACACCAGCCTCCAGGAAAAAGGCCTGACTCAAGTAAGAGATTCATCAAAATTTGGCTCCAGCCTCTCACCCTCCACTCTCTCCTCCATATCTTTGTTGTTTCTTTGTTTGTTTGTTTTAGGGGGAATTACAGGCATGTGCCATTGCACCCATCTAATTTTTGTATTTTTAGTAGAGATGGGGTTTCACCATGTTGGCCAGGCTAGTCTCGAACTCCTGGCCTCAAGTGATCCGCCCTCCCCGGCCTCCCTCCCCTCCATATCTAATGTTGTAGCTACAACTTGTCTTTTCCTATGCTATCTGTGCATCATACTTCCTTGCTTTTACTTATGCCTTTCTCTTTGCCTAGAATACCCTTTCCTTTTTATCTTTTTTGAGACAGAGTCTCATTCTCTCACCCAGGCTGGAGTGCAGTGGAGCAATCTCGGCTCACTACAACCTCCGCCTCTCAGCCTTAAGTGATTCTCCTGCCTCAGCCTCCCAAGTAGAATATCCTTTCCCTTTCTTTTCCAGGAAAAGTACTATGCATGCCTTGGAACTCAGATCAAATGTTGTATCCTGGTAGAATCAACGATCTAAGCTCCAACACACTTTGTATATATGTCTGGCATAGTTCTAATTAGTTCTTCACTCATCTGATTAACCCCGAACTAAAATGATCTCAGAGTAAGAATGGGTCTTATTTAATTCATATCTCCAAGGCCTAGCACAGATCATACTAGGCACTACTGGTTATTGGGCAGGAGGATAGGTGTCAGCATGGACCATTGCCCAACAGAACAGGAACACATCTCCCTCTGAGCATGCCTCCTCAGACCCCCTACTCACCCAGGACCATTTCTGCTCAGCCTGATGCTTTGGCTCTCTGAACTCTGTAGTGAGCTTTGTATTTGCAGATTTTTCTGACCAGTAACTCAAAACTAATTTTGGAGACCAACATTGCCAATTTAAAACGTTTCCAAGAAAAGATGTTTTTTAAAACCTATCACTGGCTGGGTACAGTGGCTCATGCCTGTAATCTCAACACTTTGGGAGGCCGAGGCAGGTGGATTACCTGAGGTCAGGAGTTCAAGACTAACCTGGCCAACAAGGTGAAACCCCGTCCCTACTAAAAATACAAAAATGAGCTGGGTGTGGCGGCACATGCCTGTAATCCCAGCTACTCAGGAGGCTGAGGCAGGAGAATCGCTTGAACCTGGGAGGCAGAGGTTGCAGTGAGCCAAGAGCAAGACTCCGTCTAAAAAACAAACAAACAAAAACAAAAACAAACAAAAAAACACCTATCACCTACTTTCTCCATAGTTTTATAAAAGTCACTTTAATACCTCAAAAATAAAAAGGTCATTGTCTCAGCCTAGAGGACAGTCCTTTGGATTAAATGCATTTAGCATTTTAAAAGCTTACCACATTGACCTCATTTTTTCATTCAGTGGTGAAAAGTTTGTCCTAGTTTATCAGTTCTAAAAAGTTTGGAAACCACTGATTTAGACCTTTGCTTCTGCAAGGCAGCTCCTGCATTCTTCCTGACTCAGGAATTAGTTTCAGGTCTCATGCCAGGAATAAAGTCCTGCACCATCTTTCCCTACAGTTTCTTTTTGTGGATATGGAGAGAAGTACCTAGAAACAAGAGACCGACTACAGCATATTGAACAGTCTATGCTGGTCACTTGACTTTGGATGAGGGGCAAATCTCAGTTGACAAACTCAGCTCAAAAATAAACTACTCTAGGCAAGAAGTATCTTATACAGCTTTGCAGCCCCCAATGACTTAAGAACTAAGAGATGCTAGTTTATGGGAAGAATGAAGAATGAATGAATGAATGAATGAGTGGATGGATGGATGGATGGATGGATGGATGGATGGATGGATGAATGGATAGATAAGTAGATGGATGAAATCTGAGTCCTCATTACCCAGAGAATCCCTGTGGAACAGGCTCAGTTAAGTCAGAAGTGGTATGTTGCAAATTAAATGAGTCTTTTCCAGCCTCAGCTTTTCACTACTACTTCCTGGGGCACAGCGCCTTCTAGTGGAAATCCAGATGTGCTGCCTCCTCCCTAGACGGCCCTAAACATGGGCCCTTTGATGACTCCCTCCCAGATCACCATCTCCTCACTGTGAAAACCTCAATGACATCCCCATTGATGAGGCTCAGTAGATTCAGGCAGGTCCCTTCTAGTAACCCAAGTACTCACAAGATGAACAATGAAGGATTCCATTAGAGCTTTAGGCTAGAGCAGCACTTCTCAAACTTTCCTGTGCAGATGAATCACTTGGAGAGGACCTTGTGGAAAACCGAAGATTTTCACTGGGTAATTCTGAGTTGTGGATCAAGATTCTGAATTTTGGACAAGCCTTCCAGGACCAGAGCCTGCTGGTCCAGTGGCAGCTGCTCAACACTGCGCCCCTGTGGGGGTTGGCAGCTCCCAGATATACGAGGTATAACCAGGGAGTATAACCAGGAAGCTGTGGGGTTGATGGTTTAAGCAGACAATCTGAAGCTTATAAATTACTGTTGTCCCTTTCAAGGTTTGCCCTTTGAAGTCTACACACTCCTACCAAAAAAAAAAAATTGTTTTTCTTTTGCTGGAATGTTATTTATAAAACATTTCTGGCATTGTCATTGAAATTTTTGTGCCTTAAAAGACTCAGTGGTGACATTTTTCTCTTTGAAGGTAGCTTTAAAAGCAGTCAAAAGTTATTTCAAAATAGAATGTGATTATAAATATTGAGGTGGATGTACTCATATGGCTTATAAATTAGCCCTGAAAATAATCTCCAAATAAGAATTCCAAAAATATTTTGGGCAGCTGTTTGGAGAAAGTGGAATGCCTGATTTGAAACACAATACTCATTTGGATGTTTATGTTCCAGGGTGTTCATTTTTAAGGAGTTGATTTCATTATGTTATATTCCCATCTACTATATTATTTAAGTAAAACTTCAGTAGGGCTTTGTAAGTGCCAGGCACTATTGCTTTACAAATATTCATTCATTTAATCTTCATAACAATCCTTTTACAGATGAGAAGTCATTCTACAATCATTTTACAGGTGAGAAAACTGAGGCATGGAGACATGTTGCTTCCCCAGGGTCACCTAGTTAGTAAATGGATGAGTTGAGATTCAAATCTTAAACAGCCTACTTTCAGGTGTCAGAGGCTTCATTACTAAGCTATGCTAGCTCCCCCAACAGAGACGAGGTCTCATTATACTGTCTAGTCTGGTCTTGAACTCCTGGGCTCAAGCAATCCTCCCACCTTAGTCTCCCAAAGTGCTGGGATTACAGGCGTGAGCCACCATCCCCAACTTATGCTACCCCTTAATTAGAGTTAGGACTAGTCTAGTACTATCAACTACTGTACCTCAGGGTCTATCAGATGGAAGGGAAAAAAATTCAAAGTGACTTAGAGGTTGGAAACCTGCAGAAATTAACAAATCCAACCAAGATGGGAACAACTGGAGCTGGAATGTGTGAACAGGGTGCTCTTAAGTATAAGCACCCTACCTCTTTCCTGGCACTGAGACCTAGAGAAGAGTTCCAACCTCAAGCTGGAAGTGATAGGAGGAAATATTACATTCCCAGAATCAGAAATCATAAAACAATTTTAAAAGCAAGGGACCAACAGGAAGGGGGTGCTGACTGATTGCTCAGAGAGGGTGTCCCAGGGCAGCGGGGTCTTGATGAGGTCATTCCAGGCCAGGGTCTCCAGGAGCAGGGCTTTGCCAGCCCTGACATTCCATTTTGTCAGTGTACCTAGAGATAAGTAGGCACAAGGGAAATGAATTATGCTAACCAGACTCTTATGAGTCTAAACCAAAACACCCACAGTTAGGAGAACAGTGCCAATAAGCTTGTTCAAAGCATGCTTTTTCCTGTAGGGAAGTCTAATGGGCAAATCATTATCAAAGTCTGTTTTGTAAGGAAAATTGACTGAGTGACCTCAGAAGAGGATGTTATGAAATGTTGAGAGCTGGATGCGCCCATCTCATGGACTACCGTGTAGCTGCCAAAAAGGCAGCCCTCCCCTCGTGTCACTCTTCCTGCAACTAGGTCACAATACAACACTTTCAGTTCAGCTTTCTTTAGCATTCCTGACCTCAGACATGGATGGCTAGTGGGTTATCTCAGATGGTGAATGTTTGTGATTTTTGTTTTATTGGTTGACGCTTTTTTTTTTTTTTGAGACAGGGTCTTGTTCTGTTGCCCAGGCTGGAGTTCAGTGGCATGATCACGGCTCACTGCAATCTCCCCCTCCCAGGCTCAAGCAATTCTCCCACTTCAGCCTCCTGAATAGCTGGGACTACAGGTACACACCGCCACACCTGGCTAATTTTTGTATTTTTTATAGAGAGAGCTTCTCACCATGTTGTCTAGGCTGGTCTCAAACCCCGGAGCTCAAGCAATCCTCCCACCTCAGCCTCCCAAAATGCTGGGATTACAGGCATGAACCACCATGCCCAGCCTCTTGGTTGACACTTTTTCCTTGTAGTACTCTTAGAGAGTGGCTACTCCTAACTTTCTCCTCAGGGTGTGGGAGCAGCTCATTGCCTACTGAAGCACCTGCAGCAGGGCAGTGGGGGCTGGTCTTCAGGGGAAAAGCCAGAGCCTTTCCTGGCATCCCACCCTGACACCTTATTCCAGCCCACAGATTGAAATCCGTCACAGCAGTTATTTGGTGAGGGGTTGGAGGAATATAAGTCACCACATTCCTGTTGGCCAGTTCTTTTTTTGTTGTTGGCGATGTTGATTTTCTAGACATATAACGTTTGAATCAGTCATCCAAAGCTTGGCAAGTTCTCAGGCTCACCTTTCCCCATTCTATTTTGCGCAGAACACTCTCGAGGTGTGAGCTGTCCTGTTGTGTGGTTTAAACTCGCCAAATGTAGAGAACTGGGAGACTGGAGACCTGGGGAGATTACAGCCCCCACGCAGTGCCTTGCTTTTTTTTTTTTTTTTTTTTTTTTTTTTTTGAGACAGGGTCTTGCTCTGTCGCCCAGGCTGGAATGCAGTGGTGTGATCTCAGCTCACTGCAACCTCTGCCTCTCGGGTTCAAGCAATCCTTCCACCTTAGCCTCCCAGGTAGCCGGGACTACAGGCACACGCCACCATGCCCTAATTTTTGTATTTTGGGTACAGACAGGGTTTCGCCATGTTGCCCAGGCTGGTCTGGAGCTCCTGAGCTCAAGAGATCCGCCCACCTCGGCCTCCCAGAGTGCTGGGATTACAGGCATGAAGCCAGTGCCTAGCTTTTAAGTGCTGTTCATTCTTTACTGATTGATTGTGGGTAGAGGGGGCGCAACCCCATTGCAATGTCTGTCTCTCCCAGGAATGATCTCGGGCTTGCCTTGCCACCCTCAGGACACCTGAGAGGAGCTGGAGAGGCTCATTCCTCAGTGCCCTCTCATTCCCTCCTTGAGAGTGACATAGCCACCACCAGCTGCCTGAAAGTCAAATCCAAAACTCACTTCCATTTTGCCTAATGCCAAATGACAGACTTGAATTTGTTGAGTTTGGGTTTTTTAGGTCCACATAAAACAAGCAAACAAAATGTGCTTAAACTTGAGGTAGATTAGGGGAAAACCCTCCAGGAGAAAACCCCCTCTCACCTAGGAGACTGTGGAGATGAAGGCCACAAACCTCTCATTAGCACCCCTCATAGTGGCTACTGGAACCAGCACCTCTAGTGCAGTCATATATTTCACTTGTCACGGGATCTGAAGCAAAACGGTTCAGCGTATGGTCTAATCTGCATTCTTCTAACCCTTAATTAATGTTTGCACATTGTTCCTATCACCCCTTTGTCCCAAAGTATTGATGTTTTAGCTAGTGTGAAGGTTTTTAGAGGATCCAATATATGATTCGGTCATTCACAAGGGTAAAATAAAGAGTACCACACAGAAACTACACAAAAATAAAATAATCACATATTGGGGAAGGTGGGGGTGACTGATTCACTAGCAGATGAGAAAGGAAAGCCCCAGAGTGTGCACCGAACTTTTTGTGCACACTTCATTGTCCGTTATAATTTCAGCCCTGGCCAGGTAACAGCTTTTAGAGTTAGCTTCCCAGAAGAATGTGTGGCTTTCTAAGTCTAAAAAGAGGCCCTTGCCGTACCATTGTTTCCACAATGCCGTGACTCGGATTCGAACCGAGGTTGCTGCGGCCACAACGCAGAGTACTAACCACTATACGATCACGGCGAGCTACCGGGACGCCACGACGAGCAGCTGACCCAGTGTTGCCCTTCTCGTCTAGATGGCGGCCATTCCAGCTTTCCTAAGCGTCCATTATCTACCAGGTTCCTCCCGCACCCACGTTCACCCGCAAGAGCAGCCGGGAGCGCTGTGGACTCCCTAGCCCGAAGTCTCCTCTTGGCTGTACGCACGGACCGCAAAAGAAGGGACATGAAAGTGCTTTGCAACCAAAGGATTCCTATGAGGCCGGGCCTGCAATGATGTGAAGCCCCTGAGGACGCCCGAATGGTGGCCCAAAGTCTCTCTGACGCTCACCATGCCCTGACTATCATGCTATCTGAACGACTTTGGCTGGGACTGGAGCTCTTAAATTTTACAAGAAGGAAAATCAGTTCTGACCCACCACCATACAACTTCCTTGAGGCGCGAGGTAAGGGGAACCCCAAGAGCAGCCTCCACGGTGGAGAAATCGGCCACCGTGTCTGGTGCGCAGGCAAGTGTGGACCAAAATCGAGAAAGCAGAGATTAATGCTCTTGCGTGCCCTCAGATGGCTGCGAGGGTGGAGATAGGCTAGAACAAACAATGACAAATCAATGACATTGCAAGGGGGCGGGGCTTTCAACAGAGAAGAGTTCAGGCGACAAGCCGAGGTCCTGTGTCCCTAGTAGCTCGCCGTGATCGTATAGTGGTTAGTACTCTGCGTTGTGGCCGCAGCAACCTCGGTTCGAATCCGAGTCACGGCATTGTGAGGACAATGGCACGGCAAGGGGAGTTTGTTTTATTGTACCAATCCGTTTTTAATCCTGAGTTCACAACATTGTGGAAAATGGACCCCGATTCCCTTGTGACATTTGAGAGCGACGTTTACGCTGGCTCTGGCTAAATTGGACTTTGGAAAGATATAGGCTTCCGGGTCCTCTGAGCCTGGGCGCGTTCTTGAAGACAAAGCACAGACCACTCGCCAGTTTAAAAAGTGTTGTAGTAGACATACGTACAAATTTCCACAGAAGCACTGGGAGCGGATTCCTAATGATAGGAAAAGAAGGCTTAGCAAAGGAAGTGAGGATCAAGGTAGCTCTTAAAGGCACAGTGAGAATTTGTCAGGCAGCCAGGATGATTTCGTGTACAGAGGCTTGAAGGGAGTCTTGAAAAGGAAAAATCTTTTTTTTTTTTTTTTTTTTTTTTTTTTTTTTTTTTTTTTTGAGATGGAGCCTCGCTCTGTCACCCAGGCTGGAGTGCAGTGGCGCGATCTTGGCTCACTGCAACCTCCGCCTCCTGGGTTCAAGCGATTCTCCTGCCTCAGCTTCCCGAGTAGCTGGGACTACAGGCACCCGCCACCAGGCCCATCTAGTTTTTTTGTATTTTTAGTAGAGACGAGGTTTCACCGAAAAGGAAAGATCTTAATTCCTCTTTATAAGTCTTCTGTCTTCTTTGTAAGTCCCCACCCCAACAACGCCCAAAGGCTCTGGCCTGACAGGTAGTAGGCGCTTCTCGAGGACGTGTTGAGTTGAATGAGTGAAATTGAGGCATGGGGAACGACACTGAAGGAGGGCCAAGAGATGAGCTGGAAAAGGCAGACGAAGTTCCTGCCGTCTAGGGGTGAGGGTGAGGAGGGTAGAAGTGAAAATATTCAAATCGTGTTTAGCAAGATCCCTCCCGCGGCTCTGCATAGGGAGGATTGATGGGAGAGGGTGACATTGGAGAGACAGGTGTTCTCTCTGGAATTCACTTGTTAAATGCCAATGGCACCTTCTGAGTTTTAGCAAATAGCCACTGCCTGCTGTGTACTCGGCCCGGTTCTAGGCGCCGTGGGGGCGAGAGCACTGATGGACAATAATTAAAATCGGACTTAGTCCCTGCTGCGGCCCCGTGACACAGCCTAGGTGGGCACCTGGCACGGCGGAAGCATTGCGGAAGGAGGAGTCAGGAGGAGTCAGGGCTGTCAGGGGAGTATGAGAGGCTGGAAGGAAGTGGGTGTTGGGAACATGGGGAGATGCGTTTGCTGAATTTTTTTCTACGTGGAACCTGGTTCTAGGGTGTCCACAATCTCCACAGAGGCGGCATTGGGTCACCGCTGGAGGATGCAGCAGGAGGGAGGACCCGTGAGGAGCGCCCCCTGTAGGACCGGAACCCTGGAGGGTTCGCGGCAAGGGTCTCCGGGGCATAGGAAACGGGCATCCCCCAAGGGTAGTCTGAGTTCCGCCCAGCCCCATTCCTGGATGCTCACGCCGTCTCCCCTAAACTCCCACTGCGCTCACCGGGAGCCCATCTCATCATCACCACAGCCCGTGGCTAATGGGCCAAAACAGAAGAAGAAAAGCAACTGGCGGAGTACAACGCGCCTGCGCATTATCAGACTCAGGGACAGGCTGGAACCTCGCCCCGTAAGTAGGCCATTTAATGACGCGCAAACTGGGAAGGCCTATGACTGTTGAAGAGGATAATCAGAAGCCAACCCCTACGGGTCCCCGGTAGCTCGCCGTGATCGTATAGTGGTTAGTACTCTGCGTTGTGGCCGCAGCAACCTCGGTTCGAATCCGAGTCACGGCATTGTGGGAACAATGGCACGGCAAGGGGCTCGGTATTTTTTTCCCCTTTTTTGTAACATTTTATATAAATCGTAATTCACTTTCTTGAAACGAACCAACGTTTCTCTCCTTTGAAAACTGAGGCACTCCGAGGACCGCCACCTACAGTAACTCTCATGTAATGCTCTGATACAGCTTCAACCCAGCCGTTATAATCCCTTTCTTACCAAATATAGTTGTCTGAATAATTCCACACCAGCAAAACAGCTCCCCTATGACCCTGTGATTTTTTTCTCTTTTCATGTACATTTTTTTATTGAGTCATTTATTTTTATTTTTACTTATTTATTTATTTTTGAGACAGTCTCCCCTGTCGCCCAGGCTGGAGTGCAATGGCGCGATCTTGGTTCACTGCAGCCTCCGCCTCCCGGGTTCAAGCGATTATCCTGCCTCAGCCAACTGAGTAGCTGGTACTACAGGCGTGCACCACCATGCTCGGATAATTTTTTTTTGTTTGTTTTTTTAATTTTAAAAAAAATTGTTTTTGAGACGGAGGCTCTGGGTCATTTATTTTTAAATAGGGAATACATGCACAAAAGTCTAGTAAAAAGTACAGCTCTTTTTCATTTTTCACCCTATCCACCAATTATTTTCAGTTTCCACTATATCTTTCCACAACAGTCCTTGTATGAATATATATTTATATATGCATATACGTATGTGAATCTATTCCTCCTTGCTTTTTGCATAAAACGCAAACATGCCCTCGCTTGCCCGCTCTCTTTTTTTTTTTTTTTTTTCCTGAGGTGATGGAATGTGAACAGAACATGAAGTAATAGGTATGTATTGGTAGGCAATCTCCCTTTACTGGGAAGAGGTCACATACCCTGAAGGATGTGAATCTCTACCTATTTCTGGTCCTGTTCCTCTTTTACCCAGGCCCTGACTCCAGGCTGGGGAGATGGGGAAACAGTTTGTGTTGGTAAGATAGGGGAAAGGGACTGTTTACTATACCCATATAAACCTTTGGGTGGGAGCCTGGGCTCTGTTAGGAAGCAGCCCTATTTTGATTTCAGGTGGGAAGGGCAGGGAAGCATCTTGAATTTGGAGTCAGATAGAAGGACTTGACTTGGCAGGCCATTTGGAGACCCTCCACTCCCGTGTCCCCCTTCTCTTATTATCAGGCTCCAACTTTAAGTCACAAACCACTACAGTTAGGAAACTCAAAATTCAAGCTCATTGAAGGCAGGACGAGATCTTAACATATGTTTGTGTTCCAAGCACACAGTCTCTCCATAAATATTTGAACAGAGGTTTCTTATGGAGTCCATAAATGAGTGACATGGCCAGGTTTGCTTTTTTTTTTTTTTTTTTTTTTAGAGACAAGGTCTTGCTCTGTCACCCAGGCTGGTGTGCAGTGGAGCAATTTTGGCTTACTGCAGCCTGGAACTGGCCTCAAGCAATTCTTCTACCTTGACCTCCCAAAGTGCTAGGACTATAGGTTAGAGCTGCTGCATCTCAAATTGTGTCCTTTCAAAACAGAATCATGTTTTTTAATATCAAATAGGAATAGTCTGTATTTTCACTAAAAAGAAAAGTGTGTGCTCCTATTTTTCTAGTAATTTGTAGCCCTTTTAGGTCTTTCTTTCTTTCTTTTTTTCCCTTTTACTATCCTTAATAGGGACATGACCTGGAGAAATAGTGCACTTTCCTTTTTTTTTTTTTTTGAGACGGAGTCTTGCTCTGTCACCCAGGCTGGAGTGCAGAGTGGTGCAATCTTGGCTCACTGCAAGCTCCGCCTCCCAGGTTCACGCCATTCTCCTGCCTCAGCCTCCCGAGTAGCTGGGGCTACAGGCGCCCGCCACCAAGCCCGGCTAATTTTTTTTGTATTTTTAGTAGAGACAGGGTTTCACCGTGTTAGCCAGGATGGTCTCGATCTCCTGACCTCGTGTTCTGCCCGCCTCGGCCTCCCAAAGTGCCGGGATTACAGGTGTGAGCCACCACGCCCGGCCTTTCCTCTTAACTCTATAGTAAGGAGGGAAGAAAAACAGAAAGTTGGTAAAAGCAACTGACTTGGGGCTTCGATGAAATGCTAGGAAGGACCTAGGATGGTCTTTGGAGATATAGCCTCATCTGAAACCAGTCAGGCTACTTATCTTCCACCAGTTGTACCAGATGTTCTGATGGGAATATAAGCCTAATGCACCAGATCTTCTGATATTTCAGAGGAAGTCAGCCAGGCACAGTGGCTCATGCCTGTAATCCCAGCACTTCGGGAGGCCGAGGCAGGTGGATCACCTGAGGTCAGGAGTTCGAGACCAGCCTGGCCAACATGGGGAAACCCCGTCTCTACTAAAAATACAAAACTTAGCCAGGTGTGGTGGCATGCCCCTGTAGTCCCTGTAGGGAGATTGAGGCAGGAGAATTGCTTGAACCCGGGGGGCGGAGGTTGCAGTGAGCTGAGATCAGGCCACTGCACTCCAGCCTAGGTGACAGAGCCAGACTCCATCTCAAAAAAAAAAAAAAAAAACAGGAAGTCAGCAATCTGGAGTTTTGTGTGAGATGTTATAAATTTTTAAATATCGGCAACTAATTCAATTATTTTTTTAAACACTGAGTTGACCAAAACTATATAGGCAAAACAAAACTTGGCCCAAATGGAGCTCTGTCTTAACATCCAAGATCCCAACAAACAAAGTGCATATGTGAGAACACTAGGATGTGCTTGTCCTCTCAAGGTTATGGACAGAGATGGACCCAAGACAAGGCTGGAGACAAAAGGCAAGGACCAGACTTGGACAGCAAAACTTAGGAAGAATCAGAGTTCAGGACAGAACTGGACACCCAAAGCCAGGCAAACAGGAGTGAAGATGCTGTACTCAGTACCCAGTGAGAAAAGTGAGGGCTAAGGACTTAGCCTTGGAATATGCACAACTTTAGGAGGTTAAGAGGGGAAACAAGAATGTGGCCTGAGGCTGCTCTAGGCACACTGCCTATGGGTTAGCTCTGCTCTTAAAAGGAGCAGTATCTCTGGTGCTGTATTAAATTTATTTAAAAAAATAGACTTTAAATAAAAGAATGTGGCCTGAGAGAAGAGAAAACCAGGAAAGTGTCATTTTAAGAAAGTTTAGAAGAAGTTTTCAAGGACAGGAGTCAACAGACTCAGGTGGTGCAAAGAAGTCAAGGGGAAAAAAAATGAGACAAAATAATTAGGTTTGACATTTAGAAGTCATGGCTGACTTTTAAAACTATCCATGAGAGCAACTGGGCAGTGTGTAGCAAGAGTCAAAAAAGTTTATGCTCTGCCCCAAGATTTCTACTTTTGAGAATCTCACCAAAGGAAATAATGCGAAACTAGGAAAAATTATCTCCATAAAGAGGTGTTTAGAAAAAGGGAGATTGGAAATAGCCTAAGTACTCAACAAATCAGGTAATGTTGAACTAAACTGAGGTATGTTCATTTGGTGATATATTAAATAACCATTTTAAAATTACAGGCCAGGCACAGTGGCTCATGCCTATAATTTCGATACTTTGGGAGGCCGAGGCAGGAGGATCACTTGAACTCAAGAGTTTGAGAGCAGCCTGGGCAACAGAGTGAGACCTCATCTCTGCAAAAAAAATCAAAATATTAGCTGGGCATGGTGGTGCATGCCTGTAAGTCCCAGCTATTGGAGCAGCTGAGGTGGGAGGATCGCTTGAACCCAGGAGGTTGAGGCTACAGTGAGCCATGATCACACCACTGTACTCAGCCTGGAAGACAGAGTGATAGCCTGTCTCAAAAATAAAATGAAATTACAAAGTAAAAAGTCAATTTTAAAATACCATTCCCAACTAAAAGGAGTAAGGTTTCTTTCAAGAAATGACTGATTCTAAGTCTGCAGCAGGGGAGGTACAAAGTGATTCTGGAACATCTTGTGTGAGAAAGCACTGAAGAGCTTAAACATTGATGGGACCAAGTCAAAAGGACACAGGAGGCCAGGCGCAGTGGCTCACGCCTGTAATCCCAGCACTTTGGGAGGCTGAGGTGGGTGAATCACCTGAGGTCAGGAGTTTGAGACCACCCTGGCCAACATGGTGAAACCCTGTCTCTACTAAAAATACAAAAATTAGCTGGGTGTGGTGGCAGGGACCTGTAACCTCAGCTACTAAGGAGGCTGAGGCAGGAGAATCGCTGGAACTCGGGAGGTGTAGGTTGCAGTGAGCCAAGATCGCGCCACTGCACTCCAGCCTGGGCGACAGAGCAAGACTCCATCTCAAAAAAACAAAACAAAACAGAAGAAGGACACAGGAGCCTCTTGAAAAGGCTCCCAATAGTCAAATTTTGGGTAATTTGGGCATCAAAAAGAATAATAATATGATAATAATGGATTATATCATGTTGAATTAAAAAAAAATTCACTCCATGATGGAGGTTGGGGGAGAGGTAAGAAAGCTCTCCTTTACAGAAGAATGCCAGCTAGGAACAGTCAAGCTGGGAACTATGTCAGGCAATGCTGCCTACCTTTTTTTTTTTTTTTTTTTTTGAGACAAACTCTCACTATGCTGCCCAGGCTGGAGTACAGTGGCACGATCTTGGCTCATAGCAACCTCTACCTCCCAGGCTCAAGCAATCCTCCCACCTCAGCCTCCTGAGTGGCTGTGACTACAGGCTCACACCACCACACCTGGCTAATTTTTTTTTTTTTTTTGGTACAGAAGGGGTTTCGCCATGTTACCTAGGCTGGTCTCTAATTCCTGAGCACAAGCTCTTGAACTCCTGACCTCTTGACTTGGAATGACCTTTCACTCATTTGCTTCATCTGTCCAAATCCTACCAGCTCAGGGCTACCTCCTGTCCTGCATGAAGCCTGCATAAGGCCACTCGCCTCGGCCTCCCAAAGTGCTGGGATTATAGGCGTGAGCCACTGCACCTGGCTCCATTTTATTCCTAAATAAGATAGCTACAAAGATTTTAAAAAGCGACATACTTTCCTCCAATTTGCCCACAAGGAATTTCCTTGTGGAACTCAATCATCCCTCTGAGGCTCATGACTGAATATTATATGCATTTGAGACAAATGCATATCTGATTGTTTCCTCTGCCCTATTGTTTCCTCTGCCCTATTGCTTCACTAAACCAGACTAAGGCATAAGTGACTATTCCTCTCCTCTCCTCTCACATGTATATTGTGTATTCAGTGAAAGGCCAATGAGAGACTTAAAAGAATACAACCATTTGTCTCTCATCTACCTATGAACTGGAAGCCCCCTCCCTGGCCTCCAGTTGTCCCACCTTTCCAGACCAGACCAATGTACATTTTACACATATTGATTGGGCCGTGACCACCTTGGGCACCTGTCCTCAGGACCTCCTGAGGCTGTCATGTGTGCATCCTTAGCCTTGGCAAAATAAACTTTCTAAATTACTTGAGACCTGTCTCAGATATTTTGAGTTCATAGAATTACAGAATTAGAGAGTCACTATTTTGCAATCCCCAGTGTAATAGCAAATTTAAGTATAGATCATCAATGTGGGGGATAAAACAATGGGGTAATATGTTGCTTGAAGAAAATAGCTAAAAGTTCTCAGAATATCATTCCACAGCTTTCTTTAAATTGTAAAGTGGAGAGATCCGGTGGACTCCAGCTTAACCAAGTGATCAAGCCTAACATCACCAATAAAGGGACAAATGGGCATTATGGGCCTTCTGGTGTAACGCACTAGAAAGTCCACAACATCCCCTATGTAGTGCTCCTTTCAGAAATGTGTAACCTGAATCTAATCATGAAGAAACTATGGAAAAGTCCAGAATGTGGGACATCCTACATGACAATTGGCCTGGACATTTCAAAAAGATAAATGTGATGAAAAACAAACTAGCAACAAAAGAATAGGGGACTGTTCAAAATTAAAATAGACTAAAGGAACATAACAAACAGATGAAATGGGGAAACTTAATTAAATCTGGAATCAGGGCCAGGCGCGGTGGCTCACACTTGTAATCCCAGCACTTTGGGAGGCCGAGGAAGGTGGATCACGAGGTCAGGAGTTCGAGACCATCCCAGCTAACACGGTGAAACCCCATCTCTACTGAAAATACAAAATTAAAATCAGCCGGGCATGGTGGCGGGTGCCTGTAGTCCCAGCTATTCAGCAGGCTGAGGTGGGAGAACGGCGTGAACCCGGGAGGCAGAGCTTGCAGTGAGCCCAGATTGCACCACTGCACTCCAGCCTGGATGACAGAGCGAGACTCTGTCTCAAAAAAAAAAAAAAAAAAAAAAAAAAATCTGGAATCAGAAAAAAAAAAAACTGTAGGGAGTTTCTTTGAGCCTACTCTGGCTCAGGAGGCTGCCTGAAGGAAAATTTAAAGATTTTTCAAAAACAAAATAAAAAAAGAAAAAAACTATAAAAGACACTTTCAGGAAAAATCAAAAAATTTAATAAGGATTGTATGACAGACAATATTATTAAATAAATATTAAATTTCCTAAATGTGATAATGATCTTGTAGCCTGATAGAATTCCTTATTCTTTGGCAATGCCTGCTAAAGTGTGTAAAACCAAAGTGTCATGATATTTGCAACTTGTACCAAATGGTTAAGAAAATGAAAGAAAAAGGAGAGGAATAAGGCAAATATGGCAAAATTTAAAAAGAGGTGAATCTAGCTGAAGGGTAAATAGGTTTACACCACACTTACTTTTTTTTTTTTTTTTTTAAATAGAGACAGGGTTTCCACCGTGTTGCCCAGCCTGGTTTTGAACATCTGAGTTCAAGTGATCCGCCCACCTCGGCCACCCAAAGTGCTGGAATTACAGGCTTCAACCACTGTGCCCAGCCTCCAGTATACTTTCTTTGGATTTTTCTGTAGGGTTGATAGTTTTCCCCAAAAAAAATTTGGAAGAAAATAAACTTACATGACAAAAATGGGGAAATTATCATACAATGTTAAGTTAAAAAAGATATAAAATTATGTGTATACCACAATTATAGCTATATAAAACTAAGAATAAGAAAGACAAATTGTCTTTATCCATTTCAACGTTTGTTAAACCGATGCCATGTGACAGGCTCTGCACTTGGTGATGGGAGCACCCATGCTTCCTTACAGAATCCTGATACTATGGCGAACTGCTTAACATGCAAGAATTTGAATCTAGGCTGGGTGCAATGGCTCACACCTGTAATCCCAGCACTTTGGGAGGCCCAAGCGGGAGGATCACTTGAAGCCAGGAGTTTGAGACCAGTCAAAGCAACATAGCAAGAACTTCGTCTCTAGAAAATAAAATACAATAAATTAGCCAGGTATGGTAATGTGCACCTGTAGTACCAGTGCTTTGGGAGGCCGAGGTGGGAGGATTGCTTGAGGCCAGGAGTTCAAGACCAGTCTGAGCAACGTACTGAGGCCCCATCTTTACAAAAAATTAAAAATTAGTTGGGTGAGGCGGATCACACGCGGGAGGTTGAGGTAGGAGAATCGTTTGAGCCCAGAAGTTCAAGGCTGCAGTGAGCTATGATTGTGCCACTGCATTCCAGCCTGGGTAAGAGAGTGAGACCCCATCTCTAAAGGAAAGAAAAGGTAAACAGAATTTGGATCTAGAAAATTCCACCCAATTCTCAGAGGACCCTTGCTGTGATGGCCTCACCTCTGTATCCTTGGTTCCTATCAAGCTGCCTGACTCCATGAGGTGCTCAAACTGCCTGCTTTTAGGAGCTCATACTCTGGTAATGGAGGAAAGTACATTAGCAGATCTTTTAAAACAAGAGTAAGTGTATGGTGCACACAAGTTTTTATAATTTTAAAATTATTGTTTAAACCCTGCCTTTATGACATCTTCCCTCCTTCCCATCTTATTTTATTCCTACTCTTCCCATCATGAATACTCCCCTTTTTTATGGTGTGCGGGTTCCCACCTCTATGCCTTTGTCCAGCTAATGCCGACCTCCTGTCTTGGAATGACCTTTCACTCCTTTGCTTCATCTGTCCAAATCCTACCCAGCTCAGGTCTACCTCCTGTCCTGCATGAAGCCTGCAGACTTGATTGATTTCATTCCTCTGAGCTGTCAAGCAGTTTAACTCATGTCACACCTTCCACTGTAAGCATTTTACAGTTTTCAAACCTTTTTCATATTCATCACCTCCCTTAATCCTCACACAATGATTATCACGCCCTTTCCAGAGATCATGAAAGCAAGTATCAGTAGCATTGAGTACCTTCCCCAAATACCTGGCTACAGCCCACAACTATTGGATTTCTTATTAGTTACCTATCCATGCCCTCACACCTGGTGACTGTGGAGACTCTCTGATATACATTAACTGGACCATTCTTCTCTATTTATCATCTCTATGTCCAGCTTCGTTTTGCACCATTAGTCAATTTAACTGCACATTTTAAAAATATGCACGTTATTTTCTCTATTATACTTCATAAAACCAAGTTCAACATCAGATTCTCCAGTATCTCCTACAGTCCAGCTACTCAACATGTGGTCTGGGACCAGCAGTATCTGTATCACCTGGGACCCCACCCCAGCTAGACCTAGAGAGTCAGAATCTGTAACTTACCAAGATCCCCAGGAGATTAGTGTCCACATTAAAGTTTGAGAAGCACTGTCCTAAATACAAGCAGCACTGGCTTGATCAGAAGCACTGTCCTAAATACAAGCAGCACTGTCTGACCAGTGGCACAATCATAGCTCGCTGCAGCCTTGAACTTCTGGGCTCAAGCAATTCTCCCACCTCAACCTCCCAGGTACCTGGGACTACAAGCATGAGCCACCTCGCCCAACTAGAATTTGCACAAAGCAGGAACTCAACAAATATTTTGAGACTCGGGGCCCTGGGAATCCCAGGAGATTCACAGTTTTGCCATTACATCCTTCTTTACACCCCCCGCTTTGAACTCCTTTCCTTTGGGGCCTCTTGGCTTTTTGCGCCCTCAAAAGGCAGATATGGCCAGGTGCCGTTGGCTCACACCTGTAATCCCAGCATTTTGGAAGGCCGAGGTGGGGAATCACTTGAGGTCAGGAGTTCGAGACCAGCCTAGCCAACACGGTGAAACTCCATCTCTACTAAAAATACAAAAAATTAACCAGGTGTGGTGGCGCACGCTTGTAATCCCAGCTACTAGGGAGGCTGAGCTGGGAGCATTGCTTGAACCCGGGAGGTGGAGGTTGCTGTAAGCTGAAATCGTGCCACTGTACTCCAGCGACGGAGTGAGACTCCGTCTCAAAAAAAAAAAAAAAAAAAAAAAGGCAGACATGAACCTAGGAGTGCGGAGACACTGAGGCAGTGGGGGAAAGGGGGTGGGGTAAAGTGAGGTGAGACAGCTGCTTTCCCAGCAGAGCCAAGAGCAAATGTGTTGGTGTTGGCTTCAGGCCTACATTTATGGTGAGGAACTGGCTTTATTTCTTTCCTTTTCTTTTTTCTTTTTCTTTTTTTTTTTTTTTTGAGACGGAGTCTCACTCTGTCGCCCTGGCTGGAGTGCAGTCGCGCAATCTCAGCTCAATGCAACCTCTGCCTCCTGGGTTCAAGCGATTCTCCTGCCTCAGCCTCCCGAGTAGCTGGGACTACAGGTGCCCGCCACCACACCCGACTAATTTTTTTGTATTTTTGGTAGAGACGGGGTTTCACCGTGTTAGCCAGGATGGTCTCGATCTCCTGACCTCGTGATCCTCCCGTTTCGGCCTCCCAAAGTGCTGGGATTACAGGCGTGAGCCACCGCGCCCAGCCGGAACTGGCTTTATTTCTAAGACAAAAATGCCTAGCACTTGAGCATCTGAGCCTCAAGAGGATAAGGAGTTTGTGATAGACAACACTGGGACTGTTTCTAGACTTGATTTATTGACTTGTCTGTTTCCATTCTGTTACTAATCTGATTGACAATGAAGCCCGGGATGTGGCTGGAAGGGATTTCTGCGTGCGTGCGCATGCTATCGTCAGGGCCATGTGGGCCCGTTTGGAGCAGGTGCTCCCGTGGGTGGGGGATGTTTGAGCGAGGGCTGTTTGCGTGTGAGAAGGGCGTGTGTGAAAACGACACGGGAGAAGTGGGCGTCTCTAGGGAGTTGTTTGTATGTGATGTGAGATGTGTTTGCCTGGATCGGGAAGTAACGTAGGTTCGGGTATGTGCAGTGCGTACGGTTGGATGGGAGGAGGTTGTGGGGCTCCCAAGGTAGCACGGGAGGAGGAGGCTTACAGACACATCTTACAGAACCTAGCCCCTTTTCTTGCCCGCCTAGATTTTCCTCCTAGATTATAGTTTCCCAGTTGCGAGATCCTGGGAGAGGGAAGAGGAGAGGCGTAAGGCTCCCTAGAGTCAGGAGTCTGGGGGCTCCCCTCTTTGCGTCTCGCACGAGCTGGGAGCTGGGGAAAAGAACAGATGGGGATGGATGCGCTCCCCACAGGGGACCGCGTGGCGACACGTAAAGGATTCAACCTCAGTCCAGTAGTCGCATCCTCTGCCCCAGGGCTGCCCACTTCACTTCTTGCCTGTGCATACCGGCTGGAAGCCCGCGTACACTCTTCCGAGCTACGGGAGGAGGAAGACCCTGTTAGGGAGCGGAGCCCCGCCTCTCCCTTGTTACTGAAGCGCCCCGCCCCCTCCCCGCCCGGCGGAGCCCCGCCCCCCTCCCCACCCCCGCCCCCGCCCCCCACCCGCCGCTGCGCTCCCCTCGCTCAGTCTGGCTGGCCCCATGTTACTGAGCGGAGCTCCTCCGGCTGGCTCCCGCCCGGGGCCGCGAACGCAGGGGAGCGCTGGGGGCGGCCCGGGGGGGTCCCGCCGGGGCGCCGGGGGTGCGGGAGCCGGCCCAGGAGGGGGCGGCAGCGGCGGAGTAGCCAAGTGGCTCCGGGAGCACCTGGGCTTCCGCGGGGGGGGCGGCGGCGGAGGGGGCAGCAAGCCGGCGCCCCCCGAGCCCGACTACCGCCCCCCTGCGCCCTCTCCGGCCGCGCCCCCCGCGCCGCCCCCGGACATCCTGGCCGCCTACAGGCTGCAGCGGGAGCGCGACTTCGAAGACCCCTACTCCGGGGGGTCGTCCGGCTCCGCCGCCCTCGCCACCCCTGTCGCCCCCGGACCCACGCCGCCCCCGCGCCACGGCTCTCCCCCACACCGCCTTATTCGGGTCGAGACCCCGGGGCCCCCGGCGCCGCCTGCTGATGAGCGGATCTCCGGACCCCCCGCCAGCAGCGATAGGGTGAGTGCCGCGCCGGGCCGGGATGGCCAGGAGGGAAGGCGGTCAGGGGTCTGGAGGCTGCGAGAGGGACAAAGGTGGCCTGGCCCGGGCCCCTCGGTGTCTCAGCTTCTGGCAGACGCGAGCCCCTGACCCCGGGGTTCCGAGCCTTCACCCACCTTTGTTCAGATTCTCAACCGACTAATCTGAGACGGAAGCCCCAAACTCTGCCCCTCTGCCCTATCCTTTGTAATGGCCCCAGAACTGGTGACCCTCCCCCTCCCGGGCTGGCTCTCCACTTCGTAGCCCCCTCTAGCCTGATCCATGAGCCTTTTGCTAACGGGAATTGAGGCGCACCTCCCAACCCCCACTGGTTGATGGCCTTTCTGCCCCTCTGGAAGCAGCGGCTCAGTGCCCTTTGATCTCTGACCCTTCCCCCTGGGCATAGCCAGCACAAAGCTCTTCCCTCCTGTTGCCTCTTTGCTTCCTCCTCCTCTTCCTCCTCCTGTTTCTCCAGCCTAAGCATCCTTGCAGGTGCTGAAGCCCCAGAAAGGAGGTGAAGACGGGTTTCTCCTTGCGGACACAGCACGAGCTGGCCTTTGCCCTATAGGCTGTTGTTCTCAGGAGGCGAAGACAGGCAGCTTACAGCTCTTGCCAAGGGGGCTTCGTGGGGTCCAGGCCCACTCCTCCCTCCTTCCCTCGTCCTCTCAGGTATGAGGATAGTCAGTGCTCAGGACCTGTTGCCCACATGGGGCTAAGCAGCTGAGCCCATTCCTCCTCTCCTCCTGGCCTCCCTCTCCCCCTGGTCCATTCTGAGGGAGGCTGGAGCTTTTCCTGGGTCTGCAGGCACCAGGATAGGGAGGAGAACAGGAAATCCACCATGCCTCAGGGCCCTGCCCTGATTCGGGTTGGCCTTATCCCTCCCTGGCAGAGTGAGAGCTGAAAGCCATCCCAGGCCCCTAAATTCTGTGATGATGACTCTGTGGGCTGCCTTGGCTCTGCTGTCCTTCTTCACTCACCCCGAGAGCTCAGTTCTGGGGCCTGCCCCCTTCTCCTCAGCAGAGAAGAACATTTTTATTTGATTGGAGTGCAAAGTTGCTTTCCGAATCCGTTGGCTCCAGGATTGAGGCTTTTTAGCTGAGAGAGCGCCGTTCCGCCAGATTTCCTGGATGAGAGAGATCTGTCAGGGTCAGAGCAGAAGCCTCAGGAATGCAAATTATTTTTCCCCTAGTTTTTGCCATGGGGCATGGCTGCCCATCCTGGGCCAGGATACTTATTCTGCAGAGGAAGGTTCAAGGGCACTTCTCCAAGGCTGTGCTCGTCTGCTTCTTGTCCCCTGCTATTGTGTGATGTGATGGAGGTAGTGACAGTGAGACAGAGGAGAGGGATAGGCCCTGTTCTTCCCACTGACCAGTCAGTCTCCTCCTCTCTAACCACTGCCTGTTTGGCACAGGCAACATGGGCCTGAGCTGTCTTTGGCCCTTCTCCTCTCTACAGTGGCTTGGATGCCCTAACAGGCTGCCCACCAAGCCATGGGCTCCTCCAGGACACAGACCATGTCTTCTTGTGTCTCCCAAGTGCCTGACACAATGCTTGACATAAAAAAGGGTACATAAATATGTCCTGAATGGTGACTGTCCATTATCAGGGTGGCGTGAGGGTCGGAGACTCCCCTAGCCACAGCTTCCCTTGCACATTTTCCCAGACACCCCCAAGGAAGGGGTGCACCCACACAGTTCTATGCAGAGACTCACAGCCTCTTCTTGCCAAGGGCCTCCATGCCTCAGCTTGGGTCAGCTCTGTGATCTGTGTGCTGTTCAGACTTAGGGGCCAAGAGATGTCTGACTCCTTTGTCAGCTACAGGGACAGGAATGAAATCCAGCAGGCTCTCCCAGGAGCCATACAATCTGTGGTTTCTTTAATGGGTGTGATGAGAAAGACCCAGGATGCCATCTGAGTTGGCCCGGGGCAGGGATGCTATCTCTCTGGGCCCTGACCTGGGGCCTCCCACCATTTAGAGAGAGCAGCTCCCCACCCCTTTAGGAGCAGAGTTTGGGGTCTGAGTCTTCCCCTAGGAAAAGCTCAAACAAGGTACCTGAGTCCCTTACCCTAAACCTAAGAGATGCTGCTCCTGGATGTGAGCTGGCGCATGCCCCTGTGGCCCAGTGGAGCTGGTGTTTATGTACTATGTGGCCGCTTTCTCCCTGTTTTCTGTTCCTCCTTCTCTCAGGCCTTCTGGCTTGCTTTGAGGTCTCCTCCTGACATGTGATGAGGCCTGGGAACAGGGATGTGCTTTGTGCTGGCCTATTCTCTCCTCTGGAGCCCAGTGGCTGGGGCTGGGGGAGTCAGAACCCTCTGAGAAGGGATGGGTCATGAGATTTGATGAAATGGGTGGAGGTGTTTCTATGACAAGCCAGAGGGATTGAGCAGAAACCCAGTTAGTATGGGGGCAGGAGAGAACCAGGTCCTCGACAGTACCGAGAGGCCCAGGGGGTTCAGGACCATTAGCCTTCTCCCCATGTGGGGTTCTGGCTGCCAGCCCACCCTGGGACCCACTGCCGTAGTTGGCAGGGGTGCAGGGGTGGCCATCTGGGCAGGCCTGGCAGGGCAGGTGTGGGAGCAGCAGGAGCCGCGCCCTGCAACGGGCAGGCAGGGCCTTGCCATCTGGCCAGAGGAAGAGCTTCACGGTGCTGGGCCCTCGTCTGGCCCCCAGGCCATGCTCTGGCAGTGGGGGCTAGAGAGCTGGGCCCCTTGCTTTGCTCCCTTTTCTCAGACCTTTAGCAGGAAAAACCTGGTGTAATTAGGGAAGGGGATGGATATGGGAACAGGGCTCTGATTGGACAAAGCTCTCAGCTGCCTGTGACCATCTGTGCAGTGTGTCCTTTGCCTCCCTCATGCCAAGATACGTGTTTGGGGTTGGGTGGAGAGGTAACACGGACAATGAGACAGTCAGGCACCCTGGATTACAACCAGGGCTCTTCTTAGCTCATGGAGAGGTTCCTGGGCTTCATGAACCGCCAGAAATTGTGTGCAGATATTTCCTATTTTTCTGGGGAAAGGTATAGCTCTTAGATTCTCGTAGGGTTTCACAGGCCCCAAAATATTAAGAACTTTAAAAAATAGATGTACTTCATAGATGATATCCACAGGACTTGGGTCCTCCAGGCACAGATTTGGAAAGGAGTAAACAGACAGAGATAGGAAGAGTAAAGTGAGGGATACAGTCAGGGCATCTAAAGTTGAACAAAATATTCCTGCCCTGAGGTTAGGAGGATTGGTAGGGGCTGCCAGTCAATGTAAGACCATCTCTTAGCCAGTGTTCATTAAGTGTATGTCATTAGGCGCTGAAAGGGACACAGCACCTGGAAGACCTCATACTTGCCTTTTTGGGGTTTGTTTGTTTGCTTTAATGTTTCTTCTTAAGACTTCCACAGAGTCTGTAGATCCAGTCTGCTTATGTTGCAGATGGAGATAGAGGGAGGAGGAGAGTCTGGGGAAGGGAGGGAGGAGAAGGTAGGAGTCCAGGTGAAGGAACTTTTGTAGACTAGTTAAACCTCTTAAGCCTCTGTGGCCCAGGCTGGCCATCTGTGCTGCCGTTGCTGCTTTGAGGATGGCTGAGGCCTGCAGCTACTGGGGGATTGGATGGCAGGCCTGTCCACTCTACCCAGTGCTGTCACCCCACATTGTGGCACCAACTCTGTCTGGAAGACATCTGTGCTTCTTACCTTGGCCAGTGAGTGACTCAATGACAACTCAGCTCTGGCACTTTGCCTCTTGGGAGCCAGGAACAGCTGGGACCCTGAGGACCATGGGTGGGAGCTACTGGCTAGGCTGAACAAGCCCTGGCTGGGGCCCAGGACTTGGAGGATACCTGCTGCCCACTCCATTAGCCCTCACCACAGAGTCAACATATTATGTGAGAGCAAAAGTGGGGCCCAAACCCTGCATACGGTGGGCCTGTGGGTGCCCCCAGAGCCTGGTGCCTAGCCTTAGGGCTTCACAACTTGGAGCTTATTTTAGGTCTATCACTGTGGGCCTCCTCCAGAAGGACTCAGAAATTTGGTCTTTTTGTCTTTAATAATATAGTGGCTAACATTTACTAGGCACCTACCTTGTGCCTGATACCATTTTGAAGCAGCTGACATGTGTTAGACCAACTGATCCTTAAAACAATCCTGTGAGGAAGATTCTACTACTATCCCCAGATTATAAATGGGGAAACCAGAGCACAGGAATGCTGAGTCACACTTGCACGGTTTCTCAGCCAGCAGGTGGTAGAGTGAGCCCAATGCCTGGACCCTCAGCACCTACCAGCAGGTGCCTGGCAGAGAAGAGGTATTCACTAAGCATTTGCTAATGAACAAGAGGAAGCAGACTCTTAGGGAAGGAATGAGGGGTGTGTTCTGTACTGAGTTTACTACTTCCTGAATGCTGGGGACCACCACTTGCTACCCAATCCCAAGGTGACACCAGACACACCCAAGGGTCTTATGAGGGTTGCTAGGATCTACTGCATGTCTGTAATGTTTAACTGTTTTATGAACATGGCATTGTTCTTGTAATTAGAAAAGGGAAAGACATTTGTTTTATGTCAAGGGATTTCTCAGATAAAATAGGAGAAGGACATTCCAATAAGCAGGAACAATGGGTATAAAAAGTTTGATCTCGAGGAAGGTAAGTAATGTACCATTTCCCAAACTGTGACAGGTTAATAGGTTTTCAGTGACAAAGGGCTTCCATGGTTAAATATTTTTGGGAAATTACAGAATTAAACAAAAGTAGACTGATTTCTTTGCTGCAGGACTCCTTAGATTTAAAGTGTATTTTAAATCTACAAATAGAGGAGAGAAGATGCTGCATTTTCCAAATGTTTGAAAAATCTATGATAACATACTACAAGTCAGGAGGCCAGGGTCCCTATCTTGTCTCTGCTGCTGACAAGCTGCATACCCTGGACAAGCATCTAAACTCTGAGGCCTTAATACCTGAATAGAAAAGATTATCCTCAGAGCTAACATTTATTCAGCACTGACTCCATGCCAGCCTCTGGGCTAAGAACTTTTACAAATTCATTTTCCTCTTCCCAACCCTATGATATGGGTACTATTACCATCCTTTTTCTACAGATAAAAAGACAGAGGTCTACACATAAAAAGAGGTTTCCAGACACTCAATGTAAACTAAAGAAACAGAGGAAAGGGGCAGTGGGAGACTTTGGGGACCTTCCAGAGCAAGGCACACATTGTAACGTGTGCCCCTCTTGCTCCTCCTGGATCCACACCCTCTGGAGCCCCGTGGTGGGGGTCAGGGATGTGTTGCATGGCCCAATTGCAGAGTGGAAGAGGAACCAGATGGCAGGCCTGCTAGCTACCACAGGAGAGGCTTGAGCAGGAAGGAGATTCAAAGTATGACAGCTGCTCTGGGAGGGGTAATGCCCAATTGGAACAGACACAATATAGCAGAGTCCTGGAGGCACCCTGCTGGGTGGCAGGAAGGAGAGGGATGGGATCCTCTGGGTAGTAGCTACTTTACTAGTTTGGAAATCTTTCAGCATTTCAGCAGCATTCTGGCTATATCAGAGAATGTGCCTAAATACCAGCCGTGGTTTTATTTTTTATTTATTTATTTATTTTTAAGTTTTGAAAGTCTTTAATTTCACCCCTCCGCCGTGGTTTTAGGTGTCTTCCCCAAAGGTCCTTTGCGGACAATTCCTCCCTTTGGCCTTTGCGCCAGAGTCTTTGATTTCTATTCAGATGTAGATCTGCTGAGAGCCTGATCCTGCAGCCATTAGAGGTCAAGGTGAATGGGGATCTGAAAGGTGATGTCACTCCAGAGGATGGAGTCTGGAGAGGACGCCTGTTGAGCGTCCCTTAGTATACATTGAGTACCTACTGTGTGCCAGCCCTGAGATTGATGCAGGATACAGTAGTGAGCACATCAGAGTGGGGCAAAGGGACCATAAACAAAATAACAAATTAGGGTAGGTCAAAGGGGTCGGAAGCCTATAGGAGCAGCTTCCTCCACTAAGCAGTCTATCCTGGGGACCTAGAAGCCACAGGAAAGCAGGCCTGGGTTCTGCCCAGGAACTTCTATGCCCAGGGTGGGTGCCTGTCCTGCCATCCTTCCCAACTGGCATCTCTGCTGCTGCTCCCAACTCCCAGCCCTGTGGGCGGCTCCTTTGGGCATCCCAGCCCAGGGCGTGGGGCCGGGGCTTCCTGGAGCTGGGTGTGGAGCCAGGAATGGAACAGAGGAGCCATTGAGCTGCCCACAGAGTTGCCACCTGGGTGCCCATGGGCACTGCAGGCTAGAGCTGAGGAGGCCCACGCCAGCCTCGGAGGGGTCGCAGCTCTGGGCATGGGCCCAGGACTTGGGTAAGAAGGGTGCTGCCTGCAGGCTTGGTGAGGGAGAGGCCGAAGGGGCTCTATGGAGTGGAGGATTAGGGGTGGGGAGACTATCGGGGGTTGGATCAGGCACCTCTGCTGACCAAGCAGCTTCTGGTGACACAGCTTCACTTGGAAAGACTGTCCCCTCATATGATCCCACCCAATCCAGATTTGTGCTTCCTCTCCTGAATGAACAAGGAAAAGTACTTCCTTTGTCCATTCTTCCTGTTTTATGTGAATGGAGTTAACACTGTCAGGAATTTGAAAGTAAACATGGTTCCTGCCCTCAGGAAGCTCACAGTCTGCAGGAAGACATGGAACAAAACAAACATTTACCATGCAGTGTGATAATAGCCCAGCACAGAGACACCTAACAGGCCTGGGAGGTGTATGGAAAGGCTTTCTGAAGAAATAATCTATAAGAGTTAGCTCTTGAGGAGGAAGGGGAAAGTGATCCAGGCAGAGGGAAAGCCTTTGAAGTAGAAAGAACATGCAGCTTTCTGGTAACAAAGTGATCCAAGGTGAGTAGAGAGAAACTAAAGAGGAAAGTGGAAGCTTTCAAATCTCTTCAACTGCAGACTTTTTCCTGAAGCACTGGAGAGCCATCGCAAGGTTTATGGATAACGTGTTGGTTGAGTCAGACACTGTTAAGCAGCTGCCACAAGAGTGTGATGCTGGCTGCCGACTGACAGAATCACCGAAGGTGGGCTGACCACAGAGCCGCCTTGGTCAAGGGGTGGGGCTGTGGGTGCCAGTTGGCCTGGGAGGAAGCAGCTTGGGCGGGTAGGGGTGAGTGGATTTATTTTCTCTACTTCCTGGCAGAAGGAGGACTAGGGGTGAAGGGCTCCAAGGGGAGATAGGCGATGATCAAGGAGAAACATTTGTCTAGTGCCTACTGTATGCCAGGTGCTTACTGGAGCTGGAAAGACAAAAACAACAAAGAGCTCCAGATATGAATAGTCCAGTGGTGGTAATTGGATGATCTGAGATGGTGGTTATCCCACAAGCAGGCAGAGACGCAAAGGAGGTTGTAAAGGAGCTGAGGGCATGAATAGAACAAGGTGGGAGCTGAAGACCCCAGATGAGACAGTAGGAGCCATTGGGAGGTACCTCAGAGGGAATAGCAAGGTGGAAGGAACATGCAGAAGGGGTCTCCGAGGTGAAGAGGTTCCTTTCTTCATCTCTGCCTTGCTAGGGGTCACCATTCCCAGTTGCTCTAACCCAGAGCAGGCCAGTCACCCCACGGCCTCCCAGCCCAGCTGGCTCCTACAGCCCTGGTCTGGCTCAGAATCAAAGCCTAGACTGAGATTTAGGGAAAGGCAAGAGTGGCCTCTCCCCATGCTGCAGGCCCTGGAGCCACCTCCTGTCATCGCCTGTCAACCCAGTGGTGCAGTGCTCCTGGGGTGCTGGCAGCCCTGGGTGAACCGGGCTCAGTCTCTGCCTCAGCCAGCGCCCCATCAGGAGAAGCCCAAGCCCAGCTTGGAGAAAGGTTCTATTGTCCTCAGCTGCGCCCCGCCCTGAGCACCTTGAGTGCCTCTTCGGAGTGTGTGGTTTGCAGTTCACTGTGCGATGAATGGCAGCAGGCATAGAGGAGTGGCCGTGAGCCCACTTGTGTGGGAGAAAGGGGCAGCGTAGGAAGTGAAGGGCCAAAGTGAAGCCTTTCCTGTCCCTGCCCTCCAGGAGCCACAGGGACTTCAGCACAACTTCAGGTCTGTCCCAAAGCCGGCTCCAGCATTCTCTCTCCCAGGACAGCCAAGATGCCCCCTGGTGGCAGGTTGGCAGCCTTTTGCACAAAGGGCATGGGTTCCAATCACCTGGTTCCTCCACTTACGTAGAATGGTCCTGGACATGTTCCCTAACTTCCTTGAGCCTCTGACTTCTTAAAATGGGGACAGTAATACCCACATGACAGGGATGTTGTGAGGATCCGTCAGCAGAACTGAAAAAGTGACTACTCAGTCTTCCCTTCCTTGATGCTCAGCAGCTGTTTATTTGTTCACCATCTGGAAGCGCCCTTGTAGGCATGGACCATGCTAATCTCTGAGTTGTCTCACTATTCTTTGCTTGCTCTTTGAACTCTTCCAACACCTTTGTAACTGTTTCTCTGAAGTAATTCCCTTTGTTGAACCACCTGGTGTAAGCTATGGTCCTGCTTGGACCCTGACTTGAGGCAGGCCCTATGGCCCAGTAGCCTCCTCCTGGCCATTTAGCCTAGGAGATGGCCTAGAGGCACAAAATTAGTGGAAAAGATGTACCACTTGGGGCCGGGCGCGGTGGCTCACGCCTGTAATCCCAGCACTTTGGGAGGCCAAGGCGGGCAGATCACAAGGTCAAGAGATTGAGACCATCCTAGCCAACATGGTGAAACCCCATCTCTACTAAAAACACAAAAATTAGCTGGGCTTGGTGGTGCGTGCCTGTAGTCCCAGCTACTCGGGAGGCTGAGGCAGGAGAATGGTGTGAACCCGGTAGATGGAAGTTGCAGTGAGCCGAGATCACGCCACTGCACTCCAGCCTGGGTGACAGAGTGAGACTCTGTCTCAAAAAAAAAAAAAAAAAAGAAAGAAGGAAAGAGGTACCACTTGGTTGGCAGCCTAGTAGGGGAGCCCTGCAAAGGAAGAGCCAGAGCTTGTCCCCATCCAAGCTCAGAGCCTTCCTTTGAGTACCTGGGGGTCTGGGTCGAAGGCAGCCTACTTGGGACTCTTGCTCCCATGGACAGAGTACCTTGGGAGAAGCAGAGTTGCCTCTCTGCTCCCTGAAGCCCACTCTCTTCACTCTCCTCCCACAGCTAGCTATCCTAGAAGACTATGCGGACCCGTTTGATGTTCAGGAGACTGGCGAAGGCTCAGCAGGAGCTTCAGGAGCCCCAGAGAAGGTCCCTGAAAATGATGGCTACATGGAGCCCTATGAGGCTCAAAAGATGATGGCCGGTGAGTGACAGGGGCAGGGGAGGTGCTCCCTGAGGCCTGGGCTCTGCAGAACAGGCTTTGCGACTCACAAGTCTAAGGACTGATTCTTTGGTCCCTGGAAAATATGGAGAAAGTCTTTTCCAGGTCCTTAGGGAGGATGGTCATTGCCTTTCAGAGTCATTTTGGAGAAGCAGCTGTGACCTGTGAGACCTGAAGTGGTATAGGAGGCCACACAACTGAAGTTCAGATAGAAGTATTCAAGATAGGAAGGAAAAGAGTGGTGAGGGCTGGGAGGATCAGTGATCCCAAAAAGAGAACCACTAGCCTTGGGAGGGGGGATGAGTTTGAAATGAAACATCTTCATGGCAGTTGGAGAAAGATGACTAGAAATACAGTTACAGTGGGTGCCATGAGCCTGGGCAAGTAGTCCAAAGAGTGAGGCTAGAGAGAAAAGAGTAAGATCTGGTCTTGGGAACAGAGGCTGAGAGACAGTCCAGGGGAAAGAGATCAAATAGGGGAGATCAGAGAGGACAGGGTGGGTCTGTCCAAGCCACGGCCCTGAGGCAGGGTGAGAGGAAGTTTGTTCAGGAGCAAATGATGTTAGTGCTGGGTGTGCATGGGAACCTAGATGAGAGAGTCCGAGAGGGGCGGAGCAGTGCTTCATAGGCTGGAATGAGGTATCTGGACTTGCTTCAAAATGGGGAGTGGAGCCATGATGAATTCTTGAGCAAGAGAGGAACAGGATGAAAATGTCAGCTTTATTACTGATAAAGTTGATTAGAGAACATTACTTATGTTCACTGCAATGGGCTTATGTGTCATCACAATGGGCTTCTTAATACTTCACCACAGAATTAAACTTGCCCAATCAGGCTTGGGCAACTCAGTAGGCCTAGTGGGGGAACCCTGCAAAAGAAGAGCCAGAGCTTGTCCCCATCCAAGCTCAGAGCCTGCCCTTGGGTACCTGGGGCTCTGGGTCAAAGACAGCACAGGAGCAGGCCACTGACTGCATGAACCAGAATGTTCTTTCTCTTCAGGAAAAGAGAGTGTGCATTCACTGACCAATACAATAAACTGCTCTTCCTACTTGGGAGAGGTGGTAAGGGAGGCAGAGAGTGGTCAAGAATATCCCAGGACTATTATTCCATGGAGCTCTTGGAAACACAAGCCTGCAGAATGGAGGTTCACCCTAGCAGTAATCTATATACGGAAAGATGAGGGTGAAGGTCACTGGGTATTGGCAAAGAACAGATGGGATTTGAAGAATGAAGGAGGGCCAGGTCCAAGGAGAACAGTGTAGTAGACAGAAATGGAGAAAGTGAGAAGCTGACTACCCCATTTAGGTCAGAGGGTGTGGAACCCAGGAAGCCCCCATGAATGCCCTGAAATTATATGTGAAAATATGGGAGCACATTTTTTGGGGGAGTAGCTCCATAGCTTTTATCATATTTTCACTGGGGTCAGTGATCCCAATAAAAGAACTACTAGCTTTGGAGAAGGTGGTCAGTTTGAAACAATGGTATGTCAAAGCGAAAGGTCTTTATGGCAATGGACCCAAATGACTGGAAATACAGATGCAGCAAGTGCCATGAGGCTGGGCATACAGTTCAAGGAATTAGGATAGGGAAAAATGCATAAGACCTAGTCTTGGGAAAGAGAGGCCAAGAGAGGATCTAGGGAGAGGCCAAATGGGGGTGATCAGAAAGAAAGTCTTTGCCGGGTCCGTGGGGAGGATGGTCACTGCCTTTCCAATAGTCATTTTGGAGAAGCAGATGTGACTTGTGTGACCTGAAGTGGTACAGGAGGCCACACAACTGAAGGTCAGATATTAGCATTCGAGATAGTCAGGAAGGACAAAATAATGGTGAGGGCTGGGTCAGTGATCCCAAAAAGAGAACCAATTAGCTTTAGAGAAGGTGATGAGTTTGAAACCATGGAATGTCAAAGTGAAAGGTCTTTATGATGATGAACGTAACTTGTCGAAGGGAAAGTTTCAAGGAGCGGGTGGTCCACAGTGTCTGGGCAGCAAAGAATAATTCTGTGATTGTCAAATGATATCACTTGCGGGCTGGGTGTGGTGGCTAATGCCTGTAATCCCAGCACTTTGGAAGGCCGAGGCAGGCAGATCACCTGAGGTCAGGAGTTTGAGACCAGCCTGGCCAACATGGTGAAACCCCCCATCTCTACAAAAATACAAAAATTAGCCGGGCATGATGGCGGATGTCTGTAATCCCAGCTACTCAGGAGGCTGAGGTGGGAGAATCGCTTGAACCGGGGAGGCGGAGGTTGTAGTGAGCCGAGATCGTGCCATTGCACTCCAGCCTGGGTGAGAGAGCAAGATTCCGTCTCAAAAAAAAAAAAAAAAAGAAAAGAAAAAGAAAAAAGGAATGATATCATTTGGGACAGAAGGAAACAAATGGAGCTTGGCATCAGGGAGGAAGTGGACAACGGGAGGGTTGTGCCTCAGTTTCCTAAACTCATAAATTTTAGCTACCCAGCCCTCGCTGGCTGTTGCAGGATCCTTTTCCTGTCTTTTACTCTAGTGCCCACCTGCCCTTGCCTTCATTGGCTCCCTTGCTTTTAGAGACCCAGAAGTGTTTTGAGGGTGAGGAACCCAGGATGTGTGGTTGCTGAGCTCCCCCCAGAGCCAGGGCATCTCCTCTGAAGGAGGCCTGGCTTGTTGCTGAGAAGCATTGGAGGAGGGGAGCCAGAAAGCCAAGGCTGAACCCTCACCTTTCCCTTCCTGCCCTGCTCCGGCAGAGATCCGGGGCTCCAAGGAGACAGCAACTCAGCCCTTGCCTCTGTATGACACACCCTATGAGCCAGAGGAGGATGGGGCCACCGCGGAAGGTGAGGGGGCCCCCTGGCCCCGGGAGTCCCGCCTGCCAGAGGATGATGAGAGGCCCCCTGAGGAGTATGACCAGCCCTGGGAGTGGAAGAAGGAGCGGATTTCCAAAGCCTTTGCAGGTGAGTCCTGGTGGAGAGGGCAGGTCAGCTGGGGCCTCTGAGCAGCTTTCCAGGCTCAAGAGAATGGAAGGAGTGGACCCCAGGAACCCAGAGAGGCCCAGGATCAGGACTCCAGGGAAATGTAGTTGAGTTCTGTACCATAGGGGGTGGGGTTGGCAGTGTGGACACAGCGCTGTGTGCAGGGTCAAGGAATGGGTACAGGAGAAGGATGAAGGCATTCCCCTGCATCACCACCTCTTGGAAGCTAAGAGGCTTAGACTACTTCTCTCTTTTGGGGACTGGGTATATTTAAAAATAAATTCCAAAACAAACTTATGAAACTCGTGACATATGTTAAAATACTTACATTTAACAAAAGAAGGCACTTACTTCAAACAATAAAGACAGCTATGGGTGTAACCTGAATTCTAGGGCTCTGCCTCCCAGTGGTAGGCCCTGGCGGACCAGGGGTGTCTGGCCCCAAGGAGATTTCTGAGGAGCAGAGTGAGGCTGTGAGAAATCTCTTGATTGCCAAATGAAGATCAGGTTTCTTCTGTCCATCCCAAGTCCAAGTCCACCATGGAAAAGTTCATGTTAGTGGTCTGAGGTGGGTGGAGCAAGAGCCTGGAGTAGGGAGAGGGCTTTTGCTCCTGGGTCCTTGATTCAGGGAGAACATAAAGGGCTCAAATGCCATTCGACTTCACTCCTGCCTGCATATGCCCCTCTCCCCTGCTTGGGCAAGGGGCTCATCCTGGAGCTGGACCCAGCCCTCCTCTGCCCTCCCCACCCTGACAGCCAGACTGGAAAACCACAGGATTCTAATATTCTTCCTGTAAAGCACACACCATTGAGGATGGGCCGTTTATCTCCAGAAGTCTCCTTGGAGAATCAATACTGTTTGGATTGCTTAATGGGAAAATCTATGCTCGTCATTAGGAAACCTCGTTAGCAGTCCAGCAGCCGCCAGTGGCATCACTCTTCTCAGGATGGGGGGTGGGGATTAAATTTCAATAAAACATCTGCCCTCAAGTCTGAGTAATCCTGACAACCTGAGGCGAGGCTGGCTCTTTCTTGCTGCCTGCGAGTTCCCAGGCTGTGGGGAAAAGGAGAAAGGGAGGCAAGGCTGTGGGTGCCAGGAGGCTATGGGAACCCAGATGTGGTGTTGGGAGGTGCTGGTCACTCTTAGTCCTTCATTTCCTTTGTTCCTGGTACCTTTGGGCCCTGGAGGCTTGTGAGAGGTCAAATGAAGGGGACCCACGGGCTGACAGTGCAAGCCCCTGCATCCTGCTGCTTGCCACCCAAGCCTCCCTCCCTCTGACCAGGCCAACCTGGTGTGGTCAACGTTGGCTCTGCCCAGCCCTTGAGTGCCTCCCCAAAAGCTGACCTGCCTCTGCCTCTGCCTCTGCCCCTCCTCATTTCTAGGCTGTCCTGTGTCCTGGCTCTGGGTTTTGGTGTCTCAACCTCTACCTCTTTCTGTCTCTGTCACTGTCTGTCTCTCTTCTCACTTCTGCTGCTGGCTCCAGTTGACATTAAGGTCATCAAAGACCTACCTTGGCCTCCACCTGTGGGACAGCTGGACAGCAGCCCCTCCCTGCCTGATGGGGACAGGGACATCTCCGGTCCAGCCTCGCCCCTCCCTGAGCCCAGCCTGGAGGACAGCAGCGGTGGGTCCTGGGGGGCTTCTGGCCAGGGTGACATGTCCTCACCCCTCCAGGCCCTGTGGGTTGGGTTGGAGGAGCTGAGAGGTGGGGCAGGATTTGGAGACCCCAGGAAGAATCTCATTTGGGAAGAAGGAAGAGACAAAATGCACGTTCCTCCCTTCCCCACAGCTGTGGGATGGTGTCTTCTACAGGGAGGCCCCTTTCTAATGTGTTCCTCACCATGCTACAAAAATCCACCATTTTAAATTCACTTTGGGGAGAGCTTTGCTTGACAAGCTCCTTCAGCAATGCAAATACTCCTGAGCTGGGGGTGGGACAGACACAGCAAGTGTGGAACTCCTTGGCGCAGAGGAGCAGATCTGACCTTGCATCTGGTGACTGAAAGAGAGTAAGGGCTTCAAAGTGCTACAAGGAGAGAAAAAGAGCCCAAATGAGGAGAAAGAACGCACTTAATTCTTCCTCTATGTTCAGTTCTGCCCAGAATGGGCACCCAAGGGTGTGTGTGCAGAGGCATGAGCATCTGTTCGTACATTTGTGCCTGAATGTTGTATTTTAAAATATGGGATGAAGGAGGGTGTCTGTCCGTACGTGCACGTGCGCATGTGTGCCTGGGGACCCACGGGGGCTCAGCCTTCCCTTATGGGCTCAGCCATCAGGCTCCCCTGGTCTGGGAGGGCAGAGGTGCTGCCTCTGGGCCTCTGTGGGTTGGGGAGGGGAGCCAGTGGGCAGCAACGTTGGGGGTCGGGGAGGGACAGGCTGGCTGGTGGCTTTGGGCGGGATTAGCCTGTCAGGATGGCACCAAGGGGAACCAGATAATTGTTCTCAGATCGATAAGTCATTTCTACAGAATGGCTTGGCAGGGTGATTTGGAGAACGGTAATGAACTCTGAGGAGGAGAAAGAAACAATATTATCAGTGCTGAAGCCACCCTGAGAGGATGGACTGGGGGAAGGCAGTCAGCTGCTTTGGAGGGAGAAGCGTGCATGGTTTCTCAGGTTGCTCCTCTGCTCTCTCCTCCCACAATGTGGGGACTGCAACACCCTGTGTGGCACAGAAGGCTGGGCCCACCCCCACCAGGGGATAGATCCAGGATTACGTCCCCAGAGCCAGTCAGGCCCTTCAGCATGGGCTGCCCTCCTAGAGCATTCCTTTGATCCTTTCTGGGGCTGGAAGAAGTAGGGGTTGGGCACTGGCTATTCAATAGGGACCTCTGAGGACCTCTAGGGTCCTTAGAGTCCATGATTGATATGTTCCCCACAGCCCAGTTTGAAGGACCGGAGAAGAGCTGCCTGTCACCTGGCCGGGAGGAGAAGGGGCGGCTACCTCCCCGACTCTCTGCAGGGAACCCCAAGTCAGCCAAACCCCTAAGCATGGAGCCCAGCAGCCCCCTGGGGGAGTGGACAGATCCAGCACTGCCTCTGGAAAACCAGGTGTGAGTGTCTGTGTCCAGCTGGGGACTCCCTCCCCACTCCTCCCCTCCTGGCACTGGCTTCCCTACAGGGGACACCCACAATGGGTGGGCCTGGACAGCGAGGGACCCAGCAGAGATGCCCCCCTTCCTCTCTCTCATCCTTAGCTGGTATCACGGGGCCATCAGCCGAACCGACGCCGAGAACCTGCTCCGGCTGTGCAAAGAGGCCAGCTACCTGGTGCGCAACAGTGAGACCAGCAAGAATGACTTCTCCCTCTCCCTCAAGTGAGTGGGGACAGTTGTGGTTTCAGGGACAGCAAGCAGGGTGGAAGGGGACTCCAGTATTCCCCTTATGCCCAACCAAGCTGGGGAGGTCCCCATCCCCCATGAACAATCCCCAGGCACTGGGGGTCCTGAGATGTCTGAGACTCAGCCCCTGCTCTCAAGGAGCTCAGAGTCCATTGGGAGAAATAGTTGATCCGCAGCATCCAGCTCAGAAGGGTTCTGTTCTAGTTGTGTGGCCTGGCCCCCTTAACCTCTCTAGGCCTCAGTTTCCTTACTAATGAAATGGATGGGGGATAATATAGGGAAGGATTAGGTGAAATAATGCATGGGAAGTGCTTAGCATAGTGCTAAGGGCTCAATAAATTATCACTGTCATTATTAATGGAAGCCCAAGATGTTCTAGAAGCATAGGCAAGGAGATAGGAGCTTTGCGTGAGGGAGTCTGTAGGGTGTTGGGGGGGGCTGGTTCCTGGAAGGAGGGCAGGGCAGTGGACACAAAGTATTTCTGTTTACTCTGAGGAAGAGTGTGTGTGTCTGTGTGTGTGTTCGGGGATGGGGGGTGTCTGAGCTTTTGGGTCCTGGAAGACGTAGAGGAGGCAAGGCCCTCCCTCCCCATCAGGCTTTCCTCCCAGGAGCAGCAGATCAGCCTCCCAGACTCCCTGGTAGCATGGCCAGCCCTGCCCTGGGCAACCAGGAGTTCTGCCTGGTAGACCCTGCACCCCGTTAGGAAGCCAGTGGGGTGGTATGTTCATTTGCCCCCCACCATCACTAGTAGGACACCTGCACCACTTTCTACCACATTCTCTGGGACCATCAGAGTACAGATATACCCTCCCATTCAGACAAATCCAATCTATGGGAACTTGGGGCTGCTAAACAAGACATATTTGGGGGATAATTATTCAACTTCCCTCAAAGATAATAGAAAAAGTGGTGGGTGTGTTGGCTCACATCTGTAATCCCAGCACTTTCAAAGGCCGTGGCAGGTGGATCACCTGAAGTCAGGAGTTCGAGACCAACCTGACCAACATGGTGAAACCCCGTCTCTACTAAAAATACAAAAATTAGTTGGGTGTGATGGTGAGCACTGGTAATGCCAGCTACTCGGGAGGCTGAGGCAGGAAAATCGCTTGAACCCAGGAGGCGGAGGTTGCAGTGAGCCGATATTGCGCCATTGCACTCCAGCCCAGGCCAACAACAGCAAGACTCTGTCTCAGAAAAAAAAAAAAAAAAAAAAGAAAAAGATAATAGAAAAAGTGCCGGACTATAGTCAGGTAACCTGAGTTCTATTCTTGGATTTGATACACTAGCTATGTGATCCTAGGGAAATCACTTAATATCTCCGAGCCTCGGTTTCTACCTTTGCCAAATGAGTTGATAGATTATCGCTTTTTTTCCAGCTGTCATACTCTAGGAGTCTGAATTGTAAAATCAAAGAAGCATTTCCCAGAAAAGTTTTTGTCAAAAATTTGATTTACATAACCTCAGAAATGTGTATTGCTTTAAAAATTATAAAGTTCATGGAGCATACCAAGCAGCCTGTATACCATTTCTAAACCAACTACTCCCCTGCAAGATAGATCTCTTTTTTATAGACAGAAAATAAATTCAAAGAGGTTTGTTACTTGCCCAAGGCCACCCGGTAATAAAGTCCCCAAACCAGGATTTGAACCCAGCTCTGTCTGACTCCACAAACTATGGTATTCCAGGGCTCCACCAGTGCCATATTATTGTTTGGTACAGGCCAAGGTAAGGGGAGATGCCAGGGGTCTGGCTCCCAAAGTGGAGCCCTGCCAGCCTGCCTTAGCCTGGGAGGTAAAATGGCAAGGCAGGCCTGGAGACCTGCTCCCACCCTGGCTGACCTGGCTCCGCATCTGTCTGCCAGAGCCTCGTTTGCATATAAATGGCTTCTCTGAAATAGAATTATGGTTTCTCTTCTCTCACTAATGGAAGAGCTTTCACTGGTAATTAAACAACTTCCTCAAAAAGGCTTGCCAGCCTGGTCCTGCAGCCCAGCTGGTCCTAACCCCAGTACCCTGAGGGTCTGGCAAGGGCTTTGCTGTGTCCTAATGGACCCTTGGGACTTTGTCCCAGGAGGTGGGAAAGCACAGCCATCCCCTCTGCAGGAGGTTGGTTATCCAGATGGCGGCTGAGCTCTCTGGCCACTTGTCCTTCTTAGCCAGATCTGTCTTTTGAGAAGATACAATGTGCAGCTTTTAGGAGAGACAATTCCCCAGGTGGACTAAGGGAGAAGGGGTCAGCCCCAAACTGAGAAGAGGTGAAGGAAAGCAGGGCCCATGCTGCTGCCCACAGCCTTGAGCCTGACAGGGGACACTGCCTCCCCTCTCCACCACCCACAGGGGCTGTTTGCCTCAGGCCCTTGGCTCCTTTCCCCAAGGGCCTGTGCTGTCAGCCCTAGTTATCTCAGACCTACAGATGGCCCCGGCCACCCTGCACCCTGACTCCCAGCCCTGGGGCCTCAGGCCTTTTCCTAGCAGTCTGCTAGGCTCCTGAGGACTCCATGCCTGGGGAGGCAGAGGGATAGAGTTTGGGGCCTCCGTTTTTCCTCCCATCTGTCACCTCCCTTCAGCCTCCCCACTCTGATTTCTCGCTTGTGGGCCTGGTGAAATGGGTCCGGGCAGAGCCTTGTACCCAGTCAGGGGAGGCAAGTGATAAGGATTGCCAGCCTCACTTCTCCGGGGGGTGGACCTCAGGATGGAGGCAGCTCCCTCACTGGTTCTGCTTTCCACACTAACCTCTAAGCCCCGTCCTTGTCCCCAAGTAGGCTCTGGCCAGCAGTATATAACACTTAGGCTTCAGGGCTCCCCAAAACATTCCTCACCCCTTGCCTGTGCTTGAGTTTCAGACCTGAGGCCTGACAGACCAAGCCTGTGGTGGTTTAGACAAAGGTTCTTGGAGGTCTCACTCCCATGCCCTCTCATGGGCCGAGGGTCCCTGGACATTTAGGAGCTAGCCAGAGCTCTGAGCAGTGGGGTCCTTGTCTTGAGGGCGGGGCCAGGCACTAATGCTGATTTCCTGGCTGTGGCAGGGAGATGGCAGAGGCAGGAGCATGTCTCCTCTGAGCAAGGGAGTGAAGTCATTGTAGGCTGAAGGGCCGGATAAATGAGCTAGGGGCTTGGTCCAAGACCCAGAAAGCAAGAGAGTGAAGGGATATCCCCAGGAGGAGGCAGCTGAGCACTCCCAGATTTTGGGGGGTCTTCCAGATCAGCTTCCCCCTTCCCCCTAGTCATTAGAAGGGAGAGCCCCAATGAAGACTAGCTTGGTTGTCACATCTGTCCACCCTCCTGCCAAGGGCATATGTGGTTCCACATGAGTCACCAGGAGCCCCTCACGGGTGTCCTACCAAAGAGCTCAAGAAAGGTGAGGTTAAACTGGCCCTGGCCACAGAGGCTGGAGGGCCGGGGTGCCTGGACCCCAGGGTTGGCCAGCAGGGGTCGGGGGAGGTGCTGGTCGCTCAGTTTCCACCTGCACACACCCTGTATGCTCCCTATACACACATTCTTGGCACAACCAGTGGCCTTACCACAAAGCCAATGCCCAGTGCTACCTACTTACACCACCACCACCCCTGCTTTCTGGACTGACCTCCACCTCCCCTAATCACCTGTCATTCTCAGCTGGCTTCGGAACCACCACATTTGCTGTAGGGTTGGGGAGGGTTACTGGGTGGATGGATGAGGGGGCTGAGGAGAGCCCCCACTCACCAAAGTCTCCTCTCCTCTTCCCAGGAGCAGCCAGGGATTCATGCACATGAAGCTGTCCCGAACCAAGGAACACAAATATGTGCTGGGCCAGAACAGCCCGCCCTTCAGCAGCGTCCCTGAAATTGTGCACCACTATGCCAGCCGCAAGCTACCCATTAAGGGAGCCGAACACATGTCCCTGCTCTACCCTGTGGCCATCCGGACTCTTTAGATGTGAAGCCAGGGCACTGTGATAGACCTGTACCCAGCCCTGTGCCCATCACCTGGCTGAGGGCTGTGGCTCTTGCCAGGGACGTGATCTTTCAAACCTTTCTTCTCCTGGGATCCAGTAGAAGCTGGAGATTCCTTAATTTATTCTAAAGGGAAAGGGCTCCTGGGGCCTTGGAGTAAGGGGTTGTCTGGAGCTGGGGAAAGAGGAATCCCTGGAGAGAAAGGATAGCCCCTGGAGGAAGGGGGTTCCAGAGCTACTGGGATGGTAGGGAGTTTCAGACTGGCAGCTCCGGCTCCTTTCCGACCTTAGGGCAGAGGTGGTGACCTCCACCACCACCACCCTCTCCCCACTGGGTCCGTGCGAGGTAGTGCAGAATTCGGCCCCTTGGGGCGCCTTACCACCTCTCTGCCTCCGTCCCCGACTTCCACCCCAGACCGTCGGAGGGCTCCGCCCAGAGTCTGGTAAGAGGTTTGGGGAAGACAGGCCCCTGGGAAGCAGCCGGCTTTGGGGGGTGGGGAGAGAAGGGGAGGGGCTCGGGCAGAGGGAACTGTGCAGTCCCCAGGCCGCCCCGGCTCCGGGCCAGAGGCAATAAATAAACCCGATCCTGCCGGGCACAGCCGCGCCCGCGCCTCCGGCGCCGTCCCCGGGCTGACGGGGGAGGGAGCGGAGAAGCGAGCGCAGATTCTGCGTATAAATCAGCTCTGGAGCAGACACAGCCCGGCTGTGAAAAGCACTTTCGAAGCATCAAGTTCCTTTCTTTGACGAGATGTCAAAACATCCCCGCCGCCCCCGCCCCGGCTGGGGGCACCCGAGGCCCGCTGGCCGCGCGGCGCCCCCTCCCCGCGGCGCGCGGCTTCCCCCGAGCGCGTCCAATTTCCTGCCAACAGCCATTTGTCTGGGAGGAGGGGAGGCGCGGAGAGACAAAGAGGCAGCGCGCCAGGCCGGGGAGCGGGGCGGCCTGCCACGCGGAAGCCGCGCGCCGGCGGAGGCGGGAAGGCTGGCGGGACGGGCCGCGGGGGCCGCGCTTGTCTCCTTGGCCGAGGAACTGAGGGCCTGCAGCGCCTCCCTCGCGCCCTAACGGAAGGGTTTGTCCCGGGCAGACCCTCGGGCGTGGCCGGCCTGCGAGCCCCTAACCACCGGCCCGCGGCCTAGGCCGCACCCCGACCGGCGCCCACCGCTGGAACCCGCCCAGGCCTCTGGGCGGGCCCGGGGAGGCCCACTGGGTCGCCAGGCGGAGCGGCTCTCAGGCTGCCCCAGGCCCGCCCCACCCCGCGGGCAGGCTGGTCAGGACCCCTCGACATGCTGGACAGGCACCTTCGGGGGACCGCTGAGCCAAAGGGCCGTCTGAGGGCCTCTTCCAGAACCTAAACGTGCAACCTCCAAAGTGTGCTGTGAATCACAGTACTTGAGAGTTTCTAAACCAGTGGCTATTTTCTCGAAATTGAGGATATGTGGTATGCAGGCGTTTTGTGGAAGCAATAGGAAGGATCACTTAAAATTGGGCACTCTCTTGCCGGGCGCGGTGGCTCACGCCTGTAATCCCAGCACTTTGGGAGGCCGAGGCGGGCAGATCACCTCAGGTCGGGAGTTCGAGACCAGCCTAACCAACATGGAGAAATACCGTCTCTACTAAAAATACAAAATTAGCCGGGCGTGGTGGTGCGTGCCTGTAATCCCAGCTACTCGGGAGGCTGAGGCAGGAGAAATCGCTTGAACCCGGGAGACAGGTTGCGGTGAGCCAAGATCGTGCCATTGCACTCCAGCGTAGGCAACAAGAGCGAAACTCTGTCTCAAAAAAAAAAAGGGGCGCACTCAGAGAAATTCCCTCAGAGGGTTGTCCTGTCTTTAAGTCGACTTGGAGAGCATCCAGCCATTTTGCAGATGAGAAAACAGGCCCAGAGAGGTTGGGTGATGTGTTCATTTGTCTCCTGCTATCATCTCACTGCCTGGAAGAGCCATGTAGGCACAGGTGCCCAACTCTCCCTTTGCTCAGAGAAGGGCTGGGAGTGACTGAGGTCCTGGTAACAAGCCAGGCGGCTCTGGCTCCCTATAGACTCCAGCTGAGTCTGCCCCCGACCCCGTTCTCTTCCCCAGCCAACCTCCTCCAGAAGCTTCCACACCCTCTGTTTCTGCCCCTCCTGAGCAGGCTCACCAGGCCTCACACTAGTGGCTGACAGGCCCTCTGTCAGGAAGGGCACCCCTGGGCCGGGGAAGGGATTGCTAGCTGGGGCACTTTGCCTTGGGCCAGCTCCTTTACTCAGGACACTGGGCAGCTTGAGAGATGTCTGGGCCAGCCTGGTGAGCTGGCTGGGTTAGTGGCTTCCTCTCCCCATGCCCCTTCCGGTCCTAGGGCAGAATAAAGAAACCCTGAAGGCAGAAAAGTGATTTATTTGGAAGGGAGACTACTGGAGCAGGGAGAAGAGGGCTGAGGAGCATTGCATACATAGGTATTGGGCCAGGGTCTGATGAAAGAACGTGCTTAAAACCTTGGGTGAAATTAGTTGTGGTGTTAGACTGGGGTGCCGAGTGGGTTTCTGTAAATGGCTTGCCATGGGTCCAGCCTCTACCTCCTGCAAGGCATTTGCCAGCCCGTCTGACAGTGGGGAGCCCAGAAGAGGAGGAGGTATGGGAGTAGGGAGGGTTCTAAGATGCCAGCATCCATGCTCCCACTGCATCCTTACACTCACCGCCCCAACACACATACAGACATGCACACACATAGTACTTGTCAGGTCAGCTTGTCTTCTGAGATTTGTTTCTGAAGTCTGGAAGCAGAGGTTTCACTTTGCCCCAAATCAGTAGCTCCCCTACTTCTCACTCTAGTCCCTAGACACTGCCCCCCCACCATTTCTCCAGGCTGAGACACATCCTGGTCCTGGGGGTCCCTGAGCCCACACATGGTGACTGACTATGGCCACCTGGAACAAGGTTGGGAGGTGGGAAATCAGAGAAGGCTGAGGCAGCCAGAAATAGGAAGAACAGAGGTGAGGTGTGGGCTCAAACCTCTGCTCAACTGGGCAGTGGGCAGAACCCCCGGGCAGGGGCCTAGAAGTTCTCATAATGGTGGGAGAAGTGAGTCCGGTCCTGCCTGTTGATGAGCTGACAGGCCTTTTCCACATTCTTGGTCATGCCAGGGGGGCCACAGCTAAACACCCCGATCTTCCGGACCTGTTGCAGGAGGAATAAGTGGAGGCTAACTCTTTGCTCAGAGGCAGGGATAACGCAGTGTTCAGAGGAAGGGGTAGCTCCCTAGTTCAAGACCAGCCTGGGCAACATAGCAACATCCCTGACTCTAATTTTTTTATTTTTAATTAGCCAGGCATAGTGGTGCACTCCTGTAGTCCCAGCTACTTGGGAGGCTGAGGCAGGAGGATTGCTTGTGCCCAGGAGTTGGAGGTTACAGTAAACTGGTATTGCATCACTGCATTACAGCCTGGGCAACAGAGCAATACCCTTTCTTTAAATTAAAAAAAAAAAAAAAGCCAGCAGTGCTCCTGATGGTTTGCTTTGTACTATGCATGGTGAGGGCTGGCTCAGTGTTTATAGGTCTAGTGGAATTTTGCTAAGTGCTAGATCAACATTTCTAATAGAGGTTGGGTTAATCAGTGTTCAAGTTGAAGAACAGCTCAGGGTCTCATGGAGGGCTAGACCAGTATTTGTGAGTAGTGACTAGCCCAGTGCTCATGGTAAAGGTTCCCTCAGTGTCCAGGGTGAGGACTGACTCAGTATTGGTGAGGGTAGTGGTGAGGGTAGCCCCGAGTTTTTGGCGAGGACTAGCTCAATGATTGAGCTCTTCCTTCTGGACAATACATCTTGGCTTCAGAGATGGCAAGTCCCTATTGCCTGCCTCCTCCTTTAGCACCTAAGGGTGACACCCACCTATCCTTTCCATTCCATTACCCCACCAATCTCCCAGGGGATGGGTTCTCATCAGCAGTCGATTTCTTCCTCGATGGGGAAGGTTTGGGAGCTTTGCTCAGACCCCAAATGATAAAGAGGAAGAGAACCTGGTTATGGGTTGGACTGACCTGGGGGTGGACCTCCTGCAGGGAGTTGAAGAAGGGCTCAAAGGGGGGACGGCCAAAGTGGGTGATGGAGCGCAGGCCTGTGAATAGACTCCGGTTCAGAACCTTCTGGAAGTGCCGCTCACAGATGTACTATGGTAGGGAAGGGTGGAACAAAGTTCAGCCAGGCACAGCTAGGGTCAATTCCTAGCTCAGACAGTGGCCCGCATACCCTCCTGGTGGGCCCTGACATACCAGCATAGTGGTCCTGAGGTCGAACTTCTCAGCCAGCTGGGTGATGTAGATGTGCACAGACACCAGGTCCTGGTGGTCATTCTCCTCCACCTCTCGGATGATGTCAGCCAGCCACTCAAACTGACGCTGGGTCCGCGTCACCCAGATGAAGTAGATCTGGGGACACAGGGCTGGAGTTCAGGACCCATCTCAGCTCAGTCTCCCTAAACCCCAGGGGTGTCCATACTGATAGAACTCTTCTGACCACAGCTAGCTTGTGCCCTTCCCTAGACAGCCTGGGGAGATGGAGTGTATGGGCCACGGGGCCAGGCTCTGAGGCCAGAGATGGAGTTGGCCCAGGGCATAGAGAGGTGGAAGTGAGAGACCCCAGGGCCATGGGAAAGATCCCTTGGTGATTGGGAGCTGATGGTCTGTGGGGTGGGAAGCAGCTTTCATGCTCAGCCTGTCCTACAGCTCCCTCCAGTGGTCCCTGGTCAGGCTGCCAGGCACCTAGTGGCTAAAGGGCATTTCACAGAGCAGCCTCAGGGAGACCCAGCAGCTGCCTGAGCAGATGGGAATGGGCTCAAAGAGATACCAGCGGGTGGAAGCTGCCCTGCGGGGAGCCCTCTGCAGCTTCCGAGGGAGGAAAGCGGGGCTGTATAGTTAAGAAGCAGAGGGCAGAGGACAGGAGGGGAGCTGTCACCCTCTGAATGCTGACAGCACATGGGCTGGGCCTCTGCCCACTGCATTCCAGCACCCCTGACTCACCTGCCAGGCCCAGAGAAACGAGCAGGGGCCTGCCACCAGGTCCAGGCTGGTGTGAAAGGACCCGTGTGAGGGCCTGAGGGTTTGAGCTGTGTTCCTGGGGCCAACCTGGCCCACCAGCCCTGCCTTGCCACCACTCCTCCTGTTCCTCTTGAGAGCTGAGCCAGTTTCACTTGTGCTCCACCCAACATGCCCTTCCCTCTCCCAGCCCAATAAGGCTCCAAGTGCTGGGCTCCTTTGTAAGAAGGAATGGGTTTCTTTACCCCCTCCAACCTTGCCTGGAGGAACTCCCAGAAGCAAATCCTATGTGGAGCACCCCTAACTGAGGGAAAGAGTCTTTGTAAACCAGGCAGGATTCTGGAGGCATCCGCAAACCAGTTCTGTCCTAAAGGGTCTAGGGATATCCTGATACCACCCCACTCACCACCCAACCCCAGGTTTCAAACCAACTTGCCCCTGCCCAGTTCAGGGAAGCCAAGAACAAAGGCAGAGGAGAAAGGCACAGATGGGTACCATGACAAGGAAGAAGGGGCCATGGGTTGGTGGGAAGTGGGGGCAGTACTCACCTTCTTACAGAACACTTGGCAGCTGACGGATGACTTGAAGACCAGGTCTTTGAGGATGGAGGCAAAAGGGGTGACCCCAATGCCCCCTCCCACTAACACTGACACCTCAAACTTATGCCACTCCTGGTGGCCCTCTCCAAATGGTCCATCAAGGTACAGCTGTAGGGAGGGGCGTGGGTTTCAGTTAAGCTTGGCCACCACCATAGATCGGAAGCCAGAAATGAGAGAAAAGGAAAGGTAGATACGTATATGGAGTGAGGGGAAGAGGAGGATTTGTGGCATTATCTGGAACAACCAGTCTCTAGATGCAGAGAGGGGAGGCACAGAGCGGGGAGTCTAGTGCTGCCGGGCCAAAGCCTTCAAAGGGGATATGGGCGCATGTGGCATGTCTGGCCAGGGTCTGGTACCTTTGGGTATCTGGCACATCTGTCACCCGTCGGGGCTGAGTAGATCTCCCTGAGGCGAGTGGTCCAGGGCCCTGCTGCCCGGATGTGCAGGCTAAGCGTGTCCTCATGGGGCGCAGAGGTCAGTGTGAAGGGGTGGTACTCGGTGGTCCCCAGAGCCAGGCAAGCGATCCGCACCCACTGCCCTGACTTGTACTCAAAGCCCTGGGGCCGCTGGAACCGCAGGTGGGTCACTCCTGGGGAGGGATGGTGGGTGAGAAGCTGCTGCCCTGAACCCAGCAACAATGTGGCCTCCAGAGAGCTCCCCACCCACAGCCTCAGCTCTGCTTCTGGAATATGACAAAGGAGGCCTCCCCCATCAGAAGCTCACCCTGTGGGGGCCCAGGCAGCACTGGGGCTGAGGGTCAGCCAGGCAAGGGGCAGCCTGGCCTGAGCTTCTCTGCTCTCTGCGATGAGAGAGGCTCAGGTCCCCTGGCAAACAGCCCTCCTTTCCTTTCCTTCCTTCCTTCCTCCCTCCCTCCCTCCCTCCTTCCTTTTTTTTTTTTTTTTTTTTTTTTTGACACAGTCTCACTCTGTTGCCAGGCTGGAGTGCAGTGGCACGATCTCAGCTCACTGCAACCTCTGCCTACCAGGTTCAACCGATTCTCCTGCCTCAGCCTCCTGAGTAGCTGGGACTACAGGTGCATGCCACCACACCCAGCTAATTTTTGTATTTTTTTTTTGTGGTAGAGACAGGGTTTCACCATGTTGGCCAGGATGGTCTCGATCTCTTGACCTCATGATCCACTTGCCTTGGCCTCCCAAAGTGCTGGGATTACAGGCGTGAGCCACTGCGCCTTGCCCCTACCAGCTCCTTTGTCCCTGCCACCCAAGGCACCTGCCAGCTCCACTGGGCCCGACCAGGAGACTGTGCGGTCTAGACTCTGCCTCTGCCCGGTCAGCTCCCTCAGTGTCACCAAGCTGATCTCCTGCCAGGCTGGTACCTGAGGGCAGCAGCTCCGCCTTCACCACGCTGATCTCCACCTTCTTCCGGCTCAGGCTCACCAGCTTGTCGCCCCCATAGATGATTGCTGGGACCAGGAAGAAGATGTGGAAACGGGGCAGCTGGATCAGGGCAAAGCTACCATGGATGATGAGCTAGATGGAGGAAAGAGCTCTGCTCAGACCTAGCGATGCCCATAGCAGAATACAGGGCCAGCTCAGGCCTTAGACCCTCCATACTTCCCCGCTGGTATATCCAGCCCCCACCTCACCACGTACCATGCTCCTTCTAGGTTGCAAAACCTCACCATTCCCAACTCCATCCTCCATAGCATTCCATGAGGAATTAGAGTATTTTCTAGATCCCTGACACCACCCTAGACCAAGTGATGTCACCTGTCACCTGGACTCATGCAGGAGCCTTCCAGTGGAAGTAGGTCTTCTACTGGTCTTGTCTCACTGTAATTCCTGTCTCTTCAAGGCAGCCAGTGTGACTTTTTAAAGTTCATTTTATCCTGTTCATCCCCAGCTTTAAAAGCTTTGGTGGCCTTCCCATTGCACTACAAGGCCTCACAAGTACTCTTGACTTCTGCCTGCCAGCCGTTCTCCCCTCCCTGTTCCTCAAACACGGCCAGTCCTTTCTGCTTAAGGATCTTTGCATCTCCTGCCTGGAATGCCCTTCTCCTGGTTCTTCCCATGGCTAGCTCCATCTCATTTTTCAGGTCTCAGTAGAAACACCACCTCCTCAGGCCTCCCCTCAGTCCTCTCTACCACATCTGCCTGTTAACTCTCTTAGTGCATGCGTTGTCATCCACAGTACTTTTGTTTTTTGGGGGTTGGGGGGACAGAGTCTCATTCTGTCACCCAGGCTGGAGTGCAATGGCATGATCTTAGCTCACTGCAACCTCCGCCTCCCAGGTTCAAGAGATTCTCCTGCCTCAGCCTCCCGAGTAGCTGGGATTACAGGCACCTGCCACCAAACCCAGATAATTTTTGTATTTTTAGTAGAGATGGGGTTTCACCATGTTGGCCAGGCTGGTCTCGAACTGACCTCGAATGATTTGCCCACCTCGGCCTCCCAAAGTGCTGAGATTACAGGTGTGAGCCACCGCGCGCGGCCAACAGTACTTTTGCTTCCTCATTCATTTACATGTTTACTGTCGTTTTCCCCACTGGACTGAAGGGGTAGGGACTGTTTGCCATTATAAGCTCCTAGCAGTTTCTGCCTGGCATATGATAGGCACACAGTAACTGTTGGGGAAAGGCGCTTCCCCAGTTTATCCTCTCCTTTTCCAGGCTAAGAATACCTAACTAGTCTCCCTTTTCCATGTAATAACTGACAAGTATCATCCAGCTCTGGTCCTTTCCCTAATAAGTTTGTCTAACATGGTCAGACACTACTTGGTCACATTCTTCCCACTTGCTTGCTCCTGAGTCTGGCTCAGTTTGACTTCTGCGTCCACCTCTCCTTAGGACCTTCCCACTGAGGGCCCAGCAGCCCCACAAATGGGTAAAATATATCTTTTCAGGCCATGTTGGCTCCTACTCTTAGAAGCCTGAGGCACTAGTGACCACCTCCTTCTCGCCACTTCTGCAACAATGCTCTACTGGTTCTCCCACTTTGGGCCACTCGCTTTCCATCTCCTCCACTGGCTTAATTCCTTCTGCCACCCCCAGTCATGGGTGTTGCCCAAGCCTGGTTTTGTCACCCTCTGCTCATCTCTTTCTATGCTCCGCCATGTGGCATGGCCTCTCAGCTGAGCCACAGCCCCTCAGTTTCAACTGCAGCTGCCACATGATCACCAGCAGCATGTCCTGCCACCACCTAATGCCCTATGGCCATCTGCAGCCAGCCCTGTCCCCTCTGCCTCCTGAATATCCTATCACCATTCCCACCTCTGCCTGTGCTCATGCCCTTCCTTTTACCTGGATTGCTCTTCAGTTTCCACTCTGCCCTGTCAAAGCTTAGCTTACCTCCCCCAGACCCTTGGCCCAAGTCCAGTCTTCTCCTCAAAGTCTTCCCTAGCCAATTTAGCCCAAGTGAAACTCCCTTCAGTGAACTCCTATAACTTACTGTTTGGAACACTCCGCTCAGCAATTAATCCTATATCAAGTGTTCATTTTGATCATTTCATGCATGTGCCACTTTTTGTCACAGCGAATCCTAAGTTCCTAAGGAAGAGATTAGAGTCTCCCCTTCTGCTGCTGGGCCCTACAGAGAGCTAGTACATAAAAGACCCTCCACAGATACACAGATAGCTGCTTTTTTTTTTTTTTTTTTTTTTTTTTTTTGAGATGGAAGTCTCGCTGTCACCCAGGCTGGAGTGCAGTGGTGTGATCTTGGCTCAATGCAACCTCCACCTCCCTGGTTCAAAAAATTCCCCTGCCTCAGCCTCCCGAGTAGCTGGGATTAGAGGCGCATGCCACCACTCCCGGCTAATTTTTTTGTAGAGACGGGGTTTCACCATGTTGGCCAGACTGGTCTCCAACTCCTGATCTCAGGTAATCCACCCGCCTCAGCCTCCCAAAATGCTGGGATTACAGGTGCGAGCCACTGCACTCGGCCAACAGATAGCTTTTAAACTGAACTCTGGTTCCCCATTCAGGCGTTCCCTTCCCCCAGCTAAGTCTTCCTAGATTCTTGAACCTTTCCCTACAAGACTAACTTAAACCTCTCTGAGCTCTTCTTTGAACTGGCTCTTTCTTCCCCAAGTTCACTGTTTCATTGTGGAGCCCACACCCACCCCTAAGGCTTTCTGAGCATCCAAACAGGCTGAGTACAATGGCAGGGTGACGTCATGCTGCTCTGTTTCTACACCCTATTTTGTGCTGGCTTTCCTTTTAAACCACAAGGCTGCTGCAGATTCCTTGTTGGCTGGTGGGATGGGGTGGTGGCTCAGCCAGCTCAGCCTCTGATGTGCTAGCCCTGCCCTCTTCTGCCTGGATCAGAAGCCTGGCCATCCTTCCCCAGGGTCTAGTCTATACTGGGGTCCTTTACTTGTAATTTATCTTTCTGCTTGAAGTCAAGTGGTCACGCCTGGGACAAGTGGGAACAAAGAGGGTGCTCTTGCCCTGATCTCCCTGAGATGAGATTGTCCCAAACTGCTGGTGAGGATAGCCTAGCATAGAGGCCTCCACCTTTCTTTTTTCCTTTTTTATTTCTTTTTTTTTTTTTAAACAGGCTGTCCATCTGTTGCCCAGGGTAGAGTGTAATGGCATGATCTCGGCTCACTGCAACCTTCACCTCCTGGGTTCAAGCGATTCTCATGCCTCAGCCTCCTGAGTAGCTAGGACTATAGGTGTGCGTCACCACACTCAGCTAATTTTTGTATTTTTAGTAGAGACGAGGTTTCGCCATGTTGACCAGGCTGGTCTTGAGCTCCTGGCCTCAGGTGATCCACCCACCTCGGCATCTCAAAGTGCTGGATTACAGATGTGAGCCACTGTGCCCGGCCACACCTTTCGAACCCCTGACTTTCCTGCTGGCAGGAAGGGTGGCTTGGAATCCTAGTGATGCCTACACCCCAGGACAAATCAGAAAGGGCTCTGGGTCTTAGGGAGCCTGCCTGGCCACTCTTCTGGATCTCTCATCTAGTTCAAAGTAGCTGCTTTATCACCAGGAACAAGAACGTCATTTCCACCCCCAACAGAAGCAGTAGCCGAGAATGCTAGGGCTCCACTCATTATTGGGAAGAGGAGGAGAGAGGGTAAATTAGTCATAGCTTCCAAAGAAAGAGATGTTTCTTAGGAAACGCATATCATCAGTTCTAGGAAACATCCTAAGCCAAGGCTAAGTAGTCATCTTCAGAACTGTGAAATGCTGAGCAACAGGCAAGATGAAACAGACCCTCCTATCTGTCAGTGAGGACAGAACTGCACCTGAGAGAAGGCAGGTCAGATGGCAGGAGCCAACCTGACCGAGGCCATGGTGCAGTTTCTCTTTGTCTCGGCACAAAGGAGAGCCCTGTATGCAGTTCTGCTGCAGGGAACAGCTGGAGCCTTGGGATTTGGTTTAGCTTCTAAGTGAGGCCCTCAGAGTACCCTTTAGGGAATTGCCTCTGCTCATGAGGAAGGCAGACAAGCAGAGCCACAACACAGGGACACAGAATCAGCTCGGGAACTAACCAGCTAGGCAGCCGATGAGAAACCCAGGGGAGGGTGAAGGGAACATGAGAAGGGAGGCAACATGGAGAGAGGGAGGCAGGAGCCAAGGTTAAGGAGAAGGAAAGGGGATAGGTAGAGTCTTAAAAATCTATTTGATTGGCCTGGCGCGGTGGCTCACGCCTGTAATCCCAGCACTTTGGGAGGCCGAGGTGGGTGGATCACGAGGTCAGGAATTCGAGACCAGCCTGGCCAACATGGTGAAACCCTGTCTCTACTAAAGATACAAAAATTAGCCAGGCATGGTGGTGCGTGCCTGTAGTCCCAGCTACTCAGGAGGCTGAGACAGGAGAATTGCTTGAACCCGGAAGGCGGTGGTTGCTGTGAGTTGAGATCATGCCATTGCACTCCAGCCTGGGCGACAGGGCGAGACTCTGTCTCAAAAAATAAAAAATAAAAATTCATTAGATCAACAATCCAACTGAAGTCATTTTGAACAAGCTTATATACTGTACAGGTGGCACTTAGCAGGTGTGACTAATGCCCCCAAAAATAGGATCAGAACAAAAGTGGCAGAACCCATTTAAGATAAGTTTCTTCAAAAAGGGTGATGCTCTCTTGGGTGCAGGTAGTCCACCCAGGAGCCAAAACCAGCCACCCAAAGTGGGGAAAGACTAGCTGGGCAGAAGTGGGGTGGAGGTGTCTGCGAGGAATGGAGATCAGTCTGGCAGGGCTGCTACTGCAAAACCCATGCCAGGGAGCCGAGCTTCCAAGTGCTGCATATTGGGGTCATCCTAATGGAGAGCCCTGTACTATCATCTCCACCTTCAAAGAGGGACGTCGAGAAGTGAAGAGGATGCTTCAAATAGCTAGAAATTGAATGAATGTCCCAGCTCTCCTTGCCTCCCTGGAAATGTCCTGCCCATACCCTCCTGGCCTGGCTCACAGCCAAAAGCCCTCACCAGGACATAGAGCAGGATGTAGAGGTGGTGGGTCAGCCAGAAGCCCCGGAAACTGCGGCGGCGGAAGTGGTGGGAGGCAAAGACATACATGATGGCCAGGATCAGGAGCAGCACAACCCCCGTGAGGCCTGCAAAATGAATATAGGGTGGAAGGCAGAAGATCAGTGCCTTGAAAGGGAACTGTTCTGGAGCTTCCAAGGTCCCCTCTCCACTCCACTGCCCAAGTTGGAGTAAGAATGTCCCAGCATTCTCCTCTGGTCCTCTCCCCCAACACCACTGATCACAGGTACCTTTCATTTCAGCAGACATTGTTCACTTTTCATAGCCCTTGTCACCATGATTTTTTTTTTTTTTTTTTTTGAGATGGAGTCTTGCTCTGTTACCCAGGCTCCCTGGAGTGCATTGGTGCAATCTCGGCTCACTGCAACCTCTGCCTCCCAGGTTCAAATGATTCTTCTGCCTCGGCCTCCTGAGTAGCTGGAACTAAAGGCATGCACCATCATGCCCAGCTAATTTTTTTTATTTTTAGTAGAGACAGGGTTCTGCCATGTTGGCCAGGCTGGTCTTGAACTCCTGGCCTCAGGTGATCCGCCCACCTTGGCCTCCCAAAGTGCTGGGAATACAGGCATGAGCCACCACACCCAGCCAATTTTTCACCAATGTCATTATTTGGTTTTTGTCTGTCACTTTCCTGACTCTCGGGTTCTCAAGAATGAGGAACAGGCTAAGCTAGTTTGCCACTGAATCCTAGTGCCTAGTGCAAGGGCCTGGCACACCGTGGGCCCTATATAAATGTGTGCTGAATGAATGGATGCAGAGGGTGTCCACTCTGGGCCCTCTGGGCCAAACAATGGAAATGACAGGCTGTACTCTCATCGAGTCAAGGTTTGGTCCTTGTCCCTGCACCACTCTTTGTTGGCTGCCACAGCACACAGCATGAGCACTGGCACTGTTAGTGACTGGCCAGGACCACACTGTCCCTGCTCATCACTAGGGTCCCCAAGTACAACCCAGAGTTGGTGGGAGGCCCCTCCTCTCACAGGGGATCCAGGCCATGGGTATACAGGGGGATAATACTGGAGCCAGGGCAGGGCAGAGAGGACAGAGAATGCTCCCTCAAGTGATCAAGGAAGAGAGGCAGAAGTTAAGAAGATTAGAGCCCTGAAGTATAAAAAAGTAAAGGTTAAGAAGGGATCTAACCAAAGCCTGTAAAGTCCTAAAAGGAGAGGAGAGCATAAACACAGCCTTATCCACTAAATCTCAGTGTGCAGGAATTAGCAAGCACCCTCTGAAGTTCAAAGCAGATCATTTTAGGATTAAAAAAAAAAAAAAAACCATGCTGTGTTTCACAGAGAGGAGCCAGTATAGAAATTATGTTACTCCAAGGAAGGAACAGACTGAAAATATAAATAGGTTCAAGAGAATTTGAATAGATTCACAGCTAATAGCTCTAAGATGGGTGATTATAGGGAGTTAGGAATATCCCCCAAACGCTCCTTTCAAGGCATACTGGGTAGGCGCCTCTGTCTGGCTTGACAAAGAGCCTGCTCCTTCCCCCATGCAGCTGGGGCACAGCACTCCTCAAAGCTACTGTTAGGGTATGTGTGTGTATTGGGGGAAGAGGTAGCCAGCCACTCCTATTCCACTGGAACTAGTCCATAGTAGGAGATATTTCTCCTCCTAACCCTACTAGAGAAGGAACTAGCCCAAAGTAGGGGCAGGAACCCAGTTGAGCTCCTGCGAGGAGGGCTGGAATGCAGAGTAGTCTAAGTCTCCTGCCCACCCAGTAGTGTCCTCAGGCCAGAGGACAGAGCCTGGGTCACCGGAAGAGCTGAGTGAGTGAACGTGGGTTGCTCTGGGGTGCAGAGAACCCAGAGCCTTGAACTCACAGTCAGGTCCAGAAATTCATGGATCAAGGAGGGTTCTCACCTGGTACGGTCTGGAAGAACCACCAGTAATACTTCTGGGGGAGCTCAGACCTGTGTGGAAGGGACAGCAAAGAGACACCTTGAGAGGAGATCTCTCTCTCTTTTTTTTTTTTTTGAGGCAGAGTCTTGCTCTGTCACCCAGGCTGGAGTGCAGTGGCATGATCTTGGCTCACTGCAACCTCCACCTCCTGGTTTCAAGCCATTCTCCTGCCTCAGCCTCCCCAGTAGCTGGGATTACAGGCACGCACCACCATGCCCAGCTAATGAGAGGAGATCTTTGGGAATTCCAGATGGGACCCTTCAGGGGAGGCACCCCAACTCAGACACCAGTCTCTCCTGCTGACTTGGCATTAGGGGCTCAGGCTGGTCACTGTCTGTCCTGTAACCTAGAAGGTGACAGTCTCCTCTGGAGCCAGATAATTTCTTTCCACCCAAAAGGAATCCTCCCCATTATACACACACACACACACACACACACACACACACACACACACACACACACACACATTCGCACTTACTCACCCATCATCATGGAAGAGGCCAGGAAAGAGGCAAGAGAGGACGCTGAGGGGGCTGATGGAGAACAGGTACACATTCACCACATGGCCCACACTGTGTAAGACTAAGGAAGAGCAGACCAAGTGGTGAGCTTGGGGCAGCCCAGGGTGGGTGCTCACTCATTCAGCCCAAGATCGAGGACCCTGGCCAGAGTGGGGGTCCCAGAGAAGTACCTTAGGAGTCTCGACTTCTGACCTCTTTTTTTTTTTTTTTTTTTTTTTTTTAGATGGAGTCTCACTCTGTCACCCAGGCTGGAGGGCAGTGGTGCGATCTCGGCTCACTGCAACCTCTGCCTCCCAGGTTCAAGCAATTCTCCTGCCTCAGCCTCCTGAGTAGCTGGGATTACCGGCATGTGCCACCACACCCAGCTGATTTTTGTATTTTTAGTAGAGACGGGGTTTCACCATGTTGGCCAGGCTGGTCTCGAACTCCTGACCTCAAGTGATCCGCCCGCCTCAGCTTCCCAAAGTGCTGGGATTAGGGGCATAAGCCGCCGCGCCGGCCTGGACTTCTGACCTCTAAACAATCACCTGGCCCTACCCAACACCCCACAGACACACCATCCATGTGCGCAACCATGTGAGTCTGAAATTACAGCATTAGAAGTTCACTCCTTTGCTTTCTCTCAGAGTCATGCTTTAAAACATAAAAATTGGGAGAATTGACACATTATGCACACTCATTCTGGGGTGTTAGTAACTTGTCAGCTGAGGCTGGTGAGGCGCCCTGGAAAGTGCGGGAAGAGGCACTTGGAAGTGACCAGCGACAGGCTCCCGGGCTTACTTCACACCCTGGCCCAGGCCAACTCCATCCTGATGGAGAAGGACATTAAAGGTAAGTGCCAGCAGAGAGGGGGGCTCTCATACGAGGGGAAGTCAGCGGGGGCGGGAGGCCCTGGAGAGCCTCCCAGGGACACCCAGGCCCTGCCTGTGAGGACGATGGCGGTGGAGGCAATGAGGCGATGGAAGTCCACGGCGGCGTCGAAGGGCACGTAGCGGTTGAGGAAGGTTTCTCGCAGGAAGGTGATGAGGTTGCGGCACATGGTGAGCAAGATGTAGGAGAACATGAAAGAGATGCTGGCTGCTGTGCCCCGCGACAGGATGATTCCCACGCGGGTGGTGTCTGTGATGCCCGTGTGATGTGCGGCAAAGGCGTAGTCTGTGGAGGGGGCCCAGGCAGGCAAGCGAGGGTCAGTGCAGAGGACAGAGAGCTGGTTAGGGGCGGTAGGCCCTGGCCGGCTGCCACTCACAACAGGCCTCCCCCGCACAGTCTTCACTCAGACAGGCTCCACTTACCCTACCCAGGGCTGGCACTTATCGCAGGCCCCACCCCCAGGGCGATCACTCATTGCAAGCCTAGGGACAGGGCTCGTGGTAAGTAAAGTCACTCACAGTAGGCCCTCTCCAGGAAAAGCCCCCCAGCGATGGCGTAGAACACGGCCACGCAGCCGATGTGGCGCCGGTAGTTCTCAATGAAGCGCTTGAACTGTTGCACCGTCTGGTGGAGACAGCTGCGTTGGAACTTCTCTCGGTGCGCCTCAGTGAACAGCAAGGGCTGGAATGACGTTAC